>NC_000009.12:118220552-118845552 GCF_000001405.40 Homo sapiens
AGACAGTGTGAGACACCTCTCAGTCCTCCCGTTTTCAGTTTTTTCTACTTTCTCTCTGCTGGCTGATTTCTCAGCCATATTTTGCCTTAAGGCTGCACTTACAGAACTACTGCTTCCCAATGACTCTTCTCCAGTTGAGATTCCATTTTACTCTGCCTCTCCTTACAACATACCTACAAGGATAGCAAACTCCAGGCCAAGCACTTACGCTCACCAAGACAAATCTGACTGCTGGCATGGTCCTTTGGGTGGCCATCACTTCTGCCCCATTGAGCTAATAAGATAGACAGCAAAGGGCCAAGATTTATTTGGCTCCAATTCTTTGAGATATCTCAGTGTTCTACCTGGGAAGGGAGTATAAGGAAGCAAGAAATTCAATATTCCAGTAGAAACTCTCACCTTAAAGTCCTCCAGAACAGTGTGTTTCTGATAGGGGTCTGATGTTCTTGGTTGTACAGGCTGCAAGGAGATGTGTTCTATATACACTTACAAGTTCTGGTTTAAGTCCCGAGAAGCTGTTACTCAAAGGAGTGGTTGCCGCTTAAGAGGATGACACATTCCGGTTCTAAAATTAGTGCACAAAATCTGGAGTTAGTATAGATGGGTGTGATTCCAGCCCTTGTAACTTACTATCTCTGTTATCCTGTGAGAGTTTATTAACTTCTCTAAGCCATAGTTTGTTCAATTATAACATGGTTCTAATAAGAATACCTACCATACTTACTTTGGGGGCTATTGTGAAAAGAAGGATAAAATCATATTTATGATGTGATTATATGTTTTGATACTTAAAATATGCCAGTTTCCTTAATCTTCTAGTGGCAACATATTGCTTTGTTTGGTTTGGTTTTTAAGAACAGGCGGTCCCTACAGTGAATTCACCCAGTTTGGATTGTTCACTAAAATATTTTCACTGTAGGTTGAAGCATGACCTCATCACATCCAATTGGTGTGTTCTATCTTCTGGGCTACTGTGACTGAGGTCCACTGGACTGATTTTGGATCAACCTACCTCAGGATGGCTATTAAAACCATTAGGGAAAAAATGCTTTCTTGTCACTGGAGCTGCTCTGGACAGTAGTGTGTGACCCTGTAGTTGCCATGAACACCACTTATGGGGACCCTACCTTGAGTGAAGCCAGCTCAGAGAAAGACACTGCTGAGTGGTGGAGATGACATTGAAACTTTTGTTCAAAAAAACAAAATCAGTTACATAAATCAATAATTTCCCTTTTGTTCTTAAAGAAAAATGTGTGTTTTCTGTCACTTGTAACTAAGTGAATAAAACTAACAGAGATATTATTTTGCCATTTTTAGATAAACAAAACAAGTCTAAAAGAAATTAGGTAACTGGCCCAATGCTTAGAACTAGAAAGTGGAACATCTACGCAGTTTAGCATGCAGTTTCTAAAACCTGGAATATTGGGTTCAAGCACTTTAGGGTTTCATTACTCTTTAGCTATAGGACCTGGGGCAAGGTGCTTACATTCTCTGAGTTGCAGTTTATTTGTCTATATAGCGAGGATCATGGATCCTAGCTTATAGGCTTGTGCTCTGATATATATCCTTTAGAACCTAGAAGCATTAAATAATTTTTAGCCCTAATAACAAGAACAACAATAATAACAATAGCTAAAAGTTACATGTATGTGAGAGTTATACTAATCCCAATTATGCAATGATATCTAATATTATTTGGGATCCAAATATAGGGCTCTGATATTTAATCTTGTACTTGTTGTACTTTTTCCCCTATGACTATTTTATTAGGATGTATGATACAAAGGGGTCAAAGAGGTATGAGTCATTGCATCCCAATGGGATAAAAAATGAGGAGTTGAAGCCTAAGTGACAGGACTTTTGTTGCTATCATCCAGGCCTGAGATTCTGGGAATTACAGCTAGGTGGTGGCAGTGGGAATGGAGTGAAGCAAGGGAAGAGGCTCTCCAGGCTTTTGAAGCCTCACTGGTCTGCTGGCAGCCATTTGGAAACACTGCCATAAATTTCCCTGTGCTTCAGCACCACTGGCCTGACCAACTCCCTGGAGAGCTCATCTACTCCCCACTTACGTGGATTCCTCTGAGGGCATAGTGGCAGCATGGAGTGGCAGAGACACCACCTTAAATCACCAGCTTCATGCTCCAGCCCAGCTGCTCGCTTATTTCAGAGGCAGCTTGAAACACTGCATCACTGTCTCTGAGCAGCTTGGGGGACGATGGATGGCACGGACTTACTCAGGCAGCTGCTGGGATCTGTGTTTATTTCTTCTCAGTGGGAGCTGGGTTCTCCTGGTGATATCTCATTCCTTAAGAAAAGAAGAGTCACTCTGACAGCAATTCCATAAAAAAAAAAAAGATGGGACCTAAATGATGAATCTCAAACGATCATGAACTTCTGATTGTGCTCTCCTATCTGAAACTGGAATCCAAGATTTATTATAATTAGTACAGATAGTGTTTAGGAGCCTAGGGTCTGTGGTCAGACAGACCTAAGCTTAAATCCCACTTCTGCTGCTTACTAACTCTGGCGATCTTGGAATGTATTAATCATCTATACTTTGTTCTTCTGCTATCTAATTTTCAACATTTGTAGCAGTTAACTTTGCCACAGTAAGTGTACCCATTAATCCAACCCAAAATGCTGTGGCTAAGACAAAAATCACTTATTTTCATAATCACAGGGCACTGGCTGATTGAGGCTGGGCTTCACTGGAGTTGAACTCTTCACAGGCTGCAGAATTGGAGGTAGCTCTGCTTCACCCTGTTGGTGGTTGTCTGGGTTGGCTCTGCAGCAGTTGTCTCATCTTCCTAGGATTAGCATGTTAACTGGGACTCATTTTTTCTCTGGGATGACAAAGGCAAAAGAGATCATGTGAAAACATGAAGCTTCTTAGGCCAAGGAACACTTTTAAAATTGCCCTACATATTTAACCACAGAAAATCAGATGTCCAAACCTCAAAGTCAAGAATACAGGGAAAGAAACTTATCCCAGGAGGAGCCTATGGCAAAAGCAGGGATGCAGGGGAGGGGTGAAGAATTGAGCAAACATAACTCTGGATTTTTGAGATGATTCCATAGATAGGTCTATAAAATGCTTGTTTGACACACTCCTTGGCAAATAGTAGGGCACTTAATACATGACACTCAAATTATTTATTGTCTATTTTGCTAGTCTATAAAATCAATAATGTAAACTCTGTGTTGGTCATGTGACTTGTTGCTGTCAAATTCGTTCCTTACCATTCTCTTTCTTTGTTCTGAATCACCAGAGAATGACATTACAACATTTTCCTTTTTTTTTTCTTTTTTTTTTTTTTCTGATATGGAGTCTCACTCTATTGACCAGGCTAGAGTGCAGTGGCACAATCTCAGCTCACTGAAACCTCCACCTCCCTGGTTCAAGCGATCCTCCTGCCTCAGCCTCCAGAGTAGCTGGGATTACAGGTGTGCACCACCACGCCTGGCTAATTTTTGTATTTTTAGTAGAGATGGGGTTTCACCATGTTGGCCAGGCTGGTCTCAAACTCCTCAGGTGATCCACATGCCTTTGCCTCCCAAAGTGCTGGGATTATAGGCATGAACCACTGTGCCCAGCCACATTACAACATTTTCTAAGAGCCCTTGCTCTTTGGCCTCCTGGCAGATTTGCCAATGAGAAGGGTTGATTGACAACTGGGGGGCAGAAGAAGGGGAAACCTTGGAGTAGGTTCCCCTTGTTCTCTCTCTGACTTGGATGGCTCCCACAGTGTCTTCATCTCTTCTGTGGCTCCAACTCCCAATGGGCTGGCACCAGCATCATTTCAGCTCTCGGCTCTGGCAACTACACCTCCTCTCATTATACCTCCAGCCCTAGAAGTGATGGTGGCTTTCTTTCCTTAGAATCATTAGATTGATTCCAATTCCCTTATTTGAATTTTTAGATTTCCCCTCCACTCCCCATCTGTTTGACCAATTAAATTCAATTCCCTCCATTTGTAAGACTCAGAAGTATTTCTATTTTATTGACCAGTCTCTGGCTATATTACTCTTCTATTGTTGCATAACAAGTTACCAAAAACTTAGAGGCTTAGAATGATACTATTTTTTATCACTCAGTTTCTGCTGGTAAAAAATCTAGATGGGCTTTGCTGGGTATTCTCCTCCAGGTCTGAGAAGAATAAAATCAAGGTGTTTGCTGGACTTGGCTCTTATTTGACAGCTCTGGAAAAGAATCTATGTTCAACCTCATTCAGATTGCTGAATTCACATATTTTCTCAATGGGATAAGGCTGAGATCCTCATTTCCTTGCTGATGTTTGCTTTGTGATGTTAGAGGCTTCTCACACTCTTTCTCACACGGTTTCCTCTTCCATTCTCAAAGCAACAACCACATGTTGAGTCTCTCATGCTCTAAATCTCTCTGACCCTACTTCTACCACCACTGAGAGAAAGCACTCTGCTTTTAGGGATTCATATGATTATGTCGGGGCTGCCCAGATAAATCCAAGATGATCTATTTTGAAGTAAACTATGCCATGTAACATAATTATGGGAGTGATGGTATGTCACCATAATCACACGTGCCAGGGGTAAGGCTAGAACAGGACATCTTTGGGTGGCCATTATAGAAATCAGCCTATCCCACTGACAAATACAAGAAGGGACTCAATTTTTCTTATTAGCAATAATATTTCAGAGTATACTGTATAGCTCTGCCTGTGTTCTAAGTAGCTATGGTAAATGATGAAATAGATAAATGGATATTTCCAAAAGAGTGTCTGAACTTTCCAAGGCTCATAAAATCCAACACATTATATATATATATAGTTTTGTCAGAGGACCTGAATTATACAATCTAATATGACATATGAAACTCACTTGAATTAAGATAATAATTAAATTTAAAATCATATCTCAAAAGATCTCAGAAAGCTGGAAAAAACTTGCTTTAAAACAAATTTAAAAGGGATGAATATAAATTCCTGAATTTAGATTCCTAAACTATCTTTACACACAAGGAAATAAACCCTACCAGTAGCACATATAAAAATTAGTTCTCAAGTTCAATGGGTATCAGCAGTATAAAATAGCTGCTCTTGAAACTATTTAAGGTTAAATTAAAGAAGTATAATGTTAGGCTCCAGGCAGGAGATAGCTTTGCTTTATGCATTCTGGCAAAACCATGCCAGGTTTCAGATAGTGCAATTTAAAGGGGATTTGGACAAATATAAACAGATCAAGAGAAGAAAAATCATGTTATGTGTGGTCTCCAAATTATGCCATATGAGGGAATTTAGTCTGAAATGACTAGACTCAGGGGACAAACATGAAATATGTGAATTATCAGGACATGAACTGGGTCAGATGACTCAGTGTAACAACTACCTTAAAGCTGGTGGAGGGGAAATACAGACTGACTGCTTAATAGGCACAGATTTCATTTTGGGTTGATGGAAAAGTTCTGGAAATAGTGATGATGGTTGCACAACATTGTGAATGTGTTTAATGCCACTGAAATATATACTTTAAAACTGTAAAAGTCATTTCTGTTGCATATACTTTACTGCAATTAAAAAATGGTTAAATGATAAATTTGACAATAGGTGTATTTTGCCAAAATAAAAATTAGTGTAACTACCTCAATAAGGCTGCTCAAATCTGACTCTGCATCAGAACCACCTGGAAAGACTTTTACAAAAATGTTCCTGACACTTTACACTGCAGAGTCCTATTCAGAAAATTAAGGGTGATGGTTAATAATCCATCTATTTATCAGCTGTTGATTGGATGCCTGATTTGCTCCTGACACTCTGCTGTCACTGGCCTGGAACAAGGACCAGCATTTGGGAACCATTAACCTGGAAGCTTAAGTTATTCCTATTAATGCAGACATTCAGGCGGTGACATTGGAATTGCAATTCCGTATTAAAAAGTGATGAGTCCAGAGACCTATTTTTTCTTGTCCAACTCTCAAAAGTATTTGAATTGATAACATTGCAAGAAATCAATCACAGGTTTATTGTGTATCTTGACTCCAATAAAAAAATAAAATATTCTTCTATTTTTTCTTTGTGCAAATAATAACATGCCCAAATTGATCTCAGGTTTCAGAGGAAACAAACATGATTGTTTTCCAAATTCTCTACTTGTAATGCTTAAGTGACTAATAAGGAGTGATCACACAGTGATTTACAGCATGGGTTGTTTGTACGTGGGTTCAAACACTGGTCCTAGCTTTTATTAATACTATCTCTGTGAACTATGTCATGGCTTTTTTGTTTGTTTGTTTGTTTGTTTTTCATCTCCTTGTACTATGTCAGTTTCCCTGAAACAGACCCAGATTCTGAGATTTGTAACAAAAGCCACAGCTGATCCTGTGAGAACTTCTGGGGCTGGATGTTGCATGTTCCTGTCTCAAGGTCAAGGGCCTGAGACTTCATAACCTACAATTGCCATCACTGAATGTGAGCTCCCTCTGGGGAGGGAGTGTGGCTCTGGGTGTGGTCAATTGCCTTTATCCAGTGATGCCTCCTGGAGAGGGACTGAGCTAAGAGTCCTCAGCAACTAAATCTCCCAGCAATTGGGAGAAGAGGGGCTCAATCCTGAAGTGGGGAGGAAGAAGTTTGAGTGGAACCACAGCATCAACTGTAATCTCTAAGTCTCAGTTACCTCATAAAATGATTGTGCTGTTTAAATAAGATAATGCATGCATAGTGCTTATCATAGTGCCTGTCTTATGGAGACTGCTCAAAAATGATACATGCAGTGGAGAGAATTCTAAGATGAGCTCCAAAATCTCCTCATTTTTGTATAATCCCTTCTGCTTTTTATTGTGGGTAGAGCCTGTGAATATGAGGAGATATTAGTGTGGTGATAATGCTGCACTGTACAGCAAAAGGGAGGTTTTCCTAGGTGGGTCTGATCTAATCAGATAAGTCCTTTAAAAGCAGAGAGTTTTTCTGGTCATTGCAGTAGAGGAAGCCAGAGAGATGTGCTTGGCTGGCCTGGAAGAAGGCAGGCATCAGTCTTGTATGTTACCTATGGAGGAAGCCACATGGCAAAATCCTGAGACTGGCCCCTAAGAGTAGAGAGTGGATCCCATCTGAAAGCTGGCAAGAAAATAAGAACCTCAGTCTTACAGCCACAAGAAAGAAAGTCTGCCAATGCCCAGCAAGCTTAGAAGAGGACCACAAAACTCTGGTGATAACCATAGCCCTAGGAAATGCCTTGAGTTCAGCCTGGTGAAGAATCCAGTCACTCTATACCTGGCCTTTGGACCTATAGAAACTCTTAAGACAACAAATTTAAAGCCACTAAAGCCACTAAATTTGTAGTATCTTGTAATGTAGCAATTAAAAACTAAGATAGTTTATTATTATTACTACCACTACTTTTATTATTACTATCAATAAACTTTGTCTTAGACCTTCTGGCAACGTTTTGTATCCAAGGTTGAAGTCCTCCAGACCTTTCCCAGAGCAAGTAATCAAGACAATGGAGGAACCATCAATGATTGAGCTCTGAAGTGTTATCTTTAAGGTTGCCTCTTTTGTCTTCTGTGAAATTTTGTATTAGACCAGGCTAAAGGCAGACAATCGTTGAGACAAGATGTAACTTAAAACCCTGACTTGCCAAAGCAAGTCTCGTTTATTCTTGTTGTCACAACAGAGTTAATAATCGCATCCTCTTTAGCTTTAATAATATCACAGGTGAAATGATAAATTATACAGTCACCTCTCAGCTCATTGACACAGTTCTAACTGCAGCCAAATTGGAAAAACTCCTTTCTCTCTTTTTCAGCGATCAATTGATCAGTCAACCCTTATTGAATATTCACTGTGTGCTAGATGATGTGGACATAGCAATGAGCAACACAAGACTGATACCACCATTCCCTGTCCCCTCACACACACACACACACACACACATACACACGCACACACACACACACACAGAGAAAGAGAGAGACAGAGAGAGAGAGATCTTTCCTGGAGTTTAAAGTCTAATGAGAAATATAGACACTTGGACAATATTACAGTATACTCTACATTTTATGGTTGAGAGAGATGGGGGCTATCGGAGCACTGAAGAGGGAGAAGAAGTTTGGACTTGGGGAATCACAGGTTTCTCAAAGAATGAGTTCAGAAGAGTGGGTCAGATAAAGAAAACAGAGGAAGACTTATCTTTTAAATGATGCTAACGGTTTGGACATTTTTGTAAAGGAAAAGTTGAGATGTTGACGTGTTTAAAACATGGTAATTAATGTTTCGTTGTTTTTCTACATTCGTGACTTTATATATGTCCTACCTACAAACTGAGATGCCTCATACCTGGCTTTGCCTATCAATACCCACTTCTACTTCTTAAATTACACCCGTGATAATTTTATTTCCTGTTGCATGTGAACACATCTTATCTGAGTCTCTATTTTGACATATTACATACTAACTTTTTATTTCAGTTACCTAGATGCATATTTTATTTTTCCTAGGTAAGACTTGACTATCAGCTCATTGAGAATGGTGATCATGCCTATTAGAGGTTTTCTCATGTATTAAATTTGCAAGTTTTATTTAAAAATCCACATTCATAATTTTAACATACGTATTAGGTGTTTACTATTTGTGCCAGGTACTTGGAGACTTCGAAGTAGAGCAAAATCTTCCTCCTAGTCTCAGGAGCTCACACTGCAGTGGGTGAGATAGTCAAGACAAATAAGAACAGGGAAGAGACATGGGTGTTTTAAAACATAGGTCTTATTGTTATTCAGGTATTCAGGCTTCTCCTGATCTGTTGGAGATCAGAAGAAGCCTAGCATTGAAAAGACAATTTGTTACTTACAGTTCCCAAGAGGTAGGAGCATGCCACACCATGCAAAAAGGTCACATGGAGAAGTATCAGAGTTGGGGAAGGAAGCAGGAGGAATATGAAAAGAATGTGAGTAAGAGCTTTTATTGTGATTTTCATAGGAAGGACCAGGTGAGGACTAGGCTTATGATTGTTTAGTTTGAATAATTTCAGTGAGCTCTGGGGTGTAGGAGCTGTCCTGAGTTGCCTGGTACCTGGACCTGGGGTGATTAGGTTAGAGGAATATTGACCTGGAGTGTGAAGAGCCAGATAGAGGAGGTATGTGGAGGGGCAAGGGACATGATGGGCTCTTGGCTAATTTGCATATGAAAAGTATGCTCACTGGTAGATTGTTTACTCTCTTTAGGAATTTTCCAGTTCTCAAAGTGGGATTTCTTCCATGGTCAGTAAGGCTCCAGATTTGAAAGATCGGACGAAAAAGACATGCTTAACCCATTAAGCAAGAAACTATAAGAAATCAGAGAGGTAGCCTGTAATTCTGAATGAAATTAATATGTTATGAGAACAGCCCAGGATTAAAACTTGATTTCAGGCATCATTCTGCCACTGAACAGGTATGTGATGGTTACGCAAGTCACCTCATTTCTCAAAGTTTCAGTTTCCCAGCATGAAAAATGAGAGCACTGGATCAGTGGTTCACTGACTGCACTTGCCACAATCTCAATAGAGACCTTAGGAGGGCCCAGTGGGGCCAGCCAAGAAGACTGGGCTTTTAGGCTTTTACCCCAGCTTCAATCAAAGCACCAATACCTGTTTCCACTTCACATGCTGGAACCAAGGATTTCTGAGTGTGAGTGCACGCATGCATCACCTTTCCCCCAATACAGACCCAAATCTGAGAACAATTTGAGGAGGTGATAGCTCTTTCCTTTTCTCCTTCTTTCCTCTCCTTCCATTGTTTTTTTGTTTTGTTTTGTTTTGTTTTGTTTTGTTTTAGGAAGTCATTCTGGGACTCTGGATAGAAGAAGAAAAGATAACCAGAGCTGGAGCAGATGGCCAGAGGTAAGCAAAATCCTCTGTGGTGGCCGCAGCAAGCTCCAAGAGCCTCCTTATCAGTAAACTAACCACATGCCACAATTTGCCATGTGCACAGGACTCTCAATGCTCTCTCTCTCTACATCTGTCTCTCATTATAGTTCCCAACCCCACCTTTTTGCACCATTCACACATTTCAACCAGTAGTAATCCCCAGACCACTAATTCATGCACTGTAAATGATAACTGTCTGACTCACCATGGAGTAGACCATAGGAATGGATTGCTATGAGCCCACAGCAATAGCAAATAGTTGGAACAATTTGCAAACCAACAAACCATTATTTCTCTTTTTTTTTCAGCAACATCTTCGAAAGTTCTCCCCATTCTTCACTTTTATTTGTAGTGCCTGAGTTCATACCTCATTACCTCTCATCTGGTCTATTTCAGTAGCCTTTGAGTAAGTCTCTTTATCTTCCAAATCATCTTGCACATACCAGTAATGAAATGCTGGCGTTAACAAAGCAGCCCGGATCATGTTACTCCTCTCCTTAATACTATTTACTGGCTCCTTGTTTATATCACCATAAATTGCATAGAACCTAGATATTCTAAATATTGGCCTCAGTCTACCTCTTTACCCCTTCCCAACTTATGCCCCAGCTACATTGGATGCCACTGTCTCTCCTCTTTTCCTCTGACTTATCCAATTATCAGTTTTCCTCCTCTTTCCAAGTCTTATAAATGTTGACTTTACCCATAAAACTGTTGCTGTTAGTCAAAATCAACTTATCCCATCCTAGAGGTTGATTGGTACTCCAGTTATTTTATTTTATGTTTTGACACATCAGTCGGTCTCCTTGGAATATAAATGTTTTATTCATTGCTAAAATTAGTGTATTGTTTAGAGTGGAACTTAGCTTACAATTAGATTATTTTAAAAATAATTTAATAAAGTTTGAGGATTTATGTAATTTTTTTATTTCACAGGCACTACTCTTTTTTTTTTTTTTTTTTTTTGAGACGGAGTCTCCCTCTGTCGCCCAGGCCGGAGTGCAGTGGCACGATCTCGGCTCACTGCAAGCTCTACCTCCCGGATTCACTTCATTCTCCTGCCTCAGCCTCCCGAGTAGCTGGGACTACAGGCGTGCCAGAGGCACTACTCATACCTTTACCCATTTCTCTATGACATTTCTAACCAAGTCGACTATAATTGGATGGCTACTAAAAGGCCAACTTCTTCAAAATAAATCCTTTCCCCACAAACATATGGCAAGTAATAGAGTATCAATGTACTTTCTCTTCTGCATTCTCTCATAAACTCATTTCTATTTATTTGTGTATTTATTGAGATAGGATTTCACCCTGTTGCCCAGGCTGGAGTGCAATGGTGTGATCTTGACTCTGTAACCTCAACCTCTTGGGCTCAAGCGATCCTCTTACCTCAGCCTCCCAAGTAGCTGAAACGACAGGTGTGCACCACTGCATCTGGCTATTGTTTGTTTGTCTTTTTGGTAGAGATGGGGTTTCACCATGTTACCCAGGCTGGTCTCTAACTCCTGAGCTCAGGTTATCCTCCCGTCTTGGCCTCCCAAAGTGCTGGGATTACATGCATGAGCCACAGTGCCCGGCCTAACTCATTTCTATTTAGGCTTTTATTGTCACCAGCCTTCTGAAATGGTATGATCATCAACTATCCCAAGTTAAGTCCGATCGTCATTTCTTCTCCTTTTATTCAAACTTTCAGAAACACTCAACAGAATTGGTCACTTTTTCTTTTTTAAAGAAACACTTTTTTTCTCATTTAGAAAAACATATTCTTCTGGGGTTAATCCTACTGCACTAGCTTTTCCTTCTCAGTTATCTTTGTCACTCTTTTTCAGCCTGACTGCTAATTTTTGGTTTGGCCTCTAAAATTATTTCTGGCCACCTCCGATCTCATATCTAAACTCTTTCTCTATGTTAGCTTGTCCAGCCATTTGGCCCCATGGCTTCAATTACCATCTGTTTGCAGGTAACTACCATGTTTTTATCTTTGTTACAGGTTTCCTTGAATACCATACTCCTGTATAAAATATCTTTTTAAATATATATTCTTGGAATTACCAAATGTAGAGATTTTGAGCCTTTTTCCACTTCATGACCTGCTTCTACCCTAGTCATTGTCCTTTTGATATGTGGCCTTCAGACCCTAAAATCTAGAAGTTATTCTTAATAATTTCACTCCTTAGAACCATTCCATCATTAAAAATCATTCTATCACTAAATTCTGTCAACTGAACATCCAAAACAGTATTCCGAATTTGTTTATTTATAATTGTTACTACTATTGCCCTAGTTCAAGCCATCATTATTTCTTAGGATCACTTTAATACTCCTTGTTCATCTTATGACTTACACTCTTAGTCATAAGACCAAAACGGAGTATTAAAGTAATCCTACACAGAAGTCTGTGTCATCTCTTTAAAACATACATTAGATTATGTAATTTGCCTGCTTAAAATCTTCCAACTGTTTCCAATTGCATTCAAAACTAAATCAAAACTGTTCATTATGATCTGCAAGTAGATCATGAGACCCTTTAAATAATCAAGACCCTGATTATCTTCTCAGAATCACTCACACTCAGCTTTCCTTATGTTCCAGCAATGCCTTCTGTCACTCAAAAGTCTAATGTCATTGTAGCCCTATGGCCTGTGTATTAACTTTTCCCTCCTACTAGAATCATTCCCCACCAGATATTGCATGGCTGTGCTTTCCTGTCATTTATAGCTAGGTGGCATTCACAGTCACCCAATGTAAAGAATCGATTGCTTACTACCACAGTATCATATTTATCTTTTTTCACAGCACTTATTACTATCTTAAATGTTTATTTCATTATTTCCAGTATCTCCTGATTAGAATATAAACCTTATAAAATCTGAGCCCCATGATTCTTACCGTTTCTGCCACTTAGAAGAGTGCCTTTCTTATTGTAGGTATTAGTTTGTTATTTATTAACTAAATAATTATAAACATGATTTTGAGAGCCATAGAAAGATAGATTTAAGTCTTAGCTGATAGTTTTTCTACTCTTGTGACCCTGGAAAACCCAATTTGACTTTTTGAGACTTGATTTCCACATCTATAAAATGAGGGCAGTGATATTTTTGTTTTGTTATAGTGAAGCTTAAATGAGAGTGTGCTGCTGAAATCCTTAATATGGTACCCCAAACTTAGAGAGTACATAATAATGATGATTCATGTTCTTCTTAAGTATGATTATTAGTACCATTATTATATTATCATTGTTACCTAAGCACCTACGATATTTACCTCGTCATTATTTTCACTGCTAATCATTATTACCTCATCACTGTTTTCACTATTTTGGATTATGGATCATGTGCTTTAGGGTATGAATGTCACTTTCACAAGGGAATAAAACCATTGTCAACTATTACCTTACTATAATCTTACCTTACTATAATCTTCTCTTCAAAATTTCTTGTTTCTGAGTGGAAGAAAACTAAACTCTGGGCTGGGCATGGTGGCTCATTCCTGTAATCCCAGCACTTTGGGAGGCCGAGGCAGGTGGATCACCTGACATCAGGAGTTGGAGATCAGTCTGGCCAACATGGTGAAACCCGCTCTCTACTAAAACTACAAAAAATTAGCCAGGTGTGGTGACAGGTGCCTTTAAGCCCAGCTACCCGGGAGGCTGAGGCAGGAGAATTGCTTGAACCCAGGAGGCAGAGGTTGCAGTGAGCCGAGATCTCGCCATTGCACTCCAGCCTGGTCAACAAGACCGAAACTCTATCTCAAAAAAAAAAAAAAAAAAAAGAAAATAATAAAATAAATAAAAAGAAAAGTAAGCTCTGAGTAATCAAAACATTTAACCCAGGCAAATCAAGATTTGAGAGGACTATAACCAGCTCTTTCTCTGTATTCCATTTTGTTCTCAACAAGCTCCTGTAGATCCTGGAGGAAAGATCAAATGACCCCCATACACAACAAATAACTCTAAAATTAGAGTGATTTCCATTATATCACTTAGACAGTTAGCTGTTGAGGCATGATAAACCACTGTAAAGCTTAGTTCCTTAAAACAGAAATCATTCTGTTAGCTCAGGGTTCTATGGCCTAGTAATTTGGGCTGGACTCAGTGGTTCTGCTGTCTTTGACTGGGTTTACTCATGTATCTGAGGTCAGTGCTAGTCAGATAGGCAGCTCTGACTCCAACATTTGACTGGTTGTTAGTTGGGTTGACAGTGGCACCTGGTCTCCATGCCTTTAATTCTCTGGCAGGTTGACCTGGGTTTATTTATATGTTGATAGCAGGTTACAAGAGCAAAAAGATTGGAAGTTTTAAGACTTCTTAAAGCCTAGGCTTCTAATTGGTACACTCTCTCTTCCTCCACATTCTATTGGCCAAAGTCAGTCACAAGAGCATCCCAGATTCAAAAGGTGGAGAAATCAACTACTTATTAATTAAAGTTGATCCAAAGTATTGTGGCTACTTTTGCAATCTATCACAATCAAATCGCCTGAGTATAGTATGAGAGATGTTAGTAACATAGTAATATCTGGAGGCATTAGCTCCTACCATTCCTCTAGCAATGTCAGATCAAACAGTTCACAGCCAATCCACCCCATCTCCTTTGTAGAAGTCCTTTCATACAACGTTGGAGTAAATGCCTACTCTCATCTGCTTTTTGCTTCACTGGCTTATGTTCTACACTCTTTTAGCCAGTGGCTCATGTCCTCATCATCCATATCAGAGATATTAAACCTTTCATGTTCTCTTATCTCACATAATATCATCTGTCATCTGTTCTATTCCTTCAGGACTCAATTAGAAAGGCACTGCTTAGCTAATAATCAATTCATTCAATTATATTACTAACTAATGATGATTTTATATCTCAGAACAAATTGGCAATTTTGTTTTCATCTTCAATTCTCAAAATGGGCAAAATGGTAAAATTTCAGGCAAAGTGAGTGGGTGGGCCAGAGAAAGAAAAATGTGGGGAAAAGGGGTGGTTTGTTTATCTTGGAAATAAAATAACACATTCTTTCTATGCATAAAGTTAACTCTATTTCCCAGATTCCAACAATTGTGGTGGTGGCTTTAAAAGTTTGAAGTAATAGCATGTGTTACAGAAAGTTTTTTCCATCTTCCCAAAGAGCTGTCAGGCACACACAAGAGCACACACAAGGTTCTCTATATGAAATACATGCATATGTAGTTCCAAAACATCTGGTGAATCCAGTACCCAAATTAGTCAAACTGATGATTTGGCATCCTATAGACCAAGTATCTAAACAATCAACAAAACAGATTGAAATTACTGGGGTTTAGGATGTAATGTGAAAAGACCAACTGGGCTAGGAATGGTTGGTTGACAGGTTGTAGCTGGCTGGCTGGCTGCCTGAAACATATGGGGGCCTCACTAGTGTATGGCCTTCTTCTCAAAGGCAATAGTGCATGCAGTGGCTGTGGACAGAGGCCTCTTTTTCAAAGATACAGTCAGTGTTAGCTGGCTGGCTTTAACCAGCAAAGCAACATTCCATGTAAGCACAAGCTGTCCCCCAAGAGGGTTCATAGTGAGTGTGCAGTTATCCTTCACATGAATATAACACACTGTGGAAAGCACTTTCACATAAACTGTCTCAGTATAGTGAAGCATTATTTTGTTTTATTTTTATCAACATATAATAAGTGAGAAAATTGTTGAAAGCTTACTGATTTCCCCAAGGTCACTTAGAAAATAGCAGAGCCAGGCCAAACATCTAGATATCCTAAGTCTGGGACACTATTTTCTGTGCAGAGATGAAGGAGGCTAGCTATAGGAGTGACCATCGTGAACAAATAAGGAAGGAAATTTTCAATATATGACACTGAAACCATATAGGGAGAGTAATCAGAGACGACACCAATATAATAGTCCATGATCATTTAGAGTTGGAATTATTTTAGATGTAATCTCTCTCCAGAATAAAATATTTTTCCATTTTGATGGTTACACAAGTTCAGAAAGTGAGGAAAAACATGATAGTTAGACATGTATAACCTAAACAAAAACAAACTCATCAAAAACGGTGAAAACAAAGTTATTGTTATTCTTTTTGGTTACCTGAAATATTTGTATCTCATGAAACAGGATAAAGTCTCATGGTTTAAAGAGGGTCAGCAATTCTTTGTTATATTCTCATTTAGAATTGATGTTCATTCACCCTCCCATTGTATCTACCCTGGTCCTGTGATTACTTGCCCCTAATAGGAGGAAGAAGTGATATTACACCAGTTCCAGGCATACCCTTTAACAATGCAGAAAATGTTTGCTTTTTCCCTCTTAGAACTTTTTTTTTCCTACGATGCTATTTCTTGGAACCCAACTGCTATGGTGTGGAAGCCCAAGACACAGAAATTGTCCATGTGTAGTCCCAGCAGACAATCTTGGCTCCTAGCCAACTGCCAGTATCAACTGCTAGTCATGTGAGAGAACCATCTTTGACCTTCTAGTTAGTCAAGCTCCTGTTGACTGGGATGATGACTTTCATCCCAGTCAACATTTTATGGAGCAGAAAACCACTCAGCAGAGCCCAGACAACAAAATAATTGTTTTAAAAATAATAAAATGGTTCTTGTCTTAAGACAAGTTTTGGATGATTACTTATTCAGCAACAGATAAACAAAACAGAAATTACTGCCTGGAAGTGTAACATTGTTTTAGCAAAAGTGTAAATACTTGGCACTGGCTTTGGAGCTAAGAGGTAGGCAGAATGTGGTTGCACATTAAGGAAACCACAAAAAAGGTGGGAAGGACAGGAAAAAACTTTTTATTTGAAGCTGAAAATAACAGTACTTGTTTCATATAGTGTCAAAAGTTTGTCAACACTGTCACCTAAGGTAACATAGAAAGTAGAAAAATGCCTAATGAACTTGTGAATTCAGCTGAGAATATTTATAGGCAAAATGTCAAAGGTCCTCATTTATTTTAGCTGCATATAATGTAATATCAAGATAGAGAGAGACAGAAGAAAGAGATATGAATTAGAGAAGGGATTTTTAGGTTTTCAAATAAGACTTTCTGTTTTGTTTTGTTTTTTAAAGAATTTTCTTCACTAGACACTCCCGGAAAAAGACTCTTGAGACAATAATTACATCCAGGGCACTGCCAGAAAAATGCAATCTAAGGTCAAGTTTCAAGGGTGCATCTGTTAGACTCCTTATTAGGATCTTAGACTTAAGGCAATGCTTTTCAGCTGGGCAATAAGGCTTCTAATCCTCTGAAGGCCATTTATCCTAGACTGTCTCTAGGATCTTAAGGCTGTTATTCCATATTACTCTGACTCCCAGGCTAAGCAAGGTAAAAAAGGACCAGTCTCAGAATGATTTGTGGGTCCATTATTTTGGTTAATAGAGTAATGTAGACTGTGACTTATGAAGTGAATTATAAATTGATACACAAGAAACCCACACAATGTTTAAGGGATTTTATGGACTTTGAATTAAAGCAACAGAGGTAATTTATAATACAAAGAGATTTTGGGGCCTCCAACTTCCTGTGGACAGGAAGAAGTTGCACATGCTAATTAAATGCAAACTTGGGGCATTTCTTGTGGAAAAGGAAGGATGGCATGGAGAGAAGAGCCAAGAACCTAAAAAGTAGAGACAAGAAGCATCAAAAATCACCCCCGAGGTACATGTCTCTAATAAATTATTGCCAATATGTACCCAACTTGATTTCACAATGCTGTGGATCATTGATATGGTTCCTATTTCCCAACTCCCCTTCTTGGATGGAACACAGTGGTGTGCAAGGGCCATTTGTTAAATGTTAAGGAATTTTGCAAGCTAGTTGATAACACATTGATAGATTGAAATTGACTATGTTATTCACACTGTTGAAATCAGCAAATGTTAAATATTGATACTTCTCCTGTCACTGGAGAATCTTTGATAAACATTTACTAGCAGAGCAGGGGATGGGAATGTGAATTGTGGTTCTCCTCTTCCTGTCTCTCTATTATATGTTGAGTATGTAGGGGTCAACTTAGTCACTTTATTTCATTAGGCTTTCATATTGAAAGATATCACATCCAAGACATCTTATCTGTAATTAAACCTCATTTAAATGATGAGATCCTGCTCTTGAAGTCACATCAGATAAGAAAATGAGATTTTTGGAGGTCTGCGAGAAGAGGGAGTATATTTTACATGTGAAAGAAATATAAGTAATGTATGGCCACAGAGCAAAATCTAGGTATCTAAAAGATGTCCACAGCTTCTTTGCATTTCTCCCTAAAGTTGAAATGTTTATTCCTCATCTTGTTGAATCTGGTTCATCCTGTGGCTAACTGCTCAAGTAATACACTCTGATAGAAGTGACACAGTGCCAGTTCCAAGCCTACACTTTAAAAGGAATGAGAGCAGTCATTTATTCCCTGTTGGAACACTTATATTTGAGAAGTCAAACCATAAGAATAGGCTGTATATAACTGCTCTGGTTAACAGCCCCAGTTGAGCTCCTAGCTAAGAGCCAGCATCGATCACCAGCCATGAGAATAAATCATCTTGGAGTTCCAATGCAGTTAAGCTTCTAGATGACTGCAGCACCAGCCAATGTTTCATGGAGTAGAAAAACTGCTCAGCTGAGCCCAGTCATTCCACAGAATTATGAAAGAGAATAAATTGATAGTTTTTAAGCATAAAATTTTGGGAAAGTAGTAGTAGACTACCAAATCAACAAATAATTTTTGTATTAAACTATTTCAGTTTACACTGCTTGGGGTTGGAGAAGGCAGGAAAAGTCATGGTTGAGGTAAATGTTATAGTTAAACCCCTAGTTTTAGAGATAAAGACACTGACATCTTAACTAGGGTAAAACAGCTTGTACAAGGTTACAGATATTGTTAGTTATTGAGCTTGCCTTGTAACTCATGTTTTCTAAATGGTGTCACATATGCATTATTTTATATTTGGGTTTTTTTTTTTTTTGGTCATTCTTAGACATTCTTTTTCTTCATTCTCTGTAATGTTTACAGTATTTTTGCAAAACTTCCACTGAGTCAACACTTCTGCCTCAAGTTTATCCTGCAAATCATGAAAACTCAACCCAACTGCCTCCCTGCCAACCCAGAAAAAGTGTTAGGACTCAAACATATGTATCCATCTCCTCTACTTACTATAGCATCTACTAAGTGCTAGGCACCTAGTAGAGGTTTGATTTGAAAATATTTCTTGCTAAATTATTTGATCTCTTTTTCTCAGTATCTTAAGCAACATGTGTCCAGATGCATTCATTACTTGGTATTCAGCAAGTATGTATTAACTTTTTTACTTGTGCAAGGTATAGGTAGAAATATATAATAAATATATTAAAATTAACTTGAAGCTCTTGGAAAAAAGCACATAAACATTTCAAGGAAAAATATAAACATATCTATATACACAACTGCAACAATATTAACTTATTTATAAACAATGATACAAACAATATTTGCTTGTTTGTTTTTGAGACAGAGTCTCACTGAGTCATTAGGCTGGAGTACAGTGGCATGATCTCAGCTCACTGCAACCTCTGCCTCCTGAGTTCAAGCGATTCTCATGCCTCAGCTTTTTGAGTAGCTGTGATTACAGGGGTGCATCACCATACTCTGTTAATGTTTGTATTTTTAGTAGAGATGGGGTTTTGCCATGTTGGCCAGGCTGGTCTTGAACTCCTGGCCTCAAATGATCCACCTGCCTCAGCCTCTCAAAGTGCTGGGATTACAGGCATGAGCCACCACACCCAGCCCAAACATAAAAGTTTTATGTTTGCTTTTGTGAAAATTTTCAAAAAGTTTACCAGCAAAAACATGTGTATAACCACCATGTAAGCACACATACGTACACACACTTAAACATCCAACACAACTTTGTTTGAATTATGAGAGAATGATAAAGAGTCCCTTTTCAAGCTAAAAAAGTTAAAGAAATTTTTTGCCCATCAATAATTCAAAACTTAAATGAAAAAAATCATACTTCAGAGTTGACAGCTGACTTGAACTCCATGAAAAATTGTCTCCTACTAACCCCCAAGATGAAAAAATATATAAAAAATGACTATAAATTGCATAACCTCCCCCAACCAATTGCTTTTGAATTGTGGCTACTAACTCCTTCATGTTGTGTAATGGTTCACATCTACACTCAAGCAGGCCTTTCTAGTACCATATAATCTTAATGCATTGAACAAAAGCTCATCTCCTTTTAAATTTCTAGATAATTTTATTTGAATTTCTTGAATAAGTTTGTCTTAACTAATCCTATATGAAGTGTCCCTTACTTTAAAGCATTAATGATATTTACATACATATGAACTTTGTGTATTTTTATAATTATGTATTATAATAACTCATTAAATATTCACTAGGAGCTAGATATCATTCACCTATATTAACTCACTTAATATTGCCCCAAATTCTCTAATTTTAACAAATAAGGAAACTAAAGCAAAGGCAAGTTATGTAACTTTACCAGAGTCTTCTATCAGAGGAAATTCCAATAAGGATTACAATAATACTTGTCATTTAATAAGAGTCCACTTAGTGACAATTTCATTACCAAACATCAAATAAGGTAACTGAGGATCAAAAAGGTTAAGTAATTTGTGTAAGATTATGCTAGTAGGAAGCAGTGAAGCCTGGATTTTAGTCCCAGTGTGTCTCCTTAATGCACTAAGAAAGTTTTGAAGAATAGTTATTGAATCTTCCATATTAGAATCTGATTAGATGATTGCTATCTATGAATGAATGAATCATAATAGAAGAAAGGACTATTTTGGGGAGGACATTAAGAGTAGATTTACATAACTGCTGCTGATGGTTCTGCCAAGTTAACCTTTGTGGTCTCTCTTTTTTTGTGAGATTTCTTGAGAAAAATAAAATTAAGAGCTATGAACTGCAGAACTCCTGTTTGATTGCCTGGGAAAAAATGCCTTAAGACCAGGGCTTAACAAATATGACAATGCAGTCAATTTGCAGCCAAATGAATATACAATGCTTTAGGCTTTCAGGACATCCTAGTAGTGGGCTTCTCAAGATTCGGTAAAGATCAATTTTTACTTTTTAAATTTTTTGCATAACAGTGCATTTTTGGAACAAAGAACATATGTCAACAGCAATGCAATTCATATTTCTTATTGGATAAATTTTACCTAGGTGTAAATGAGTAAATTTGAGCTCCTCTTTGCTTTTTAAGCCATGTGTTATGTTGGAACTGAAATTAAATTCCTGACATTTATGACAACACGGATGAACCTGGAAGACACTATGCTAAGTGAAATGAGCTACGCACAGAAAGACAAATACTAGATGACCTAAAATAGTGAAACTCATGGAAGCAGAGAATACAATGGTGGCTGCCAGCAGATGTGGGGAGTGAGATATCAGATGTTGCCCAAATGGTACAAAGTTTCATTTATGCAGGATAAATAAGTTCTGCTGATTTAATGTAGAGAATGACAACTATAGTTAATAATACGGTATTTTATACTTGCAATTCACTAAGATGGTGTATTAGTCCATTCTCACACTGCTTTAAAGGACTGCTGGAGACTGGGTAATTTATAAAGGGAAAAGTTTAATTAACTCACAGTTCCACATGGCTAGGGAGGACTCAGGAAACTTACAATCATGGCCGAAGGGGAAGCAAAGATGTCCTTCAAATGATGGCAGGAAAAAGTGCCCCCAAAAAAGGGGCAAAAGCCCCTTATAAAACTGTCAGGTCTCACGAGAACTCAATCACCATCATGAGAAAAGTAGCATGGGTGGTAACTGTCCCCATGATTTAATTACCTTCCACTGGGTCCCTCCCACAACAGATGGGAATTATGGGAACTACAATTCAAGATAAAATTTGTGTGGAGACACAGCCAAACCACATTATTCCATCCCTGGCCCTCCAAAATCTCATATCCTCATATTTCAAAACACAATCATACCTTCCCAGAAATCCCCCAAAGTGTTAACTCATTCCAGCATTAACCCAAAAGTCCAAGTGCAAAGTCTAATCTGAAACAAGGCCTATGAGCTTGTAAAATCAAAAGCAATTTAGTTACTTCCTAGATACAATGGGGATACAGACATCGGGTAAATATACCCATTCCAAATGGGAGAAATTGGCCAAAACAGAGGGGCTACAGGCCCCATGCAAGTCCAAAATCCAATAAGGCCGTCATTAAACCTTAAAGTTCCAAAATCATCTCCTTTGACTCCATGTCTCATACCAAGGTCACATTGATGCAAGAGGTGGGCTCCCATGGCCTTGGTCAGCTCTGCCAAGGATACAACCTCATGGCTTTGCAGGGTACAACCCCCCTACTGGCTGCTTTCATGGGCTGGTGTTGAGTGTCTGCAGCTTTTCCAGGCACATTGTACAAGCTGTCAGTGGGTCTACCATTTGGGGGCCTGGAGGATGGTGGCCCTCTTTTCACAGCTCCACTAGGCAATGCCCCAGTGGGGACTATATGTGGGGGCTTCAACCCCACATTTCCTTTCCACACTGTTCTAGCAGAGGTTCTCCATGAGGGCCCTGCCCCTGCAGCAAGCTTCTGCCTGGACATCCAGGCATTTTCATACATACTCTGAAATCTAAGCAAAGTTTTCCAAACCTTAATTCTTGACTTCTCTGTACCTACAGGCTCAAAAACATATGTAAGCTACCAAGATTTGGGGCTTGCACCCTCTGAAGCAATGGTCTGAGCTGTACATTTGCTTATTTTAGCTTTGGCTGGAGCTGAAGCAGCTGGGGTGCAGGGCACCATGTCCTGAGGTTACATAGAACAGCGGGGGCCTGGGCCTGGCCCAGGAAACCATTTCTTCCTCCTAGGCCTCTGGGCCTGTGCTAGGAGGGGCTGCCATAAAGGTATTTGACATGCCCTGGAGACATTTTCTCCATTGTCTTGGAGATTAACATTCAGTTCCTCATTACTTATGCAGATTTCTGCAGCAGGCTTTAATTTCTCCCCTGAAAATGGGTTTTTCTTTTTCTATTGCATTGTCAGGCTGCAAATTTTTCAAACTTTTATTATCTGCTTCCTTGCAAATGTTTTGCTGCTTAGAAATTTCTTCCAGCAGATACCCTAAATCATCTCTCTCAAGTTCAAAGTTTCACAGATCTCTAGGGCAGGGGCAAAATGCCACCAGTCTCTTTGCTAAAGCATAACAAGAATCACCTTTGCTCTAATTCACAACAGGTTGTCATCTCCATCTGAGACTACCTCAGCCTGGATTTATTGCTCATGTTGTTAGCATTTTGGTCAGTGCCAATCAACAAGTCTCTAGGAAGTTCCAAACTCCCACATCTTCCTGTCTTCTGAGCCCTCTTAGTCTCTAGGAAGCTCCAAACTTTCTCACATTTTCCTGTCTTATTCTAGCCCTCCAAACTGTTCCACCTCTGCCTGTTACCTAGTTCCAAAGTTGCTTCCACATTTTTGGGTATCCTTAGAGCAGTACCCCACTCTACCAGTACCAATTTACTGTATTAGTTTGTTTTCATACTGCTATGAGGAAATACCCAAGACTGGGTAATTTATAAATAAAAAGAGGTTTAGTGGACTTACAGTTACACACGGTTGGGAAGGCCTCACAATTATGGAGGAAGGTGAAGAAGGGGTAGATGCATGTCTTACATGGTGGCAGGCAAGAAGTGGCAAGAAAAAGGGGGAAAAGCCCCTTATAAAACCATCAGATCTTGTGAGAACTCACAACATGTGGAGATTATGGGAGGTACAATTCAAGTTGAGATTTGGGTGGGAACACAGCAAAACCAAGTAGAGATTTGTGTGGGAACACAGCAAAACCATATCAGATCATAAATCTTAAGTGTTCAAATAGACACACACATATGCACACAAAAGAAAATGGTAACTACATGAGGTAATCAATATGTTAATTAGCTTGATTGTGGTGATCATTCACATTGTATGCATATATATAGAGAGATATCAAAACATCAAATTGTACACCTTAAATATACAAAGTTTTTTTATTTGTTACTTTTATCTCAATTAAGCTGAAAAAAATAGAATATAAAGACAGAGCCATAATGTCCACAATAGACATGCTTAAAAAGATATGATGACATATTTAAAAACCTAACATGAAAATTTTAATATAATTTTAGAGGGAAAAAAAAGCTAGGATTTTCAAAAGTTAAAGTCTGTTTTGGAACCTTTCTCTGAAAATTTTCATGGCTTTAGGTGGGTTCTGTAACCTGTCCTCCCCATATGTCTTTTTTTGCAACTGATTAGAAATGGAGTTTTTCATAGATTATCCAGAATGTCCATTCTTGCTTTGCTATCCTCGCTATGGTTGAAAACATAGACTCTGAGATAGGAAGTTCGTGATTAAAACATTGACTCTGCATTTCCAGCTATCTGATTCTGAACAAATCACTTAAACTCTGAAAATTTGTTTCCTTGTGTCAAAAATGATGGCACTAATAGCTGTCCCATCAACATGTTAAGAAAGTTTAAAAAATGAGACAATGCAGCTAAACTACTTATTTTAGTACTGACTAACCATTAGGATTGTTTGTGTATAATATGATTACTATTGTTGCTTTAAAGTTTAAATTTCCAGTTCTTGAAGATGGGTGAGGTAGGGGGCTTTACAACCTTAGAAATGGGCCAACTATTGCATTTCCTTTTTCTCCACCTAAACATAGTTTAGTGACATATGTAGCATATATTTTTTGTACTAGTGTTTTTGTTTAGGTAGATTAGGTAGATATTTGTATGTATGTACATGGAATTTAAGACTTTGAGAATGAGGATGAAAGAGGAAAGAAGATACAAAAAGAATTATGCTACAAAGAGCTGAAGTCCCCTGCTAAATGTTACAGATTCCAATACTATTATATTATTATTATCCAGAACTATGATCAGATATGTACTGACCATGTACATCTGTTATTAGAGCAAGAGAAAATTGAGAAGATTTTTAAAATATGTTATTTAGATAAGCATTCTGAGAGGATTTCTGATGGCATAATAGATTTAATGACTTGAGTAAATATAACTAACTCTTGAGTTTCCACGTGTGAAAAGATAAGAGATAAGTGGAACATACCCTTAATACAGATATTCGCTTGAGAATATCATTTTCAATTTATTCTCTAGTTTGCTATTCTAAGAATTACACAAAGTGACAGAGGTTACTGACAGAAATTTTAACCTCTCACTCTTCCTGGTAGCAATGCCTATACATTTCTCCCATCTTCCCAAGCTGCCTGTGTCTTCATAGAGTCACAAATAATATATTTGTTAAAAAGAAGAAGAAAGGGTAGATAAAAAAAGAAGTTGGAAGGAAAAAAAGTAACAATTTAGAGCTTATTAACCATTTTCATTAGTGGTTTATTTGATTTGTACTGATACAGTTTGGCTGTGCCCCCACCCAAATCTCATCTAGAATTGTAGCTCCCATAATTGCCACGTGTCATGGGAGGGACCCAGTGGGAGGTAATTGAACCATGGGGGCAGATTTTGCCCATGCTCTTCTCATGATAGTGAATAAGTCTCATGAGATCTGATGGTTTCTTAAAGGGCAGTAACCCTGCACAAACTATTTTTGCCTGCTGCCATGTAAGACTTGCCTTTGCTCCTCCTTCAAGTTGTACCATGATGGTGAGGCCTCCCCAGCCATGTGGATTTGTGAATCCATTAAACCTCTTTTTCTTTATAAATTACCCAGTCTTAGGTATGTCTTTATTAGTAGCATAGGAATTGACTAATACATGTATTAACTTGCACACATTCCAATTTTCAAAGCCTTCACCACCCACTCTCCTTGCCACTCATTGCTGATGGCATGCACATATGCTACAGGCTCTCATGGGTATTTGGCCAGTCACAGGGTATGGTAATGCCACCCTTTCCTTTTATATCCAAAAATAATATCAGAGCACAAGTGTATTATGAGCCATTCTCATATTTAAATTACTTACAAACTTTATTTATATTTAACCAATTACCTGCAATTTGAATTCTAATTGTCCTATTTTCTTTACATGAATTATTCCATTTAAGCCTGCAATAATCCTATGAGGTAGTGATTAATAGCTTTGTAGCCTAAATAACCAGCTGTCCAACCAAATATGTTATCTTCTTGAATAGAGTATGTATGCATTAGTTCCTGGGGCTGCCATAACAAATTGCCACATAATTGATGGCTTAAAACAAGACAAATTTATTTTCTCACATTTCTGAAGGCCAGAAGTCAGAAATCAGTTCCACTGAAACAAAACCAAGATGCTGTCAGCGTCATGCTCTCTCTGGAGGCTCTAAGGGAGAATGTATTCCTTGCTTCTTCCATCTTCTGGTGTTTCACCAGTTGGTCAAGTTATGCAACAGGATAGACTATAGCATGAAAGTGGCCAAGGTGAAAACACAGTTAGGTACCTCTCAAGGAAGAGACCACTACATGATTTGAGGTCACTGAGAACAGACAGCATGCACATCAGGCTCAAGTGGTAGAGTGCTTGCTTACAGCAAGAGGGTAGAGAGCACACCAAATACAGCCTTTTCAATGTCTTGGTCCCTCATGGATAGCAGATTCATTTTTCAGCCAATGCCCACAGTGTGATCAGATGAAAAATACTTTATGTTGCAGTAGGAGGACATTAACCCTTGACCCATGGAGTCTGAAATACAAAAAGGTGGGGGCATTCCTGAAAACCATTGACTCATGCATAGCTAACCAGTTCCCCAGAGAAGATTACATGTACCTCATACAGAGAGCAGTGTACAGGGTTCACTTTTCTCCTCATTGTGGAAACGTGTTATCTTTTGTCCTTTTGACAATAGCCATTCTAACAGGTGTGAGGTGATATCTCCTAGTGGTTTTATTTTGTTTCTCTGGTGATTCATGATTTTAAGCATTTTTCATGTATCTATTGGCCATTTGTATATCTTCTTTTGAGATATGCATATTCTGATCCTTTAACCTTTTTTATTTTATTAAATTTAATTTTTTATTGAGTTAAAATATACACATATAATTTACCAGCTTTACCATTTTAAAGAGTACAGTTGATATGGTTTGGCTGTGTCCCCACCCAAATCTCACCTTGAATTGTAGCTCCCATAATTCTAATGTGTCATGGGAGGGACCAAATGGGAGGCAATTGAATCATGTCGTGGGTCTTTCCCATGCTGTTCTTGTGGTAGTAAGTCTCATGAGATCTGATGGGTTTATAAAGAGGAGTTTCCCTGCACACACTCTCTCTGCCTGCCAACAAGTGAGACGTGACTTTGCTCTTCATTTGTTTTCCACCGTAATTGTGAGGCCTCCCTAGCCATGTGGAATTGTGAGTCAATTAAACCTATTTTCTTCATAAATTACTCTGTCTCAGGTATGTCTTTACTAGCAGTGTGAGAACAGACGAATACAACAGTTTAGTGGTGATAAAATGCATTTATATTCTTTGTTTCTCCCTTCATTCCCTCTCCATGCTCCCCTTCTTAGCCTTTGGTTAATCACCAATCTACTCTCTACCTCCATGAGATCCACTTTTTTAGCTCCCATATATGTGTGAGAACATACAATATTTGTAAGTCCTTGATTGACTTGTTTCACTTAATGTAATGGCCTCTAGTTCCATTCTTGTTGCTGCAAATGACAGGACTTCATGCTTTTTTAATGGCTGAATAATAGTCCACTGTGTAATTGAGTTATTCGTTTTCTTACTGTTGAGTTGTTTTTGTTCCTCATATATTTTGGATCTTTCCCCTTATCAGATGCATGATTTGTAAATATTTCTTCCCTTCTGTCGGCGGTCTTTTATATTTCTTCCATTCTGTAGGCTGTCTTTTCACCCTGTTGATTCACCCTTTCCTTGGCTGTACAGAAGCTTTTTAGTTTTATGTAATCTCATTTGTCTATTTTGTCTCCACCTCTTTCTTTAAGGCCTACTTGAACAATCCAGGGTAATCTCTCCATGACAAGATCCTTCATTTAATAAAATCTACAAAGACTCTTTTCCTCAGAAGGTAAAATTTACAGGATTCAGTCATTAGAACCTGCTATATTTTGATAGCTATTATTCAGCGTTCAAAAGTATAGAACTATCCCTGAGAAACAATGGTTCAGTCAATTATACTTCCCTAACCGCTTTACCTCTGGATGTAATAATGTGATGTTATTGTCAATAGAATGTGAGCAAAATAATAATAATAATAATAATAATAATAATAATAATAATGTGAGCTATTTTTAGGCAAAAGCTTTTCTGAAGTAGGATAACCTCCTTCATGCATTTTCCTGCTTTCCACTTGGTAGTTGCAGATGATTACAGGGTCTTAGAATATAGCAGAGCCAAGGGATACGGGGATCTTGGGATACTGGGTTACATGAGAAATAGATTTCTTGAGTACTGTACGGAAGAGAGGTGTCCGATTATTAGAAACAACACAGTGGGTTATAAGAAAGAGAAAAAACAAACAAAAAAGTCTACTGTGTGTTTGAGCCATGGTCTATGACAGTTGCTACTACCTAATTAATTCAATCTCCATTATAGCTTACTGAACTTCAGAAAGATAAAACAGAAATTTCACATTCAACATCCATTGTGAAAGAATGCATCCTTATGGGTCCTAGGTCAGGCATTCAGCCCACATGCCCTGTCCAGCTGAATGTCGTGGAGCAAATAATACCTAAATTGCAAGTCATGATAGATCACACACACACACACACACACACACACACACACACACACACACACACCATCATATCATGCTTTTCCTCCCCTTTGGCTAAAGACATATGAACATTACTTTTCATAGCCAAGGCTAACCTTAATGTGTCACATGAGTTTTAATTCCATCCTCTGCCTGAGTTCCCACAAGTCTTCTTGTTTGATCACATATCCCTGCTGCTTCTTCTCACTGACTTTGTATCTCTTCAGCCTGCCTTTTATTCTCACTTGAATGACCTTGAATACAACTTCTGGCCCTGCTAACTTCCAGAATGTGCCAGTTCCCTCTCTCTTATTCAACTTTCTAGTCTGGGTCATTATGCTTAGATTAGTCTAGTGGTTGCAGGAAGCCTGAAACACATGTAGGCACTAACCTCCACCTTTGCAATACTGAATTAAATTGATTTTAAAAAAGTGAAGGGAAACCAGTTGCTAGTGTTGATTAAAAAACAAAACAAAACAAAACAAAAACAACTCATGTAATGTGTTTTGGGCAGAAACCAAGCATGGGCTATCCAAAAAATCATAAAGGGAGGTAGATACGTTGTTACATGTAAATACCCATTTGCCATAGGCTATAATTGGACTTCGGTAAGTTCACATAACCAGTTCATGAATGATACCCTTTCCAAAGCTGAAATATTTACAGATACCCCCTCCCAAGTAATTCAAAGTAGGTACTCTTTGCTATTGGAAATCTGCTGCCTGTACTAGAAGTTGGCAATGAATACCTTTGACCTCTTGTTGTCTATTAGCTTGTATGACCTTTGAAAAAGGAAAAATTAATGTGCCACTAAGAAAAGAAACAGCCACGTATCAATGTAAATCAAGGCCAACCAAAGTAGAAAATAAAGAAAAATATAATCCCAAATTTATAAAACAGTCTCAATATATTTGTTCCCCAGTTGGTTCCTCAATTCAGAGAATATTCCATCAGCATTGATTTTTGTAAAATTCTATTTTAAAAGTAATATACCAATATCAATAAAGAGAGTTATTTTTATATTTAATAAATATTGTCCTACCACACTAAAACAACAGCTGTGATCACTTTTACCTGAATTGATTCTCAACCAACATTATAAAAGTCTTAGTCCTAAAAAAAACTTCAGAGTTAATACAATGGCACAATGTTCACTACTCAGGTGATGCTTACACCAAAAGCCCCAGATTTCACCATTTTGTCATATATTCATGTAACAAAACTGCACATAGACATCCTCAATCTATAAAAATAAAAAAATTAAAAGAAAAAGGAAATAATAAAAAAAGGTGATGCAGATGAAGGCTAATCCTCATCTACAGTTCCCTAATGCATAAGCATCTGCCCATTGTCTTCTTTAATTCATAACCACACTCACCATGAAATTGGTTTCTGATTTAATAGGAAGTACACAGGAAAGTACTAGTAGATATGAATCCTGTTAATCTGTCTTCCAAGCTTGGCTGTTTCTCAACTTGTTTTATAACCTTGGGGAAATACCTTTCTCTCTCTTTCCTCAGTGATTGCTAGGAATCCTTATAACTGTAAAATACAATGAAAATAAATCAACAAACACATACACAAACATGAATAAACCCTATGCTATCTCTACGACTGAAATACGTTAATGGGTGCATAATCATGCAGTGTAGAGCTTCAGGGGTGATGCTGAGGAAGACTGAAAGAGGCCCAGCCTAAGCAAAATATTATCTACTCAGAATTGTCTGTGGTAAGCTAACTGAGCTACATCTGCTACAACCAGCTCTGTTGTTGCATTTGTGCCCTCTAATTCAGATATGGACATAGCCCTTCCTGGGGCATAATATTCCCTTCTATCACCTCAGCGCTGTACCTTACAGTCCCTCTCTATAGCTACTTTTAGGTGTTATTTCAACTAAAATTTATTCATGAACTTACATTTTTCATTTTGGTGCTAACAGGTTAAAAGGGCACTGCCTGACTCCTTGGTCCAGGGAAAAACATCTTCCCCTGGAGTCTTCCAGGGATAGGGTGCTTTTCTTAGTAGTTCATATAGTTTGAATCGCTTTGTTGATGATGTGTGGTGAAGGATGGGGGAAAGGATGAGTCTGATTCAATTACCTATATTTGGTTGAGGAAGGGAGTGGAGCTACCTCACCTCCCCGTAACCAGTCCTGGATACTGAATATTACTGCCCCACTGCTGTTCCTGAGACCAGATCCAACAGTGAAAAAACATTGTTTACAGCCAGTATTTCATCAAGACTAAGTCACTAGGCTGATGGAATATTGCTTTTTGGAGATAAATTATGCTTTTAATTTTGTAAATGCATCTGGAGCTGCAAAGGCACACACATCTACATGTAAAATTAAGAGCAATGCCTTAGATTAGGAAGCATTCTAATTTGCATTCTGCTGAGCAGGACCAGTGGGCATGGAGTGGTCTGAATCCCTCAGTTTCTGCTGTTTAATATTCTGCATCACAGTGACTATGCTATTATGTTTTATTTTCCATAGACACAATAGAAGCATGCTTATTTGCTTTAAATTAAACATATATATCCTAATCAATAATATAAAGAAACATAGCTTAAGTGCTTAAGTGCTTTTTATTCAGCAAATGTGTGCCTGGCCTAGGAAGAAGGCTTGTGAAGATATTTAAATGGCGGCAGATTTTTCTCAAATCATGAATTTGATTTTCTTGAAGGTCCACAAACAGCAGAAGCTAAACTATCAATTTTTAAATGTGCTTTTTAATTTTTTGGTTGTTATTAAAAATAAGTTAAAATATTTTAAATGGCAAAAAACTGCCTTAGTAGGAATTGGAAATGGATAGAAGTCTATCCTCTTCCCAACAAAGCTCTCCTAATTTCTTTCTCTTTGAATGAAACTCATGAAGAAAAATCAAAATAATAGTCATACTCAACTGCACACAATAATGGTCATTAAAATCATAGTCATCAAAATAATAGTCATAATTAACTGCATACAATAATATACTCATATATAAGTTTACTATATTTACACACATACACACATACATGCATAATATTGGTGTACATAGGGATGCACACCTTCCTATGTGTGTGTAGTTTAGAGATATGTACATGTGTGTACATATGTGTGTACATGTGTACATGTGTGTATGTGTACACGTGTGCATGCATGTGTGTACATGTGTGCATGCATGTGCGTGTATATGTGTGTGTGTGTATGTGTGTGTACATATCTCTATACTCCACACACATAGAAACCCTCAGGCATGAAGTTACATATACATATTGATGAACATAAGCCATGAAACATTCCTCTTAACCCAACTGCCAAATTCAATCCAGAAAACCCATTTATGAGAATTCTAAGCCAAACTCATGCATTCTTATCATAACATTAATTACAAAGTCCTCCCTCTTTCCACTTACTCTATCACTGTTCTTTCCCCTGCAATTGATATATGCCAGTTGCTATCCAAATTCAGGTGTGCAGGTGACTATAGTCAGGAATTCATTTTTCACTAATATGAGTGACCTATGATAAGCATCTCCAGACACTAAATGAAATTCAGCGAAACACTGTCTCATAAACCATAAATCATTACTATGTCTATTCTTTCTCAGGACAACAAGGAGCTAATAATCTCTGTAGATTTCTAATTTCTAATTTATTTAGTTTCAAATTGAATAAAACAAAGGATAATGAAACCCTCTTTAAATGTGTTCAAGTTCTTTTAGGTGCAGATTAAAAATAATCTTGACTCTACTGGTCCACCACTCTTTGATTTTGTGTGGTTGCTGGGTTACATTGAAATTTGTGAAGATCCACATAATTGGATTTTACAGTGTCTTGAAGTAGAATAGTTCTAGGAGAAGAAATTGGAAAGTTTGTTCCTTTAATAAAAACTGACCTTATTAATTCCTATCATCCATCAAGTTTATTTACTCAATGAATTCTTGTTAAAATGTCTATCCTTTGCTAGGTACCTTAGAGTTACACCATAGAGATACAATGTGGGCAAGAATACTCATGGTTTCCATCCTTATATTGCATACTGTCTAGAGTAGAAAAAGAAATGAATGAAATAAATAAACACAGAAATACATGTAAAGCTACAATAGGAAAAACCTTTTTTTGAAAGAAATAGCTCAAAGGAATTTAACTAATTTGAGGTTTTAAAATAATTTTCCTTGGAGCAGTGACATTTGAACTAAAATCTGAAGAATAAGTAATGTATGAGGTGATCTGAAAATAGCAAATACAGAAGTTTGCTCGGGCAGATTTACTCTACTAGATATTATATTAATATTTATATTATACTTACATAATGTGTTTCCCTCCAGAATGTAGCCTTTCTAGGATCAGGGACTGTGTTTCGTTTCCTGTTTACCTCCAGCACAGTCTGTCCTTGTGTATATTGGATGCTCAATAATAATTGTTTTAACCCTGAATTCTTGCTTAATACTTACAAGAGCCCTACAAGGCTAGTCCTATCATAATCTCTCTTATTAATGAAAATGTTAAGGCCAGGGTCGGTATGTGACTCTCTCAAAGTCAACAGGATTCACACAGATACAATTGACTCTTAAATACTCTGCCTTCCTGTCTCTGAACTGACACCATTATAATCTTAATGGGATATCACATGGAAAAACAGCAGACATTCCCAGCAGTAGAGAAATGGTCAATCAAGCAAATTGTGTTGTAATGTTATATGATATGATATCATATAGTAATAAAATACAATTGAATATGTTATTAACATAATCTCCAATGGACATTGCATATATAGACTTGCTATATAAAATAATGTGTTCTTAAAAATATATGAAAAATATATGTTAATGCTTCTTACATGCATAGGCCCTGCTAGATATAATGGGGTACACAAAAATCATTCTGATGTGTATCTTATCTTCAGATTTCTTATAATCCGCTTATAATCACAGTATCGAATGTGAAAATATTTTCCTCCCTTTATTTTCTACTAGTGGCAGAACTTCAGGTAAGTGAATAAATATCTAACACTTAGATTTTTTAATTTAATTTTATTTTTAATTGACATAATATTTATAGATTTTTATAGGCTATAGTGTGATGTTTTTATACCTGTACACATTGTGTAATGATTGAATCAAGGCATTTAGTTTATCCATCATCTCAAACATTTATCATTTTTTTGTAATGAGAATGTTCAGAACCTTCTCTTCTAATTATATTGATGTATACATGTAATATTTTTTAACTATAGTCATTCTATCTTATTATACCTCCTACCTGTAACTGTACATTTTGCCCCATCTCTTCCCATATCCCCCTTCCCTTTACCCTCCTCAGCCTCTTGTAACCACTATTCTATTCTGTACATCCATGAAATAAGTTTTCTTAAATTCTGAAAGTGAGTGAAATCATGTGATATTTATCTTTTTGTGCCTGGATTATTTTATTTAATATGATGTCCTCCAGATTTATCCTTGTTGCCAATGCCACAAGTGACAGGATTTCATCTTTATTTTATGACCAAATAGGATTCCATTGTGTATATATACGACATTTTCTTTGTCCATTCATCTGTTGATGGACACTTAGGTTGATTCCATATCTCGGCTATTGTGAATAGTGCTTCAATAAACATGACAGTTCAGATATCTCTTAGCCATACTGATTTCATTTCTTTTGGATAAGTGAGATTACTGGATTATATGGTAGTTCTATCTTTAATTTTCTGGAAACCTCCATTTTGCTTTACATAATGGCTGTAGTAATTTACATTCCCACCAACAGCATACAGGCATGCCTTGTTTTATTGTGCTTCACCTTATTGTTCTCCACGGATATTGCATTTTTCAAAAATTTAAGGTTGATGACAATCTTGTGTCAAGCAAGTCTATCCATGCCATTTTTCAAAAGTATGTGCTCACTTCGTGCCATTATGTCACACTTTGGTAATTGTCACAATATTTCAAATTGTTAAATTATCATCATATCTGTTATAATATTATATCTGTTATGACATTATGACATGATTTTGTCATTACTAAATAATTATTATTATGTCATTATTATGACATTATTACAGACATGTATTCAGTGATCTTTGATATTACCATTGTAATTGTTTTTAGGACACCATGAACCACACCCATATAAGATGACAAACTTAATGGATAAATTTTGTGTGTATTCTGACTGCTCCAGTGACCAGTTGTTCTTTTATCTCTCTTCTTCTATTCAGGTCTCCCTATTCTCTGAGACACAAGAATATTGAAATTAGGCCAATTAATAACCCTACAATGGCCTCTAAGTGTTCAAATGAAAACAAAGTTGCATGTCTCTGACTTTAAATAAAAAGCTAGAAATGATTAAGCTTAGTAAAGGGACATGTCAAAAGCTGAGATAGGCCAAAAGCTAGTCTCTTGCATCAAACAGACAAGTTGTAAATGCAAAGGAAAGGTTCTTGAAGGTAGTTAAAATTGCTACTTCAGGGAACACATGAATGATAAGGAAGTGAAACAATATTATTGCTGATATGAAGAAAGTTTTAGTGGTCTACTTAGATTAAACCAGCCACAATATTTCCTTAAGTCAAAACCTAATCCAGGGCAAGTCCCTAACTCTCTTTAATTCTATGAAGGCTGAGAAAGGTAAGGAAGCTGCAAAAGAAAAGTCTGAAGCTAGCAGGAATTGTTTCATTAAGTTTAAGAGAAGTCCTCTCCATGACATAAAAGTGCAAGGTGAAGCAGAAAGAGTTAATGTAGAACCTGCAGCGAGTTACCCAGAAGACTTAGCTGCTAAGATAATTCAAGAAGTTGGCTACCCTAAATAACAGATTTTCATTAAAGACAAAATAGCCTTATACTGAAAAATATTCCATCTAGGACTTTCTTAGCTAGAAAGTAGAAGTCAATGCCTGGCTTCAAAGTTTCAAAGGACAGGCTGACTCTTGTTAGGAGGTAATGTAGTTGATGACTTTAGGTTGAAGCCAGTGTGCATTAACCATTACAAAACTACTAGTGCCTTAAGAATTATACTGAATCTTCTTTGCTTGTGTTCTATAAATGGAACAATGAAGCATGGATCACAGCACATGTGTTTATAAAATGGTTTACTGAATATTTTAAGCTCACTGTTGAGACCTACTGCTCAAAAAAATATTTTTTCAAAATATTACTGTCACTGACAATGCATCTGGTCACCCAAGAATCCTGATGGAGATGTATAAGGAGATTAACATTTTCATGCTTGCTAACCTATCATCTATTTTGCAGCCCATAGAGCAAAGAGTCATTTTGACTTACAAGTTTTATTATTTAAGAAATACATTTCATAAGGCTATAGCTGCATAGATAGGGATTGCACTGAAGCATGCAGACAAAGTAAAATGAAAAATTTCTGGAAATAATTCACCATTTTAGATGCCAAAAAGAACACTTGTGATTCATGGGAGAAGCTCAAAACAACATTAACGGGAGCTTGGAAGAAGTTGATTTCAATCATCTTGGATGGCTTTAAGGAGTTCAAGACATCAGTGGAGAAAGTAACTGCAGACTTGGTAGAAAAAGCAAGAGAACTTGAATTAAAAGTGGAACATGATGATGTGACTGAATTGCTGCAATCTGCTGATAAAATGTCAACCAATGAAGAGTTGTTTCTTATGAATGAGCAAAGAAAGTAGGTTATTGTTATGGAATCTACTCCTGGTGAAGATTCTATGAACATAATTTAAATGAAAATAACATATTTAGAATATCATGTAAGCTTAGTTAATAAAGCAATGGCATGGTGTGAAAACCATGATGGTATTCTCCCACATTTTCATGTAGCAGTTTTTATGGTTTAGGATCTTACATTTAAGCACCTAATCCATTTTGAGTTGATTTACGTATATGATGAGAGAGAATGGTCTAATTCTGCTGCATGTAGATATCCAATTTTCTCACCATTTAGTGAAGAGATTTTTCTTCCTCCAATGTGTGTTCTTTGTGACTTTGTCAAAAATCAGTTGGCTGAAAGTGTGCAGATTTGCCTCTCTGTTCTCTGTTCTATTTCATTGGTCTTTATGTCTATTTGAATGCTAATACCATACTGTTTTGGTTACCATAGCTTTGTAGTATATTTTTAAATCAGGTAGTGTAATACCTCCAGCTTTGTTCTTTTTGCTCAAGATTGCTTTGGCTATTTGGGATATTTTGTGGTTCCATACAAATTTAGAATTGTTTTCTATTTTTGTGAAGAATGCTATTGATATTTCGATAGAGATTTCTTTGAATCTGTAGATTGCTTTGGGTGAACGGACATTTTAATAATATTAATTCTTCCAAGCCATACAAATGGGGTATCTTTTCATATATTTTTGTCCCCTTCAATTTTTAAAATCAATGTTTTATAGTTTCTATTGTAAAGTTCTTTCACCTTCTTGATTAAATTTATTCCTAAGTGTGCATTTTCTTTTAATTTTCTTGCAGCTATTGTAAATGGTATCTTAATATCTTTCTTTAGATAGTTTGCTATGGTGATATATAAGTGCTGCTGTGTTTTGCATGTTAATTTTGTATCCTGAAAATGTACTGTATTTGTTTATTAGTTCTAACTGTTTTTAGTGGAGTCTTTGGGGTTTTTTTTAATATGTAAGATTATGTCACTTCAAACAGGAAACATTTACTGTCTCCTTTGTAATTTGCATGTCTTTATTTCTTTGTTTTGCCTTATTGCTCTAGCTAGGAATTCCAGTACTCAGCTGAATAAAAGTGGTGAAAGTAGGCATCCTTGTCTTGTTCCAGATCTTTGGGAAAAGGTTTCATGTTTTCCCTATTCAGTATGATGTTACTTGTGAGTTTGTCATATATGGCTTTCATTATATGGAGGTATGTTTCTTCTATAATTAAAGGAATTCCCTCCAATTTTTGAAATCATTTGAAAAAAATGATGTTAATTTTTCTTTTAGTGTTTGATATAATTCACCAGTTAAGCCCTCAGGTTCTGGGCTTTTCTTTGATGAAAGACTTTTTATTATTGACTTAATCTTTTTCCATGTTATTGATTTGTTTAGATTTTCTATTTCTTCATGATTCAGTCTTGGTAGATTGTATGCACCTAGGCATTTATCAGTTTCTTCTAGATTATCCAATTTGTTGCCATATAATTGCTCATAGTAGTCTCTTATGATGATTTTTATTTCTGTGATATCAGTTGTAATGTTTCCCCATTCATTTCTGATTTTACTTAATTGAGTCTTCTCTCTATTTTCTTAGTCTAGCTAAAGGGTTTTCATTTTTATCTTTTCAAAAAACTATTCGTTTCACTGATCTTTTATATGTTTTCATCTCTATTTTGTTTATTTTTGCTCTGATCCCTACTATTTACTTCCTTCTACTAATTTTGGGTTTAGTTCATTCTTGTTTTTCCAATTCATTTTGCTGCAATATTAGATTGTTTATTTGAGACCTTTCTAAATTTTTGATGTGTTTGTCTTAAAGCTGCTTTTGCTGTAGCTCATAGGTTTTGGTATGTTGTGTTTCCATTTTCATTTTTCTAAAGAAATTTTTTAATTTCTTAAAAATTTTTTTATTGATGGAGCCACTATTTAGGAGTAGGTTGTTTAGTTTACATGTGTTGGTATAGCTTCCAAAGTTCCTTCTGTTATTAATTTCTAGTTTTATTCTATTACAGTCTGAAAAAATACTTGATCAGACTTTGATATTGAAAAACTTACTAATACTTGTTTTGTCGCCTATCACGTTATCATTTTTGGAGAAAGATCCATGTGATGATAAGAAGAATGTGTATTCTGAAACTGTTGAATGGAATGTTCTGTAAATATCTCTTAGCTCCCTTTGATATAAAGTGCAGCTTAAAACTGACGTTTCTTTGTTAATTTTATGTGTGGGTTTGGATGAACTGTTCATTGCTGAAATTGGAGTGTGAAAGTCCCCTATCATTATTGTATTGCAGTCTACTTTCCAGTTAGATCTAATAATCTTTGCTTTATATATCTGTGTGTTCTGGTGTTCAGCTTATATATATTTATAATTGTTATGCCTTCTTGCTGAATTGGCCTCTTCATTATTATATAATAATCATAATTTTCTCTTTTTATAGTCTTCATTTTAAAGTTTATTCTATCTGATACAAATATAGTGACTCTTGCTCGCTTTGGTTTTCATTTGCATAGAATATTACTTTCCATACCCTTTATTTTCAGTTAATATGTGCCCTTACCAGTGAAAGCCATCTCTTGTAGGCAGCATAGAGTGAGTCCTGTTTGTCTTTCTTTTTCAATACATTCATTCACTCTGTATCTTTTTATTGGAGAGTTTAATCCATTTACAAAGTTATTTTTGATAGCTAAATACTTATTTATGCCATTTAGTTGATTGTTTTCTGTTATTTTGTAGACCTTTTCTTTCTCTTTTGTTTTTTACTTTTGTTTGGTGGTTTTCTATAGTGATAATCTTAGACTCTTTTCTCTTTTTCATTTGTGTTTCTGCTGTCATTTTTTATTTTCTTTGTAGTTCCACTGAGGCTTATATAACAAATCTCATAGTTATAGAAGACTATTTTAAATTGGTAACAATTTAACTTTGGTTACACACAAGTATTCTAGACTTTTACTCTCTTCCACAAAATTGGTAATTTTGTTGCCTTAATTTACATCTTTTTATACTGTGCATTCCTTAAAACTCTGTAGCTATAGTTTTTTTATTATTTTTATTTTTTATTACACTTGAAGTTCTGGGATACATGTGCAGAATTTTCAGATTTGTTACAAAGGTATACACGTGCCATGCTGGTTTGCTGCACCCATTAACCCGTCATCTAGGTTTTAAGCCCTGCATGCATTAGGTATTTCTTCTAAACCCCTCCCTCTTCTTGCTCCCTAACCCACTGGCAGGCCCTGGTGTGTGATGTTCCCCTCTCTGTGTCCATGTGTTCTCATTGTTCAACTTCCACTTATGAGTGAGAACATGCAGTGTTTGGATTTCTGTTCCTGTGTTAGTTTGCTGTCAATGATGGTTTCCAGCTTCATCCATGTCCCTGCAAAGGACATGAACTCATTCTTTTTTATGGTTGTATAGTATTCCATGGTGTATATGGGCCACATTTTCTTTATCCAGTCTATCATTGATGAGTAGTTGGGTTGGTTCCGAGTCTTTGCTATTGGGAATAGTGCTGCAATAAACATATGTGTGCATGTGTCTTTATGGTAGAATGATTTATAATCCTTTGGGTAGATATCCAGTAATGGGTTGCTGGGTCAAATGCTACTTCTGGTTCTAGATCCTTGAGGAATTGCCACACTGTCTTCCACAATGGTTGAACAAATTTACACTCCCAACAGTGTAAAAGCATTTCTGTTTCTGGCTATATTTATAGTTGACCATTTTGACTTCTCAAATTCACACTGGAGATTTAAAACATTGCATATCACCATTACAGTAATCTGAATTTTATTATGCATTTATTTGTACAGTTGAATTTTATACTTTCATATGATTTTGGTAGCAATTAATGTTCTTTTGCTTCTGGTTAAAGCACTCCCTTACAGATTTCTTGTAAGGCTGGTCTAGTCATGATAATTTCCTTCAGCTTTTGCTTGTCTGAAAAAGACTTTTTTCTCCTTCATTTCTGAAAGATAGCTTTGCTGGAAATAGTGTCCCTGACTGACAGTACTTTGTTGTTGTTGCTGTTTTCAGCACTTTGAAATATCTCATTCTCTCTTGGCTTGCAAAGTTTTTGCTGAGAAATCTACTAATAGTCTAATCAAGATTGCCTTATATATGACTTGATATTTCTGTTTTGCTGATTTTTTAATTATCTTTTTGTCTTTGATTTTTGACAGTTTAATCATAATGTGCCTTGGAGAGGACCTCTAATTAGGTATTTTGAGCTTCATCAATCTGAATGTCTATATCACTCCCTAAAATTGGGAAATTTTCAGCTGTTATTTCCTTACTAATCTTTTTGTACCTTTCTTGTTTTCTTTTTTTTCTAGAACTTCCATAATACAGATAACTGTTATCTTAATGGTGTCCATTTTCAATGGTGTCCATTTTCATTCATTTTTCTTTTTCATCTTACTTAGTTATTTTATATGATTTGTCTGTAGCTCAGGAATTATTTCTTCTGCTTGATCTAGTCTGCTGCTGAAGCTCTCAATTATATTTTTAAATCTGTTTCATTGACATATTTCTTGCCAAGATTTCCATTTCTTAAGTGCTTATAATATCTATCTCTTTGTTGAATTTATCAGTCAGATCAGGAATTGCTTTCCTGATTTTATTGAATTATCTGTCTCCTGTGCCTTGCTGAGTTTTCTTAAGACCATTATTTTGAATTTTTTCAGGCAATTCATACATTTCATTGATGGTGTGTCAGTTACTGAAGAGTTATTGTCTTACTTTGTTGGTATTATATTTTCTTGCTTTTTCATGTTTTATTTTTCCTCTGTTGATACTTGTGCATCTTAAAGAATGGTTAGCTCTTCCAATTTTATAGAATGGCTGTTGTATTAAAATATTTTTACCTGCAAATATGTTCTAGGGTTTCAGTTAGGCAGGATGTGCTGGCTTTGGTTTTGCATGGGAGTATTAGTGTAGTCTCCGTGCAGTTTCTTCAGCTATAGTCAAAGTCAGGGAAGTCTGTGAGTGCCTTAGTGGCCTAGGCTGTAGGAGTTGCTATGATTGCTGGGGCACTACCTCTCTGCTGAGGGTGAGAGTGAGGGGATGCTCTGAATGCTGTGGGTGTGCAGGGACTTCTTTGCTACTGGTATGCCTACCTGATGGGGTTTGAAGCACCAGGCTGTTCCATCAGGCCCTAAAGCTATTCAGTAGCTGTTTTGCTGCCATGTTTGTCATGGTCTCTCTGTTGAGCATAGCCACTTGATTTTGGGGAAAGAACACCTTATCAGCTCAGTTGTTAGTGTTCTGTTATGCTAAGCATAGGATCTGAGTAGTTGGGGTTGGGCTGCTGTAGTCACTGGAATGAGGAAGATGGAGTGCCTTTTAGGCAGTTTATTCCCGGGGGTCAGGAGCTATAGTAACTTCTCAGCTGGGGAATGATACACTACCATTTGTGAGCTTAATATAAGGGCAGCAGAGCCTCAGGAAAAGGGAGATGCACTGACTACTGTCTTCTGTCATAAGACATACTCTCACAATGGCTCTGATCTCTAGATAATGTCTTACAGCCACAGCAGTTTGCATCACAGTGGAGACGGGGCACAAAATAGGCTCCATCTTTGGAATTATGCAACCATGTGGGCTTTTTTGGCAGCTCCCTATACTGGGCTCAGGGCCTGGGAGGACTGCAGGGTTCTTCTGCAGCAAAGACTGTAGGTCTCTGCAGCTTTCATGGAGGTTGCTGGGGAGCCTCCTGCTTACCTTTCTTTGCAGAGAGAGTTCCTCCTGGTTCAGAGCCAATCCAAACTGAGAAAGTGGAGACAGGTGGCAAAGGCAGGGTGTTTTGTTCCCTTTTACATGCATCTATCCTGAGTCTCTGTGCTCTACAGGATTTCTGGCACTCCCCTGCTGTACTAAAGTGCTTTCCTTCAAATACTCCATCAAAATATCGTTGTTTGTTTATATTTTTGGTCTTTTTTGTGGGGGAGACAAGCATTAGATACCTCCAGTCAGCCATCTTGCTAATGCCACCTGAGAATTAACTTTTTTTTCTAAATTAAGTATATGGGGACAATAAGTCTCTCTCTAGAGTTTTGTGAGCATTGGAGATAATCTTTATAAGCTGTATGGTTAATGGTAGTTGCTCAAATAATGCCCTTGATGATAATGATGGAATGTAGATAATGATATGATGAGGGTAAGAATGCCTACATGGATGATGAATTAGGGGATGTAAGACATACACAGATAGCAATAATAATGTAAGGCTGGATGTTATGAGTACCTTAACAGAAATTTACTTATTTCACAATGGAATGACAAAAAAGAAACATATAGGTTTACATATTAGTATTAAGAGAAATGTTGCACTAATTTAGAAAATGATAACTCAAAATAGCAAATGTATGCCCTGGTTACAAATATGCAGAAGCATACATATATGTTAAGAGGCATCTAAAATGATTTGATATAATTTGTATATTTTTTCTATAGACTTATTTTACTCTGTGGTAAAACATATGCAATGATACCTACACACACATCTATGCACACTCACACAGTCACCTAGTGGGCTTTTTCTATGTTAAGAGGCCTTTTCTTCATACTAACCTTGGTTTCTAGAGCAAAGAACTCATTACCAGTCAAGGCTGTTTTGGAAGCTATGACAAATGAATCCATGGCTTTGGTCTAGTTTCTAATGGACGTGTGTCCTGTTGACAAATATCTCCTTTCACAATGGGCATACTTGGATCACTCAGCTGTCAGATCACTATCAAGGGAAAAAGAATCAGTCAAGCATCCATCTTCTTTTTGAAATCTGAGACTATCTTCGTGGGCCACAGTGCCCATTTCTGCAAAGCAACCTTGGATAGTATGCATGCATTAAGGATAGATGGAAACTTACCTGCAGAGATTCAGAAATTCAAAGATTACAGGAAGAAGGTAGAGATATCAGGAAAATGTCTTGTGCAAGTTGAAAGTGGCCAGAAGTTACTTGCATCTCCTCTATCAGAATATAGGGTCTTTTTCCACCCTTTGAACTTGGGTTGACCTTGTGACTTGCTCTGACTAATGTTAAGTAGCAATCATGCAATTGTGAGGTTCCAAGGCCTAAGCCTCAAGATACCTTTAATTATTTTGATTGTTCTTTCAGAAATATTCTCTGAGACCATTATGCAAGAAAGCTAGAATGGCATTCCAGAAGATAAGATGCCACAAGAAAGAGAACAAAGGAGCCTCAGTTGAGTTTCTGCACCAATTGTCAGGTGTAGAAGTGTGGGCATCTGGGAGCTTCTAACATACTTGAATGTACTTGCTTGAAATATTCCAGATGAAACCAGCCCAACCAACCATCTGAATTGTGAGAAATAATAAATCAGTGTTGCTTTAAGTAACTAGGTTAAGGGGTTTCATGTTACACAACAATAGATAACTGATACATTTGGTCATGGGGATCAAGTGAATTCCATAAGTTCCTTTCTGTTTTCTCCCTGAAAAAGCAATTTAGATAGCAAGACTGGGGTTGGTTACATCTTAAAATATGACATCATGAAGAGGAAATGGCCAATGGTTGTGGGTTCCACAATTAAAACAGATTTATTCATTTAATAGCTATTTGGGAATTTAGCCAGCACTTGCATTCCCTCTGTACTCTGAAATTAGTCCATCTTGTTTGCTTTCTTCTTTCCCACCCCACCTGTCCTCAAATTTTCACTTCCATACTAACCAGGGAGCCACAGAATTTTGCTCTCAGTTATACAGAGCAATGTGCTCTCTCCTTCTCATATTCAATCATTTATTCACTCATCAGCTCACACTCTCACTCATCACATATTTATCAATTACTTACTTTATGTGAGGCAATATGCAGGGGATATTTCTTTTTTACCATAGGTAAAAAAAAATCATGTCATGGTTGCATATTCCAAATCCATTATTGTGCCTAGCTGGGAAAGTAAATAAATGAAATAAACTTTCTTTTCAAAGTACTCACCCTATTTAAAAGAAAAATTTGGTTATAAAACTGGTATTTTCTTATACTACATGTATCTATGTATATGTGCACACATGTTTAAGTGTATTATGTAGTATATGTGTATTATATGCAGTTTCATATGAGTTTATGCATTTTGGGGTATTCATAAGTGTGCATAGATGAGAATGCATATATTTTAGTTGCCATATGCCAGTTGGTATAGCGTATGAGTTTTAATGTGTGTGTGTGTGTGTGTGTGTGCTTATAAGTGGAAAAAAGTACAAGCAGGCTAGGGATAGTGGCTCATGCCTGTAATCTCAGCACTTTGGAAAGCCAAGCCAGGTGGACTGCTTGAGCCCAGAAGTTCTAGACCAGCCGGGGCAACATAGAGAAACCCCATCTCTACATAAAATACAAAAATTAGCTGGCTGTGATGGCATGAGCATGTGGTCCCAGATACTATGGAGCCTTAGGTGGGAGGATCACCTGAGCCTGGGGGTCAAAGCTATAGTGGGCTAAGATTGCACCACTGCACTCCAGCCTGGGTGGCTGAGTGAGACTCTGTAGCAAGTAAAATAAAATAAAATAAAAAGAGTAAATGAAGAAAATATGCATTTAATATGGATACATTATGACTTGAGTGTACGTGAATATGTGTATGTAAGCACGTATATGTGTATGAGAAAGAGAGGAGGAAAACACATTGGATAAAGAATTCAGAAACAAAAGTTGGTTCATTTTCTATATGTTTCTAATGAAGTAGCGGCTCCTCATGTCTTTGTTTTAGGCATCCCTGCCTTGACGTTCCTGAAAGCATCAAAAATAGGAAGAGAAAAGATGGTCCCCGAACTTCTAATATCCTCTAAATTTCAGTATTCTATTTATTCATCTCTAAACTTCACTCCTGGGCATTAAAGATCTCTAAAAGAAGTCTGTAGCCATCATTTAAATAAAAAGATCAAACCCATCAGTATCATTATGAACAATCAACAAGGAAATATTGAGAAGGAAGATGTAAATAAGTTAGTATTAAACAAAACTGAGCATTGACATTTTATGCTGCTTTTATAGAGACAAACAGATCACCAGTCGAGGGCTTTGGTTACATAGGTTAACCCCTGAAATGTGCCACATCAGCTCCACTAATTGAAGATCAGGGAATTTCATTGAACCCATTGATGACATGGACTGTTGAAATAATGCCCTTTTTAGGCTGTTAAATGAGCGAGACCTTGGTTAGCAGTCATTACCCTTTTGGAATGAATTACTTGCTTCTTTTTCATACTGCACCCTTAGGAAGTCTTAATGGGCGTATGTGTTTTATTTTTCTAGATTTAGCAATCACACAAGATAATGATTCAACAAGGTCTCCATTGTCTTACCTTGGAGACCCCTGCCTGCTCAATATGTTCAACAGTTATGTTTGGGAGGTCCCAGTCTCATCAAGAAATTTCAACCTCTAACAAACCAAACAAAACTATTATGTAATTTTGTTGTGTTATCCTCAAAGCAAACTTTTTAAGCATCTGAAACATCCTCAGAAATCTCCCACTCTACTAATCAGCCTTGCTAACAAATAATGTTTATGGCACTATTTAAAATAGAACTGTAACAACAAAGAATTTCCCCTTTTTAAAAAATTTAATTGAATTTAATTTTTTAAGTTCTGTGGTACACGTGCAGGATGTGCAGGTTTGTGACATAGGTAAATGTGTACCATGGTGGTTTGCTGTACCTGTTAAACCATCAGCTAGGTATTAAGTCTATTTGCCAGTAATACACATGCATTATTTCATTTCCTCTTTACAGTATCCATGTAGGTCATTATTATTATCACTATTTCAAAGATGATGAAATGGAGACTCAGAGAGGATTAAGGGACTCACAGTGGCATATGATAAGAACCTAGGAAAATCTGGATTAAAATCTAGGTCTGCCTTATATACATTTATTCATTCAGCAAGTATTTGCTGAGCACTGTCCTTACACTAGCACTTACTCTAGAAGCTTGGAATACAGCATTGAACAAAACACAAAAATTCCTTCTATGTGAATTGATGACTGGATTTCACAATGTGAATATCATTGCTGACCTTGATAAGAACAAGTTTAGTGGTCATGAGTGACTGACATACTGCAAGGGAGGATGAGAGAAAGGGGTTTGAGAAAGGGAGTTAGACAACTTAGAGAATGCTTTTAGAAAATTTTGCAGTGAAAGGTAGCAGAGGAAAAGACAAAAGGAGTCTCTGTCTTTCTCTCTCTATGTATATAGAAGATATATATATATATATATATATGTATCTTCAAATATTTTAACTAAGCAGGAACTAGTGGGCAAGTAGAGGGGTTGGCTTTAGACAGGAACATAGACAGCAAAAGAAATACTGGGGAATAATGTTAAGGTTCTGGATATCAATTTAGATGGGAGGGATCAAAGAACATGAGTACATAGTTTTATTAGATGGGACAGGGAGCTGGGAGCTTATGGAAATTCTCTCTTCGTTTCTTTTTCTCTTTCTTTCTCTTTCCCTTTCTTTCTTTCTTTCTTTCTTTCTTTCTTTCTTTCTTTCTTTCTCTTTCTTCTTTCTTTCTTTTTTCTTTTTTCTTTCTTTTCTTTCTTTCTTTCTCTTTCTTTCCAAGCTCTCATTCTATCACCCAGGCTGGAGTGCACCAGGCATGCACCACCACACCCAGCTAGATTTTTGTTTGTTTGTTTGCTTTTATTTTTGTAGAGATGGTGTTTCACCATGTTGCCCAGGCTGGTCTTGAACTCCTGGGCTCAAGTGATCTGCCTTCCTTGGCCTCCCAAAGTACTGGGATCAAAGGCATGAGCCACTACACCTAGCCATGTTGTTTTCTTTTTTAATAAAATATAATGCAAAATAACTAGTTGAGACTGAGCATTAACATGAAGAGATTGGAGGCTTGAGGAGAACAAAAAAGGTAGAAAATGTCATCTAGAGGAGTGGGAGAGCCGCTGAGCCAGGGGTCAGTGTTATGATGTCCTGGCAGTATCAAGGACAAACTTAAGTCTGATTTGCATTTAAATATTGCATGACTTTTGTAGATACTAGAGTTCAGGGATCTCTGCTTAAAGAACTCTCAGCTGCAAGAGCTAAATATAGAGATTTTGGGGGCATTCAGAGGTCTCACACAGAGTATCCAAAAGAAAGAAAAAAATGCATAAAGGGGAACAAACTCTAGGTAATATGGGTGTTTTTCTGAATCACCTAAGTAATTGCAGACAAGCAGAGGAAGACCTCGAGTCTTTCTTTAGAAGAAAGAAGGCTGGAATAATAGGCACTTCTTCAAACCTTGAATCTCATGTTTAAGTATGCACAACACATTTTAATTATCATCACTATTATACCATGCATCACCATGCTGCATTGTAACAAGAGGTAATAGGATGCATTGTCCCTTTCTTACATTAAACGTGTCAAGTACCATAAATAGGACAATTGACATAATTGCTGTAAATCCCCGGGTGTGTATGTGTGTGGGTGGTAGTGGGGGAAATGATCACCCAGCCCTCACTCACAATATTCTAGGATGAAGTTACATAATTGCATCTAAAAATGGTATGTCACCATTAAATGTACTCACAGTTCTTGCCTCTGGCGCACCACCACCCTCACTCCTCTTTTCTGGGGAGGAGGGGTTGCTACCGTTTTCATTATATTCCTGTAAATCTTCCCTATATTCCGTGGGCTGACTGGAGACAAAAAGTAGGGCTGATATTATTGGAAGCGAGCTCATTAGTTAGTTAAAATAAACCTTATTTAATTACCTTTGGATGAGGAATGGGATAGGACATTTCACATTTTCATGACAATACAGAAATTGAAATTAAACATCATCTAAAATAATTATATTCCAGAACATGTCTTGACATACTGGAGGAAGAAGGGCAGGATCAGCCATCTGACAGGGATTTCAGCTGCAGTTTATGTAGAAAGACATTGCGAACTTGTTATAGTATCTCACAATTTTTTAAAAAATCACCTTGAAACAATCACAGAGGGAGATGTACGTAGTAGAAACACCACCATCTCCCTAGCCAAAAACATGAGGTAGAAGATGAAGAAATTTTGGTTATCTTCAAAATGGAGAAGGGTAACTAAAGCCATTGGGAGCTGAGATCCGTAGTACAGTCCCAGAGTCACTCCCATTATCCCATAAAACTCATCTAAACAGACCATTCTAATCTGCAAGATGGCAGAGAACAGTCATAGAACATGCATTTCTAACTTGTGTTTTGCCTTGCACTGGTGGATTACACTCTATTTTTCCTTAACATTGCTACCAGAAGTGTCTTTTTATGAAAATTGTGTTAATACTCCATTAGGCTAAGCTTCATCCTAAATTTTTTTCTCTCTAAAAGCTGCCAGCATTTTGAAAACATTTTGAACATATGCATTTAGAATTCTTGTGCTCACGTCAATTCATTTTCCATAAAGCATCTAGAATGATTCTTCCAAAAGTTTAAGATGAATCCTGCCGCTCCTTTGCTAAATAAATTTTATTATCTTCCCATTGCATTAGGAAAACGTTCAAATTTGGTAGCATGTTTTAAAAGGCTTTAAAAAAAATGCTTCTTGGCTTTTTGGCTAAGATCAAATGTAAAATGCTCCTTTTGATCTGGCTCCTGCCTAAGGTATAAACCTCATTGCATATTATCTTTTCCACCCATTCCCCCCAATACCTACCTGAACTCCTTGGTCCCCCACCTTTTTATTTACATTTTCCAAGTTAACCATATTATCTGCCATGAGGTCAAGATAGAGGCTCTTACATCTGTCCAGGGACATTCCCTCTGCATGCGTAAATTATATTGCCTGGCTAACTCCTTCTATTCTTCTGGTGTTTATTAACTATCACTTTCTTTGAGAAAGTCTTCAATGCCTACTGCTCAACTCACATACAGGCGATTTAGATATTCCAAACAGGGGCTAGCATAACCTCTGCTTCCACTGCCTGAGCCTTCTTTCCCATTGCAGTCAATGACACCCTCATCTGTGTTTAAGTCAGAAATCTGGAAATCATCCCTTTTCCTTACTTCCTTACTTCCCCTCCCTGTTTTATTTGGTTCCAAAACAATCCTTTGGCCAGTGATCTTCCTCTGCTTTTAAAATAGATATCCTGTATTTATCCAGTTTTCTCCACTTTCACCTTGGCCATCCTAGCCCAAACAATCATTTCCTTTCACGATGATTACTACTTAGCCTCTCAGCTGACCTCTCTGCTCCATTCCTGGAAAACTACAGCCTATTCTCCATCGGTAGGAAAGATTCCTTGAAAATATGAATGCGATTTTGTTACTCTCCCTGCTTAAAACATCTTGGTAGCTTCTTATTGGACAGTGAGGAAAGTCCAAACTCCTTGTGAAAATCTTTAAGATATTATGAAAACTGGACCCTGTCTACCTCCTGGCTCCCTGGTCAGTGTTGGATTTGGCTAGCTACTTCTCATCACTCAAAAATCAATTTAATTGGCATCTCTTCATCAAGCCCTTTGTTACTACTCTTCCCACTATCTACCTACTCATTGTCCCCTAGTCCTGCTCTTTTTCACCCCATAAAAGTATAAATTTTGTAATTTTTATTTTTCTGTCTAATCACCACAATGTAAGTGTCATGAGGGTGGGGAATATCTATAACTTGTTGACCACTGTTTCCTCATAGTCTAGTCCAGTGCTTAACGCAGAGTAAGTGCTCAGTATTCATTGAATAAATGAATAGCACCTACTTCATATAATGATAATTACTTTTTAATTGTTTTCCACTCAGATATACTCTTTGGGGGCATAATCGGAGTAGTCTCAACATCACCTTGACACATTATCTGGTAAATTGTGATTATTTTTAACTTTTTATTGACTGATTAACTCAACTGCTTATAAAACAACATTTGTCCATCTTTTTACCCACAAATCTTATATAACAGTTATTTGATAAATATTTTTAGATGGATAAACACAGGCAGCTTTAAATTTCTGTAAGGATTTAAAAGTGAAGAAGAAAAAAGGCCCTGTTGAAAAAGACATTAGGGGGCTATACATTCTGTATTCCATCCTGGAAGCTCTCATTGCAGATCATCTTTTTTGTTTTTTGTGTTTTGTTTTGTTTTTGAGATGGAGTTTCACTCTGTCGCCCAGACTGGAGTGCAGTAGTACAATCTGGGCTCACTGTGACCTCCACCTCCCAGATTCAAGCGATTCTCATGCCTCAGCCTCCTGAGTAGGTGGGACTACAGGAGCACACCATCACTACTGGCTCATTTTTGTCTTTTTAGTAGAGAAAGAGTTTCACCATGTTGGCCAGGTTGGTCTCGAACTCCTGACCTCAGGTGATCTGCCCACCTCAGTCTCCCAAAGTCTCGGGATTACAGGTGTGAGCCACTGTGCCCAGTGCAGATAATCTTAATTAAGCCTGTTGAACTTGAAGTAACTCAGCCTCCTAAACTTATTTCATCGAGCATTTCTTCCTACTTAAGTCTTAAATGATGAGAAAGATGCTTTGTAAGAACTATTGAAGAGAAAAGAACAAGGGACTTGAGGAAGAAGATGGTGATTTAAATATTACCTCTGCCAATTACTGTTCATAAGACTTAAAAGAAATTACTTAATCTCTCTGCAGCTTACTCTTCGCATCTTTCAAATGGGTGTAATGATGCCTTTCTGTCAGCCTTATCATGTTAGCAAGGTGGTGTGTTAGTGCCCGTAACACAGCAGGCACACAGTAGAGGTGTCTCTCACTTTGTAGCTCCCAACCAGCCTACTCTCATCCAAAATGTATGAAATAATTTTGTTGTCATTTTTGTGGTTTTCTTTTACTACAATAGTAAAGGAGACTTGGCCGTGACTCTAAGTTCCTTTGTCTACAACAGCTGTTCTCCATGGAGTCAGAGATCATTAATAGTTGATTTTGACCATATACATACTAGCAGCAGTCAAGATACAATTCTTCAGTCTTCCCTGGAACTGCAGATGGCCACAGAACCGTTTGTGCCTTGGAGCCTAAGTCATTCTTAGAAACAATATGGAAAGAAATGACCATTTGCTACCTAACATATAAGCTTTATGCTGATGGAAAATACTGAAATCTTTCCAATTTATTCTTTTTCTTTATGGATATTTGTACTGTTATTTTCTTTAATGTTCTAGAAAGAAGGCCACCTTGATGACCTTTTTTAACATGATAATAACTTATATTCATATAGTGCCATATATTATTTCTACTACAGAGCTACTTCCATTCATTCCAAATGACATTTATGAACCACCATGTGTCAGTCACTAGGGATGTGAGGGAGATTTTGATGAAGGATCAGCTCACAAGAGATCATGCAGAAGTATATGGTCACTAAACACTGAAATCCAGACCAGCTCCTGTTCAACTTTCGGGCACATTAGATATAAGCCATGGTCCCCATTTTAAAGCTGAGAAAACTCATCTAGAGAGTGGATAAATAGCTTACTCAAAGTGACTCATAATTGCTTTCTATCATGATTTCAATACTTAAACCTCACTGACTCATACTACTAAGAGAAAATTACTCTAAACAAATAAAACATGTAAATTGATGAGTCTTTTAAAATAAATATATCTGTCTATTTCATATGGAGAAAAAAGCATAAATGGTTACATAATTTTTGATAAATAGACAAGACATATAATTACCACAGTTCACAGGACTTTAAAATCACTTCATTAGAATTTCTAAAACCATCTTAAATAGTTTGACCCTGGGTGGGGGGAAAGTCCTTATAGTGTTAATCTGCTAATACGTTTTTCCTTTTGCCTGACTTCATGTTCTCTTTCTGATAATCCATGCTTTAATCATACCAGATTGTTATATTTTCCATAATAATTTATATTCTTTACTGTGCCTTGAATCTCCTTGTTTTCTTGAATACCGGGGATATGATACTCATTCTATAAGATTTTGTCAGATAGGAACTCCTCTCCTGATTTCTTCAGATAGAATTAGTTAGAAACTAATTTATGATCTCACAACACTATGTGAATATTTCTACTACAGCTTTTTAATACATGATGCAACAATTATTTCCTTATGTGTCTGTGTTAAGTATATAATCCCTGACTTGTCTATCATCCTCATTATGGACAAGAACAGTACAAATAATAGTTACAATATGTTAAAGCCTTATTACATGACTGTGTTACAGACTTTACAAGAATTATTTTATGATAACAATTCGCTGCTATTATATCCATTTTCCAAGTGAAAAAAAACAGATTCAGCCAAGTTCACAGAAATATGAACATGACAGTCACAGAATTTAAATCCAGATCATCCTGACTTTACAGCCTAGAGACTCTTTAATTATTACATCAGAGCCTATCTCTGTACTTGACACTCAGGCTTGTACCTAAATATTTTTTGAGTTGCATTAAAAATTAAACTTAAAGATTGGATGGGGATGCACTTTCATCTAGCTAAAGTCAAATAAATACACATTGCAAATTAGTGAGGCCCAGATTAATGAGGCCCAGGCAGAGTTCTGGTGGTGGTGCTAGCAGATGTTATTATGATCTATTATTATAGCTAATAATCATCATAATTACAGTCTGAACTATGTGTCTTGGTTACATAATTTTCTCTGACTCATCACAGTGCACTAAACTGGACAAAGATATGGTGTTATCTGCTGTGTGTGGTTGCAGTTGTATTAGACAACTTGAATAGTTGAGGGGAAAATTAAATGTCTTGCATCCAGCTCTATTTTATGTTGACCTAAAGTGAAATAAAACCAATAAGGAAGATGTCTCTTTAGCAATTGTTGAGGCATCCGTTAGAATCATGCTATCTAGGGAAAGAAACATTTACATTTATTTAGCACCTACAATGTACTAAATGATTTATCTCATTTAATTCTCTAAGAGATTAGGAGGGCTAGTGATTATCATTGTTATTGTGTAAAATGAGGACACTATGACTCAAAAGTAAACAGTTGTAAGGTCAGTGGGGAAAAGGATAGACACTAGGTGGGGAAAATTGACAGGAAAATACTGCAGTGATACGGACAAAGGAGCCTGTCCTTGCACTTCCGTGATGGCAGAACATAGTAACATGATTGGAGCAGAGTTTTAGGTCCCAAGTGATGGAGCCTTGATTACCAGTGGGCCAGGTCACCATAGGTCTATGAAGGGACTTCTCTCGCTTTTGCCTCCCTTGGACCAGCTAATGCAAAGCCTGGTAACTTAATGCTTATTTACTATTCTCTGTTTTCTTTTATTCACACACTTCAAGATATTATTTTCTTTGTGTGATCACCAGTGTTGGAAAAATTAGTTTAGAGAAAAGAGGGAGAGATTTTAATTTTGAACTTTAGGCTAAATGATATGACATTGCTTAATTCACAAAGGAGTACATCTTTAAAGATTACTTTTAATGAGCTAATAATTACATTGTTGCCCAGTGTCCCGTTTTCTATATACACACACACACACACACACAAATGCACACACACACACAATCTTTGGAATGGAATTTTTTTAAGACAGAGATTACTGGTTCAAAGCAGAATGCACATGCTCTTGGATCTTCTAGCAAAATAGCATCTAAAAGTACAGTAAATCTCACCCTAGCACCTCTAATATAGTCAATCTTCTCAAAGGCTGCAATTGGAAATATCACATTCAGGTGAATTCAAACTACCTACTCTTCTCTTTCAATAATAATAATAACTAATTGTGTCTCATGCCTACTCATTCCTAGACATGAGGAAATTGCATTGGAAATATGTTCACGGGGATTCTTTAAATTACAAGGGACAGAATCGCAACTTAAGCTGACCTAGGCAAAGTAGACAATTCATTGGAAAAATAACAGACTCAAACAGAAATCTGGACAGGCAAACCACAGGGAAGAAGTAGATAAAACTAAGTGTCAACAAAATTCAGGGACCTTACTCCCAATAGGCCTCTATATCTCGTCTATGCTTTTTTTGGTATATTGTCTTTACTCTCTCTCATTGCAGAACAGCTACCTCAACATTGTAAAAAAATAAAATAAAATTGTAGGAGCTGACAGCTCTCTAGTATCCCATCTAATAATTCCCAGAACAAGAAAAGGGAAAATTCTCGTTTTGATACAATTTGAAAATAAATGCCCTAGAAAGGGCTCTGTTGTTTAGCAAAGTTTGGGTTGGATGACCATCCCTGTACCAATCAATGTAACCAGTGGTTAAAGGATGGAGTAAAACCTTCTAATAATAGGTCTTTGTGCAAACATACAGTTTGAATGGCAGAAGAAACAAATCCTTCAGGAGGCTTCCAAGGTATTCCAAGAAGGGTGAGGTGATTTGTTCCCAAGATACAGAGTAAAAATGGTAGGTAAGAAGCTAGAATCTAAGGCTTTTTCTTTCAAAGCAAATGCGTTCTTTTCTACTTCATGCAATTATTACCATCCAAAGAATCACTTCACCATTTTACGAGGTTAATCTCACCAATTTGTCCTTCACATAGTAACCTTATCTGCACCTCCATGCCGTCATCAATTTGGTCTTTTATTCTTCTTGGTCCTTGGGTCTTTATATTTTTCAAGATGTCATTCATGCAGAGTAAACCCATTAAGGGTCCCCTTGTCCTCCAATATTCTAAAGCACATATATTTTACTTATATCATTTTTTGTGGTTTTATATTAATTTGAATTCCTTATTATTGTGTGCCTGTGGATGCACCCTTTTTCCCCTTTTCTTTCTCCAAGCTGATTATAAGCCTTTTGAAGTCAAGGAATGCATCTTGAATGCCCATATTCAAAACAAGATTTTAGTATGAGACTGACCTTATAAGATTTATACAGTTAGTAAAATTAAATTTAACAATTATTCATAGTACACTTATTATAAACAAATCACTGTTCTAAGCACTGGATTAATTGCTTGTGTTGTTGTTGTTGTTTGTTTGCAGATGGACATCATAGCTTACAGAAGAGTGATCATCATATATAGAAGAATTATGATCCACTCTTTCGTTTTTCTCCCCCAACTCTGTCCTCACTTCCTAACTTGCATACCATAGCCTAGTCACACCAAATGTCTCAGTAGTTCATGAATATGTGGTGGTTTTGAAGCTTTCAAACAGTGAGCATGTAATTTTCTCTGCCTGGAATGCTTTTCATATCTTTTCTTTTTCTTGAGATCGAGTCTTGCTCTATTGCCCAGGCTGGAGTGCAGTGGCCTGATTTTGGCTCACTGCAAACTCCTCCTCCTGGGTTCAAGGGATTTTCCTCCCTCAGCCTCCTGAGTAGCTGGGACTACAAGCATGCACCACCAAGCCTGGCTAATTTTTGTATTTTTAGTAGAGACAGCATTTCACCATGTTGACCAGGCTGGTCTCGAACTCCTGACCTCAAGTGATCCACCTGCCTTGGGATCCCAAAGGGTGGGTGTTGGGATTACAGATGTGAGCCACCATGCCTGTCCTGGGATGCTTTTCATATTATTTTAAGGTTAACATTGACCTTAGTAAACTTCCCCAAATCAGAGTATGGCTCTTTCCCCTACTAAGCTTCACTGATCACCACCTTGGCATACAGTAGGCTCCCATTACACTACATATGTATGTATCTATCGCATCCCACTCTTTTACTGTTACTATTTGAAAAAGAGGGGCTGTAGAAACAAGGATTCTTTTTCCTGGCATGTATGAAAAACTGGGCAAGGGAACAGCAGCCAACTGCAGTTCTGCCCAGAATGCTCTCAGCCACCATCTTGTAATTGAAAAGTGTCACTCTGAGGGGAAATGGCCACTCAAGGTAGCAGCTGGAGCAGGCTGGTGTTTATCACACTACATCTTGCTATTTTTTAGACTAGTTCCTGCTGAACTTTTCCCCTTCCTTCTGATAGCTTCTCTGCTGTTTACCAACACCGTGGGGAATCAGTATGGCTATTTTGTTATTGAAATATGTTATCTGGGCTTTTTTTCTTTTTGCTTTCTTTTTCTTGGGGGGAGAGAAAATAATCATGGAGTAGAAACCAAAGAATTTGATCCAATCAAAATATTCCCAAGATGGCAATAATTTGTTTCTAAGCACAGAGCTGCAGTGTATTTTATTTCTAATAACAACCTGTAATATAGATTTTTTTTCGAGGTTGTTTTTGTTTATAGCCCTGGTGATAGAAGTTATTATAATCGTCTGGCTGAAATGGGTGAGGGAGGATAGGACTATTAAGCCAACAGGAAGCCAAGGGCTTTGCGACTTCAATACTTCAAAGCCTAAGAATGCTGTATGCATCTGTCCACGTGCTTTTCAGTCAGAAAAGGCCATTGTCTGCTTTGCTTGGAATCAACTTTGACTTTCCATTTTTCACGCCTTGCCCTGAAACATAATATTGGTCTCTTGGCGCCACCTAACAGGAGCTATCAGACATGGATTCAAGTTCTGCTCCCTAACTTTCTAGCTAGATGACCCTAAGTAAGTCTTTCGATGTCTATTAGTGTTTCTCTTTTCTTATTTTGAAAATGATACCTAGCTCACAGGGAAATCAACAATGGGAGGATTGCTCAAAGTGTCAGATGAAATAATGAATGTTAAAATGTTTGGTAAGACTGAGTATTAAACAAAGAGTTTTAAGATGCTTTTGCTCATTATTGAACAGTTTTTCATATGATTACAGATGCTATTGTTCCTATATATATATTTATGTATAGATATAGATATAGATATGGGGAGAGAGAGAGAGAGAGCCAAATGCTCATTCTACTCTTATTTTTTACACTTCATCTACTCTTTGTCATTGTCCTTCCAAAATAGATACCATTTCTTTGAGGAGATAAGTTTCTGGCTTGAGCCAAACCGATCTCTTTATAGAAAACTGAAAATCTCGTGAATTCCTCTACGTTTAATATTTGTCCACACCATTTGTGTCTCCTGCTATACCTTCTTCATATTCTTCTACCTAAATCATTCCAATCCTCGTATATTTAGGTAAACTCCACTCATGTTTGTTATTTTTTTATTCTTTCTCACAGTCATTCCTGATTATTTTCCTCCTAGAGCCACACTTTAATAGTTTTCTAATCATCTGTAACATATAAAGAGGTGGACTTAATCTTCATTATTTTTTACTGTTAGTTATCTTTGCACATATTCATGCCATACATCCTCATGAACTTCATAGGCTGGGTCAGCATTAGCTTTTGGATTCTTTGTACATCATAGAGGCCAAAAGATGAAGATGAGGAGGAAAAGTATAAGGATGATGGTATGATAAAGATAGTAATGATGATGATAATTATCTGAGTGATGATAGTGTCAACGATGACAATGATGACACCGTTGCTGATGGTGATTATGATGATGATTCTAAAACCTGCCAACTTTAGGTCCTGAGTAGTAATGGACCAGTAGAAGTCTGAGAAGTCCAGATTATATCCACAGAAAACATAGATGACGGATTGTTCAGTTAGTGTAGAAAGAAGGAATGTGTAGGTACTAAGAATCCAGACAGTGCAAACCAGGTCAGAGCTTGTGTAATCTAATGGACTCTGGAGTAAAGGATGCTTAAACTATTGCCACATAGTCTGGTAGAAAAGAGAATTCAGAAGGAACCAGGCAGAAGAGGGGTTTGGAGCATAGGTCTGATTATTGAAGCAGTTTTCAGCAATAAATCTGGAAAGAGAAGTCATGTGATTTGAGATCGCATCTCTTCACTTTAAGGTGATAAACGTGGATTTGGGAAGTGGACAGGACTGAGTCAGGTCTTAGTTTTACCTATTACCAATCATTTGACCTTTGTTACTTAATGCCCGTACGTGTTTGCTTCTTCTGTTTAATGGGGTAACTCAGAATTGCTATACAGATTAAAAGAATTAATGTTTGTAAACTGCTTCTTATGGTGCTTGGCATATTGTAAATTTTCAATTATGGTAGACAAATATAATAAGGATATTTCAGGGGTTGAGGAAGCATATTGAGACCCTGCAGCTGGTGCTCATAGAGAGACAGGCAGCAGAGATTCTATTTTTAAGAGAGATACAATGGTTTACAACAGGTTGTCGAGGAATTCGGAAGCATGGTCCCTAATCTTCAACCAATGGATAGCATAGCAGGGTTCCAGGACCATAATTGAATGGGTTGAGTCAGAGAGCAGGATTAAGGTCCGCCATTTGATTGAATTGCCAGGCAGGGAGACTGAGGCAGCATCCCAGGCATACAAATGGAATCAAGACAGCAGGGAAAATCAGGAAAAAATTACTCTGCACCCAGGTTTGGGGAGTGTATCCTAAGCGGCAAATACCAGGTGGATATTTAAAGCAGCAGGATTCATTCCCATGTCACACACTCTTATGGGCCTGAAGCTAGTATACCATCTGCCCTGTCAGACTGGCTCAGAAATTGATGAAGCTAGGTTTACAAATGAAAGCCATGTTTCCAATTGTGATGCCATAAGGAAGGTGGAAAGATGAAAATTGTATAGATGTGCAGTCAAAGTACCAGGCTAATTATATCCCCTGAGGTTTGGGCCAGATATGGGGGTCCTTGGAAAAGTGGAATAAAAACATATAGGAGCAATTGGCATATGCCATGGAGAATACACATGGGAAGATGCACCAAAGACCCACTCAGTGGGTCTGAGACTCTTACGTTGAATCTTGAAAGTTATTAGCTGTGCAATCTTGAGAAAGCAGCTTTAGCCTTCTAGACCCACTTTGTCTTTACCTATAATACTAAAAATAGCTGTCTTATTGAGCAGTGACCAGATACCAAGCTTATATTGCAAAAGGCCTCACATGCACTATCTTATTTCAATCCCATAACAACTTATGAGAGACAAAACATTATTTTCTCAATCTTCAAATGAGTCTGATGAAGGCTCGATGTACAACTAAATAAGGGTCACAGAGCAAAGAAGGGTTGAAGCCTGGATTTCAGTTTGGGTCTGTTTGACTCCAGATCATCAGATCTTAATTTCTATACTTACAGCAGAATCCAATGTTGTATGATTTTTTTTTCCATGACATGGCCTGGTGACATCTCACATGTAGTAAGTATGTAGGGTGTTTTTGCTAAGTGAGCTTAAAAAGATAACATATTTAAGCAGCAAATCAAGACTAGCATCTCAGACTTTAGTGTTTGTTGACGAGCCTATACATGAGTCCAGTGATGCTGTATTTTCTATAGAGAAGCAACTCTTTTTCCTTTATGCTAGTATTTCTCAATGGCACTACCATTGACATATTAATTATTTATTGTGAGGGGCTGTCCTGTGCATCGTAGGGTATTGAGTAGCATCCTTGGTCTTCAATCTCTAGATGAGAGTAGCGCTCACTTTTAGCCCCAGTTGAGACAATAAAAAATGCCTCCCAACATTGCCAAATGTATTCCAGGAGCAACACTTCCCAGGCTGATAATAATTCTTCCTAATTTATTACTAGATTTTAGTATCAGCATGGAAGGCAGGCTGAGTATCTTCTCTTTAGATTAAAAAGTCACTGCAGGGGTGGGTGGTTTGTCAACATAGTGTACAGAGAACTCTAGGTCCTTTATGTCCTTTGACATCAGACCCTCAAAACTGAAGTCTGCTATAAAGTGTAGTCTGTGCTGCTTTAGCTCAAATGTGACAGGTAATAGCACAGAACCTGGTCGGCCCAATATAAGTCCAAATCCCAACTCCACCATTCATTTGCTAACTCTGTGAATTTGGCCAAGTTTCCTAACCTCTCAGAACCTCATTTTACTCATCTTTAAACATAAGGATTATAATACAATTTATTTCAAGAAGTCATCTATAAAATGGAGAAAATGGTGGGATGAATCTCGTAAAGACACGATAATTTAATCTTTGTACAGCATAGTGTTAAAAAAAAGAATAAGCTGAATGAATGTGAACTGTTACTTTTAACAATGTCCCGGCCTTATTCAATAATCGGTTGCATTTTCTTTCTGCCAACTGGACTGCTAATGTGATTAGATGGTAAGCTCTTTTGAACAGAAGCCATATCAAAGCTGTTTACTGCTGAGTCTCTAATTCCTAGGTCAGTGCATGGAATATAATAGGTGCTCAGTAAATATTTGATGAATGAATAAATGGATTGAATAACGAACTAATATTCTAAGAAGAATCAAATGTTATCAGTATCATTAAGGGTTCATTATTTCAAGAGCACTAATTGTAATGCCAATGGGTTGAGTGGAAATGGGAGGAAAATAATATTTATTTTAATAAATATGGAAAGATGGAATCTATACACCAGTTAGATTTTGAAACCGTGTAAAACTTAATTTGAATACAAAAGTTGATTCAGTTGGCCTTCCCCTTACCTGAACACAAGGCAGATCGTTATTGAAACATATACTTCCAGGAGCAGAAGAATAATGAGCTGCCTGCTGCAATACAACTCCCATGAAGGAGAGCCAAGGTGGTCCCAGGAGAGATACCTTTCTTCGCTGGGTAGAGTGGATGCAGCTGTATTGATTATGAGAGAAGAACAAAAAAATGATGTTGGGCATAGACAAGAGAGGAATGATTCCATCTATGGAGATCTGAGCCGGCTTTTGTAGGGAAGGTGGCATCTGACATTAGCTCTTCTCCAGCGTTGAGACAGGAATCCATACATTTAGAAATAGACAGATATTTATAACAAAGATTATAAACCTTACTTCTGCCACTCACTTCCTAGGTGTGCAATGTTATTTTTACTTTATAACCTCTTTTTAAGCTCCAGTTTCCTTATCTAACAGATGGATAAAATAATACCACATCCTTCATGAGATCATTGTAAGCATTATATAAGATAAATGCTAAAATCATTTGGCATGGTTCCTGGCACACAGTAATCAAGAAATGCAAGCAGCTGCTATTATTGATGTTATTATTATACTTGAGTTTGCATTCCAGGGGATATGCAGCAAAAACTTGGGGTGTAAAGAGGCTATAAAGTGCATAAGTTGGAAGCCAGCTCTGTTTTTGAGAAAATGCAGAGGGAGGTTTGGGAAGAAGTATAGGTAGGAATCAGATTGATGAGGGCATGGAATGTGGTTCTAAAGATTTGGGGCTTTAATGACAAGAGTGAGAAAATGGAGATATTTTTGGTTTTCTGTCAATCAGAGCGCTTATTTAGGCATGAAGTGGCCTTTCAATCTCTGTAAATCAATTCATGTAGGTGACCTGGCCCAAATTCTCTGTCTGAAAAGGAAACGTTGCTTGTGGCAGGATTTATTCCCTAGCCAATCTTCTCTATTTTCCTGCCAAAATGAGGGCCTCTTTTATTGTGTGATGGAGAGAGAATGCCACATGTAATTAGACAGAATGAGCAGAGAGGAAGAGAAAAGGTGGTGAGCATGCCACCATGCTGGCAGAAGTCTCCCAGGAACAGAAGGTGATGCGTTGTGACAGATGCCTTTGTTATGTTGTTTGTTAAACACTGCGTGGCTGCATTTCACAACATTTCTGAATCTGCCCCTGCATTCCCTGGGTATTCTGGCAGCAGAAAATGAAAACTATTGGGGCTGGAGAGTGGGGACTGGGGAGTGGTTAGCAAGGAGGGCCCAGAAATAATAATGCAATGAGATTCGTGTTCAAAATCACCTTCGCCAAATATACCAGGCTCATGCAGTCACTGTTTATTTTAGGGTTTGAGAGTTATTGCTTAAGAGATATGTTCATTGTATCTAATTAAATTCAAATCAAGTGAATGTTTGAATACCAGCAATGTGCCAAACTGCGTTAGGCTTTGGGGATAGAAATAGGATAAAACACTATCTTTACTCTCAAGGGAGTCACACTCTAGTGTAAACAATTAGGTAAACACATGCCACACATATACACAATGCACACCCATACACATATACATATTCAACATATAAACTAAAGTGCAATGAGTTTTTAAATAGCCAAAATTTATTCAAGTTTGAGGAAAATGAGGTTAGCAGGAATCACTGAGAGGAGTGAGTGTAATTCCAGGTAAACAATAAAGAGTTCATATATACATATATAAACTTGAGTTTGCATTCCAGGGGATATCCAAGTATAATAAGAGAGTATACACACACACACACAAACACACACACACACGAAGATATATACACATACATACAAAATTTTTGTAAGTGTTGATGAGTGAGGTACAAGGTGCAGGAAATATATGGAAAAGAAAGAGATGAATGCTGAAAAACAGTGAATGATTCTATTGATCTGTAACATAGGACTATGCAGAAGAGAAGAACATGAAGAGGGCAGAATGAGAGGCTTATTCTGTCCTATGGAAGTATTTCCTTGGCTAGGAGAGAAAGATTCGGTAAGGGAGAGCGGTTGTGAGATTTCTGAGCATTGGTGTTGACACTTCAGGCTACACTTCAAGGTGCCACTGAAACTTCTCAATGAAATGAAACCTTGGGTAAAATATGTTATAACAGTATGGTAACCTAACTTTTGTCTCAATTCCCTTCTACTATCAACTCTAATCTAGATGTCCATTCTGTGCCCAGCTTCTGTCAGGGAAAGTGGAAAGATGAGTATGAATAAACTTTTGGGCTGGCATAAGTTTCAGGGCAGAGAGCAGGAATGAAGAGCACCTCTGCTGTGTGCCAGGAAAGAGACTGGGGACCAGTTCTATAGAGTCTGTCTTAAAGATGCAAATCCAGGGAAGAATTGACTTTCCAAGTTCATGAATCTTAATGGGGAAGCTCAGCATCAGTTTCATACTAACATGCTTGATGTTTCTGACCACAGGAAAAGAACTAAAAAATGAACAGTGGTTAAAGTATACCCCATTCCTGTTACTGGCAGAGGGAGATAAAGCAAAGAAGTAACAAGGATGCTCAGGCTCAGAACTGGAATTCATTTTCTCCTGAATCACTGAACCTAAGGAATAAACAATATTCATTTTTCTATCACTCTTGGACCTGCAATTACCTAGAGTAATCCAGGAGACAGGCAGGAGAGACTGTGAACTAACAAATGAAAACAGCTACACATCTTGAGGAATACACAGACAGAGAAAGATGCTCAAACAGAATAGGCATTCAGAAAAATAGAGCTATAGAACAGGTCAATTTGATGACTTAACAAAAACAGTAACAGTAGTAATAACAACTTGTAAGAAAACTCAAGAGCAGTACAAAATGCTTCCTGGAACTGAATTTATGACTTTCAACTATAACTAAATCAGAAAATAATAAGGAATAAAATTAAAGAGGTCACTATTAGAACCCAAGTTAGTAACATGAAGTCTATATGTACATATATAGATACACATACACACACACACACACACACATATATATATATACACACTGTTGCATATATGAAAATGTATATGCAAAAGCACTTTGGATAAAAATGAGAGAAAAGATTCCACAAGATAGAGGAAGATAAAAATAACCAATAGATGTGGGTGTTTTGTGTATGTTTGTGTCTGTGTGATGCATGGATTACTTGAAAGTAATATAAATGCTAAATAAATATACTTTTAACTAGAAAGCCCATATTAAAAATAAATACTCTTATTAGCCTATAATAATTTTAAACGTTCTTAGTGCTACCTAGGAAATGGCCGTCAAGAAGAGAGGGAGAAATTAAAATAATTGCAAAGGTTTCGTCTGAGTTAAGTCAGAGAGGAGGAGTGAGGAGAGAGGAAGTGTTCTCAAAGCTTTGTTTTACTGAGAAAGGGATAAAATGGGAAAACAATAATGTTTTATAGAGGTATGTTATTTTTAAGTAATTGTAGAGGAATCTGCAATTTCTTGCGAACTCATCTGAGGAAAAAGTAAACACTAAAGAAAGAAAATTACTAAGGAACTTGCAATATTACAATGGTGAGAAAAATGTTAATAGATGCTTAATCAAATAGCATGTATAAGTGAAAGGAGGAAAATAAAATACAACGTAAGTATATAGTAACATGGAAGAAATAAAATTAAGCATATTAGTTATTACTCTAAGTATGTGTTAATTGAAATATCTAAGAGTAAGTCAGTAATTATTAGATGAGGTTAAACAACAAAACATAGTTATATGCTGTTTACAAAAAATGCATTTAAAACAAAGCCATAAAGAATGGCTAAAAAGTAGTGGGATAGCCTAAGGGATATTATACAAATATGAACAGCAACAAAGGTACCAACAACAAACCACTATAATAAAAATATTAGCATTAGTCACATAGAAATTTAAATTAAACAGTAAGAGCCATAAACCTTTATGCAGCAAACAATATAGCAACTAAGCACAGAAAGCAAAATCCATAAAAAATGTGAGAACATAATATATATTACAACGAAATACTTAGATACCTCTCATAATTGGAAAGTTTTAGCAGACAAAATTGAAAAGAACTTATTAGAAGAACAAATTAAAATAATTACCATACTTCTGATTGAGAGAGAAAGATAAAGGAGGCTTTATGAAATGATATACATTTTTGTTATATCTAAGAAATATTTATAATATTTGGTCATATACTTGCAGGAGACAAATTCTTTTTATTTAAATTTATTTAATTTATTTTTTATCACACATCTGTACCAACCAGAACAAATTCTTAATTAAAATACACGATGGACCACATTATCTTACAATAATCCAATTTCATTAAAAATAAGTTATTTGAAATTTGACTAAAATATATTTACAACTTGAAAATTAAATAAATTAAATTTATGTAGCCTTTGGATCAAAGAGAAACTAAACTGCAAACCATCTAGAAAGCAACACAAGGAAGTCGTATCACAAATGCTTTCACAATTTAAAAAGATAGTTAAAAACTATGAGTTAGTGCTCATGTAGGGGAATTAAGAAAAAAACACAAAAAATAAAATTATAAAAACTCTCTACATGAAATTAATAAAGATAAAATCTGAAATTAATGAAATAGAACGAATAAGTTGCAGAAAAAAATATAAATGGCATGCAGACCAGTTCATTGTAAAAGCAAGTAAGATACGTAAAACATTTTAGCTTAATTAAAAATAAAAGAGAAGGATAAAATGTATTAAAAATTAAGAAATATTAAGGAGGTATAACCACAAATAAAAATTTGATCAAGGGATAATTTAGAGTAAAATTTTGAAAACCTAGAGGAAAAGGATGATTTCCTAGGGATCTGTAAATGATTATAATTGATCACAAAGGAATAGAAAATGTGAATAAGTCAAGTCCAATAAAAGACAGGAAGTATGATTAAGTAGCTATCATTAAAATAGTCACCAGAAACAAATAAGTTCACAGACTGGGTCTATCTAACTTATAAATAATTTCAACATGATGCTCCCTAGAATAAAACATCAACTCAATTTATCTTATGAAGACACCAGGGCTTTAAAATCAAAGCATAGACGAATGCTAATAAGAATGTTATAGAGTTGCTATATGTATAAACTCCAAATTATATATTTAATATCTATTTATATGCACATAAATATATACAAGCTCCAAATAAGATATTAACAAGCAGAATGAAGGTATGAAGCCAAAAAGAGAATAACAGATTTATCCTTAAATATTCACGGGTGATTCAAACTACTGGTTAATCTGTTGTGCCAACAAATAAAAGGGAAAGATCATAGGATTGCATTAATATATGCTAAAAAAGCATTTGATAAAAATCAGAGAGCTTACCAAATAAAATTAGTATAAAATAAAACAACTTAGATTTTATAAAGTCTGTATTCAAAACTTTACAGCATACATGACTCTAAATGGTAAAATACAAAACCCTTTAAGTAATGTACTAGGCAAAAAATCAGTATTGTCATGATTAGTATTTTTTTAAATGCTCTAGCAGATTCAATATAAAAAAAGTCAAGATAATTTGTTAACAATAAGAGATTATAGTGGGAAAAACAAACACATAGTATCATAAGAAAATTGGGTAAGGTGATTGGATACAAGATAAATACTCAAGGGTCAATATCCCCTCTCTATACTAGCAATAAACACCATTTCGAAAAGAGAGCATTTCTATTAACATCAAGAACAAAAATCATATATAACTAAATATAATTTTAACAATAAAGTCACAGTATATACATAAAAAATGTAAAGTATACTGTATTAATTGAATTAAAATTTATGTTCGAGTACTACTTTAACTAATATATTAATTTGTATTTTTAAAATTATGCAATTCACCTTGGAAACCCAACAGAAATTATGGAATAAAATTACATAACTTTAAAGTTTAAAACAAAGAAAAGATGGCAAAGAAGAGTCCAAAAATTTGTGTAAAAGAACAGCAGGGAAGGGGAATTGCTTCAACGGATCTTAGTACATACTGTAAAACCAATGTAATCAAATGGATGGGTTGTGTAGGAATAGAGAAGGAATGAGAGCTTAATGAGGGCAAACATTATGTTTTGTTTGCTGATATATTTCAAGTACATAGAAAAATGCCCAAGGAATATTGGCTGATTTAATTTATGGAAAAGATCAGAGGAATTGTATAGAGAGCCTAGACATGGATCTCAATAGATAGGACTTATGGTAAGTAAAAGACATTTTATTTAAATATAATATACATACAAATTATAAGTGTACAGTTTGAGAAATTTTGATATATAAACTCACTTTTGTTAGCAAAGTATCTCATATATACATAAAATCGTTACATCACCCCAGAAGTCCCATTTGTGTATATTCTCAAGATATACCCTCAAATGTTCTCCAAACATAACTTCTGACTCTAAAACCATAGATTTGTTTTCCTATAGGAAGTCTTAAGATAGCACTGACTTTTTGTTGAAATTATTAGTAGTAATACTGTTGTTATTTTTATCTCCTCTGCTCAAGTGGTCCTTAGGTTATAGGTCAAATTGTCAACGTTGTCATAAAGCTACAGTAAGTAGATTTTGAGTAATACTATAAGTTGAGTGCTTTACATTCATTTTCTAATGTAGGTCACATAAAACCAAGATGAACTGTATGATTCTTTTATTTAGAAAGTGAAGAATTTGAGGCTTAGAGAGATGAAGCAATTACCTAAATTTACACAGTGAGAGGCAGTAGAACCAGAGCTCAAACCCATTTTCATGTAATCATCCTATAGCTCACTGTTTTCACACTACAAAGTGTTATGAGAATTAAATCAGATAATACTTAATAAAGTGTTTAACACACTGCTCTAAACTGTGTCCTTAATAAATGTATAGTTACAATCGTAATGTCAAAAGTCATTCAGTCTTCACAATGAAAAGCTAGGTTTATTAACCTCACATTTGAAGATGAGAAAAATGAGGCTTAGGGAGGTTAAATTACCTACTGCATTCACACAACTACTTGGCAAAGGCAGGGTTAGCCTCAAGCCATTTCTCTCCAAAGTCTTATTCTTAAGCACTATGTGGGCCCAGGTTCAACCACAACTACATTGACCTTAGGCAATCCATTCAATCTCTCTGTCTTGGCTGAATAATCTGTATTTTGAGAGCCACAACCCCTGCTCTATTTATCTCAGAGCAATGGTGTAAGAAAGGTGAAGGAGCTTTGAAACAATAGTATAATAATATAGAAGATTGTTGCTTATTTCTCCCCTAGCAACACAAGGTGGCAGATATAACAGCCGGGTCATCATTTTCTACAAAAAATACTCATTTCAGACTAAGAAGAGAATTACGCATTTTGATATATCCTCCCATAATGATTACATAAAATCTTTAATTTTTCTGAAAATGGGCTTTTATCTGTCTGGTGAATGGTACTTATTTCTTTATTTCACAGCATTAATGCCAAAAAAAGCAGAGCAAACTATTTTTGTCATTTTGGAGGATAGAGGTGGGGTGGATAACAGGCATAGAGAGATAATAGATATCTTCATGATTCTGTTGTAAACTGTCACTTAAACAAAGGAAAGAATCTGTATCTACCAACTTCCAAGACTGCATGAGTCCTTGTACAAAGGGTGAAAAGTCACTTCAGAGACAGTCAAGAAATAAGACACTACTACCTCTGTTAAAGAAGGTTTCTCTACTAACTACCAGACCACCTGTATCTCCTGTAGCCATCAGGTCTCGATTCATCTCAAACTCGTTCTAAATGCTCCATATCTATTTTTTCAGCCTTTGTTACTCTGCTTCCTAAGTAGTCCCTTTAACCTCTCCTTCTTATGTACTCACTCCACGTATCAGGAACCATTTCAAAAGCCACAGCTTCCCTAAAACTTCCTCTACTCTTCCTGACTGAACGTAGTATTTCTCATTTCCTTCAAATGCGTTTAGTTTCATTAATGGCATATTTCCTTTTTTCCATGACAAAGTTACCTTTTCCCCATTTTAAAAGTATGACAATAAAATATGTCTATTTTAAAGTATATAAGAAATATAAACTTAGTGAATAGTATTAGTGAATAGTGAGTGCTATTTTTACCACTCTTATCCTACTCTCCTCTGCCTGAGTACCCTATTTTAATTTCTTTAGTTCGTAGTTTTACACATATTTTACATGCATTTAAATGCTCCACTTAATCCAAAGGTACTTTGGAGTGAAAATCATTATTCTGGCTTTGGATATATTGTCAGGTAATAACAACAGCTATACAGAAAAATAAAGTGCAGTAAGAGGATTGATTTGATAAAAGAATATTCTATCTGAGAAGACAAAGCCCATAAAATGGAAGTAGGAATGTCCCTGGAAGTGAATTATAGAATTTCAGAGAAAGAAACATTTGGGACCTTAATGAATTGGAAAATGCTTCATGGGTCAGTCTGCTACTAGCACTGCAGAAGGGGTAGATTTACGGAGCACGAGCATGAGCATTGCAGATTGGAGGTACACAGTAAGCAAAGACACAGAAGCAGGATGACAGAGTGAAGGGAAGATAGTAAGGTGATTCTTTCAATTTCTTCACCTTCTTATCTGCTCCCAAGTCCTGACTACATTAACTCAGTAGTACTTCCTGTTCTTGTCTTTCACTTGATCACTCCCCAACCCAGACCAAGGGCATTTACCTCCTGGTGGCTGTTTCCTGGGTCCATCTGCATTTTTTAAAAAATCAAGATTTGTCTTGCATGTCTCACCGTGCTTACTCCCCAAAACAGCCCCAAACACACCACTTTCTTAACATACATACACATATTCACACGCATATACATACATACACATATATACATATACACACATGCACATGCACATAAATATGTATTTCAACTTTCTTTTGTTATCTACATTAATTTCAAAATAATGGGCTCATAATTCATGTCATTAATTTTTCATTTTTTTAGTAGAAGCTACTAAATTTTTTAAAGGAAGTTGAGACTTTAACTCTCCTACACCACTTCCCAAATCTTCCTCCCCACTCTCCCTGCAAAATACATATATATATATTTCCCTTATATTCATTATTACATATAGCTGTGTTATGGGACAGAGATATTTTATGTTATTTTACTATATAAATAGTATTCATAACTGAGTCATGTAGTTTACTATGTGTCTTTGCCCATTTGTGATGCTAAAACAAAATACCTGAGACTGGGTAACAGATAAACAACATAAATTCTATTTCCCTTGATTCTGGAGACTGGGAAGTTCAAGACTTAGGCACCGGCAGGTTAGGTGTCTGCTGCTGCTGGTCTCTGTTTTCAAGACGGTGCCTTTTACAATGCATCCTCCAGAGGGAAGAAACACTGTGTCCTCACACAGCAGAAGGAAAGGAAAGAAAAAAAAGCCCTAACTAATTCCCTCCAGCCCTTTTATAAGGCACTAATCCACATGAGGCTGAGCCCTCATGACTTAATCCCCTCCTATAGGCCTTGCCTCTTAATACTGTTGCATTGAGGATTAAGTTTCAACATGGATTTGAGGGAGCACAACATTCAAACCATAGCACTATGTTTGCATTTACTCGCTTTGACTTTTTTTCCTCCTGGAGTTGATCATTGCTTCATTATTTTCATTTGCCTTATTTTCAAACATTATTTCATTCTGCAATTTTTCAACAATACCAACCATAGAACTTCTCTTATTTTAGTCAATCATCACAGTATGTATGTATGTGCTGAGAAACATCCTCCTTCACCCCCACACCTCAGAGTCCTTCATCCTGCCCAACTGTGGATTCAATCACTCCCTAGCAGGAATTTGCAGCTCTTTCATGGGAATATTTTCACCATAATTTTAAAGTTGCCTTGTTTGTTCTTCCAGGTTGGAACTTCTGTTTCTTTCAGAAGACGGTTCTCTTTCCTGGTTTATACCTTTGCATTGCTGGAGCATGTCTTCCAATATTTTCTCACATACTTTCAGAGATACATTTTTGAGATACTATTTGTTTAAACACGTCCTTATTATACCCTAATACATAATGATGAATTATCTGTATTTATTTTTTTTTTGCCAGAAATAATTTTCCCTCAAAATTTTGATGGAATTCATCCACAGTCTTCTAATTTCTGTGCTGGTGATGTCACCTAGATACTTGATCATTGTATATGGTGATGGAAATAGATTGAGCAGAGGAATGCTGCTTTTCTTTCTGGAAGATTTTACAGATGTTCCTTTTTCTCTGCATGCTGAAATTTCAGAAGTGCCTTAATGTGGGCATTTTTTTAATTTGGGGGGATGAGAACATGGGATTCCTCAATCTAAGAGCTAATGTTCTTCATTTCTTAAATGCATGTATCCACACACTTATGTACAAATACACACACATGTGTATATAGAGTTTACATAAGTATATATACACTGTGTGTATATATAGTGCATAGTATGTATATAGTGTATGTTTGTGTGTAGATATACATGTATATATTAAAATTTCTCTCCTCTATATTTTTATATTCTCTCTTTCCATAAATATGATTTATATTGGACCTCCCAGAGGTGTCTGATATCATTCTCTTCTCTTTTCTGTTTTCTGTATTTTTGTCTTTATGTTCAACTTTCTAGAGATTTCCTCATTTATCTTCCAACCCAGCCACTGAATTATTTTAAAAATATTTTGGATTTTAAAAGTATACTCCACACTTTTTACTTCTAAATTTTCTGCCATTTTTAATAGAACGTGTTCATACCCCACTAAGGACACCAATCACACGTGTATGTAGGTGTGTCTTATAGTTTCTATTTCCTCTGCAGTCGCCTCTTACCTGGTTTCTCTGCATCAATCCTTCCCCACTAGAGTCCATTTTCAACATGGTAGCTAGAATTATCATTTTAAAAAGTGATTAATGTTTTAAGGGATAAAATAATCCTTACCCTCAAAAATAAGCAATATGGGAATTTATAAAGTAAAAAGTAAAAAAGTACTCACAATCCACTACCCAAAAACAACTGTCATGGATATCTGGTGGCTGTCACTCTGACATCTCTCTAAGGAACATATATATATCCCTGTCTAAAGAATATACAGAAACATGATAGATGAGTTGAGAGACAGATAAAAATGTAATGCTATTATAAGGGCTATTTTATTTATTATTATTTTTTTTTAATTTTTTTTTTTTGAGATGGAGTCTCACCCTGTCGCCCAGGTTGGAGTGCTGTGGCAAGATCTCAGCTCACTGCAAGCTCTGCCTCCTGGGTTCATGCCATTCTCCTGCCTCAGCCTCCCGAGTAGCTGGAACTACAGGCGCTCGCCACCATACCCAGCTAATTTTTTTGTATTTTTAGTAGAGACAGGGTTTCGCCGTGTTAGCCAGGATGATCTCGATCTCCTGACCTCGTGATCTGCCCACCTCGGCCTCCTAAAATGGTGGGATTACAGGCATGAGCCACCAGTGCTAGGCCTATTATTATTTTTTACATGATACATATTTATGGTATGCAACATGATGTCTTGATACATGCATACACCATGAAATGGCCAAATTAAACTATTTAACACATGCATCGCCCCACGTAACTATCATATCATCCACAATTCACTATTCCAGAAATCCTCAGCTACACAATATATCATTACTAACCCTAGTCATCATAATACACCACAGATCCCCTGAACACATTCCTCCTGTCTAAATGAAATTTTATATCTTTTGACCAACATCTCCCCAATCGCCTCAGCCCCCAACCTCTGGTAACCACCATTCTCTCTGCTTCTATGAGTTTGACTTTTTTAGATTCCACATAAAAGTGGAATCATGCGATATTTGTCTTTCTGTGCCTGGCTTATTTCACTTATTATAATGTCCTACAGGGCTACTTTAAAATAGATGGTTTAACTAAACACCTCATGTTCTCACTCATAGGTGGAAATTGAACAATGAGAACACTTGGACACAGGGTGGGGAACATCACACACCGGGGCCTGTCGTGGGGTGCGGGGAGCAGGGAGAGAGAGCATTAGGAGATATACCTAATGTAAATGACGAGTTAACGGGTGCAGCACACCAACATGGCACATGTATACATGTGTAACAAACCTGCACGTTGTGCACATGTACCCTAGAACTTAATGTATAATAATAAAAAAGGTTTAAATTTAGTTTTACTTGATTTAGCAATAAGTAAAATATATTGAAGTAAACATGAAAGAACTGATGAATGCCAAATTAAGTATTTTCCACCACAAGGAGAGACTAGTGTCTGAAATATCTCTAGAATTAAGAAAAAGAGGTAACAAGAAATTTTAACTTACACTCTTTTTAAAAAATATATGTTTCCATTTTAGACCTATCTGTTGACTCCTGCTGTGAAGAAACTAGTGCTCTCATACCCTCTCTCTCTTATTCCCTCTCTGTCTCTCCAGTCCCCCTCTCTCATATGCTATTATTAGGAAGGTTGAAAACATTTATGTATTCTGGTCTGAAACCACAATTTTCACTGTTGTATCAACTTAATTGTATATTTAATTGAAATCTGTCATCACCCCTGACCCTTTTCCTATGGCTTACATCCAATTACTTTGTCATCATTTGTATTTTTGTTTACCTGATTTCATCTTCTGGAAGCTTTTTGTTTTTCAAAATATATATTTTATTTAACCCCATCTATTCAAAATATTCTCAATTCAATGTGTAATGAATACAAAATCACTAAGATGTTTTAGGATCTTTTTCTTAGCAAGTCTTTAATCTCTGGTGTGTATTTTACACTTAGAGCACTTTTCAATTCCACTAGCCATATTTCAGGTGTTCAGTAGTCACACGTGGTTAGTGGCTACAGTCTTGGGGGCACAGTTCCGGACTTTGTCTTTTCCTTTGTCTCGTGTTAAATTGTGATTGCACCCCTGCAGTTCCTGCAAATTGTGAGGTTCTGTCCTAGAAAGGGTCGGGGGGGTGGGGGTGGGTGTCAATTTTTGGTTTATTGTGTTTTCCAATGTTTATAATTTTTTATTTTGAGATAATGTTAGATCCACATGCAGTCAAATGAAATCATATAGGAGCTTTTTCAAATAAGAGATTGGGGGGCGGTCCTCGGTTCCTTCAGTTTGTGCATGCTTCCCAATATCTGTATCCTGCTTTTACACTTGAAAGGTACTTCCTTTTTAAGTGTAAGTGAGATAATGTAATTCTGCTGTTTAAAATCCTGCCATTGCACCCCATTTCACTCACTAAAAGCCAAGTGTCTCTATAGTAGCTGACAAGTCACGTAAGTTCTGACTATCAGGTACTCCTCTGTTAATAAATGTGTAAGATCATTACCTCTCTGCTTTCTTCAGCTTCTCTACCTCCTTCTAATTCTTTTCTGGCCAAATGGCTACAACTGTAAGGCCTAAGGTTTTCCCCTCTGTCTTGCATTGCCTTATACCAGATACGCATATTGCCCACTCCCTCACCTTCAAGATTTTGCCCAAATGTCACCTCAGTGAAGCCTACCCTGAGCAGCCAATTTAAAACGAATTACTTCTCTCCACCCATTCAACACTCCCAATTACCTGTTGCAGTGCTCACTGTAGTTTCCTCTTTTCCAAAGCACTTTGCACTAATATGGTATATAATTTACCTGTTTATGGTCTTTGTTTGTTTTTTAATCCCATAGCCAAAATAAAGTTCTGTCAATTACTGTTGACTGTGATGGCTTGTTTAGCTTATCTGTGTCTCAGTTTCTCCATCTATAAAATTTAAATGAGAACAATTATTTTCACTTATTGAGTGGCTACCATGTTCAATGCACTGTGATAGTCTCTTCATATGTAATTTGTCATGTAAGCACTGCAATCACCTTCAGGTAGATTGTCCACATCTAGCAAATGAGATAACGTTAGAAAAGGCTAGGTGACTTGCCCAAGGTCCCACAGCTAGTAATTGATGCAGACTGGACAGGATTATAGGAGATAACCTAGACACCCACTTACCATAAAAAAAAAAAAACTGTTAGTAAATGTTTACTAAAAAACATCTTTTATTTTTTATTGCATCCATTTTAATAATTGCTTATGTAGTTATTCCCATTTTACAGGTAAAGAAACTGAGCTCCCCAAAAGTTAAAATACTTGGTCAGAAAATTGGTAATTATTGAAGCTGGATTTCACCCAGGGTGTCTCTGGCTGCAAAACTCTTGCTCTTTTGATACTACCAAAAGGCATTCAAAGTTAGCTGGATGAAAAAGTAAACGTAACTAATGTATAGTTTCTCATTTTTACTTGCTAAATATAAAATCTCTTCTTCAATACTACTTAAGCACATATAATTTGATCTGGATATGATTCTCCTAATGAATTTAGGCAGTGAAAAATTAACACCATTTCAATAAATTGGACATTGACATTTTTTGAATTGCTGTCTATTTTACTCCAATTTATGGGGTAATCAGCGCTCTATTCCATAATGCTATGAGGTTTCCCACTGCTATCAATCATTCCTTCTCTCTTCATGGTATTGCTGCCTTCACTTGGTGGCATCTGCTGCCAAATAAAAGGTCACTTAATGGGTCCTTACTCTTTGGAGCACCATCCAAATCCTCGTCTTCAATCAGCTTCTCAGGGAGAGATCCAGGTGGGGGCAAAGAGGCAGGTCATTTCACTTCTGTTTCCATGGCAACCCATATATGAATGTGATCTTAGCCCACGACCTTGGACATAATGACCCCTAATCACATCCTCTGCACCCCTCAGGAGTCAGCGACTGCTATGTCAATTTCCTGTGACTCATTTTAATGGCACAAGTCTCAGAAAGGAAGACAACCCATCTCAAGCAGGCACGGGCAACCAGCAATTACTTTGGGGCAGAAACTTAGAACAGACAGGGTCTTTGCAGGAATGCTACAACAGCAGTAGTTAAAATATGTCACTAGGCTCTGAGGTGCCAAATAGACTGCTCTTATTGGAGTGTTTCAGCTCCTAATTAACCCTGACTCAATTCAGTTTTGACCTACTTCATTTCTAAATCCTACACAAAGATCATGTGAATAAAGGAAGCTATGTCTAAAGAGAAATCTCTGAAGAAACAAAGAATGCTGGGATAAGTAGGAAGAGGATACCCTATAAGGTCAAAGTTTACTATCTTCAAATATATCAAATGTTGACATGGTTAAAAAATTGGGGTCAGACTGTTATCTGGAAGTACAATCACTGGGAGACAGTTATAGGCAAGCATCCTTTCCTTGGGAGGCTCATATATCATGGTGGCCGGGATAAGATTTGAATCACACCTCTCCCTTTTACTAACTGTATGGCTATGTGCAAATGTTGGTTTTTCTGTTACTTATATTTCCTCCTTTATAAAATAGGAATAACATTGGCATTCCTATATTTAATATTTATTAAATCTGTCTTCATTATTTTCATGGAGATACTGTGAGGATTAAATATACTAATTCACAGAAAACTTAGCTTTCTGACTGGCACATGGGAGGTATGTTAAAGGCAGTCATTTCTTTGCTGTCGTTATCATTAATATTACTTAACCTGTTACTAAAAATAAATTTTCTATAAGTCAAACATGCTAGGAAAGTTTGTTTTAGAAGGTTTTAGTTTCCACTGGACAAACTCTGCCAGTGAACATACGGCAAAGGTGAAAGGGGGTGCAATTCATCAGAAGCAGAGGTTCAAGTACTAGGAGATTAGTTGAAGTATAGACTTTAAATTTATAAATTTTTAATGGGAAGTTGCCATTATCCTGTGATGTTTAGACTTTCCTCACTATTTACAAATGTCAATAGTGGCATCTGTTCTCTCTTTCTGATAGCCAGTAGGTATGAGTAGAACTACCAGGTGTTACCAAAGCAAACAGGTAGAAAAATTGCAGGCCTCCTCTTTATGTGGTTCCCAAGATTTCATCATTCCAGCCCCGTAAATTCTACCCAGCTCTATTTTTTAATTTTTTTAACACATGTCACTGTTAGGCCATTATATGCCCATGTGTAACCTTAATTTCCTACTTTCATGGGTTTTCTTTATCTATATCTAATGTTCAGCAGACAAGAAATACTGTGAAAGTTGAACCTTGAATACCATATTCTCTTCCCAGAATTCCCATATAGCATGAATTTCTAGTTCTCCTGTGGACATGTTAACTCATTCAGCACACAGTGATTGAACTGCTATTCTGTGCCAGGTGTGCAGACACTATGGATGGAACTAAGGACAGCCTACCTTAAGAGCATCATGGAGCTCTGGCCCTAGTAGTAGAGGCAAATAAGCAATATGTTACCAACTTTACCCACATGAAATAGAATAGCATGCAACAGTAATAATGAATGGACTAAGACTAAACCTATTAACATGGCTACATCTCAAAAACTTATGTGAGTAGACAAAAGAAGTGTGCTTTAAATAATGTAATAACACATTTATATGGATTTTGTAGGTATATACAAAGAGTAATAGAAACCAAATTCATAAAAGTGCTTAACTCAAAGTGGGACTGAGAACAAGAGAGAAGAATGGAATCTAGTAGGAATATTCAAGGGTTGTAACTTTTTAGGGAAATCTTACTTCTTTTTTGGAAGGTGAATATATGAACTATTTCTTTCATATATTTATGAATGAACATTCACATATATGAATGTTCATATATATGTGAATTTTTCTGAGGGTACCTTAAAAAAGAATATATATATTATATATATTCTTTCATATATATTTTTAAAGAATGGTTCATATATATATATATGAATGAAATGATCCCTAAAATAAAATATTTCTATAAAAAGATATTACAGCTTGCCAAAAAAGTGTTTTCAATGACTCTATTATATTAAATCAAAATGAGACATACTTGATTTAGAAGGGGCATATGATAGGAATAGCTTCTCTGCGTCTCTGTGGAAATAGCTCTGAAGAAGCGATAACTAAGTAAAACGTGGAAATCTGGGAGTGAGGAGTAGAAGGGAAAGGCACTCCATTAACTTCACTCCTTTTTAAACTTTTGCTTGCATTTTGATACCAATTACCAACATGAAACCGATTTCAACCTATTCTAGCTCCTCAATTCAACAGGCAACCCATTAAGACATTGCATCTTATTTACTTTTGTATTCGCCAAAGCAATGAACAAAATTTATTATGTTGAACACTCGTAAAAGTCAAGGCCTTGGACTTCAAGTAACCTGAAAGTCACAAATATGCTAAATGTTGAATACACATTTATTTTTTATTTATATTTCATTGGCAACCAGCCCAAGTTTATGCGGTTTTAAAATGGATGTTTATATGGCAATTTTTACCCTATCTGTGCCATCTAATATTTCATCTGGATTTTCAATAAAGTAATGAAGGATATCTTTGGATCATGCCCTTCCCTGTGTGTAAAATATATTTTCTTTTTCATCCTTCACCTATCAAGTTCAATTTGCTCTATTTCTTAAAGTCCTGCTCATATGCCTCTGCCTTCATGAAGTCTTTGCTAATCAGTTCAGTGCAAAGACTGGGCTGCCTCCTATAGACTCCTTTGCGACTCTGTGACATTGATTAGTTTTAGCATAGTTCATAGACCATTGTAGAGAGCCACTACATTGTAGCTATTAATATTATTGAAGGATATTCCCTTCCTTCAAAGATGTACACTTCACCAGGGAGATAGCAATGACACAGATGCAACACTGTATGGTTTAATCCAATTCGATATGTCCCACAGCCTAAAACATTCATTTTTTGGCACAAAGCGGCTGCTCAAATAAGAAAGGATGAAATGAATAAATAAGTCAATGAAATGATCAACATATGAATTATATTTGTCTAGCCCATTGGAGATCTCAGCCTTGCAAACATACACCTTGCCCCCCAAGGGGTGGAGTTATTTATTGTTTGCATATGACAGCACTTTGCCAAATGAACAAAAATCTGAGCTGGCTTCATTAAGAGGGATGGATATAAAGTAGGTACATGTCTGTGCTGAGCCACTGAAAGTAAAATGGGATAATTGCAGTGGTTACAATGAGGCTGATCAAGCTGAGAGAAACAAGTTTCAAATCGTTCCAATCAGTCCTAATCCAGCAGAGTTATTAACAGTGTTCTACCCTGGTGCGACTGCATCTGCTAACGTGAGATAATGATTTATATCACAGTTTATGAAAGTTCCAATTTGTCCTAATTCAATAAGTGAAACCCAGCAAGGCAGGCAGGAGACAGACATTGCACTATGGCTGGAATTCCCATTTCTTTCTCCTCTCTGCACCACCCACAGACTGTCATGGCTGATGTGCATCTGCTTGCCAGGCACCTTTTGTTGTAGTCTTAAGCTGAGGGAGACAGAGCAGGAAGTTGGAGTAAAAGTTCTCAATCACACCCTAGGTCTGAAAGATCCAGCAGGAAAGGATGTTTTGAGCAAAGATGACATGGTGGTATCATACAATTAGATGTGTCATGGAGATTTCTGAGTCTAGGAGTTCTTAATGTGGAAATCTTGAGACCTTAGGTTAGAAAGCAGTGATTCTATGAATGCTGCAAAAGTGTGTATTTATGTGTTTGCATGTGTTTGTGCAATTTTCCTTCCTCAGGAGAAAGTTCAGAGCTTTCATTAGACCTCAAATTGTTCTTGTGACCCAACAAAATTATGAACGATTGACAGGTCTAATCCACTCACTATCAAAATGAGAAAGCAGAAAGAAGGTCATTAAGATAATTTCCCTAAATCACTACTAGAGAAAGAACTGGGGATAGATTACAAGAATCCTAAAGCCAGCCAGGAAATAATTTATATGTTTGACCACAGAAAAAAACATGTGGCTTCAGCCAAGTATGGTTTCTTGGACACTGTTTTTTCTCTATCCCTTCCTCCTCCTGTCCTATTGGCAATGCTGCTCCCATTTAGACAGCCAGCTGTGTGTCTCCTTCATATCCAGAGGTATCCTCAAAAAAAAAAAAAAAAAAGGCTATTGATAGCCATAGAGACATAGAGATCACATGATGCCATAGAAAGAACAGTGCTAGCTCCAGCTTCTGGTAGACTGTCAGGCACAGAATTACACAAAATGCATATTTATTGAATGAATGAATGAATGAATGAATGAGCTGAAGGGCAGGAAAGATTGTGTACTTCTTCAACACTCTTTTTGATAATCTGAAAAATGAGATTTGTTTTCAGAATGTCTCAGCTTCCTTTGCTTTAACATTTGATGACCGTGACAGTCATTTACTTGTGACCTCATTTCCCACTATGAATTAGAGGCCTTTTTTCAAGAGATTCCATGCATCTGTGCTTAGATTGAGGATGGGAGAACTGTATATCCCCCTAACTCAAGACGGCAGCTACCTTTTCAGCTTAGCTATAACTAGCGCTCTCTGACCCTCAGTCCAAGGCAAGCAAGCTCAATATGCCAATACTGATTAACTTGTCTCATTATTAAAGTAAATAAATAAAAATGCTTGAGCGTCCTTCCTAACCAGAGCAGATTCAAGGCTCTGAAGATACAAAAGTAAATTTAAAAGGGATCCTTCCTTAAGGGATCTCACAATCTGTGCGAAGACTGATATATACCCTGCAGGCAAGGACTCAATCCTTGACTGCAGTGTACATATTTGGATTGATAAATACTGAAGTCACAGATTGAGCAGAGTGTTCAAATCATATGGAGAAAAGAGCTATGAGTCATTCTGGGTGCAGCAATGAAGGTGAAAGAAAAGCATTAACTCAGTCTTGAGGATAAATAAGTGTGAACTTACCAGAGAAGTTAAAAGGAAAATCCACAAAACTAAGATGGCCCAAGCCAAAGCATGACATTCTGAAGGCGCATTACATATTTCTGGAGTGGTGAATACTCTGGTATGAGCCTAGGATGGTGCTTGATATTTAAAGAGAGCTCAATAAATATTTCTTGAATTAGTGAGTGAATCAATAGCTAAATAATTATAATTATTAACAGTGATAGCTAGATTTATTAGATTATTATTTAGTGTCGAATTCAATATTAAGCACTTTTCATATATTGTATCACTTAATTTCCACAACAACCATAGAAGACAAGCATTGTTATTTTTTCCATTTTGTACATGAGTTTCCTAAAGCTCTGGGAGGCAGAGGAACTTTTCCAATGTCACATGGCCAGTATCAGTATCAGAATTTGGCTACAACATGACTGCATGACTTTAAATTATATGCACTTAAATTGTTTCACCTAAAGTATACAGTGTGTTGGAAAAGAGGATGGAATAAGAAATGTCTGGAAAAATACATTATGGTCATATTGTGAAGGAAGTTGAATGCAGTATTATGAAATTTGCGTTTCACCCTGTTATGAAGGGAAAGCTGTATAGAGTTTTCTAACCATCGGTAATGCAGGCCCTAAGTTGTGTTTTAGAAAGACAGTTGGAGGGTTGTGAGTCATAGGCTAAAAAGGCAAGAGTCTATATGGTGCAGAACCACTTGGGAGATATATAAATAAATCATCTTCTCCATATTATCCTGTAGCCTGCTTTTATTTTGATAAATAGTATAGCATGCATATGGTTCCACATCAGTACATCTTCATCTGCTTAAATTATCATTACTTAGAAAAAAAAATTTCACTATGAACAAATGTAAATGTAAAAAGCATGGAAAATAAAATCCTAACCCTGTGCCCCTATCATGTGCTTTTCATAATTATCAAGCCATAATTTTTGGATAAAATTATCAAATTTTATTGTCTATAACCCCCCACTGTCCATCCTACTTTGAAGCAAATTTTGAAGCAAATTCCATTCTTGACATTATATTTATTTACTCATAAATATTTCTATATTTCTTTCTTTCTTTTTTTGGTAGAGCTTGGGTCTTGTTATGTTGCCCAGGCTGATCTTGAACTCCTGGCCTCAAAGAATCCTCCCACCTCAGCCTCCAAAGTGCTGGGATTACAGATATAAGCCACCACTCCCAGACAATATATTTCTTTAAAAACCCCTTATCTTATATCCTCAATCTTGATTTTCTAAAATAGGATTCCTGAACCTATAACTCAGGCCAAATCCTGCCTTCTCCATCTTTGTCTGCCATTATACCTAACAACAGTTTGGGCATCTTTGCATTTGACATAAATGAATTAAAAACAAGAATACTATTTCACGACCAGTGAAAATTATATGAAATTCAAATTTCAATGTCTATTAATGTCTATTGTATTTCACCCAAACCACTATCATTCATTTATGCATTGCTTATGGCTGCTTTTGTGCTGAAATGACTGAGTAGAGTAATTGTGACAGTGACCATATAAGATACAAGCACCTACACAATCTCCTCAATTTTGTATCTTGGCTCACAGAGCTTAAACTCTTTAGTGATGGTGAGAATCACAAATTCCTGGGACCCACCACAAAGGTTCTAATTCAGTAAGTCTGGGGTGAGGGCATGAATATGAATTTTTTGGGAGTTCCCAGTGGGGGCTAATACCACTGGTCAGGCGCCTCAATTTCTCTGACCTAATAAAAAAATGAGCAGGGATTCAAGACAAGGAAAGTGATGGGATTCTAATGGTCAACTCTTCACTGAATCCCTTTCACAGTGCCTCATCTGAGGGTCTCAGCCTCACCCCATATCAACACAGCAATTGCAGCACGAACCTGATCAACACTTGACCTGTCATTGCTTCTTGGAAAAAATGAGGAAGGCGTCCTGTCACAAGTGAATCACATTTTCCAGGCAGATATTTATTCATTAGATGCATATCACACCTTTACTCAGAGTCTGGATCCTAAGCTTAAAATATGGGTAATTATCCAGTCACAAAAATAACCACTCTGCATCGAGGCTTTAAACAAAGTGAGGAAGGAGGGCCTGGTGAACACTGAGGATGAGAGAAAAAGACTAAAACGAAAAGTTCATAATGAAAGCCTCTATTTTTAAAAACTCAAATGTCAATTTTCCAAAATAGAACATTTTACCCCCATTTTGTCCCCAGTCTGAATCTGACATGTTTCTCCTCTGCACTGCCTTTCTGTGAAGAGCTGTGTTCTTTTCCTTGAGAGTCAGCGTGGTGTGGGAAAGAAGGGTGGGCTTTGTAGTGAGAGAAGACTAATCCTAGCTCTGCTCCCTTCAAGCCACATGAATTTGGCTACGTAAACACTCAAAAGCTTGGAGCTCAGAAGCTAAGGTGATCAAATCCTTTCCATTTGCCTGGGACTTCCCTTCTTCCCCTGCTGTTTTTTGTTTCTTTTATTTTCTATTTATTTATTTATTTTTTTCTGAGACAGGGTCTTGGTTTGTCTCCCAGGCTAGAGTGCTGTGGCATAACCATGGCTCACTACAGCCTTAACCTTCTGTCTCAGCCTCCTGAATAGCTAGGACCACAGATGCATGTTACCATGCCTGTTTTTTTGTTTTTTGTTTTTGTGTTTTTTTTTTTTTTTTTAATTTTCTGTAGAAATGGGGTCTCGCTATGCTGCCAGGCTGGTCTTGAATTCCTGACCTCAAGCAATCTTCCTGCCTTGGCCTCCCAAAGTGCTGGGATTACAGGCATGAGTCAACATGCCCAGCCTCCCATTTTAACACTGAAAGTCTCACGTCTTGAGAATCTCTTAGTCTTGGGCAAACCTAGGTGTTTTGTCATTCTGTTGCAACACCTGTTAAAATACAGAAACAGGCCAGGTACAGTGGCTCACGCCTATAAACCCAATGCTTTTGGAGGCCAAAGAAGGAGGATTACTTATAGCCAGGAGTTTGAGACCAGGCTCAGGAACATAGTGAGATCCCATCTCTACAAAAAATGTCTAAAAATGTAGCCAGAGATGGTTGTCCATGCCTGTAGTCCTAGCTACTCAGGAGGCTGAGGAAGGAAGAATGCCTGAACCCAAGATTTTGCATTATGGTGAGCTATGATTGTGCCACTGCACTCCAGCCTGGGTGACAGAGGGAGACACTGTCTCTAAAATAATAATAATAATAATAAAAAGCAAAGGGTTATATTAGCTAGTTTAGAGAGCTGTTGCAAAGGCTTAATTATATAATACCAGCCATAGTGGAGGCAACTATGGAAGGTTGGTTTACTCCTTCCCTTGTCCCCAGATATGACTCTGAAAATTCTGTCATTCTACATGAACCCTCTCTCTAAGGTACAGCTCACACATTCCACACTCTAATCCTTGTAGAGCATCTTCCACTAGCTGTAGTCACTCTGGACTCCAACCTCCACTGCCTCAGTACAGAGCCTCATGTTACTATGTCCTGAGCTCTTGTCTTCCCAATTCCATTCTCTGCCTCTCCAATACATCTCACGAAGAGCTCTTTCTGAATCATCAGTCAAGCACATTGTTTTAGAGCTACACCCCTTTCTATGACTCTCTTTTCCCTAACCAAAACTGAAGCCCCAACTCTTCAAGAGGCTACTGGAAGCCCTCTACAAGTGAGTGATCACCTCCTTTTATGGCCTAACCTCCTATGGTCCACACTTCAGTTTCAATGATTTGCTTGGGGTTCTCCAATAGTGTCAGCTCTCTATATAAGGTTTTTCCTCTGCCAGAAATGTTCTCTCTGTATCCTAAACTGAGGCAGTGCCTCTCAGCCATGGCAGTATTGATGTTCAGCGCCTGATAACTCTTGGCTATAGGGACTGTCTTGTGCATTATAAGATGTTTAGCAACATCTGTGGGTCCATGGTCACTAACCCCTACTCCCTAAGTGTCAATATCCCTCCACACTCATCAGTTATGAACCAACCATCTCTCCAAACAATGCCAAATGTTCCTCAGGGGACAAAACTGTCTACTCTTGAGAACCAAAATTGTCTACTCCCTTCTGCTCACCATCAAAAATCTAGCCCTTCTGATATTCCTCAGATCTTCCTAACACATGCTTATGCTTTGCTTTGCATCAACTGCTTAAGAATATTGTTTTTTCTCATAATATTGAGAATTCTTTTAAAGAAAGATCTGCTTTCCCTTTTTATCTTTTTACTTTCTCCATGATCCAGTATAAACCCTTAATTAGCAAGTCCCCAAATAAGTATTGGTTGAATGAACTGTAATGTCAAATAGATGGCTTTTTGTTTGTGCTTTATGTTTCTTGATGAAAGTTAACCCAGGGTTTCTTAGCCCACTGAAATCATCTAATATTACTAATGCCTTTAAATAAATATACCTTTAAATAAATATATATGTATGCACATGCATACTGCTAAATTTGTAAAGTTTGAGTTTACAGGCATCTTCTGAAGTCTATAAAGTTTCAGAAAAGAAAGTTTTTCTCATCCTTCTCCAATCCTATTTTATATTCTATCTTTGGTTATTTTCCCTTGACCTTCCTTTTTCAAGCTTGGTCCCATTTTACCTGGATTTTCGACCTTTGCTTAGCTTGCAAGTCTATATTGCTGTGCTAGCCAGTTATGCAGTCACATTTGCTTCTTTCTATCTTGTCTCTTTTAATCAGCTGCTCCACTAACTAGTAGCTGGCATAAAGAATTCGTGCTAAGTGCACATCTGTTCACATCTGGCACATAAAGGCCTGTAGGTCACATTTGTACAGGCAGCACAGCTGACTTCACAGCAGTCTGAGAAAAGAAAAAAATAGAAAACTCTGGCCTAAAAATTTTTTGTATTTGATCAACCACAGTAATTGGGGCATTTCCAGCTGGCATTCAGCTTGGCACAGGGAACAATGAACGAGACAGGTTAGGATCAGGGAGCTGGCAGTTGCCAAGATCTTTTCTTCTTTTGGTTCCTTCTGGACTCCAGTATAAGCAGTGAGAGAGGCTTGTCCATCTCATTCTGTCTTGCAGTGTGCCCTCTCTCAGTTTGCTGAGACCAGTCAATGTCAGACCATTGTTTCTAAACAGCAACCCTGACTGTCCCCAGCTTGCAAACATTAGCAAATACAGGCAATGTTCTTACAAATAACAGAGATTGTGATTGTCTTTCCTCACTCTGGTCCTGCATCTAAAGTAACAGATTGGAAAAGGGAAGTCAAAGTTCTGGATCCTGTTGGGAAGGTCAGAGCCTCCTTCTGATTTATTGGGGGACTGCTGCTGAGATCAAGAGGCAAGGGGACACCTTGGGAAGTAGCCAGGAAAACACAGGCTGGTGTGGATGAAGTCCAAAATGAACTCAGGTTTTTGCATACAAAAATGAAATGAAAGTTATTTGCAAATGCTCTTCTGGGACAAATTGTTGAAGGGGCCAAATAAGCATTCAATGGGGGCCTCAACTAGATGTTCTATAAGGCATTTTTAAATCTTGATATTTCTTTCATTTTTTTCCATCAACTTAATTATTTCTACTCCCCATATTATATTGTTCTTTAATTTACATCCAGTAATACTTTCTATGTACTTCTCTATCTCCTGCTTCTCCCAGCTGGATTTTTCCATAGTCAGAAGGCAGCTGAACTCCATAGGATATGATGTGAGCAAGAGCAGGTAAGCCACTCAAATACCTTCCTCAGACAGCCATCGTATCTGACATTTCACCATGAAGAACTTAAAAAAAAAACATAGAAATTTTGATCCTTGAGTCCTTGAGTGTTACTGCCACTTAGTATGATAACATCTGAAGTTAATACTGATAAATAGTTTGTTGGAAAAATAATGATTGCTAATATTTTTCACTGCTGGCTAGTCTTCCAAAGAGTTTCATGTATGCTACCTCATTTGACCTGCACATTAATCTTGAAGTATAAGTAGGTAAGTCTTTGAGAACTAACCTCATTAAGCTTTATTTTCTCATCTCAGTAATGGAAATAATGATGCATTCTATTTGCCAAATACTTGGGGGAGACATGAAGCAGAGCAGAGAAATACATATTTATATACACCACACATTAAATGCAAAGCAGTCTACAAAATTTGAATTTAGTGGCTAAATATGTAACTCCTGAAATCAAACTTTTTCCTTTAGTAAATTGTTCACTTGCAGATGAGGAAAGTAGGGTACAGGGAGGGCAAGTGATACATCCAAGATCACGCAACAATTAGTAATTAGAACGAGGTCTTCACACATTACATCTAGTGGGGTTTTTTTTTCACCATTTTATCTTCCAACTACACTCACTTCAAGATAATTCAGAGCCAGTGAATCCATCCCAGAAGGATGATGACTTCAGCAGACAAGAATTGTTACGCTCTATCCTCTTGTTTGGTTAAATGTGCAGATAAATGCTGCCTGAACCACTGCCATGGAGTAAACAAATCAATGGAAGACATGACCTCTGTGTTTAAGGTCTACTTATGAAGCTAGAGAATCCGTGCATGAAAACTAACCAATAATATAAGTCATAACAGTGATATAAGTAAATGATGTTACAGAATTCTGGACAAGAATAGGAAGATATCCAAAAATACTTCTTGGAGAAGGTGGAGTATGAGATGAATCTTGATTACATTTAAATAGTAAGGAAAAGTTTCAGAAAGCTGATCGCATACACAGGAATACACCAAGGAGCACTCAAGGAGAGAGCGCTTACTTTAAATGTGGATGAACATAAGTATAGAAGTTAGAAGATATGATTCCCAGGACTGACACCACCACTTTACTGTCTCTGAGAACGAGCCTCATTAAGCTTTCTTTTTTAATCTCAAAATGGAAATAATGATGCATTCTATTTGCTGAGTATTTTGGGAAGACATTAAGCAGAACAGAGAAAGAAAGAAATACATATGCACATTAAATGCAAAACAGTCTACAAATGTCAACTTAGTGGTTAAATATGTAATCCTTGGAATCATACTGTTCCCTTTACTAAAATATTTTTCAATTGAACTATAACCGACATGTATAAAAATGTATAATGCACAACATTAAATGTACAAACAGATGCATAAAAACCAACTACATATTAAGGAAAAAATAAAGAGAAGTTATCGGATAAATAGGAAAAAAAGACTTAAACAAGCATCTCAAAAGAAGAACATATTCAACCTCATTAGTTGTTAGGGAAATACATACCCAAATCACAAAGTGTTATCACTACACAGGCTCCAGTATATCCAAAATAAAAATAACAAGAACATACAATACAAAATATTAGCAAAGATGTAGAGAAATTAGAACTTGCCTGCACTGCTGATGAGAGTGTACATTGTTTCAATTACTTTGAAAAACTGTCAAACAGTGTTTGCTAAAGCTGTTCAAATAAACACCCTATGACATGGCAATTCCATTCTTAGGAATATCCAACTGAAATGCATATATTTGTGCACTCCCAAAAGGCGTAAAAGGATATTTATTCAGCAGAAATATTTTAAACCTTAACACAACAAAAATAGCAATGGTAGAATGGATAAAGTACAGTAGATTCATATAACAGGACACTAAGCAATGCCATGAATAAACTATTTCTAAATGCAACAACATTGAAAAATCTAAATAATAACAACAACACCCAGCTATAAACAATTGCGTATTGTATAAAAACCATATATGTAAAGCTCAAAAACAGAAACAAAAAACAAATTGAGTGTGATAGAAGTCCAGATAGTGGTTACCTTTGGGTCAGGGAAAGAAAGGACCAGGAGACAGCATGAGGGTCCTCCTGGGATGTTGGTTATATTCAATTTCCTGAGCTGAGTGTTAGTCACATCTTATACAGGTGCGTTTAACTTGTGAAAATTCAAATTGCCTTCTAAATCCCAGCTCCAACATCTAAGATCTATATAAACTTGGACATATTTTTAACTGAGTCTCAATTTTCTAAATCTCACAGAACTGTTTATTTAGATGATACATGTAAGGCATATAGTGCATTGCCAATAATATAGTAAGTGTTCAATCATCATTAGCCTTGTAATCAATATTACTACTCGTAAATAAGGTTCATAAAAGTACTTACACCATAGGGTTTTTATGAATAGCCTATGGAATGGTCAAAATTTTACACTGCTACTGGCATGTAATACATTCTCAAAAAAATAAAATGTTTGAAATAATGATTATTGAAACTTGAGCTTGCACCATCTCTGGCCATTTCCAGATACTGAAGGTCGATGTCTCCCAATAAACCTTGATATTCTGAGAAACATACACAACATGAAGTCTGTCTGAGACACTGGGGAGGTACCATGTTTGCAGACACCAGCTCCAGAATGGGCCAGCATCCTAGCGCCCAGCTCCTCTCCCTTTCATTCCACTTATGAGCGCATGTGCAGTCACTTTCTGCCTTGCTTGTGGAGCATGGCCCAGGTGTGAAACATTCAATTTCTAGCCATAAGGGAGCTGTGAAAACAGAAGGTGTTAAATATTTATCAGGTTCATCTATTTGGCTTCTTTTTTAACATCTTATTTGCAGGTTAGCAAGGAAACAGGGTGATCTTATGCAAGAGGCTGTAGACCAGCAGCGTGTTAACTTTGGAGTCCAACAGAACGGGCTTCATTCCCCGCCACAGCCACTGACCAAAATGACACTGGGCCAAGCCATTTCAGCTCTCTGTGCCTCTCATTGCTTGTCTGTAAAATGAGAGTAATAACATACCTACTTCTTAGGCTTGTCATGAGAATTAAATGAAATAGTTAAAAATATTGCACAATTTTGATATGTATCTGCATGAAAGGATAATGCTTATTTGTATTTCATTCTGTTCTCAGTCTTGCCTATATTTATTTCATAAGTTGAAATATAACTTACATACTATAAATTTTTCCATCTTAAAGTGTTTAATTCAGTGATTTTTAATATACTCACATGGTTGTGCAAACATCAGTAATATGTAATTTCAGATGGTTTTCATCACTTTTAAAAGAAACTTCATACCCGTTGGCAGACATTCCTTCTTCCCCTCGCCCCTCTTTTCCTGACAATGAGGAATCTACTTTCTATGGATTTGCTTATTATGAATATTGCATACAAATGAAATCATTCAATACATGGTATTTTTTGTCTAGCTTCTTTCATATAACATGTTTTCAAAGTTCATCATGTTGTAGCATGGATCAGTATTTCATTCCTTGTTAATGGCTGAATAATATTCCATTCCAAAATGTATATTACATTTTGTTTATTCTTGACTATATTCTTAAGGAAAATTTGGAATTAGCTTAGAAGAATGCTTAAGGTCACAGATTAGCTTTAATGTTCAGATTCCTAAAGTAGAAGTTTACACTAGGCTTAACATTGAGAGATGCCATTGCGTATTACTGAAGATCACAGATTCTGTAGCCTGATGCTTGCTTCAGGCAAAAAAGCCTGAAGCTTGAAAGCCAGCTTCATCACTTCTGACTGTACGAATTGAGGAAAGTAATATTATTTTCTCCTGTCTTATTTTCCTCAACTGTAAAATAAAGATAATAATATCTCTCATGTAGGTTTATTGTAAAGACTAAATTAGACTTTTCCTAGCCCAGAGATGCAGAATTAGAGTTTTTATTCCTAGTACCTTTTTTTTCCCCTGGTCCATAGTCTCATTCTCCTGTATATGAGAAATAGTAAGCTATTCAGAGTTTCTGGAAATAACTCCCTTTCTTAACAATGGAAATGGGCCTCTCTCATTAGCCCCAGTGATCAGTCTTCATCACTTGAACTACACAGAAAGTTACCACTGTCAGGTGTCATCTGCCATCCTGGGATTATAACTGTGAGGTAAAGTAGCATAGTTCTTTTTTGAAGATAACTATATACCTAGGACTATGCCAGTCAATTCAGATGAACTGGGACTTAAATACTGACTAGCATGGCTTTATTGGCCCAATTTTGGCCTCAAGCAATTAAAAATAAAAGTTATTTTATAATAGTCCAAAAAGATAGCTATTAATGATATAAAAATAAGCTAGGGTAATAGCACATATATACATGTATGTCTATCTATCTATCACCTATCTCTCTCTCTTTCTCTAATCTATATCTTTCCAGCTATTTTTCTGCTACCACAACTTAAATTGGAGCCAGTCATCAACATATGCTGAGATCAATTGAAAAAGTCATTATGTAAGAGTTCAAGAGGTGTATAGAGGTCCTTGTGTGTGATGGATTCTGAATTGGGCCTTATTCATTCCCATTCTTTTCAGCAGCTTGTTTCATTGGTTCAGATCACTAGACTGGGACTAGGTATCCTGAAGATCCATTCTCTGCAATCGTCCATGGAAGAAGCAATCACCTGTTAAATTTAGATTTCTTGAATCTGCCAAGACTCTGACACAATGATAAACAGCCACTGTTTCTAGTAAAGGTTGGGGAAGCTCACTCTTTCACTGTTAATTGCTTTGTGGTACTGAACCATAAAGATGACAGCAAGTCAGGCCACAGCAACACACAATTATGCAGGGACGGCCACCCATCTTGATGACATTAAGGTCATTTAATCCATCTCCAGGGTGCTGGTTAATTGGCCACTACTAGGGTTAGGATATCACTTTCTGAGTAACTGAGTATCTGCAGGAACTTCTTGGAAAATTACAAAGAAAATTGTTCTCTTACTCACTGTTGCTAGTGTCACACAGGGAAGGGGGGTACTCAGTGTTCTTTATTTTTACTTTTAGGTTCTTTATTTTTATCTTACCTGTGCTCTTCTCAAGGAGAAGAAATACCGATGTAACTGATCAGATGTCAAGTTATTGATTGGACCATACTGGATAGTGGGTGTGAGGACTCACTGCCATTAAAATATCCAAAACACTCTCCCTCTTTCTCTCTGTCCCCTCCCTATCTTACTAAGCTTGGATCATGTTTAAGATCAAAGATCTGATATTGGATTTTGGGGGGAAAATAGAGGAATAGTAATATTTGGCCTAAAGAGGACACTCCAGGTGCTCAAGTCCTGCTTATGAGAATGTATATGGTCAGAGTTTCCACTAACAATAAACTCTCATATTCCTTACGATTTGAAAATGTTTTGTACATGGAAATTTTCTTTAAGAATTACATTCTAAAGAGTTTCTACATTATTGAAAATATTAAATAATTTCCAGTTCTTTGGCTTAATTCTATGAAATGGCAATACTCCCTCCCCACTCACATCATTTTATCCTTGTTTCTAAAACTGTTTTTTGGTAGGTATCACTGGAACATTCTGCAGTGAGAAGTTTTGTAATTTGCCTTTATATGGTTTCAAAGAGCCTGTGCCAGAAGAAAATGTAAATGCAGTAAAAAATAGTTGAATAATGTAAGAGAAAAACACTGGATAAATAACCATCATTTATTCAAAAAATTATTGATTACCTATTTTACACTGGTCATTCTTCTAGAAACTGGGATTACAGAAATGAACAAAAGAGTAATAATCTCTGCCCGTGTGGATCTTAAGTTTTGGTAGAGCAGATAGATCAGTAAATAAATAAAATATTCAGCCTGCTAAATAAGGGCTATGGAGAAAAAGAGAGTAAACAAAGAGCCTAGGATATTTTGGCTCAGGAGGGAACTGGACTTTTTAAATAGGGCTTTCAGGGAAAAGTTAAGTCAGAAGATAACATTGGTATAAATTTTTAAAAGGTAAGAAAGAGAGCCATATGATATCTGTGGCAGAGGTAATGGCAAGTAAAAAGACCTCGAGGCAGAATATTGCCTGGCATTTTTGAGAAACTGTAAGGCAATAGGGCCAGAACAAAGTCTAGAGGAGAAAAGTAGAAAATGGGGTTTGAGAGGAAACAAGAGACTGATCATGAGAAAGCATAGACACAATCTAGTTTAGATGTTTTTCATTCAACTGTATTAAAGCTTAATTTATATGCAACAAAATGGACCTGTTTTAAGTACACAGTTCTATGAATTCTGACAAATGTGTATTGTTGTGTAACCACCAACATAATCATTACATGAAGCATTTTCATCATCCCCCAAATGTCTCTTGTGTTCCTACCCTCACCCCAAACATAGCACCTGGTCATGTAGGATTTGTTTTCTGTCATGATAGTTTGCCTTTTCTATAACATATCCTACAATATATACTATGTATATCGTTTTTATGTTATGCTCCTTTTACTTCACAATAAAAATAAATGAACATGCAAAAGCATGGATGAATCTCAAATGTGGTATTCCCTGGTAGTATTTTATTGGAAGAATTTGCCAAAATGTGTAAATCCACTGTAATAGTCTGTTCTCACATTGCTATAAAGAACTACCTGTAACTGGGTAATTTGTAAAGGAAAGAGAGTTAATTGACTCACAGTTCTGCAGGCTGTATAAGAAGCATGGCTAGGGAGGCCTCAGGAAACTTACAATCATGGCAGAAGGTGAAGAGGGAGGAGACACATCTTAAATGGCTGGAGAAGGAGGAAGAGAGAGAACAGGGAGGTGCTATATGCTTTTAAATAACCAGATCTCACGAGAACTCATTCACTATCACAAGAACAGCAAGGGGAAAGTCTTCCCCCATGATCAAATCACCTCTCACCAGGCCCTTCCTCCAACAGTGAGAATTACGATTCAACATGAGATTTGGGCAGGGACGCAAATCCAAACCACATCCTCCACATTCACTTGTGGATTGAACTTTGTATTATTTCCAGGTTTTAGCTATTAGGAATAAAGATGCTGCAAACATGTGCATGCAATTTTTTTGTGATAAAATAAGTTTTAATCTTTTTCAGGTATATTCCTAGAATCTTTTTCAGGTATATTCCTCAATTGAAATTGAGTCTTCCAATCCATTAACACTGTGTATCTGTCCATTTATTTAAATCTTTACATTCTCTCAGCAATGTTTTGTAGATTTTATTGCATGGGTCTTATACATATTTAATTAAATTTATTCAAATTAATAAAAATTTTATATGGTATTACAATATGGTATTTTTTTCTGTTACACTTTTTTTAACTAGTTAATAAAAACACTTCTGGCTTTAAATGTTAACTTTGTACCCTATTGATTGTTAAAATCACTTAATAGCTCTGGTAGCTTTTTAAATGTTTTTTCTATCTTCATACAGCACTAGTTAGGATGGTTGATGCATTGTTGAGTAGGAGTTGTGAGAACACACACAGTCTACATATGTCATAAGCCTCATATTATGTTTTTGCTTTAAAATTAAGAATGTTTTAAAAATTAAATTAATCATAAACATTTTTTAACATTTACCAGTTCTGTGCTTTTCATTTTTTTCTCTAGTTCCAATTTTCTATCCTATTTTCTTTTACTTGTCAGAGAAACTATCTTTAATAATTCTTAGGGATTATGTCTGCTGGTGACAAGTATTCTCAGCTTTTTTTTTCTTCTTTCCATCTGAAAGAAGTCTTTATTTTCCATGAGTTCGAGAATTCTAGGTTCATTTTTGTTTTCTTTCAACACTTTAAAGATACCATTGCATTATCGGTTTGCATAGTCATTCTTGTTTTTGTTCCTCTATAATTAATCTGTATATTTTGCCTATTGTTGCTTGAAGATTTTATCTTCATCAGGAATTCTCAGCAATTGGATTAGGAAGGGCTTTAATGTGGTTCTCTTTGCTGTCCTTTCTCCTTTTGAAGTGTTTCAGATTCTCGGATCCCTGGATTTATTGCTTGCATCAAATTGTAATTTGTTTAGTCATTATTTTCTCATTTTTCTTTTTCTACCTCTTTCTTTTTCTTTATTGGACTCAAATTGCCATGCCTGATATTATTCTGTAAGATACTGCTCTTTTTATTTTTTAAACTATTTTGCCATTTGCACTTGGTTTGGATAGTTTCTGTTGCTATTTCTTGTAATTTACTAGCTTGTCTTATGATGTTGAACCAAATTGATAAATATTTTATTTCAGGCAATGTTTCTTTATTATGTCTATGTCTGTTTAATTCCTCAAGCACATTATTTATACAATTTTTACTAGCTAAATAAGAGTTCTTGCCTTCTAATTCCATACTACCTTGCCATTCTGACTCTTGTTCTATTGACTTTTTTCTTCTCCTGGTTATGTGTCACTTTCTTCCTGCTTATTTTCATATCCAATAAATTTTAATTGAATGCCAAACACTATGAATTTTACATTGTTAAGTGCTGAATTCTGCTGTTTTCCTTAAAGAGAGTTGAACTTAACTTAGTCCAGTAGTTATTTATTTGCAGATCAACTTGATAATTTTGAGGTTTAATTTAAAGCTTTTTTATTGTGGGTCCAGAGTAGCATTTACTCAAGAGCTAGTGTCACCCCTCCACTAAGGTGTGACCTTTTGGGGGTCTTTAGTTAATGGCCCTGTCTTCGTCAACTTCTCTTCATTCAGTCCAGTAGGGTATTAAATGATTGCTAGCCCTGTGGGAGCTTAGCAAATACTCAAGCTCACAACTCTATAGTAATATTTCTTTCTGTAGAATTTGTTATTTTCACATGGTCTTATCAATTTTTATCATACATATATGCAGATTAGTATTAGGTAAAGGACTCCAGGAGTCTCCCATACTGATTTTTGAGATTTTTGCTAAGCATGGCTCTCTCTCTTTTCCAAATTCTGCCCTGAAAATTCTAGCCATCTTCACCTCCATAAATTCTGATCTCTGTATCCTAACCTCACTGAATGTATTAAACTTAGCTACCATAGTGGTCCCAAAATTTCCTCCAGATGGAAATTCTGGGGGATTGTACATCACACCCTGTTGGTTTCTTTTCTCAGTAGTTGCAATCTGTTCTGCTTGTTTGTCCAATATCTAGGGGGAAAATTTTTTTTCATATATGTTGCCTAGTTTTCTGATTCTTTAGAGTGGGAGAGAAAATCCTATCTCAGTTACTTTCTCCTGGGGAAAAAAAAATCCCTCAATCTAGTTCAGATTTTACCACAGAGACAGTCATTTGAACCTTCCAGGACTTAGCATTGACATTTGTAGGGTATGATTGATGGTTTTTATGGTCCCATCCTCTCCTGGCATGCTGTCTTTATAACCCCTTCCTATGGCTCCACATACAAAGAGAGCAGAAATGTGATGAGCAATACCCCAGCACTGCTACCAGCTTGGTCAATTTTAGCGTAAAGATATTCCACAGGCAGGGGGGAAATGCTGCTGGAGAAAGCAGGAGCCCACAAGAAGGATAGTTCATGTGTGTGAATAAATAAAGCACTGCTGGAGTTTTTGACATTTTGGAGAGGAATTCATTATGGTTCATAGGTACAAATGTAATGACCTTCAAATGCCTAGTTATGTTTGCCAAACACATTATTCTTAAGACTTCTTAAAGGGTATTGTGAAAGTCTCGTGGACTATGTTTTTGTTGATTTCTTCCTCAACTGGATACCCATTGTTACTTCACATAGTCATCAGTACTACATTGGCCTATACAATAGTGATCAGAACATATACAAAGTATGAGGAACTGTGATGTCTACTACTCAGTTCTGCTCAAAACTAGCTGGGCAAGGCTGCTTGTTTTCTTATCCTTCATTTATCCATCTGTGTAAACATATAAAACTATGCTCCTTACCTAATTTCAAAATTGTTTAATTTAAAAATGACAAGATGAATATGTACTTCTTGTAAACTATAAAGAGACATAAAAATATGACAGGAGTAGCATAATACTATAAGTACATGGTGCTTTAAAATCTATGTGTTTCATTTGTTAATCTGTTTTGGAATGTTTCTTTTGCTCTTCAAATGTTTCTACAAACTCAGCATAGCTAACTGTGGTCCTTGAATATTTTATAGTGAGATGTTTGGTCTAACACTTGACAATGTGACTGAAACACATGTGCGAGTGTGTGTGTGCATGCATGTGTGTGTGCACATATATCTATGTGCACATGTACGTATGTAATATGTGTGAGTGTATGTCCATCCCCTGACTCAGTCTAGCTGAACCTCCAATAGAATACATATCCATGAGAACAAAAAATTTTCTAAAGATACTAAAATTATAAGGAGAAAAATATGGTCAAAATATGTTTACGGCTAATCTGAAATTAGAGCTACCTGTTTAGAAAGAAACCTATTCCAACAGAGAAGTCTGGAGGAATGAGTTGATGATCTTTACATATCTTAATTCCCCCATGTGTTTTATAAGAAGAAAGCAAAACTTTGAGTATCAGTATTCACTTGTTAGGATCTGGGGAAATAAATGTGGTTATTTTTCTTATGCATAAATATATTATAATAAGGATGAAGAAGAATTCTTCCCATTGGGACCCTTTCTGTGTGGCCACTGGATTGTTAAGAGTAATGGTCAGCACAGTGTGACAGGGACAGAATAATGCAGAGGTCTGTGGCACCGAATCAGATGTTGACACTGCCACTTATTAACCTTGTGACTGTGGCCAGGATAGCCCCTGCTTCTGGATCTGTTTCCTTGTCTTAAAGTAGGAAGGAATGTTCTAGATGGCTTATGCTGTCATCCTACTTAAGATTCTACTTGCCTCTGAGCCAGTGTTATGAAGAGAGTCCCTGGAACGCACACATTCAAAAGAATCTACCCCATGGCACCTAACATTCTGAGATTTCACAATTATTCCTGTGGACTAAGCTCTCATAATGCAGACACATATCTTTGAAGTTTAAATATACCAGGAATGTTAACATAGCACTGCCCATATGTCCATATGTATTTGTTGATGAGAGCCATTTCCTTTATGACAAAAAAAAGTGGCACAAATATTGTGTGAGCACCAGTTTATCAGAGATTTGCAATAGGCTTCCCTCAAATATTCATATAGTTCCTAAAATCCTGAGGTTAAATTTCACTGACGTTCCATTCAGAGAGTTGGTTCTGATTCACTCCATGCAACTCCCAAACAATCATTCCCACTGAGCACTATGTGGTTTGAGTTTGAGAGGCCTCTGATGGAATAGCTGTCAGGGAATAGTGGGACCATGTAGGGCAGGGGTCAAGATGGGACAAGGTGAAGCTGCTGCTCAGATCTCATGAATTAGGGTGGCACTAAATCTGGAGATGTGACACTTTACTAAACGATGAAGAGAGACCAGTACAACATGGGTCCTGAGCAATTATATTTGGATATTAATTACCTATAATATTTCACTATTAGAATTTAGGTTGTAAATTTCTTACTATTATAGTGTGACTCTGATTCATATGTGTGAATCACAGTAGGTTATAGAAATATATCACTGAAAGAAAACATAACAGAGCTGGTGAAAAGCTAACAACCGTAATCTGTAGACATACGTTGCCTACACAGAAAGGAAAAGTTTCTATTAATTTTCACATCATTAGTATTTAGCAGTTTCTAGCACTTAGTGTAGCTCAGTAACTCTGAAGGATTAAACTCCGTATTTAACATCATGGGAAAAAAATCTTCAAAATATATTTAAAATCTGACCACCTACATCACCTCCACTGCTACTACCCTGGGTTATGCCATCACAGTCTCTAGTCTTGTAGTAGCCACCCATAGTCCCTCTGATCATCACAGCAGCCTGAACGATCTTATTAAAATAAAACTCAGATCATGCAGCTACCTCTTCCCAAGCCCCACTGTGGCTTCCCTTTCTGACTAAGGGAAAGCCGATAATCTACAAAGCCATACATAATATGGCTGCCAGTTTCTGCTCTGACTTCATCAGCAAATTTGCTCTACTTGCCCACTCTGTTGAAGCCACAAGTCTTCCCTGTGTTGCTGTCAAGTACACTAGGCCCATCTGCAACACGACTTACACCTGCTCTTCTCTTTACCTGGCATGTTCTTCTCTCAGATCACATCACGTCTCGCTCACCAACTTGGGGTCTTTATTCATTCCACGGAGGCTTTCTCTGACTATTCATTTAGAATTACCATGTTCCCAACGTTCCTGATATACTTTGCCAACTTATTTATCCCCCACAGCAACTATTGCCTACCAACACTTGTATTTTGACTCATTTGCTTTTTTAAAGTTGTCTAGACTGCAAACAATAGACTGATTACAGTCTACTGAAGTAGACTGTAAACTCCATAAAAAGATGGTTTTTTGGTCCATTTTTACTGTTTTGAGGCTCTAGTGTCTAAAACAATGACTTACTCATGAAGGATACATGATAAATATATTTTCAATAAATGGATCAACGGATGGAAAAAGGGAAGAAACAGAAGAAATGAATGCTGAAGGACAACTAGTGCCTAGAAATAGGACTTTGAATTACTCCAAGAAAAGTAAGCTTTGCCTGGGAACATAAATTGAAATTCTTATTAGGCTTGTACCCTGCCAGGGCATGGGCAATTCACTGGAGTCAGAGGTTAAGCAACTTGCTTGGTATCACTCAGTGATTTAGTGGCAGAGCCGGGCCTGGAGCCAAGTCACAGGCTCCTTTACCACCACCCACCCATCCACCCCCTCAGGCACACAGACTTACTATGAATAATCATTTGCCAGCTTCTAGAATTCTTTTTTTTTCCTCTGGATCATGACTTTGCATTTTAGAAGTAAGAAATTATGGAAATTCAAGTTATAGAGTTTATGAATATAAAATAACAAGTAAAACAAAACCTTCTATGTATATTTTTATTCCTTTGCTCCTGATGACTGAAGGGACCTTTTGATGCCCCTTTCTATTAGTAACCACATTCAATAGTGAGTTGACAAGGATGTTCAGCTACTACTGATCATGTGCCTGCAACTCTAAGGCATGACAGAGGATCAAAAAGAACTTTGTGGCATGTTTCCTGCTGTTCTTATCTCATTGATGAACCAAAACTAATAATGAAAAACAAAAAAAAAAGAACAAAATATGAGGTACATGTGTTTATTACATTAATCTTGCAATGTATTTCTAGCATATAATAGTTTCTCAAAAATACTTTTAAGATGAATATTACTTAGAGGGAGGAATGGAATGGAGAGGGACTCTCTCTTCATGTTCTCTAGGGAATCAGGTGACAGGAAAAGTGAAAATAAAATATTTGTAGAACCATTGCTTATTAATAATGAAAAGAACTTTGGAGCTCCCCTCCTCTCCTGCCAGTGACTGGTTTAATATCACGCACCCTATGGGCAAACTGGGGTATGAAACAAATCATGTGATCTCAGTTTGGAACTAGTCCTCATTTCTTGCAATTTTTATACACTGAGCTGCGTTTATCTAAAAACCAATATTTAATGTCACATTCCAAAAAAAGACAGAATTCCAAAAAAAGATAGAAGAGAACTAAAATTTCAAGTGACATAACTATATATACCCAAGGTAAAGACATCAAACTGTAAAAAGGCAAGAAAATTAGGGCATATTAAGTGAGAAAGTGAGGATTTATACCCAGGTTGTTTGAGTTTAGGAACTATCCTTTTCTCATTAACTATATTGCCTCCAAACCTAGAATTTATAACCATCATGGATGTTGATATTTCAGTAGGAATAATTGGATCATAAAACCTTAATAAAGGTGATCTTGAAAGGGTATGAAATAAGTTGGGGCGTTTCATCCTTTCAAGAAGTAACACTGCTTTGCTTCCATTCTGCACATGAAGAAATTGAATTTCCCATTGTATAGAACTACAAAGGGTGGATGTGGATTTGAATTCAGTTCTATTTGACTACAAAGCCCCACCTCTACAAAGGACACTGGTTGCCTTGGAGAAGATACCCTGGGGAGTGGAGAGAACTATATAGAGTTCATGGAGGCTGGAATCACTAAAAGAACACTTCACAATTTGGTTGAGATTCTACTTTATTTTAAATAAGTATGAATGGAAATAGTGCCTTCCACAGTTAGGCAGACAACAGGAGTATCTAGCATGTACTAAGGTCTCAATATTTGTTCAACTGAATTATAATAATGTAACAATTATATAACAATTATAACTATACATTACTCATACTAATATTATAACTAATTATAATAGTATTAGCAGTGGAAGAGATCCGAGTTACCCGGAGTTACCGGCGTCCAATCCGTACAGATCTGCAACAATCCTACAGCAATCTCAATTCCTGCCTCCTCAGAAGAAGGAATTGGACTGAGGGGCATGAGGCAGAAAAAGAGACCAAGGCAAGTTCCAGAGCAGGAGTGGAAGTTTATTTTGAAAAGACTTTAGAACGGGAAAGAAAGGAAAATTTGCTTGGAAGAAACCCAAGCCGTACGCCTGAAGGTCTGAGACAGGAGAAGACAGCAAAAAAAGTAAATAAATTAAAAAAATAAAAATAAAAAGGCGGGTGGGGGGAACAGGGGTGGGGAACATTTAACCGTGATCCTAGAGTTTATAGGCTCGCCACTTCCCCTTGATTCTTCCCTTAAGGTGGGCTTTCCGCATGCGCAGTGCTTTCCTTACCCTTTGGAATTGAGCAGGAGCAGTGTGTTTAGGGAGTTACATACACGCTCATCTGAGGCATTTTTCCTTTTTCTGGTGGCGTGTGACCCGGAATGTCACACTTTGACATTTTGTCTCTTAACAGGCATCCCCAAGAAGCTGCTTCTCCCGGGGGCCTTCATTCAATTAACACTTGTAATGTTAACCGGTGTGGACAATCAGGAGCTTGTCTCTCCCTGGCTGCCGAATTATCATTTTTAGAGAGGCAATGCGATAATTACTGAACCATCACCCGAAAGCCCCGTCTTGCCCCGGCGCACGCCTATCTACCCGGAACAATATTAAATCACTTTCACAGGACCTCAGAGCAGTATATCCAGAACCTAAAATTATACTATTAATGTTATTTATTTGCATATTTGTCTCTCTTACTAAACTTGAAGACTCATGAGGGCAAAGAGAACGTAATATTTCTCCCTACATCAGGTGCTACTATAAACATTCATGTAGTAAACAGTCGAGAAACAAATGAGTTTGTTTCTATGAGATATTCAGGGTAAATATTATTTTTAGAAAAAGGAGGCTCTGAGTGATTACTTTTCTGCCAAACTAGCAAGTGGTGAAATCGGTATTTGAATTAGAATTTTCATTAATTAATTCAATCTTACATTATTTATATTCTACGTTTCAGTAGATGTTATATTACCTCTCCAATAGAAATGTGAACATTTTTCTCTCTTCTTTTTTTACCTGAGCATTCCTACTTCCAGTCACCTGGGAAATTTTTTAAAAATATGCCTGGACATTGTAAGTCATTTAATGCCTTCTCTGTCTCCTTTCCAAGTCTCTCAGGTCAAAGATTTTGCAAAGCCCCTATAATTGTCAGATAAATAAAATCACATTGCTCATAATTACCAGGGACAATTCTGTGTAATTAGATGTTAACTCTAGTATCCCCTCTCCTTTATGACTCTGAATAAATACCTGTTCCTGTCTCAGTCTGGGAAAAAGCTTGGTGGAAAATGTAAATGCTTTGTTGCTCTCCGTGTAATTAACTACCATTAAAAGCCACTAATTAGATCATAAGTTTTAAATAAGTTGCCCTAATTACCTTTGGTACATGGTGTATTGAGTCAGGAGGCCAAGTCCCTCAGAGCCAAGAAAACTTGGCTGTGTCACTAAGAGAATTAACAGGGCTATTGGGTTCCTTTTTCCCCCATTTATAAATGGGAAAATGAGAACATAGGGAATGGGATGGATACAGGCAGAGGTAAAGATTGTGGGTAAAATATGTATGCCTGGGCAAAGCCAATCAGGGAATATCTCATATTGTCTCTCCGGAAAATTTCTTATTAGCATGCAAGATGGAATGACAACAAAGATTGTTATAGGACAGAGCCCACCACCTCCTAACTACCTATGTGTGTTGAATGAAAGGCTGAATAAATGGGTGAATGAAAAACTGGATTCGAGGCAACATGGCTTGATAGTTAAGAACCTCAATTTTGAAATAAAAACAATTTATAGGTTTGATTTTTTTCTCAGATAATAGCTGAGTTTGAGAAACTCCATGAAACTGTTTTCTCATTTGTAATGAGAGATAATGACTACTAACACCCGGTTTGTGATGATTTAAAGACAATGCGAGACTAGTATTTCCACATAGTAAGCTCTCAATAAATGTTAGCAGTGATAATGATGATGTGGGTAATGATGAGGATGGTGATACAAAAGGTGCAGTTTAGAAGTTCTCAAATGAGCCTCATTGCTGAAGATATCACGAGCTCCTTTTTGTTGCTGTTGTTTTTGTTTGCGTTTTTTGGTTCCATCACACCATTAGACCACCGCTAACAAATTGATACCAGAACATTTGCTAGGCCCTTGGTTAATGCTGGAGCAATTAAAAAAGAAAATGCAGTTCTTACTTTAAGAAGTAAACATTCTGGTAAGGCTATTGATGTGAAAAAATAACACCATTTGTGAGACAACAGTAGCCTTTACAAGGCATTGTGTGAAAAGAAGCCCAGGAAAACATCATGAATAGGTAACATCAATGATCCATTTATTGAATCATTCCCATCTTAAAGTATTTAATATATGGTCATTGTTGCAAGGAGCTATAACAAGATAATGATAATAATGGTAAGAGCAATAGCTAACATTATTTGAGCATATATTATGTGCCAGAATCTGTTCTAAATGATTTATGAATATTAACTAATCATCAGAAGAAACCTGCAAGTAGAAACAGTGAAATGGAGGTTCATAGTGATTTCATTAGTTGCCACCATTAACCTGTGAAAGTCTGCAAATGGTAAAGTCAACATTCAAATACGACATCTAGTTACAAAACTGGAGTTCTTAAACCATACACAAGACTGTCATGATTGTGAAGGGAAATAATTGGGGTTTCATTCACTTTGAACTGAAAATTATGAAAGCTAAGTATTCTATTAGTATTTCCCATTCACTTTCCCTGGGCATCAGCTTCTTCATCCTGTGAGACTCAGGGAAGGACTAGATGGCCTCTTGGGACCCTGTACGTGTTTCTGTTTGATGTTTTCTTATATCACTAAGAATCTGGGTAAGCCAAACCTTCTCATGCATACTAGTCTCCATAGAGCCAAGGCCAAGCTTCCACTTGACATAGAGCCAAATACAAACATTTGTCTTGTGTCTCTGCCTCTCTATTTCCAAAAGAGAGTACCACTCTGCTCTATTAGCATGTTGTATGACAACGGCTGTCTCTGCTTTGGCTCCTCATGACTGCTCAATATGAATATTCAATAGAAATTAGGTAGACATTCTGACACCACATTTACATTTCCCATGGGAAACAATTCAATTTACCCAGATGGGGTCAGATATCCATTTGTAGACCAATGATATTTATGTCGTGTAATTCTCTCTCCTTGATTGCAAACTTCAAGTTCCTTGCTTCTAATAAGTAGCCTCATGGCCAGGTATTACAGCACAGCTGTGCATGACCAATTTTGCAGGAGCTATAGGTGTAGGTTCTCTGCAAAGGGAACCTAGGAAAGATGGGAAATGTTCTAGCATGTCAGTTCTTAAACCTAGTTACGTATCTGAATGTGTTTACTCAGTTATTCAACATATATATAATGAGCATGTATTATAAGTAAGGCAATAAGCTGAGTGCCTGTAATTTATAGATAAAGGACACAGTTCCTATTTTCAGTATATAATTAGAGTATATTGTGATAAGTTCTGATAGGCTTATGCCCAAGTTTCTAGTATAAGAAGTGTTGAAAACTTGCTCTAATCAAGATGAGGCATGGCCAAAAATGGTTTTATGAAAGAGATGGATGCTAAGCTAATCCTAAAATTGATAATGATAACCACTATGCAGAGCAAGCTGTAGGAAAGAAATTTCAGGCAGAGAGAGGAGCACTTGCAAAAGATATTAGTGGATGATCATTTTTGGAAACATTGGCATAAACTAGTAAGAACATCAGAAATTTTTGAAATAGAGTCCAGTATCAGCCTTTTATGATACAGATAGCTATTAAATTCTTAGTGTTCTGCTTAAAACTGAGTGGGAAGGAAATTAGCTTTGTCCTTGGTATGTAAGTTAAGGGGAGGAATTCTGACATGAGAAGGAGCGTTTTGGATTTCTCCATTTCTTTTTGGTTTACTGTGAGATACAAAATTGCTTAAAATTTTAAATATAAGAAGACATACATAATTTACAATAATGGAATGTTAAAGCAACTAAAAGGTTATTTGTTGAAATTAAAAAACGTCCGTTTTGGAGAAAATATTCATTTCTGTCCAGAGATTATTTTTGTCCACCATGAGGCAGTGAGGTGTTTTCTATTTCCCCATTTTTTCCTTCCCTTAGGGACTTGGAGCAAAACAATGGGGATATTTGTAATGATCTATCTGTCTCTGTATTCTTTCTGAGGTCTGAATGACAAGTCAAGCAGAGAAATTGAATTTTTCACTTCTCTAAACACTTTTGGCCCCTAGGAACACTGGAAAAGGTCAAGAATTTTGCAACACATTCTTCCCTAGGCTACAGGATCAAAACTTCTTTTTTAAAAGGTTGTCCAAGGCCCAATGAGATAGTCAGGTGTGATGGAGAATATAAACAGCATTTGTGTCCTCTGTGGTAGCGCGTCCTCCCCTTGGGAGGTTTACTTTGAAGACAGTTTCTCTAGAGAGATTTGTTGCTTTCATTAGAGCAACTTTAGAAGAAAAAAAAACATAAACTGGGAAATGTGTGGGTGAAGATTCTTGCTTTTCATGCCCTCCCCTTTTATTTTCTATTTTTACTTTGCTCTCTTCTTTCCCTTTTTTCTTTTCTTTCTGTTATTTCTCTCTACTAGCTGCTTTTATCTTTTTTCTTAAATTTTTAAAACAACCTCATTGTCAACTTTTTTTATTTTGCTTTGTTAACCCGTGTGATAAGTATCCTCTAAACTGGCTCAAAATGATCCTCTCCTCTGATATTCATGCCCTTTGTAATTTTCTCCCTTCGATTTGTAAGTTGGACACACTGTCTTGCTACTAATAAGCAGAGGATGATAAAAGTTACAGGATGTCACTTCCAAGATGAAGTTAGAAAAATTATATGAATTTTATCTTGCTTGTCCTCCTTTTGCTCTCACTTTCACGGTCCTCCCTCTGCCTATGAAGAGGCCCATGTGGCAAGAATTTGATGTTTTCAAACAATAGCCACTGAGAATCTGAGGCTATTCAGAGTCCATAGCCTTCCAATCACCATGAGAGTGAACTTGGAAGAGGATCCTTCTCCAGTCGAGTCCTCAGATGACAGTCAGCTTGATTAGCATATTAATTGCAGCCCAAGTAAAGATCTTGTGGCAGGGGACCCAGCTAAGTGCCCCTGATTTTATGACCCACAGAAACTATGAGATAATGTGTGTTGTTTTAGGTCACTACATTCTGGGGTAGTGTGTCATGTAGCAATAGATAATTAATGCAACCTATGATGTTTCATGTTTCTCCTCTTCATTAACTCTTTCATTTGAACCTCTTTCAATTCCTCTTTTGTCTCTGTCATAGTTCTGGGGTGCACTAATTTCAAATTGTGTGTGACGTTTAAAACTATAGAATGCTTTGCTCTCAGTAACCATCAAACCAAATCACGTATTTGCAAACATCACCTGCATAATGGAAAGGTCAGCACCCTGGTCTTCCTTTAATTGTACTGTTTGGTAAATATTCATGTTTCATTTCATTAAATCTCTTTTCAGTGGGCAGCTACTATCTTTAATACATTGTACCAGCTGCCATATGGAATAGGAAAATGAATGAGGCACATCTCCTGCCATCAGTAATATTATCATTTGGAATAAAATGATCATTTGGAATAAAATTAAAAAGTAGAAAATAAAACATCTCACAAAAGGGATTTTCTTAGGAATCCTTGTGTGTAAACAAGTGGGAGAGATCACTTTCTTTCAGGAGGATTGGGAATGGCTCTATGAAGGGAGAACTTTATGCTGAATCCTGAAAGACGTGCTAGATTTGTGTATGTTTATTCATTTTTCTGTGCACTTCCCTTCCACTTGACAACTCATTTCTCTTACATCGCTCATACTATCAACTCCTACTTACGACACAAGGAGGACAAAGAGCCACCCTCCACAATCTTTCTGGTGGTTGATTATTTACCTTTTCAATTCTTCCCCAGCCTTGACTAACTTTGTCTATTCAAGCATTTCTCAAATAACTACTTATTTGACTCTTTTCCTAATCAAGGAGAAAAATACAATTCAAGGTGAACGGGACAATTTACTCTGTGTTGGTCTTTACGCTAGTATAGCTCAGATGGAAGAGGTCAGAATGGGACCAGAAAACGTAGAATAATACAGTGTTAGAATATTTTAAAGGTTATTTTTTGGAAAATAAAAAGGACCATTCATTGGAAAAGAGATTTTTTTTAAATAGATCACCCATTATTTATGTGCCACATGGGACAGCAGGGTGATCTCCATTTCGCATTTTTTTCTTTCCATGAAGATTTGGAGCACAACTGTAGAGACATGTGAAATGTTTCATGCATTACTGTGCTCAGTTCTGAATCTTCACTGAACTTTGTAATACACTTTTTTTTTTTATTAGGGAATGGAAACAAGGGACTTGAGTTTTATCTAGAAAATAGGCCAGGAGAGGTGGCTCACGCCTGTAATCCCACACTTTGGGAGACCGAGGCGGGTAGATCACCTGAGGTCAGGAGTTCAAGACCAGCCTGGCCAACATGGAGAAACCCCATCTCAACTAAAAATACAAAATTGGCCAGGCGTGGTGGCACATGCCTGTAATCCCAGCTACTTGGGAGGCTGAGGCAGGAGAATCGCTTGATCCCAGGAGGCGGAGGTTGCGGTGAGCTGAGATCTTACCATTGCACTCCAGCCTGGGCAACAAGAGTAAAACCCTGTCTCAAAAAAAAAAAAAAAAAAAAAAGAAAAAGAAAAAGAAAAAGAAAATAAACATATTTATAGAGATCAAAAAAGTAAATAATTTAGGATGCTTAGCTTTGACTTTCCAAATTGCATTTTTTTATGAGACATGCAAGATCTAAATATCTAAATTTGATTCATGTCATTGCCATAAACTTTTAAGTAACCTTGATCAAATTACTGAAAAGATATTTTAATTTTTAATATTTAACTGTGAAAAAATTTTGGGAAGCTGAAGCCTGAAACATAATCATGTCAATGACACAGTAATTTACATCCCTGAAAAGTTATCATAATAAATCATTCAAAATAAAGGGATATGTTGGAAACACCCTAAATAATCAACAATAGGAAAATGGGATTCCATGATATGGCAGATTGACCCAATGGATTCTTAAGCAGCCATTAAAATAATAATTAGGAAGATGAAATCATAAATGTGGAAATATTTATAATGTGATACAAACAAAAGGAAGAAAATGCTAAATTACATGTAAAACATAATTATAATTATGTAATTCACATTTGAACAAGAAGATAAAATCACCTGCTATATTAGAATGTATGTTTTTTGAAATTTTAATGCAAGTTTTTCTCAAATAGAGCCAGATTATTTCTTTGGTAGGGGCAAGGGGCATCTTGCCTGTTATAGAATGTTTGCTGGCTTCTATATTCTAGACTCCAGTAACACTTCCCCAGTTGTGACAAACAAAAATATTCCCAGACTGTGCCAAATATCCCCTGGGAGAGGAAAAATTACCTCCAGTTGAGAACCACTGTTGTAGTAAAATGCTTTCATTATTTTTCCAACATTATTTTAAAAAGAAAGAACGCCTATAAATAAAAGTGAAAATAATCTTTACCCTTGACCTAAAGTTCTCTTCAGCAACTTACTCAGAGAATAGTTTAAATAAGCAATGTTCTGCTTATATCAGACAAGGGAGTAAAGCCTTAATGCGTGTTGACCTGCTTGAAGATGTCAGCAAACCCTACCATTCCTCTGAGCACTTGCAAAATGGGGGAAAGAAATCAGTGCATGTTATGTAAGAATATCTTCTACTGACAGTGCAGAGTATTTTTATCCTGGTGAAAGTTGCCTCTGGGCTCTGAAACCCTCTGTCAGGGAGTAAAGAAAACTAATTGCAGTGAAAATATCTTTTTAGGCAACCTGCCTGTCACCAAATTCTATATGTAGGGGAAATGCACACTTCCTTTAGAAGATGTTTCAATGGAAGCCAAACCTCAGCGTTCTTTTTAGGGCTGGGGAAACTTCTACATAGTGTAGAAACTTTAGTACAATTCAGAAAATATTAAAATTTCAAGGAGCCATGGTACTCAATCACCTGGCTTGACCCCTTATTTTATATTCAGGGAAACCGGAAACCAGAAAAGTTAAGTCACTTGCCAGTTCAACACACCTAATTATTTGCACAGCATACAATTAAGCCAGGTCTTCCTAAAGTTTTTTATCCTTCAGGCACACTTTGTCCTTAAAGGGACATTTCCTATCCCTGCAATTGTATATCACTGAAAAATAATTTATTTATTTTAGATAACTACATCTTCCACCTTGCTTGACAGATGAGTTGGTCTTAAAATATATGGTAAAATTCAAACATTTAGTGAATAAACATTTATAGCGTGCTATGTGCCCAGCACTGTGCTTCAGAGTCAATTTGTAATATTAGAATAAATATGTAATACACATTTTCTGTTATTGTCCTAGCTCCACACATTCTGCTAGACATGCAAACACATTCAATCAATGCTGACTAGGGAGCCAGAAGAGTTAGCTTGGATCTAGATTTTTGAGGCTCTGTAACTGTACTCCTTAGAACAATTCCTCCATTCTTCTGCTTCAGCTCAGCTTTCCAGCTTTTCACGTTACCATGAGCCAACATACGTGTTAACGCATATGCAATAACCCTGTTACAAAAGAATTGTGATAACTGCCCATGGAAATCAGGCTTCTGGATTTGTCCTGCCACTTTGGTCTTTCCATGACGCCTTTGGGATGGACAAATCTCTGGATCTGGGATTTTTCTGGAAAATGATTTGCTGGAATGCCAAATAGGGATCAAAATGCTCTCTCATTGGAAACACATGAGGAAAAAAATAGAAACAGGAAAGAAACGAGCAAACAACAAGTGGCATCCATGGACCCTTAGCATTTTCTCTACACTGGGGTAGTGAAAGCTTCACTGGGTGGAGAATCAGGAGACTGATTATAGGTCTGGTTCTATGACTGTTGCAAAACTGTTAACCTCTAAGTATTCCCAGTTTCCTCATCTGTTTAATAGGAATAGGATTACTGTGCCCAGTAGCCAATGTGCAAGAGAAGAGGTGGTGACTAAGATAATAAGATGTACTATTTGTTGAAATGAGTGGCCATAAGAACTTTGCAAGCCGAGAATATTTAAAGGAAAGATTTCAATATATATGTTATTCAGACAATGAGCATCTATTTTATTTTTCTTTAAGGTAGACAGATACAACCAAATCAAATAAGTTTTTTTTTTTTGTCTGCATAGCGAGGACATTATGATGTGTACATTTAACTCAATGAGGCCTAGATGAATAGTGTCTTATTCCAATCAGATCATACAAATTAATGTTTAGGGATGTGGAAAATAACTGGATTGGAGAAAGAAAATGAACAAAATTTGAGTCAATAGTGCCTTAGGTTGAGCTTCCTAGAAGCAGAGTTTGAGTTGGGGATTGATGATAAGTTGCTTATTGAGGGAGATATCATACAGAAGAAATCTTTAAAGGAGTAGGAGAAGAAAAGGGCATGGGATGCCTCCAAACAAAGGTGTCTTTGCAGCTGAAGTCTAACTTCGAACCCAATCCCAGGGAATCTCAGGAGTATGAATTGTGTCTCAGGGCTGGTTTCACATTGTGGTTAGGGTGTTAGCCTTTTAATCTCAATTTATATCAGTCTTTGTCTTCAGGCACCCTGTGGGGAGATGTAAATGCCTATGTTTCTTCCAGCAGAGTGACTCCTGTTGGCTGAGGGGAGTAAACCGTGAGCCATTAGCATCCGACACTTACAGCATCTGGAGAACTGGTGCACCAGCCAGGCAACAGGAATCTGGGTTTGACATCCATAGCATCTATTAAATATCACAATACAAACTTCCTACGTCTTTAACCTTATCCCGTCTTCTCCCTCACTTTGCCAAGATTTGAACTTCCTGCAGATTTTTACAGACACTAGACATTCTTTTCCGCCCTTTTTGACCACAACATGAACTGAATATGAAAAGGTCCCCTTCTGCTCCTATTCTTCTCATTTGAATGTATATATCTTTCAAGGAAAAGATTTTGTTTGTCTGTTTGTGTGTTTGTTTTGGTTTTTGTTGTTTTGTTGTTGAGATAGGGTCTCGCTCTGCCACCCAGGCTGGAATGCAGGAATGCAATCTTGGCTCACTGCAGCCTTGCTCTCCCAGGCTCAAGCAATCCTCCCACCTCGGCTCCTGGAGTAGCAGGGACTACAGGGTTTCACTATGTTGCCCAAGCTGGTCTCGAACTCCTGGGCTTGAGCGAGTCTCTTGTCTTGGCCTCCCAATGTGCTGGGATAGCAGGCATGAGCAACAGCACCTGGCCAAGAAACGGTTCTTGACCTCCCAAATCTGTAGTGGCTATCCTTCCTTCTGGAGACAGATGCCTGAATTTATTTATTGTTGTATCCCTAGAGATTGGAACATCCCTGTATTTCTAGCCTGGAATGGAGTTGCCAATGAATATTTTGCCTTCAGATGGAAAGAAATAATGAATATTCTAATAATGTGAAAATATTTTTCTCCACTCAGCCTTAGTGCTTAAAGTTACTGTGTGAAGATAGTGGCTCTGTACAATGCAACTCTCTATTTTCTACAATATTTAGATCACTGTTTATTACAGGGTGGGTACTTACTATTGATTGATAGCTTATGATTGTTACTACTTTTTACCTTGGCTTAGGTGCAGTCTACATTTTTCAGCTAGGAAAGCAAATGTTTAATTATGGTTTTTAATTCAACTCAAAGTATAAAGTGATGAACTTTTTGAGTTGAAAGTCATCAAAATAGGCCTTGTTCTTAATGAAAAAATTGTCTCTACAGTTTATCTTGGGTGTACCTGTACAGTGTCTGCTGCTTGAAACCCTATAGCTTTGAAGAACTCACTGCTTCCAAGGAGAGGCTTCTCTGTCATTTAAAGACTCAGGAGTTTTAGCAGTTTCTCATATTGAATCAATATTTTTCCCTTTACCTTATGGGACTCTTTGGACAAAAATTAACTTCAGGATGCCATCAGAAATGTAGCGGACAGCAAGCTGGCATTTTTCTACTTTTGCCAGGGTGTCCTGCCCTCCCTGCAATTCTGACTGAGGGATCATGGGAGAAACTCTGAACTTGGGACTAGTTGGGGGCATAGAGGGAGTGTCAATGCTTGGCTGGAAGTTGTCCCTCAGAGCAATCATTGCCCAGTGTTTTTGGCTTTAGCTCAACCTGCCTACGTGACAGTCCGTCCTCACTGACTCAGCCTTCTATGTCCAGACAAATGATTCACTCCCAGTGCATTTTTCTGCTCTTACTAAATAGGCCCTCTAACCATCCCTCTATCTTTCAATTCCAGCTAACAGCTTGGACAGCAGGTTTTTTTTAAATATTACGAAGTAAGCATGCTTGGCTAGAGAAATCCTGCGGGCTTCTCTCTGCAAAAGCTTCCTCACATCACCCAGGCCCATAGAGATTGCTATCTTCTCTAAACTCATGGCAAAGCCCATCTTATACATACTATTTATTTATCTATTGACAAATTGTTTACTAGCCTCTATCATTTCTTAATTTTTAGCTAAAACATTTTAAGCACTAATTATAGGCCAAACATAGTGTTAAACATTTTGCACACATCATCTCATTTAATTTTCACAAAATTTTTGAAATTAGTACTATTTTAATTCAGATCTCAGAGAGGAGAAAATAGAGACAGAAAGAACTTAAATAGTTTGCCAAAAAACATACAGCTAGTAAGTGGAAGAAACAAAATTGTCCTCAGATTACAGGGTCTAGCAGGTAGGTCTCTTACCCGTTATTCTTATGCTAATGTATAGGTTGATACCTGCCTTTAACTTATTTCATGACATTTGACATATCACCTCATGTCTCTTGGCCTTATTTTCTTTACATTAAAAAATAAAAGAATATTTGAGTTCAATGTTTCCCAGTACAATTAATTGCATGTAACAACTATATTCTTTACTATAGGTCATATTAAGTAGGAAGGTAAGAAGATGGGATGGAACACACAACTCTCTCCAGTGGGGGATATGACGGAATAAAAAAACCCACTGATGGCACCTGCTAAAATCTTTATGTGCTTCTGCAATAGGAAAGCCAAGAAACAACTCAGAAAACTGATTCTCACTCATTTGTATGTACCAACATTCTCAATGATGTTATTTATTTCAGTTCTTAGACTCTCCCATACTCTGAACTTAGAAATAAATTGAGCACACTTCAAGTCATTAAATCCATTTGGGAACGAAGGCGGGAAAAGGAGAGAAGGCAAAGTTTACCATGTCACTGTGTGTGTGTGTGTGTGTGTGTGTGTGTGTGTGTGTGTGTAATAACTTTAAAGATAACTTCAAAACTTCCCATGATGGAGACTTCCAGTTATCTACTACAACATCCATTTTACACTTTCTTATTATTGCCTCCTGAAACACAAATATCATGAAAAAAGTAATGTAATTGGTTTGTTTGTAACTCAAAGGATAAATGCTTGAGGGGATGGATACCCCATTTTCCATGATATGTTTCTTTCACATTACCTACCTGCATCAAAACATCTCATGCATCCCATAAATATATACACCTAATATGAACCCACAAAATTGTCATTTAAACTCTAGCAGTTTTCTTGGTCTTAATGACGAGGGATTAAGGGCAGTGAGCTGCAGGAAGTAGAATTACTGAGGACTTTGTGGCTCTCCCATGCCAGTTTTGGACAGCCTACTTTCTGACATCTTGTAACAGATAAGCCTTAACTTGTTTAGTCCACTAAGCTACCACAATTTGGATTTTTTTTTCATTTAGGCTGCTAAATTAGCTAAGATAGGGCATAAAAGGGGAATTTAAAACTCAGCACTGAGTTTCCTAGTAGCTCAAGTAAAGAGGGAACTAGAAGAGTGTATTAGTGAAGGTTCTCCAGAGAAACAGAACCAATAGGAGATGATAGATAGATAGATGACAGATAGATAGATAGATAGATAGATAGATAGATAGATAGATAGATAGATAGATAGAGATAGATAGATAAATGATAGAGAGACAGATAGATAGTAAGAAAGCTAGCAGTGTAATTCAGTCCAAGTCTGAATGACTAAGAACCAAGGAAGCCAATAGTGTAAGTCCTGAAGTTCAAAAGTCCAAAATCCAGAAGGGCAGAAGAGGATGGGTGTCATGCCTCAAGAAAACAGATACCGAAAATTCACTCTTCCTTTAACTTTTTGTTCTATCTTGGCCCTGAAGGGATTGGATGATGCCCACTCACGCAGGTAAGGACAGATCTTCTTTGCTCAGTCTCCTGATTCAAATGCTAATCTCTTCCAGAAACACTCTCATAGACACACCCAGACATAATGTTTTGTCAGCTTTCTGAGCATTGCTTAGCTCAGTCAAGTTGACATGTATAAGTAACCATCACAATGAGTATCAGAAGATGAGTCTTGAATCATATAAATCTGATACAAAACAATATATCTTCTTTTTTAAATGAAAATTAATGAGGAATTATATAAGAGCCACAAAAGAAGATTTCTATAATCAATAATTCTCAAGCATCTAATGTCCCTTATCCACCATTGGTGACTTTCATGCTTAAGTGTAGTGACTACATGATGAGTCACAAAGGAAAATTATCTATTACAAAAGGGGGCACGCATACCCCTAATATTTCTCATAGTCCTGTCTTTATTTGATTTGTAATTTGTCTTATGGGCTAATTTTTCCATGGTCACAAGAGTCTGAATCTCTAAGAAACATCATATATTTCCATTGACATCTGATTCTCCCACAACAGGCAAGACCACAGACTATCTGTCCTCTTTTCCACTCTCCGTTAGTTATTCTTTCAAGTAGAAATCATGTTCTTTCATGAATAGTGGATGTACATTGAGAAGGAAAATTTAAAAAACAAAATAAAACAAAATCAGGATCCCCAACCCAATAGGGGTCATAAGTCAGAGATTATTGCTACAGGCACATGTGCCCCAAGTGTGGGTATTCCATCAGAAATGAATGGAAATATTCTTATAACAGGAAAGGAAAAAGGACATTTTTCTGATAATCATTGAATGATTTATTTTATTTGTTAAAGATTCTCCCCTCTACTCTCAGCAGAAACAAAGTGTATGATCACAGAAATCTAGATCTTCAGAGCTGCAAGGACACTTAGAGATTCTCTGGACTATATCCTACAGTTAAGCATTCAGAAATTGGGCCTGCATGACAAAGAGAAGAGTCAAGTTCTAGGAAATACATAAATTAAATAGAGAGCCAAAATTAGGAATCAGGCCTCCTGAAACGTAATTTCAGAAGGGCTGTTATAAAAGGATCTTCATATGTCACAGATAAGTTTTTATTCCTGACACATTGCCTAAGGATCATCATGGGTTCTCATTCTATATTTCACATTTGTTTCATCTTCTCTTCTTATAAAGTTTAGAAAAAATGTCAGAGAAATAAATAGTTGTATTTGATGAACACACTGTAAGATACGGAGGGTCATTTGTTCCACAGGTCATCATAGATATCCCTTCCCATGAGAGGAAATGGGACTCCTTTTAAAAAAGCAGGGCCATGTAATATTAATACAGTATCATGGTTTAGAGAAGGGGCTCCTATTTAAAATCTGGTTTTGTACTTATTAATAATTAAGAAATCTTGATTACATTATGGAATACCTTTGAGCCTCAGTTTTCTAGTATGTTAAAAAAAGGATTCAAACTACCCTGTATATCATAGGCTTTATTGTAAGAACAAAGAAGATATCTGTAATATGTGCAGCAAGAGTTTTTCATATAAGAACTTGATAATTTTAGTTAGTTGTTTTTATTTAAACAATATTCTCATCCTTGGGCTGGGTGGTAAGCCTTTTCCCCAGAAAAATTCATTAATTCACTCAAAGATTAGAGATTAAGGGTAATTAGAGCTCAAATCTTTTGGCTGCGGCTCATTCCTGGTACCTCAAGTAAAGAATGTGAGATACATTTCTGAATACACTTCGACTTCAAAGAAGATACTGAAGAAAGGAAAGTTTTCATGGATGAAATGGAATGTAAGTACCAACTCCAAGAGCACATAATTTGAATGGGGAAAAGAAGAAAGGTTGTTAGCATGAAAAAATCTCAGACTGACAATGTGTAAGGCATTTGAGGGGAACAGAGAAGATGTAGAATGTCATGAAAAGATAGCAGTAGGGCTTTAGTTATGATTTAATTCCACCCATTCATTTGATAAAGGACAAACCTGTCACCAGGAGAGGTGACGAGATATATCCAATAATAAAGTGTCCAGTCTCTTGATTTCTAGCTCATTGTATGACAGTATGCTATGGTTACTGACAAATAATATATGTTTTTTCATTTTCAAAGCCTCAGCAAATATTTTACACCATTTCTGGTGCAGAGAGAATGCTCAACAAATAGGGTGACTATGTAATTTATTGTTAAAATCAGGGTTAAAGGGGTTTCTAATTATAATTACGTCAGAGCAACTTCCATAAACTAGTACTATCACAGGCAAACTGAGATGTGTGTTTGTTGTATGAATAAATATCTGTCAATTAACTACAGATTAATTGCTAATTGTCCTGCTTTTTCTTAATGATCCAACTTCCATGTGATTTTCTGAGATTTCTTTGGTCTGTTGTTTGTCACCAACAAAATTTTTTTTTTCCAGAACAGAGCAGATTTTTAACATTCCTAGGTAACTGACGCATGAGGTAGATTAAGCTTGGCATTGATTAATCTTTTTGACCTGAGCCAAGGCCACTTTCCATAAGACCTTTTGCCCTCTATTACTAAACCCATTGTAAAATGTTTATCCAATTGACTATTTCTCCACCAATTCCCTCTACATTAACCTTATGGATTAACCTTTGACGTGCATTGTATCAAAAGTCTACTAGAAGTCTAAGTGAATTATATGCATGGTGACTGTCACCTCCTTTGAAAAATTAATCAACTTCATTAAGCAAGTGTTCCCTACGGACATCTATTGTTACAGGTCTCTGCAAACTGAGAGAGACAGAGGAGGCCAACTGCTATTGTGAAAAGATCTCTGGCTTGAGGATCTAAACCCCTGCACAGCCGTAGCCAGGGCTGTGACCTTGAGATATCTGCACATAATCTTGGTGAGGCTAAAGAATGCAATGTAATGATTGAAATGTGTGTTCTGAAATCACAAAAAACATGAACCCTCTACTAGATGTGGGACTTTGAGCAGGCTATTTCATTTGCCAAAACCCCAGGGTTTACATTAGTAAACTGGAGATGATAGTGGTAACTCCGTATTATTTAGGATATGTGTGTGAGAAAGCTCCTAACATTCCATGGTTTAAATAATATATTGGCATTGATGTACACCCCTTTCCATTATGTTTTTTACTAGTTGTTTTTCATGTGTTGAATTGTGTCTCCTCAAAAGATGTTGACGTTCTAATCCCAAGTACTTATGAATGTAACCTTATTTGGTAATAAGGTCCTTGCAGATGATCGAGTTATGATGAGGTCATTAGGGTGATCCATAAGACATTTTGATTGATGTCCCTGTGGAAAAAAAAAAAGCAGATGAGGAATTTGGATATAGAGAGAGACATGCACAGAGGAAAGATGATCCAAAGACAGGGAGAAAGCCATCTGAAGCCAAGGAATGCCTGAGGCCAGCAGAAGCTGGAGGAGGAAAGGAAAGAGTCTTCTCCTACCCTGATTTCTGACTTCTAGCCTCCAGAATTGTGAGACAATAAAATTCTGCTGTTAAGCCACCAGGTTGTGGTACTTTGTTGCAGCAGCATCATTAGAAAACTAGTGCGTTGTGCTAGAGAATATACAATTTAAGGATATACAATATATATTCTTAAATTTTTATTTAAAATTTTCCTTTTTAAAGTTTTAAGATTCAGCTTAAAGTTACCATTGTACCACTGTAAGTAATATATAAGACACTCAAAACAGCAGAAATCTACTTAACCATCCTACACTCCTTATAATACAGTTCTCATGTGCCTTATGATCACTTATCATAAGGTTAAAATTATTTTAAGTACTCACATATATTCTAAAGAAGTTAAGAGAACATTTATAATTTATAATTATCCATATAGTTACCATTTTCATTCCATTTTTTCCCCCCTGAAGATTCAAGTTTCCATCTGATATTATTTCCTTTCAAGCTGAAGAATTTCCTTTAGGATTCTTTCTAATGGTATCAAATTCTCAAAATTTTCTTCTATCTTAAACATTCTTTACTTCACCTTTATTTTTGACACTTTTTTTGGATATATCATTAGAGGTTTCAGTGTTGTTTTATTTTTCTTTCAGTTCTTTTAAAATGTCAGTTCATTGTTTCTGATAAGTCAGTGATTATTTAAATTTTTGTTCCTGTATATGCTATGTGTCATTATTATTTTTGATTGGTTTCAAGATTTTCCAATTAATTTTAAGGCCTGGTGCAGTGGCTCATGCCTATAGTCCCAGAAGTTTGGGAGGCCGAGGCGGGCAGATCACGAGGTCAGGAGTTCGAAACCACCCTGGCCAACATGGTGAAACCCCGTCTCTACTAAAAATACAAAAATTAGCCGGGCATGGTGGTGTGCGCCTGTAGTCTCAGCTACTCAGGAGGCTGAGACAGGAGAACCGCTTAAATCCAGGAGGCGGAGGCTGCAGTGAGCTGAGATCATGCCACTGCACTCCAGCCTGGGTGACAGAGCGATACTCTGTCTCAGGGAAAAAAAAAAAATTCCAATTAATTTTGATTTTCATTACAATCAATATGTTGTGCTTAGACATGGTTTCCTTTTTAGGAAAAAATTAAACTGTTACTTCTTCAAATACTTATGCTGCCCCATTTTCTCTCCTTGTCTTCTGAGCCCCTACTTATATTTATATTGGAGCATTAGATATTTCCCCAGAAGACTCAAAGATTCTGTCTACCTCCTTAATATCTTTTTATACATATTGGATGCCACTTATTCATCTTTTATTTTGTTGACTCCTTCTGTTATCTTATATCTGTTCTTATGACTATTCATTTTTAAAATATTGTAGAGTTTGTTATTTTTATTTATATTTGCAGTTGAAATGTTTCATAGTTTCCATTTCTCTATTAAAATGTTCTATTTTTAAAATTCGTTGTTAGAATATTGTATTTTATATCCTTGAGCAGAATTATAGTGGCTGCTCAAAGTTAGTCTCCGTAAATTATCTTTTTTTTTTAATCTGTCACAGTTTCCTGATTTTTTCTTATGTTGATAATTTTAGTTTGAACCTTGGACATTTCAGTAATATGCTGTAAAGACTCTGGATCATCTCACATTTATTTAAAAAGTATGGATTTTTGTTATTTATATTCTTGGGTTTTAGCAGGCAATTGATTTGTCTGAATTTAAACTCCAAACTCTGATACTCCAGTTTAGGATTTTTATCTTTAATCAGGCTGCTGAGATTCTGCTCAATACATGCATAGTTTAGGGGTCAGCTAGCTATTCTGGAATATTTTATACACAGAATTTGTAGCTCTCCTTCTCTGATTCTTTCCTGTCTGGGTTTTCTCTTCACATTTTCTAACTCTGTGGTTGCCCCAAATCCCGCTCTATGGTTCTTCAAGCCAGTAAACACATGGGTTTTTATTTGTGTCTTATCCTCCCTGTTGGTTGACTTCTGGGGACACCCTAAGCTAAAAGGCATTAACAACATGACATTCATCCACTATTATTTCTTTATCCCAAGGTTTGACCCCCTGTATTATCTGTCCACTTTGGTTCATTCAGCAGTGTCTTTATGTCATGATTTTTATTTACAATTTGTCTAGAGTTTGTAGTTGTCATCTGTGAGTGGGTCAGTCCGATAGGACCTACTTAGTATTTATTATAATTTAACTCTTGTCTTTCCCCAGTTGTTTAAATCAGGTAAGTTTATTACTCTCTAACCTAATAGTCCAGAGATTATCAAGTGGTTCTTTCCTATAAAATTATTCTGGACCCAGACTGGTTCATTGAGTTTGCTTTTCTCAAAATATGGATTTTTATCTCTTGATCCAGAGCTCAAATTATTGTCATTGCCCTACCAGAAGAAAAGTAGAGGAAGGAGGGCAAACACCTTCATTTTTTAGGAGGTGACCTAAAAATTTTACAAATCACTTTCAGTCACATTCCAATATTTCAGACTTATTCACATAGCAACACATAACTGTAAATGAGATTAGGAAATAAAATTTTCTGAAGGACAGCCAAGTACCCAGCTAAAATAAGGCAAGAAGAGTAAATCTTAACAGTAAAAAAGTGGGAATGTATTCCGAGGGAAAATTTGTGTCCTTTGCCACCGTCTAATCTTCCAGCCTCCCAGATATCCATGTAGACCCTACACAACCACTATCTGCTTATGGCAGAACGCTTAAGTCAAATCCAGCTCCAAGTCCAGGATCCCTTTCCATCCTATGTTGGTGTAGCTTTTGAGAGTCTAAGAACCTATGTAAGTAATATAAAATATACTAATATTGTAAAATAATATATAATATATATAAAATATGAAATATATACAACACATACAATATATGTAAAATAATATATAAAAATAATATATAATAATAATTATGTAATATATAATAATATATTAATTATTATGTAATATATAATATATTAATTATTATGTAATATATAATATATTAATTATTATGTAATATATAATAATATATGTTAATTATTATATATTATATATAATTATATATTAATTATAATTATTATATATTTATATATTATATATAAATGTATAAATCCAGAAACAGATCCATATATGATATATTTATAATCAAATTTTAAAAGACAATTTTTATACATAATTTATATAATTATATATTTAAAAATATATAATAAATATTTAATATATAAAATATGTAATATGTAAAATATATAAAATATTACATATAATAATATAATACATTATAATATAGAATAATAACATTTAAAGTATATAAAATAATAATTCTTAAAAATACACCTTCTCACAAGTCAAATATACAATGATTAAATAGAAACAGGGTGCTCATCCTGTAATAAGAGCCAAATTCTGAAAATGGAAGATGAAAATCATGCAGCTGTTATTATTCCATAGCAAAGTAGAGTCATTCTTGTCTGGAACAGAAAATATGCCCTCTCATGATATTACAGTTACCTGCTTTTTTGGACCTTGGTTTGACTCTCTGAGAAGCATGCATTTATCCATTGTTCTTCATGACCCATGGCTTTATCCTCTGAATAACCCTTCTTTTCTAATATTCCCTGTGGCCATATAAGAAATGAAAATTGTAGAGTATGTCCTTGGATACTAGCAGATCTTTCCACTTTTTTTTTTCCATCTTGATATAAGTTTATGGCCTCAGAGGTAGATTTAGAGGTGAGCAATTACTGTCTTTTGCAAGACATTCTTTGGTTTCTTTGGTAATAAAATACCAAAAAAAAAAAAAAACAAACAAAGAAGAAAAGAAAAGAAAAGGAAAGAAAACCTAACAACAATAAAGTTGAGTCTCAATCTTTGTATATTCACAACCAAGTAGTCTTCATGTTCATGTTCCTTAATATTGTTCATGCTCCTTGCTTATCTGCTAGATCCTGTGACTATATTTATGTCTATCTTCCTCAATTTTATGAATTCCTACCTTGAAGTCACTAAAACTGGTGAGTGTACAGAAGTGTACAGGCAACACCTTTAATCTCATTTTTTGCTGATAGAAATGCACTTAGTGACAACCTTATGTTATTTAAGATACAGATACAGTTGACTTTTTAACATTGAGGTCTCCATGTTTCTAAACTGTCAATTTAGACTGCAGATTGTAGATAATCTAGGGGGACATTGTTCAATCAGTTGAAAGGCCTTAAGAGCAGAGCTGAGGCTTTTTTTTTCTCTCTCTTGGCTTTTTTAATATATATATATTTTAAGTTCTGGGATATATATGCAGAACGTGCAGGTTTGTTACATAGGTATACACATGCCATGGTGGTTTGCTGCACCCGTCAACCCATCATCTACATTAGGTATTTCTCCTAATGCTATCCCTCCCTGAGCCCCTCACCCCCTGACAGGCCTCAGTGTGTGATGTTCCCCTCCCTATGTCCATGTGTCCTCATTGTTCATCTCCCACTTATGAGTGACAACATGCGGTGTTTGGTTTTCTATTCCTGTGTTAGTTTGCTGAGAATGATGGTTTCCAGCTTTACCCATGTCCCTGCAAAGGACATGAGGTCATTCTTTTTTACAGCTGCATAGAATTCCATGTTGTATATGTGCCACATTTTCTTTATCTAATCTATCATTGATGGGCATTTGGGTTGGTTCCAAGTGTTTGCTATTGTGAACAGGGCTGCAATAAACATACATGTCTTTATAGTAGAATGATTTATAATCATTTGGGCATATACCCAGTGATGAGATTGCTGGGTCAAATGGTATTTCTGGCTCTAGATCCTTGAGGAGTCGCCACACTGTCTTCTACAATGGTTGAACTAATTTACACTCCCACCAACAGTGTAAAAGCATTCCTATTTCTCCACATCCTCTCCAGCATCTGTTGTTTCCTGAATTTTTTTTTTTTTTTTTTTTTTGAGACGGAGTCTCACTCTTTCGCCCAGGCTGGAGTGCTGGCTTTTTAATGATCGCCATTCTAACTGGGGCGTGAGATGGTATCTCACTGTGGTTTTGATTTGCATTTCTCTAATGACCAGTGATGAGCTGTTTTTCGTATGTTTTTTGGCCGCATAAATGTTTCCTTTTGAGAAGTGAGACCAGCATCATCCCAATACAAAAAACCTGGCAGAGGCTTTTTTAAAGAAGAAATTCCTACTGTGACAGCAGCTTCAGTTCATGACCTAGGGTCCCAGTCTGCCCTCCCTGATGGCTTTGGCTTTCTTCCTGGTGCCCTGCTCTACAGATTCTGGACTTTCCTGGTCCCAACAACTATATAAACTGTTTCCTTGCAAGGAGTATATTAATATATAACTCCTACTGGTTTTTCCTCTTTGGCTGAGCCCTAATTAACACATCTCTAAGACTGTATACAAAGCAAGACAATTAGACATTAATTAAAAAAGAAAGAAAACCTAAGTAAATGAAGGAAGATACTGTGTTTATGGATTATAATACTGAGTATTAAGATCCTCTCAAAACTGGCATTAAGTTTCAGCATAATCCCAATATTAATTGCAGCAAGACTCTTGTTAGAGATTGACAAAACTGAATCTAAAATTTGTATAGATAACCAGTGAACCTAGAACAGCATATTTTTTTAAATAACCTGTAGTACTAATTTTAAGGCTTAACTGTTTTAAGACTTAAGCTTTAGCTATATTAATCAAGGAAGTATGACATTGGTGAAAGGGTAGACACGTGGACCAGTGGCACACAACTCAAAAATCCAGAAACAGATCCACATACATAAGTTAAATGTATAAGCAAATTTTAAAAGACAATTTAATGGAGAAAGAAAGGAATTTCTTCATTTGATTCTAGAAAAATCAGATATCCCTATGCAAAGAACAAAAAACAAAAACAAAAACAAAACCAATTAACCTAAATCTATACTGCAATCATATTAAAAATAATTCAGAATTGATCATAGACATAAATATAAAACTTAAAACTTGGCCAGGAGCGGTGACTCACACCTGTAATCCCAGCCCTTTAGGAGGCCTGATATTGGGTTATGCAAATATTTGTTAGGTAGGATACAAAAAGCATGAATATAAGAGAAAAAATTACAAACTGGACATCAGCAAAAGTTAAAACTTTAGCTCTTCCAATGGTACTGTTAAAAAAAATAAAAATTCAAGTCTTAGACTGAGAAAAAAAGATTTTCAATACATGTACTAATAAGAGCTGTTATTCTGAATATGTAAAGAACTCTTTCAACTTAATAATGATATAATAAGAAATCCAATTGAAGAAAACTCAGAGAAGGATTTGAAGTGTTACTTTACCAAAGACGAGACACAGATGATGCATAAGCTCATGAATATATGTTAAACATCTTCAGTTATTAGGGAAATTCAATTCAGAGTGCAATGAAATACTACTACACACATTTTTATTTTTCTTTCTTTCTTTTTTTTTTTTTTTTTTTGAGACAGAGTCTCACTCTGTCGCCCAGGCTAGAGTGCAGTGGCACAATCTTGGCTCACTGCAACCTCCACCTGCCGGGTTCAAGCAATTCTCCTGCCTCAGTCTCCCAGTATCTGGGACTACAGGCACGCACCACCATGCCTGGCTAATTTTTTGTATTTTTAGTAGAGACGGGGTTTTACCATGCTGGCCAGGCTGGTCTCAATCTCCTGACCTCATGATCTGCCTGCCTCCACCTCCCAAAGTGCTGGGATTACAGGCATGAGCCACTGCGCCTGGCCTACTACACACATTTTTAAATGGCTTAAATAAATACAAATTTACAATGTCAATTACTGGGAAAGATGAGGAGTGACTAGAACTCTCATACATTGCTGTGGGGCACAGAAATTTTGGAGAAACATTTTGGCCATTTGTGAATTTAAATATAAACTTACCATATGATCTAACAATGAATTTACCCCAGAGTAATAAAGATGGATGTTCACAAAAAAATGCTCAAATATTCATAGCAGTTTGATTTGTTATTATAAAAAACTGGATACCACCAGCTGTTCATCATTTAAAATATTTTATATCTCTGATTGTAATGGTAATGATAAGATCATATAAATTTGTCAAGGTCCATACAACTATACACATTATGCACATACTATACACATTTACTGTGCCAAATTATACTTCAATAAACTCAATTTTGAAAAATTAATCCCAGATGACTCAAAACTTTAAATGTGAAAGGCAAAACTTTAAATCTTTTAGAAGACATTGTGCATGAGTATCCTTATGACTGTCTAGAGAGTAGCATCTTAAACAAGATCTAATCAGCTTTCCTTAAAAGAAAAGGTTGATCATGCAATCAGATTAAAATTAAGAATTCCAGTTTAGCAAAACAAACTGTAAGGTTGAGTGGCAAGCCACAAACTAGAAAAAGATACCTGCTGAAGAATTAATATCCTGAATACATAAAGTATCCCACAAATCATTAAGAAAGAACACAAACAACTCAATAGAATAATTGGCAAAATGTTGATGAGGTATCTCACAAAAGAGGAAAAAATAATGTAAAATAAACAAGTAAAGATGTCCATCTTCTGTAATCAGGAATTGCAAAATAATGAGACAACTTTATACCTATTATTTTAGAATTAGAAATAATGTAAATCAATGGGAATACTTAACACACTTTAGGTAGAAACACAAATTGGTGCAAGCTCTTTGAGAAACAATTTGACATTGTCTTATAAAGTGGAACCAGCATTAATGCTACTATCCAGACTTTCCAGTTCCACATATGTAGCTAAGATTAACTATTGTCAATACACCTATTCACAAAAATACAACCAAATTTTAGAAACTTGATGTTGAATGGGAAAGAAGTTGCAAAAATTACATAGAGTATGTGATACCCTGCTTAATATATGCATATATAGTAAAAGTGTGCAAAGAAAGCATCAGAAGACACATACGTAATTCAGGAAAATGATCAGGGTGAAGCAGGAGAGAGAAGGAGGTGTGTCCAAGATAAAACAAAGAGTTAACTTCAGTGATGTTAGAATTGTTTTGCTTTAAGTCAGGTGAAATGCTCCTGAGAATTGTTTTTATAATGCTTCCAAACTTTATGTATTACATATATTTTTACAGTTACCAAGTGCTACATAATTTTTAAAAATAAGTGATACAGTGAATGGATTGAAAGTATTGATGAGGTCTAAGAATTGCTGGAGAAGGAATAACTAGGACAAGTAAATTGGAATGACAGAAGATGAGAGCTAGGAAGTGGTATATTTAATTTCTAGATTTCAGGGCTGGAGTGGTGGAGTAGTCATTGTTGACAACAAGATCTAAGGTATATGCTTGTTGCAAGATCACGAAAGGCTGGTAGAAAAGATTGTGGAAGCTAAGGAAGGTAAAGAACTGTAGCTTAAGAGTCAGATAGTTCTCCGTAGATGTTGAGGTTACCCAAACTAATGAAAGCAACAACGGCATGGGGGAAAGCAGCGAGCTAGGTGCTAAAATATAAATGAATAAGGTTGAAAGGCAACAGATGATAGTAACGAGTACAAACAGTTCCATAATTTTCAGGGCCTGGTACGAAATTAAAATGTGGGGCCTCTTGTTCAAAAAGTCATAAAAATTTCGGCCTGGTGTAGTGGCTCATGCCTGTAATCCCAGCACTTTGGGAGGCCGAGGCAGGCGGATCATTTGAGGTCAGGAGTTCAAGACCAGCTTAGCCAACATAGTGAAACCCCATCTCTACTAAAAAATACAAAAATTAGCCAGGCATGGTGGTGGGCACCTGTAATCCCAGCTACTCGGGAGTCTGAGTAGGAGTATCACTTGAACCTGAGGGGCAGAGATTGCAGTGAGCCAAGATTGCGCCACTACACTCCAGCCTGGGCGACAGAGTGAGACTCCATCTCAAAAAAAAAAAAAAAAAAAAAAAAAGCGTTAAAAATTTCCAGAAGGTAACTAGCAGATAATTAAATCAGGCATGGGGCTCTTCTAAGCACAAAGACTGTGACTGCACAGTTTGTACACCCATGAAGCTGACCCTGACAATAGACAATCATAGCAGATAGTCAAGTGTCTGATAATTTTCTTTAAAAGAACCCATTTGGAAAGAGGAAGGAAAGGGGGGTGTGCATTTGGAAAGGGGAGGTAGGAAAACACTTATCTACCTGCAAGTCTTCCTGGAAATACCTGTGGTTGAAAGAAAGGACTACACTTAAGGGGAAGTGGTTGTGCCAAGGATCTCTTAGAAAAGAAGGTGAAATAAACGTTCCAGAGGAATTTGAGGATAAAAGATAATTTGCTTAAGACACACCAAGAAGTTCCCCAAAATTGGGAAGACCGGAAAGAAAAGGAAAAATAATGAGATCAGTGATGTATAAGACATAAACTGTCCATATTATGATTAATAGATGCTTGCACTTCTGATGGCAAACAAATATGATAGAAGGTGCAATGAGATTGGAGCTTGAGGCATCTTAAAGATTTGTAGACACTATGAAGTGCAATAATGTGCCCCTCCAAAATTCATATGTTGAATTTTGTATAAAGCCTCCATGTGGCTTTATTGGAGTAAAGAAGTAATTAAGATTAAATGAGCTCATAAGGGTGGGCCTCCTATGCAATAGGATTGGTATCTTTGTGAAACATACCACAGCACATGCTCTCTCCATCTCTCTCTGCCCCACAGGAAAGCACCTAGAAAAGGCCATGTGAGAACATAGTATGCAGGTGGCCACCTGCAATCCAGGAAGAAATCTGCCACCAAGAACCGAATTGGCAGGCACCTTGATCTTGGACTTATGGTCTCCAGAATGGTGAGAAAGTAAATTTCTGTTGTTTTAGTCACCTAGCCTGTGGTATTTTGTAATGATAATCTGAGCAGACTAAGAGAATAAGTAATCATTTTAAGTTAGAGTACATATCACTTACCAGGGACCTTGGGGAAATATTGAGTCTTGAAGGTAAAGACAGTTGAAGACCTGGTGGATGGGACAGGAAGGCACCTGAATTTAAGGATGACTTTCTTAAATAGCTTAGTGAGCTTTGATGGCTTCGTGGGAAATGCCTAGAGTGTTTGTTGCTTCCCACAACAGGACATAGTGGTCATCTTGAACACACAGGAGAAAATTTTATGCCCCAGTTCATCCTCCGCAGAAGAGGATGCTTTCCTCACTACCAAGTTGAAACTCAGGGCGGCTTTTTTTTTTGCCTCTTGTTAAATGTTCTCTTGCAACCATGGGGCAAGTAAAGATCTAAGATGTCTGTTTTTTTGCATGGAGTTGCAATGACAGCTAGGAACAATGGCAAGGCAAGATGAAAGGTGGCCACTAGAAGAGCAGGGTGACTACCTGAAGGAATCTATTACTTTGCCTAAAAAAATACTCTTGCTAGATTAAGCTTTCTTGTGACTTCTATACAGTGATCCTAATTGTGTTTCTTGGATTCAGCAGAAATACTCCCACCACTATGACCAGCTAATTTTGTGTGTGTGTGTGTGTGTGTGTGTGTGTGTGTGTGTGTGTGTGTACTTTTAGTAGAGACGGGGTTTTACCATGTTGGACAGGCTGGCCTCGAACTCCTGATCTCTTGATTCGCCCGCCTTGGCCTCTCAAAGTGCTGGGATTACAGGTGAGATGGAGTTATTTCTTTATGTTATTTACTCTGTCTACAGCCAGAAAACATTGCAAAATTTAATCAAATTGTCTAACTCAGTAGATATTAAATGAAATTATGGCAGAAATCTATGTGAAGTAGGCTCCTTTTTAATAATTTTTTTTTATCCTTTCCATCATTCCTATTCTTATCTATCTATTAGGACCCAGTTCAAATCCAAGATTGCTATAGATTCATTTTTAATTACACGATTCATGAGATTTTTATCTTTGTCTCTGCTTTCTTGCATAGCTTTGAATTTGTACTTCCTATTCTAACATTTTTTAATACTGAGGATGATGTTTGCCTTTTCCAGCCAAGAAATTCTGAACTGCACGCACTCCATTGGCATCTTAGAGCTCAAAATATTATTAAAATGTCAGTTCGCCCTGATATTTGGAGAAAGGTCATTTTTTTTTTTCTAATTTAATAAATGAGGTAAATACAGTCCCAACACAGTTAAGTGAATTTTTGAAGGTGCTGAGAAAAAAGAAAGAAACATTCTGTGAGGACCTACTAGGCATTGGCCAAGTATGTGGACCTGACAATGAGAACTAAGATTATTTAGAGCTTGTGATGTGGTGGGCACTGTGCTATAAGATTTGCATTTAGGAAACCATATAAAACTCATTATGTAGGCACTAGTAAACAAATGTTCCATGTGGGGAACTTAAGCCACAGAGATATTAAGTAACTTGCCAACTGTCCTGAAAGTCAGAGCTGACAACTAACTGTGAGCCTTCAGGCTTCAGAGACTACTTTTAAAATTACAACTCTATATGGCTTCATCAAATTTTTTACTATAGAATAGAAACATATTATAGTTATGTATTACTATAGTTACTGTCAAGACACAGAAAACTCAGCAACTTTGTGAAAGTTTCTATAATTACAAGTTATAGAGCCAAAATATTAGTGGAATCCTGCACTAGCACAAATGCAGTGCTTGTTCTAAAACAACATGCTTTATTCTTTTCACTTATGTAATGTTGTTAGCCCCTTTCAACCATGTTGTTTGTGGGGTAAGAAGACGGCATGAGATGTACACTCAGGAATTTGTTTATTGGCTCAGTCAGTCAACGTTTATGGAGCCCTAACTACACAACAGGCACCATTCTGGGCACCAGGGAAATGATGAACCAAACAAACTTAGCCTCTTTAGTCCTTCCTGCTTCGTATCATTTAACAACTCATTGAATAGCGCTGAGACTCAGTTTCCTCAGAAATAACATTGTGGTAGCATTGGTGGTCTGATGTCTCATCAAAACAGTGTTAGCACATAACATTTTACACAGGCTTGACTTGTGATTAGTGTTCAATAAGTGGTAGCTAGTAGAATAATATGAATGCTTTAGATAATTAACATTACAGGTGTTCTGAGAAAGGGCAAGTCATATCTCTCTTGGAAAGTCAGGGAAGGCTTCACTCAGTGGAGAAGAGAAAAAGTGTCTACGAAGAAAACAAAATGAAACCAGAATACTGACTATGTACTTATGGTACAATTTTTTTTTCCCAATCCACTCAAAACAAACAGTAAACAATGGTTTTTAAAGCAACTGAGACTACTGCAACATTAAGGTAGGATGGAGGTATCCTGACTGTCAGACTTAGGAGCTCATAATTTGTCTTATGGTGATGACAAGTTACAGTTAATTTGGAAAGGACTCGTTGGGGCAAGTTGACATAAGACTGAACAAATTAAGAATAATCAGCAGGGTTAGGTGGTGCATGCCTGTAATCTCAGCTACTTAGGAGGCTGAGGCAGGAAGATTACATGAGCCCAGGAGTTTGAGGCCAGCCTGGCCCACATAGGGAGATTCCATCTCAAAAGAAAAAAAAGTTGTTTTCCCAAATACACGTGTCTCTCCTATCCAAATATGTGTGCATATTTTTTAAGTTCTAATGTCACTTTTGCAAAGTTGCTTGTGGCTGCTCTGGTTTCATTGTCAGATGACTTAGTTCCAGTTGAGCACCTTCGCTTAAGCCGTTAAACAAATGAAAAGCAAAATTGTCACTTTTAAATAGAGTTCGCACATAATCACATTTTGAAATGGTCCTCCTCTGGCTAAGGAGAAGTTGTGTGCATTATAATATTGAATTTTAAATAATATATTACACAAAATAGCTTCCAATTTGATTTGAGGGGATATATTTTCATGAATTATTGAATATCTGATTATTGTAGAAAGCTTTAGCCATTATGCGCTGAAACTGTCATTCTCTCAGCTCTGTGATATATGAGCTTGGTTATCAATATTTAAAGTTACAGTTAGCTCACTGTGAGGTAGCTGAAAGCTGAGACAAGAATTAATCAGCAATGACACAGGCAGAACTCTTTCCATGCCCAAAGATGCTCTAGGAGAGTTTCCCAGCCGATCTATAGGTGTATTTCAAGTTCCAGACCATCTCACAGAAATCCACACATCAGGAAGTAGTTCTTATTAATCAGTGGGGAACTGATTCAATAGAAGAAAAATTTGCATATTTTTAAGATTTTCTTCATCTTCCAGAAACTTAAAAGTTTTGTATTAGATAAAATTTCCTTGCAGCTGAACTAAATAATGCTGAATAAAATATACTTTAATTTGTCTGATTTGTTTCTTCAACTACAATGTAAGTTCTCTAAAAGGAGGACCTCTGCTTTCTGATTTACTATTGTATCCCAGGAATTATCTCAGTGTTTGCTACAGAGTAGGTGCTCAATAATTGTTTTATGTTTTATTATGCTCAATAAATCCTTTATTTATGTATTTATCTTTTTAAGACTGTTGCCCAGGCTGGAGTGCAGTGGCTTGATCTCGGCTTACTGCAACTTCTGCCTCCCGGGCTCAAACAATTTTCCTGTCTCAGCCTCCCAAGTACCTGGGACTACAGGCGTGTGCCACCACACCCAGTTAATTTTTGTATTTTTTGTAGAAACAGGGTTTTGCCATGTTGTCCAGGTTGATCTCAAATTTCTAGGCTCAAGCCAACCACCCACCTCGGCCTCCCAATGTACTGGAATTACAGGCATGAACCAGTGTGACTGGCCTCCATAAATCTTTACGTATTATTGGCTCTGAATTAATAAATTAAAAAAAATGAAAGTTTAGGGGTTAGTGATCACTATACACCTTTGTATAGAGTGGAACATTGTTCCTTTGTATTATTCAAAATAGATAATTTATGTTTGTGCAAGAAAGCAATGCACTAGGAGCATGTTTTTTCCTCTCTTTTGACATAGTCAATTAGTATTAGTATACTTGAGATACAGCCTGAAGCATAGCACACACATTTCTTCCCCTCATGGAGAAGTTTTCAGTTTTTTAGCAAATTGACACAGAAAATAATTATTTATATATGTGATAAAGTATGCAAGCAAAGGAAATTGAAGATGCATTAGAAAAGCTTAACGAGAAAAGTGTATCCCCTTGTGGAAAAGAACTGCTTAGGGAGTGATATCAACCACGATACCGGAAGAGTTCAGACTCAGCCAAACAAAGCAGAAAGAGGTAAGGAAGAGAGTGATGGGTGCCCCAGGTGGAGGAAATAACATTTCTTTGAATGCACTGCTGTTTAACATGAATTATAGTAAACAATAATTATCATACTCCACATTAAATTTTGTTAAGAGGGTAGATCTCATGTTACGTGTTCTTACAATAAAATAAAATTTTAAAAATTATAACAAATTATTAAAATCGAGAATGTTTGTGGCACATTTGAGGAGCCCAAAACATTTATTAGGTGAGAAGCAAAGAGACTTCTCTCATCCTTATCCCCTATATTAATGGAGCTGTAGTGTCTTACTTTCCAATGGAATTGCCTCTCTGACTCAACTGGAAAAGGAGGTGGTGAAGAAAAGAGAATGAAAGAGGTTTAACACTTGAAATTTCATAAGACCTTTAGGACATTTGAGCCTCTCTCTCTCATTGCTTCTTTTTTCTTCCACTCACACTTGCACAGATGCAGACACTCATACACATAATTTTGCATACAATTTCAGGGGTCAGGAATCTTGTCAGTATGAATCTCATACTGATTTTGCTCTTTATGCCTGCAGCTCTGTGTTCTACAGTACAGCATCTTCCATGGATACCTATCAGAATGTTTTCTTTGACAGAAATTAGTATATTTCGAGGCAGATTTGAACAGCATATCATTTGTAATGAATTTTTATTTGGTTACCAATGTGTTTCTAATTTTTAAAGTAATTTAAAATGTATTATTTTTTTCCTAAACACAGACAAACATATTCTTGATCTGTGCTTAAAACCCTAGAAATTCCCGCCAACACGTTGGGTGTTTTTCTTTACCTGTCTTGTTTCCCTTTATCCCTTGACCTCAGAGAAGCTCAGATACAAATCTAGTTCTTGAGGACAGTATTTTCTGTCCTATATACTTTTTGCATGTTTCCTTTTCATCTTTATGGACGTTAGATTCATGTGTACTTTCAAAAACCTCACTTCTCCCTTAATTCAAGCCAGTTTTCCATCACTTTCAACTTTTTCGTATTCTAAATAATATGTGCTATTTCTTGATTAGATACCATTTATGTTTCTATTGTCTTACATCTATAAAAGTTGGCAATTTATCTGTTATACTTGTCCCTCATATATTTTACATGCATACACCCTGCTTTCATAGTAAATTAATATTGTAAATTCTGGTGCAATCTGTATTCAGTTACGATACTAATATAACTATGTAAATGTTTTGCATAGAGGAACGACATGGTGAACTGAAGTAGTCTTCCCCGTTCCTCATAAATGTTTAGTTTAAACTATTTAATAATTAGGCCGGGCGTGGTGGCTCACGCCTGTAATCCCAGCACTTTCGGAGGCCGAGGCAGGCGTATCACTTGAGGTTAGGAGTTTGAGACCAGCCTGGCCAACACAGTGAAACCCGTCTCTACTGAAAATACAAAATTAGCTGGGTGTGGTGGCACATGTCTGTATTCCCAGCTACCTGGGAGGCTGAGGCAGGAGAATCGCTTGAAACCTGGAGGTGGAGGTTGCAGTGAGCCGAGATCATGCCATTTTACTGCAGCCTGGGTGACAGGAGAGAAACTCTGTCTCAAAAAAATAAATAAGTAAAAAATTGTATCTCGTTCTGTTATTTAGATTTCTGTATATCAATAATTATCCCTTTTATGTCCAGACTGAGCTGTGAATCTGGTTATATAGGAGTCCCATTTTTCCTTAGAATTTCCTTCTTGGAACCCTCTATGCTTTTGCCCAAATCTGGCTTGGTTATTGCTGTACACACCTGCTATTGCTGGATTGTCCTTCACTATAATTCAAGAAATTCCCTTCCTAACTCTTCTCTGTTGCATCTTCTGTCCCCTGGATCCCATATTTTCCCCCTGGTTTTATTTAGTCCATTTTCTGATGGGGAATATTTTCCAGTAACTTTCGCAAAAAGGGTGCTCCAAGTAATTCTGAAGCATACCTGACAACAATATTATTTTAGCCTTAAAAAAGGGGGTAAATCCTGTTATTTGAAACATGCAAAAACCCTGAAGACATTATACCAAGAGAAATAAGCCAGACACAGAAAGCCAAGTACTGCATAACCTCACTTCTATGTTGAATCTTTAAAAAAAAAAGTCAAACTCATAGTAACACAGTAGAATGGTGGTTATCAGGGGCTACAAGGTGGGGAAAAAGTGACGATATTAGTAAAAGACATTAATAAAACCTTCAGTGATAAAATGAGTAATTACTGGAAACCTACTGTACAGCATGGTGAGTGTAATTAAGAACAAGGCTTTGCATACTTGGAATTTGCTAGGAGTGTAGACCTTAAGTGTTCTCACTATGTTTCTACTATGCATATAAATCCATGGTAACTATGTGAGGTGGTAGATATGTTAACTAGCTTGGTTGTGATAATCATTTCAGAATGTGTGTACACACATATATGTATATATATATATAAGTATATCGAAACACCATGTTGTACACCCTAAATGTATACAATTTTCATTTGTCAATCATATCTCCATGAAGCTGGGAAAAAAATCCAGAACTCCTTATATAAAACAAACAAAGAAACAAAAAAGATAGTATCATTATACTTGGAATTCTGAAGTTTTATGCTGATGTGCTTGGGTGTGGAGCTTTACAATTTGTTGTGCTGAGTGCCTGGCTGGCTCTTTCAATCTGGATAGGCATATCCTTTACTTCTGGACAATGTTTCTGAATTATATCTTTGATCATTTTGTACCCTCCATTTTTTCTTTCTGTTTCTGACCTCTCATAGTCAGATTTGGGTCCTACTATGTGGAGCTTCTGACTTTCTTCTGTTTTGTTTCTCATTTATTTGTTTTTTTGTTTTATTGCGCTATTTTAGATTTTCTCAAAATTATCTTCAAATTCTGATATTTGACCTTTTTAATATTTGTTGCTATTGATTTGATTTCTGAGAGCTTTTTATTGTTTTTCTGTTTTTGTAGCTGTAATTTTTTTTCTTATGTATCCCAAGATGTTGATTTTAGTTGGTATTTCGTTTTGCTTCAGATATTCTGTTTCAACCAATTTCTTTTGTTTAATTGTGTTTGTCTCCTTCAGGATAGAAGTTATTCTTAAATTTCTCGTGATCCCTAGCTATTATGCATATATAAATGAGGCATTAGATAACCTATCTGTTCCTGATGAGACTTGTCTACTAGTGTGCTATCTGCAGGGCAATTATTAGAGACTGGAAGATTAGCACAACATCTTCACCTCTGAACTGGGTCCATTTCTCTCCACAGGAATTCTCTGGTCTCCAATGTGGGTGGTATACCTGACCACTAACTATTCCGAGCTGAGTTGGAGAAAAAGAGCTAGTGTTTCATTCTTCAATATGTAGATTTCCATTTAATCCAGTTCCTTTTCACCTTAGCTCTCTCCTGTGTCAGGTGACACTGAATCCCATGCATTTCTTCTTCTATTTAACCAGTAAACTTACTTTCTATCTACAGAGGCGGCCATGGGCGGTAGTTTCCTGGCTATATGACGTGAGTGGGAGAGTTTGGGAACTATTTTTAATTCATAATTTCATCCAACCTACATCATTTTAGCCCAAACTTTTTATGAGCTTTTTTCTAGTTCCACAACACTGATCTACTTGATCCCTGTTGCCACCAGCTTTTGTAAAACTTAGATTTTAGCTTTCTCTGTTTTTAAAAAATAATTATTTTACTTTTTTCTTTTTTAAATAGAATTATGGAGTACAAGTGTAGTTTTGCTATGTAGGAATGTTGCATAATAGTAAATTCTCGGCTTTTAGTGTGCCTGTCAACCAAATAGTGAACATTGTACCCTATAGGTAATTTTTCAACCCTCACCCCCCACCTCATCTTCCCACCTTTTGGAGTCTCCAGTGCCTATTATTCCCTTTTGTGTGTCCAGGTGTGCCCATTGTTTAGTTCTTACAAGTGAGAACATGTGGTTATTTGACTCTGTTTCTCAGTTCATTTAGGATAATGGCCTCCAGCTCCATTCATATTGCTGCAAAATACATGATTTCATTTTTTGTGACTGAATTGTATTCCAGGGTGTGTGTGTGTGTGTGTGTGTGTGTGTACATACACCATGTTTTCTTTATCAGAGTCAGCGGGTAGTAGACACAGGTTGATTCCGTGACTTTGTTATTGTGAATGGTGTTTTTTTAAAAGTCTATTACTGCCCATCCAGCATTATGGCTACCAAAAATTTGCTTTCTTTGGAGATTTATTACTTTTTAAAAAATTATTTATCATGAGGTTAAAGAGAATAGAGAAAAAAATTCATGTATTCAATCTGCATCTTTTTAAGCATATGTTTCTCAGATCATTTTTCCACAGTGTTTTTGTGATCTGAAAATGACAGTGTATGTGACTTAGTTAAAGACTTACGTTCTTCTTTTGCCACTCTCTCCATTACAGAAGATAAAAGGGAGGTTCACAAAAGTCAGTGTGATACAACTCAAGCAAAGTGTGAAATGTTGACCAAAATGATCAAAGAATCCGAACTAGGATTGGAACTGTGTAATTTACCCAATGATCTTTTCTTGTTATATTTAACTGGTTCTCAGCCTTGCTTGAGTCAATATATGTCTATGATTTTTTTAAATATTAAAATTATCCCAAAATTTGAAATGCTAGATTTAGACCAGTAAAGGACAGTCACATGTTTGCCTAAATAAAATAATCTTTAGCGTGCTCTCATTCATTTAGCTATAAGGTTTGGGTACCCTGACTCCTTGACATATTTAGTAAAGTACTTTTTAATATATTTTTTATCATATTTAATAAAAAGCCTTCATTTAAAAATATGGAATGTCTTTTTCAATTTTATATATTTAAGGTGAAAAACAAACTTTCTTTTTGTATTAAATTTATTTTTAATAAAATTATGAACCTGTAAGAAACACTTTAAATCACTATGTTATATTTAAAATATTTTATCCATTGTTCTCATTTCATCTTTGGCTCATTAGTATCAGGTTCATTTATCAAAATTGCTTTTAATTATTTGTCTTCTGTGTTTGGGTTTTATATTACTAACTTCTGCTTTTTTTGTGTGTGTGTGGTTTTTGAGATGGAGTCTTGCTCTGTCACCCAGGCTGGAGTGCAGTGGTGTGATCTTGGTTCACTGCAACCTCTGCCTCCCAGGTTCAAGCGATTCTCCTGTCTCAGCCTCCTGAGTAGCTGGGATTACAGGTGCACACCACCATGCCCAGCTAATTTTTGTATTTTTAGTAGAGACGGGGTTTCATTACATTGGTCAGGCTGGTCTTGAGATCCTGACCTCATGATCTGCCCGCTTCGGCCTCCCAAAGTACTGGGATTACATGCGTGAGCCCCCATGCCTGGCCTATGCTATTAACTTCTAGTTTTGAAGAATTATGCTTAGAATCTGAAGTACATGAATTTTCCTTTCTGCACTTTTGTTAGTAAATTTTCCATTGTCTTAATATAAGCTATATTTATAGAAAAGAAATATGTGTTCTCTATGAAGGGATACATCACTAGATATATTTTTTGTCACATTTTAAGAACAAACAAACTACCTCTGTATTTTTCAGCTGTGTTCTCTTACTAGCACTGCTGAAGGAATTGACATACTTTCCTCAGTAATGGAGGCTGTGACAGTAGCCACATCCACTTTTTAGACATGATATCCAGAATCAATAAAGCAATAAGTTATGAAAATACCTGGACTGAGGCAAAAATCTGTTTAAGCTGAAAAACAGTCTCTTCTGGGTATTGTAATAAAAAATAACTTATCTCAGTGTTTTTATTTCCTACCGTAGCTGTCAAACAGTAATACTGATGAGTTAAATCTGACAACTCTAATCATGTTTCTATTATTCTCCTTATAAGTTAAGAAGTTTTCGCTTTATACATTATGATGCTTTATTTCATCCTTTTAAGATTGCCAATAGTACATGACCTAAGTTTTCCTGTTGTCATAGTTCAATGGCCATCTTTATGCCACAATTTTTCAATTCTGAGTCTATATTTTCAACACTGTTTCTTAGATTTTGTAAGGGTTTATTTGCCTATATGTTTATTGCTATCATTTCTGCGACTCATTTGGATTAATCAAGTTCCTGGTAATAAATGATTTATTGAACTGTCTATTCAAACCAATCATAGTCATATATTTAATGAGTGAACATAGGATATCGTTGGAGAATACTATAACAATATGTCAGCTATTGTCCTTTTCGTTAAGCTAAAAATGTACTTGCTTTTTGTCTATATTGCAAATGTTTTTGGCTGTATAGATTTTTGTGTATTTTATATTCTAGGTTGATCTGTAAAGTAAACACCTGATTTGGAAATTATTTGTCACTATCTTAAAATTTATAGTAAACATTGTTAACATGATATGAATGTAATGATGACATATACTCATTTATAACTTTTTAAGGTATGTTACACTTTTGCCTTTTTTTCACATTTCTAGAACTAATTAATATAACATGATGTCATATAATCTTATATTTTTCAAACAATACTAATTTTAGCTGGAATTAAAACATTCTTATTTATTGTTTTCATTAATAATTAATATTTTATTAATATTTACTTTTTACCACACTCTAGCAATTAATTTTCTATCTTCCAATATGTGTAATATTTTTGAATAAGAATATACTAATGATTCAGTTTAAGAGAACACACTAATATATTAAACCATGGTAATAAGGAGTATGAGAATATGCACAAGCATGAACAATTGTATGCCTAAGGCAGTTAATAAAGAAAATCAAACAGCACTTTCTTCCTAAGCAATGACCTTAGTAACAGGAATATAACACAATTTATACATATTTCAAAGCAATAAGTTATAAACAAGAAATATATACAATTTTTGTTAATTAAAAAGTAAATAACTAGGAATAAAAATGTTTAAAAAAATTTTAGTAATCAATTTATAAGCATTTGTCAAATAAAAATGAATATATCCATGGCCCCATCAGTTAAATGTTTAGCTATTTTCCTCCATGAGTCACTTATGTAAGCAAACAAAGGATACATACAAAAGGGTTCACTATAACACTACTTGTAGTAGAGCAAAGTAGAGATGATTAAAAACAGATATAGCATACTGGTACTAATTACTATATAGCTACCATGGAATATTATGCAGCACTTAAAAATAATCTATAAATCAGTTTGTACAAAAATCGAAGGTCAGAACAAGTAATTTTCAGGAAAAGCAAACCCTCCAAATTATATTAATGTACATGTATATACATACACATATATATGTAAATAAATATACAGTGAAAGACTTAAAAGGTACGTTCTGGATTCTAACCAGAAAAATTTTGTGGAAGACAAGAATGTGAAGTCAGCATTGAAGGGAAAGTTTTGACTTCTATTATCTTTTGTTATTGTTTGAATTTTTCAGAGGAAAATACATATTTATGTACTGCCTGGGAAGCAAGGAAAAAGGAAAGCAGAAATGAAAGAAGGAAGTGTGTGGGAGGGAATCCACACGAAAATAGTAAAGAGGGCTACTCTAAAACCAAATTTGATTAATATGATTCCAATGAAGAAAGTCATAGAAATTATTTTTAAACTCATAAATAAATCACCATGTCAATAAGATTATTATTGTCATTTCAAATTTTATACATTCTCCCAAATACATTAACAAAACAAAGTTTAGGAGGATAATAGGTACGTTGGAGAATAAGTGTGTGAGAAGTTTGCAAATATCAATCTAAGGTCTACCTTTAAAACTAATAGGGTAGATAACTGAAACTAGATGAATGATAGCAAAAATTAATAATAGTTAAGATTTCTAGAGGACTTGCTAGGTGTCAGATACTATCCTAAGTTTTTTAAAGTACTAGCTCATTTAATATTCATAACATCCCTAAGAGGTATGTCCCATTTTACAGATGGGGGTTCTGAGACGCAGGGGCAATAAATTGCTCAAGGGCATAAAGATAGTGGCTGATATATGATTAGATCCAAGTGGTCTGCTTCCAAGTCTTTGTGATTCTGAAAATGACTCTGAACTGCCAAGAAGAATATTAACATAATAACAATTACCATTTGGAAAACATACTTCATAATCCTTTCATAATAGCAATAAAATGTGAAATAGTGAGGCATAAATTGAATAGGCAATATGTAGTCATAAATAAATCTGTAAGGTCATATTAGAGAGAATATAAAAAAAGATTTGATGAGATGGTTGGATACACTAGGTTCCTGAATGGGAAGAAAAAATATTGGAAAATTGTCTATTAACCATGATTTTTAGATTTAATTTAATTCAAACCAAAACCCAAATCTTCTTATCTTTGAAAATTAATTAAATGATTTTATATTCATTTAGAAATGTAAGTAGGTGAAAGGGCCAATATTCAATAAGTCAAGATCAATGAGGGCAGTCTAGTCTTACCAGATAATAAAAATAGTAACATTTTGAAAATACGGAAACATAAAACAGTAAAATTGAATAGAAATATATGATCACACAGGTAATGTGAATGTCTTATTTAGCTTGCCTTTGGTTGGTTGTTAATTGCAACTACTTGTGACTTGCTTCAATTATAAAGAAGAATTGCTTACTTCACAAAACTGGAAAACTCAAAATTACATGGGCTCAGGTAAGGTTTGTTCAAAGATTTAACCTCCATTTCTCTGTGGTTCTCTTAACTCGGGCTTCTTCTCAATGTCAGCCCCATTTCAGACTGGTCTTCCTCATGGCTTCAAGATAGCAACATATTATCAATTAAGGCTTTGTTGCCCCTTATCCGTAAAAAGGTAACAGACTGGGTAGGTTTCCACCACTATCAAACAAAAGATCCTATGTTAGTGCTAACTAAACCCTTATGAATCAACATTATGGTCAGGGGAATGCCACATATTTTGTGCCAGGTTAGGGTTTAAGGTCAACACCACTCCTCACCAGGCAGCGGTGTAGTAGGAGACTGGCTTAGCAAGAGGAAAATCTCCATGAAATTGGAACGGTGTAATGGAAAGGATGTTAGCTAGGCAACGAGGAAACAAGTTATGTATATATATATGCATATGAATAAATGTATGTGATTACAATTTTATTTTTAAATGATACAAGTGAAATATGATTATAAAATAAAAACTGCTTGAATAGTATTTATGAATATTTCAAAAGTAAACTAATAATTTTGTTATTATTAATTTCATCATTATTTTTACTGAATATTCAAATCCAAGCTGTGGTATCCTAGCAAACATAGAAATATAGATGCAAACTGAGCTTCTGCTGAAATAGAGAAAACTGTATATGAACATATGAACTAATAAAAGTGGATCATTTATCAAGCTTTGGATGGTAAGCAAAGAAAAAGCCTTTTACATTGGCTTAAGCAATGAAGTGATTTATTATTCCATGTAACTGAAAAAATCCCAAATCATCATTCTCATTTTACAGATAGTGCAGTGGAATGTTAGAAAGTTTAAATAACTTACTTGCAGTCCCACAGGTTACAAATTCAAAGAGATTTTAACCTAGATTTCTGTCTCCTTAGCTCTCAGTGCTCTATGTGGTTTCATTATCACTTTGTTTTTCTCTTGGAAGAATTGACTCAAGCTTCTATAAAAGAAGCCATTTGGGAAGAAAATATGACACAAATTTAAACTTTTAAGTAGGACATAACAGTGAGACGAAATCAATAAACACCATCTTACTATCTGAGAATGAGATTCCTTTTGTGAAGGAGACTATTTTTGTTGAGGAAATAACTGGAAATACTACTTCAAGTAGGTCAGATTCATTTTTGGAATATGTCATGGCATTAAAAGAGAGGGAAAAACGTACCTATTGAAGACTAAGGCAGTATTTTCTTTGGAATTTCTGAGATCAAGTAGGGGACATGGATAAGGAGAAACGAGTATTTAAAACTATGTATATATTATGGGAGGCTGGGAGAAGAGTCAGGAAACAGAGAATATATGTGGTGGGGTAAGTGGGGAACTGCGGTGATGGGGGCAATGGTCAGAGACTTTGAAGGTTGTTTGTATTCCTGTGATGTAAACACTTGTTTTGCCTCCTCCCAGCGCTTGAAGTCTTCGGCCATCTTGCCCATATTCAGAAATGTTTCGGGAAAATCTACATACTTATAAAGTGGAAGACAGAAGTGAATATTTGAGCTAAAATTTCAGCATGGTACAAAGGAGAGAAGGTCTGGAAATAGGGCCCGAAGGCTGAGAGTCCCCCAAAACAAAAATACTTTCTAAAAATCTACAGAAAATTATTGGGGATAAGTGCTTTTGGACATCCAAGGCCCTTGGAGTTAAGAGCACTGACTAATTCAGCTTGGGGTTTGAAGATCAGAGAGGCCTTCTGCTGCGCTACTAATTGAGGTGTATTTGTAAATGAACACCACATGATACCAACACAGGCTTTTCTTATAAACACTCTTCACCTCCATTTAAAATTCATTCAGAGAACGTTTATGGGTCCTCTGACACCCTACCAAACTCGAGATGCTCAACACAAAAGTGCCTTCCTATCTTTATGGAGTAGGCATTGTACTAGAGAATTTAATAATCATCATCAAGCAAGAAATTTCATAATTGTTATTATTTTAGTTTTAATTGTGATAAGTGATATCAAGGAGAAATGCAGGAGTTAAGAGACCATAAGCTTCCCACAGTGAGCCTGCAGGATCCTGGGAACAGCTTCTTGAAGAAATGAAATTTTGGCTGAGCTTTGGCTAGAGAGTGGGGTAAAGAGCCTTGGCTAGAGAGTGGGGTAAAATGGTGAGTGAGCAGGAGATGGCAAGCAATGGAGGAAAATGGGCAAGCTTCTGTGGTCATGGAGGCTGCATCATACACATCCTTCTAGGCTCTTTAGTAAGTTTAGTTTCTATTAGAAGTGCATTTCAAGCCATTAAAAATTGTGAGTACATCAGGGATGGGAGAAAGCAGGGGCCAGTGGTTTGCATGATATAAACACATGTATTTCCAAAAATATCACTCAGGTGAATCACCCAGTCTTCAGTTGTTTTTGTTGGACTGGAAACAACTCTTAAATTATATTCTTCGGTAGCAGGCAGCAAATAGGATCATTTTTAATTTGGATCTAAATAGAAAGGAATCACAGTGAACAGTCAGACTCAGTCTCTGTTTTCCCATGCTTCAAAGGACCCAAAGAAGCAGGGAGGATTAAGTAGTTTCAGTAGAGGGGAAAAACTGGAGAGCTTTTAGGAAGAGAGTCCAGTTGAGGCTGCAAGGAAATGCCAGCAGGCATCACAGGTGTCTCTGGTGACAAAATTTGAGTCTGAATGTATCAATGAAATCATTGGTGGAACAGTACGGACAGGCAGGCGGCCTTTATTTTTACTCACCACCATCCCCCACCACTCCACCCTAAAATCCCTCTGGTGCTGACTTTACACATTTGCTCTTAGGCACGTTTCCTCTCACTGATGATTGTAGCTGAGTTGGGGAAGTTGCACACAGGCAATTGGGATACTTAATGATTCAGAAAAGTTGAATGTGGGCTGCATTTGATCTGGGGAAGCATTATAGTTTGCCTGGATAAATGTTGTAACATTTTTTTCCAATTACCCATTTCTTTTGTTCATTTTTTTCCCAGTTTCCACTTCAGAGGAGAAATTATATATTCCTTAAATAGTTACAATTCTTATAATAAGTGTGAATTGAAAGTCCCCCAAACAATACCTCAGGATTACCTAAACATCTATTCCTTCTGCTCCAAGAAGCCAGGAATTTCTGTAGTGGTGCACACATATCTTACACTATCATAGAATAAGCTTCCACTACATTTGTTCTCCCCATTAAAATGTAGGAGAAATACATCACATTTGCTTTTTCTGACTCCAGAAACTTTTGATAATCATACCCATTTCTGGCACTGAAAACACACAATTATTCTGTTTCTTTATTTGCTCCCTCCTTCCCTTTTAAATTTTCTTCAAATCTTTAATTTTCCCTATAATATCTAATTAATAATTGACGGCAGAAAGCAGACAGGTTCTTAGGCAGGAAGGGGTGGGTCCCAGGTGAAACTCCACCTTCAAGCCAGGGATGGCCTGAAGCTTGGGGGCTGGACTGCCAGTTCCTGCCCTGACCAGGAGTGACAATTTCTTTGATGCCTTTTGGTCAATAAAGTGGTACTTTTTCTGGGCCCTCCCATGGACCAATGAGCACACAGTTCCTCCTGCCTATGCACTAATCAGCATGCACTTCCTCCATTCTGAGCCCATAAAAACCCCAGACTCAGCCAGACTCAGACACTCATCAGGACTACCTGTCTGCAGATAGGAACTACAGACTTCAGGTCTCCTCTCTGCTGAGAGTTTTTGGTCACCCAATAAAGCTCTTCTCCACGTTGCTCACTCTCCAGTTGTCTGTGTAACCTCATTCTTCCTGGACTCAAGACAAGAACTCAGGACCCGCCAAACGATGGGAGCAAAAGTGGCTGTAACATGTTCCTGGCTGGCTTCCTGAGCTGCGGGTGATGGCATGCCCCCAGAATGCAGGAGTAGGAGTGAAGAATGGTGACCTTTCTGGAAACCCAGACCTCAGGATTCCCCCAGCCAAAGCCATTACACTATAGCCCTCCCACCCTCCACTGGCACCACGTAACCACTCCATGCAACAAGAAGCAGCAGCGGGGTCAGGTAGGTCAGCCCAGGAGCCATGGGCCGGTGCCAGGCAGTGGGACTGAAAGAGTTGTAACACAAACAGGCTGAAACATGACCCCCCCCCCAACCCCAACTTCACTGCACTGTGGGCAAGGAGAAGGAGAGAAGAGATGTGGCCCTTCTGGGAGCACAGACCTTGGGAATCCCCTAGCCAAGGCTGTGACCTGCTATGAAACCCTCTTTGGGGCTCTGCAGCTCCTGGAATCTCTGAGCTTTTGGGCACCACTACATTCCTCTCATCCAGATGATGGTGCCTGCAGCAGAAGCCGCTTGTGGTACGTCTGGTGCCATCACAGCTTAGCATGGATCCAGTGCCTATACTGGTGTCTGTGTTGGTGCCTGGAGCTGCCCACCCCTCCATGGCAACCAGCAAGCCTGGCTGCATGCAGTGGCTGGACCTGGTGCTCACTTGCTCTCACACCCCTCACCACTCCATGTCTGGCTTTCCCTTGACAGGCATGGGATCTGGGCCAGTAGTGTGAGCCAAGTGCAGTTTGTTGGGCCGAGTGGGTGGGACAAGCCCAGTGGGTGCGGGCAAAACTCGAGCAGAGGCACTGCCAACCACAGAGGTTTCCAGCTGATGAAGTGACACCTGAAGGATCTTGTGACATAATGATCCAAGCCACAAGACAGAGTGACTTAGCATGTCTGTATCTCTCCCAAAATGTTTTAGAAAACCCTAGGGCAGTGGAGAAGAGGGCAGTAATTCTAGAACTACTTGCAAAAGATGAATTTAGATTGCTAGGAGGCTGTGAAGGGAAGGCTGGAAAGGTGGACATTCAGAGGGTACAAGAGATGGTAATAAATTCATTTCTAGATGAATGATTTTTTTTACACTTGAACAACAGACCACAGTCAACAGGGGAATGCTTATTAAAAAATGCAACTTCTGGGTGGTTCCCCAGGCTCACTAAATTAGACATTTTATTGAAGGCTGTTGCTAGGAATTTCTTTTTTCATGAACTCCCCAGGCAATTCTTATATGCACATCAATTTGGGGTCCAGTGAGTCACCCGTGCTGCCTATTAAATATACACAGATTTCCTTGGCTTCACCTGCTTACCGAATTTCAGATTCAGTAAGTCAGAAACTGGGTCTCAGATATTTATCAAGTCTCCACAAGACCCTGGACGATTATTTAAATGCTGGAAATTTGGAAAACAATAAGGACATTGTACCAGCGATGGTATGGTAGTAGGAGGGGAGAATGCGAGACTAGGTGACATATTTCTTATTTGGGAAGCGGTTCTGAGCTAACCAAAGTTTGTTAGTGAGTTTGTGACCAGAGCTGTTGTTAAGAATTCAACTTGGTAAACCCTACTAAAAGATGTTTAACCTATTGGATTAACATCATGTTGAGTGACATGCATGAATCACAGTTGTTTGCCTGCAGGAAGTTGTTGGTGTTTTCAGTAATCTCTTACATTTGTGTAGCACATTGAAAAGTACGTTTTATATACTACTTCTCTGATCCTCAGAATAGCATAAGTTTAACAAGGCAATTTTGAAAGTTCAGAAAGTTGAAATGAATTTCCTCAAGACACCAGCTGGTGTCACAAAAAGGTCTTACAATTTGGCTCTTCTATCCTTGGGTCTATATCAAGATTCTTAACTTTAACTTAAGCAAAAAAGATTATGTATCAATTCCTATACCAGAAAATTACAAGGGTCCTTCATGGTGAGATACAGCGGTTTAAGTTGTATCATTAGTGCTTTGTCTTCATGTCATTCTTTTAGACAGATGGCTACTTTTATCCCTCATGGCTACTTTTTATGCTTCAGTTTTCTCATTAAGTGTACTTTCTTATCCACCCATCTGTATTTTTACCACTTTCTGTGAAGCCGCTTATGGAACTTAAATCTGTGGTTATTTGTTTGTTGTCTGCTCCCCAACTAAGATTTGAGTTAAAGTCCATGTAGAAAGTGCCTATGTTGTGAATTTCCTTTGCAGAACTCAAATTCTATATAGATTTGCTTGTTTGGTTTTTATGTTGTATTCTTCCACTAAGATTGCAAGTTCCATGTTGTATTCTCCAGCATATACTCAGGACTTAGCAAAGAGAAAGTGCTCAATGAATAACCCATCAAATGAGTGAATGGAAAGTCATTGACCTCTCTAAAATTCAATTACTTAAACTGAAGATGGAGCTATTAACTCCTCTTTTAAAGGACTACTACAAGTGTTTACATAAGAAAATGTAGCTGCACCAGACCAATCTGGTTTAACTTTTTTGTAACAAATTAATGAGTTGTTTTTCAGTTGCCATGGACCCTCTGGTCACCTATCCTGAGCATGCCTAGATAAAACAAGTGTGCAGCCGCAGGAGAAACCTAAGTGCTCCAACCTAGGAGGAGGCTGAATTAAGAATCCCAAACCACATGACGGGATCCAGGATCCAATTGGATTGAGCTGTGGCACCACCCCATGGCAGGATCCAGTCAGATCATGCCTTCCAGCATCACCTCATTGCAAGATCATGCCTTATTACCTTATGCTTATAAAGCCTGATCCAGCCTCCAGCTCTGGGAGGTTCTGCTTTGGGAGCAATCTCTGGTGTTCTCCTTGTTTACTGTAAGTAATAAAATCCTCTTTTAAACTGTCCTTGGTTGTGGTCTTTGGGCTGTTAGCTGCCAAAGAACTGAACCCACCCCTTGTGTGAGAAAAAAAATGCATGTGGCATGTCTAACACATTTCCTAGCACATATAAGATCCTTAAGAAATAATAGATCTTTGATCCTGTGGCTATAAGAGTCAAAATTTCAGGCTTCCTATATATGTGTAAGCTCAGCTCCAGAGAACTTTATGTTGGCTGCTTTGCATGAACTTGTGGAAGTGAAGGAAGAGGCGGAGAAACTGAGTTCTTAGTAACAGCGAGTATTAATTCAGCTGGTAGCTGATGCTGGCTGCTTTGGATGGCAGTCTTCCAGCTGGTGAATGGAAAATACGTGATTCCCAATGTTTAAAAATACCCTGAGACAGATTAATTGTTGGTTGCTGACAGGCAGAGGGGAGTGTTTACCAGTTTACACCCTGACCCTATACTCAAAACAAAATCACACAGCAATTGATTTCCTCTCCCTCCCATTAACAGTTTTATAGATGTTGTGATTGTATTAATGAACATTTTATAACACTTTAGAATTTAGAAAGCACTTTCACATAGATTCATTTGAGCCTCACAATCCTACAAAGTTGTAATGAGATTCACATGAGCAAATAAATGGTTATGTATTGATTTAAAACCCTCAATAAAGGAGGATGACTACAATTTTCCCATTAATATTCCCATATTATACATGTGGAAATAGTTTTGAAGAGCCAAGGTTAATTGCCTGAGGGCACTTAGTTAGTAAGGGTTAAAGCCAGTCCCAAATAAAATATATGGCATTCCACAGCCAGTGTCTTGTCAGTTCAGGCTGCTATAACAAATATACCATAGACTAGGTGACCTTAACAACAAACTTTTATTTCCCACAGTTCTGGAGGCTGGGAAGTCCCAGGATCCAGGTGCCAGCAGATCTGGTGTCTGGTGAGGGCTTGGTCACTGATTTGCAGATGATTGTCATCTCCTTGAAATCCCCACAAGGTAATGAGCAGAGAAAGAGGAAGCAAACTCTCTCATGTCTATTTTTATAAGTGTATTTATCCCATTCATGAGGAATCCACCCTCATGACCTAATTACTTACCAAAGGCCCTACCTCCAAATACCATTACATTGGGGGTTAGGCTTTAATGCATGAATCCTGGTGGGACACAAATGTTCAGTCCATAGCATCAGTGACCACCAAGTTTCCTATATGTAGCAGGACGTTGGAATGGGCCACTTCCTATATAGGTTTTCACTGAGAGGCTGTGTTAGTTTGCTAGGGCTGCCATAACAAAACATCATAGACTAGGTAGCTTAAACAACAGAAATTTGTTTTTTCATAGTTCTGGAGGCTAGAAGTCCAAGATTTAGGTGCCAGCAAAATTGAACCCCTCTGAGACCTCTCTTCTTGACTTGCGGATAGCCACTTTCTTCCTGCCTCATTGCATGAACTTCTCTGTGCACATGCATCATCCGTGGCCTTTTGTAAGTCTTATAATAATAATTTCTTTTCTCACAACGACCAGACAGATTGGATTAAGGCCCACCCTTATGGCCTATTTTATTTAACTTAGTCACCTCTTTAAAGGTCCTATCTCCAAATACAGTAACATTCTGAGGTTCAGGGGGTTAGGATCTCAACATACGAATTTGGAGACATGGAAAGCACAATTCAGCCCATAACATGGGATATTACAAAGGTAAATACTCAACAAATCCTCATTATGGCCATAGGTATAATTTATTAAGAATTTACAGTGTAAAAGTAAAGTAATGGGTTTCACAACTCTTAGACCATGCAAACAGAAGGACATCAAAAAGAAAGAGTTGAGGCTGGACACAGTGGCTCAAGCCTGTAATCTCAGCACTTTGGGAGGCTGTGGTGGGCAGATCACTTGAGGCCAGGAGTTTGAGACCAGCCTGGTCAACATGGCAAAATCCTATCTCTACTTAAAATACAAAAATTAGCTAGGCATGGTGGCACACAACTGTAATCCTAGCTACTTGGGAGGCTGAGGCATAAGAATTGTTTGAATCCAGGAGGTGGAGTTTGCAGTGAGCCATGATCGCATCAGTGCACTCCAGCCTGGGTGATAGAGCTATACTCTGTCAAACAAAGAAAGAGAGAAAGAGGTAGAGAGGAAGAGATGGGGAGAGGGAGAGAAGGAGGGGAAAGTTTGGGAGGAGAGGGTAGTTATAGAAAGCCCCTAAAGGGAATTGCTGTGAGGCCCAATTCCCTTTAAGACCACTAGAGAGAGAAAGAATCCCTGGGATCACCCAGAGAGCTTGATATGTGTGTCCCTGTGGTTGATGGACACTATGGTTTAATGTAAGACTCCTGCCCAGGATAAATACAGGGTGACCATTGGCTGGGCAATAGCTTTGGCAACTAAACAATGAGAATGTTGCTGCAGTGAGCTCAGCACACACTTCTGAGATGAACAAGGCAAGAATGCAAGAGTGTTTTCCATGTACCAGATGAAGAAAGCTGAGGTGGATAGATCTTGGATCCTGTTGAATTGGATATCTAGAGGGGAGGGAAACCCAGCCTCAAGTTGGAGGTGAGTAATTAGAGGCTAAGAGGCTGAAAATGAGTTCCAAGCATCACACAGAAAGAGTCTTCTGAGAAATAAAAGACAAAATGTTTGATGAAGGAACAGAGAAGATGCCAACAACCCAGCCATACTTTGCTTTCTTAATGAAGGCATACAGGCAGAAGCAGGTCAGAACTGTAAGAATGAAGAGATTGAGCATTAAAGCAAGTTCAGGGGTTTGACTAAGGTCTTGGATGCAGCCATGAGACATTAGAGAAATGCAAATCAAAATGACAAAGATACTACTGCATCCCCCACTAGGATGGTTATAATTGAAAAATGGAAAATAACAAGAGTTGATAAGGATGTAAAAAAAAAAAGTGGAACCCTAGTACACTGCTGTTGGGAATGTAAAATGGTTCAACCAAACAGTTTGACATTTCCTCAAGAATTTATGCATAGAATTGCCATATAAGCCAGGAATTCTACTCCTACATATGTAATCCAAAGAATTGAAAGCATGTGTTTGAAACAAACAAATAAACAAACAAAACAATATACAAAAATGTTTATACCAGGACTATTCACAAGAGTCAAAATGTAGAAATTGACTAACTGTTCCAGTCGTTGAATGGAATACAATGTGGAATTATGTCTATACAATAAAATATTATTTATCCATAAAAAGAAATGAATTACTGATACATTCTAGAACACAGAGGAACATTAAAACATTGTGCTAAGTGAAAAAACCCAGACTCAAAGACCATATAATATATGATCTACCATTTCTATGAAATATTCATAGTAAGTGAATAAATAGAGACAGAAAGCAGGTTTGTTATTGACAGAGGCTGGAGGGAGTAGAGAATGGGGAGGTACTGCTTAATGAGTGTGGGGTTAGCTTTTCTTATTTATCAGAACCTCCTACTTATTAGCTATGTGACCTTGGATAATCTGGTGAACATCCAGAAGTCTCAATTTCATTCTTTGAAAAATAAAGGGGAAATAATGCCTATGTGATAAGACGATTTTATCCTTACTAGTGTAAGTGTTGTGGATGAACCAGCAGCATTGTCGTCACCTGGAAACTTACTAGATATGCAAAATATTTAACCCTACCTCCAACCCACTCAATAGAATCTGCATTTAACAAGATCACTGGAGATGCATTAGCACATTAAAGTTTGAGACACACTTGATCAAATGGCATAATATATATCAAATTGCTTAGCATGGTGCCTGGCATATTTCAGAAATCTCAATGAAAGGTGTTCATTCATCTAACAAATATGTATTGATCGCCTACTAGGAGCCGGGAATCATTCTAAGCATTGGGAATACTGTAGTGAGTAAAACTGTCAAGGACCTTAAACTCATGGAGTATATATTCTAGGGGAAGAGACAGACAACAAACAGATAAGCAAATAAATATGTAATTTAATAACAAATATATATTATTAATAAAGCCACTTAGAGTCACAGCCAGTCAAGTTCAATCCAATTAAATACACATTTATTAAATAAATATTATGTGCATGGCATCTCACAGGTATCTGTCTAGGATGGAAAGAGGCCAGATCTCTTCTCTCTTACAACACATCTCTTTCTAAAGCCCCATGCTGATTTCTTACTCAATACAAGAAGTAAATAGTTTTTAGGGCCAGAAACAACAGTAAATCACCAAGCCACTTTATAAGCAACATTACTATAAGACTCTTCTGGAGTCCTCGCTCAAAGAACCACAGGCTTACATGCTGGCTACCACTGTGCACATTGCAATACTGATTAAACATATTATTTTCTTCACAATGTAGGGTCATCATAGAATCATCCAAGCAGGTGGAAACTCGGAACTAGTAAGGGCCATTGCCTGAGGGTTAATAATTATCTGGGAGAATTCATGGCCCAAGAGTCTTGCTCACACCACTAATCTCATCCCACCACTAGTGCCTTTCGACGGGGCCTAAGATCATTTTAGACATTAGAAGCTTCTTGTGTCCACACATACAAATGCACGCACATTCATGCACACTGTAAATGTGCAAAAGCAAACATGCTTTAGGTTAGAGTGTTTAGGGAAGTGCATAATCTACGCTGCACATTTTAAGTGTGCAAAAGCAAACATATGCTTTTAGGTAAGAGTGTTTAGGGTGAGTTCATAATCTACTAGATTAAATAGTGCAAAGTTCATTCTTGAAGAGTGCTGGTTTACCCTAAGTGCTGAAGTATGTTTACCCTTTTTCTGATTCTACAGATTCAGAATCTCTGACGTCTCTACTCACTTTCTGATCATGCAGCATAAGATTTGCTGCCTTCTTTGCCCTTTTTCTGATCCTGTAGCATAGAAAATATTGTCAGTTTCAGTTTTTATCTACCAGGGTTCTGTAAAAGAATTAACTCTTAATGCCTCAAAGAACCCCTATTATGTAACAAATTAACTTCTCTCCCATGCATCTGTTTATGAGTTCTCCTTGGAAGAACTTAGAAAATCACTACTGAAATCATGTTTGGAATCTGTGGTTCAGATGCAGAACTCTCGTTGGGAAAGTGTGAGTGTCCAAGGGTCTTAACAATGTCACTGATGATGCTCAGTTGTCACTCCCTGCTTGTGCTCCTGACTATCATCTCATTCATTGCATGGGATCTCACTGGGATCAGTGAGATCCTGACTGTCATCTCATTCATTGCATGGGATCTAGCAAGTCTAGACCACAGTAGACTCCTATCAATCTTGGATCCTATCAAGCTTGCCACCATGTATTGTAATTAGGCCATGACCCTGTCCCATTCCCCACCAAGGGGACAGCACATAGTTGAGCTAATTAGGAAATACCTTACTTAACTTCGCAACTTCTCTTTTTTTTTCTGTATCTCTACACTGGGAAAAATAACTATTTTTGATATTGTTTTATGTATATACAGTGCATGATTGTTTTATGTATGTATAAAACAGGGTTGTTTTATGTATATACAGTGCATGATTAATGAACCAGTAGCTGCTACCATTATTTTTGTTAATAATAGTAATTGCAGATGAGCAAATTGTAAAGTGTTTCACTGACTAAAAGTCAATAGTATTTAAAGAAGAAAGAGCTTGTGTGTGCTGAAGTACTAAGAAATATTTTCAGAGAATGCAAAATCTATGCTGAGTTTAGTGGTTAAAAAGAAACGTAACATTGGTTGGGAGCTTGCTGGGTGCCAGGTACTGAACTGCTTAACTCTTTTCCTACAGTCCTGGTAGATTTCCATTATTGCCATTTTATCGATGAAGAAACAGGCAAAGAACGTTTGAGCAGCATTGCCTACCATTTCTTGGATACTATATGGCTAAGCCAGCCCAAGAGATGTTCAAGTTGGATTTCTGGGATACTTTGAGTCTCAAGGGGGGGTATGTCCAGGGCAACTGTAGGGGCCAAGAACTGGGGAGAGAAGACCAACTATAAGTCTTCGCCTTCTCTTTATACTGTTGTAATGTGTCTTATGATTTCGACTTCCAGACAAATTTTCACAGAAAAATGGCTTAAGATATTTTTAAAAATTGTGAAAAACCACAATGAGATACCATCTCACACTAGTTAGAATGGTGATCATTAAAAAGTCAGGAAACAACAGGTGCTGGAGAGGATGTGGAGAAATAGGAACACTTTTACACTGTTGGTGGGATTGCAAACTAGTTCAACCATTGTGGAAGACAGTGTGGCAATTCCTCAAGGATCTAGAACTAGACATACCATTTGCCCCAGCCATCCCACTACTGGGTATATACCCAAAGGATTATAAATCATGCTGCTATAAAGACACATGCACATGTATGTTTATTGTGGCACTATTCACAATAGCAAAGACTTCAAACCAACCCAAATGTCCATCAGTGTTAGACTGGATTAAGAAAATGTGGCACATATACACCATGGAATACTATGCACATATACACCATGGAATACTATGCAGCAATAAAAAGGATGAGTTCATGTCCTTTCTAGGGACATGGATGAGGCTGGAATCCATCATTCTCAGCAAACTATCACAAGGACATAAAACCAAACACCGCATATTCTCACTCATAGGTAGGAATCGAACAATGAGAACACTTGCACACAGGAAGGGGAACATCACATGCTGGGCCTGTCGTGGGGTGGGGGGAGTGGAAAGGGATAGCATTAATAACATTAGGAAATATACCTAATGTAAATGACGAGTTAATGGGTGCAGCACATCAACATGGCACATGTATACATATGTAACAACCCTGCACGTTGTGCACATGTACCCTAGAACTTAAAGAATAATAAAAAAAAAATTGTGAAAAACCTTGAACTATATTACCTTGTTTTGCTATATCCAGAGAGAATAATAATATTTGATATACTTAAAATATCTCTCCCTTCCCTTTACAAAAAATTAGATTAGTAATCAACAGATTCATCTCTTTTTTTGGTGTTATTTCTATTTGCTGTGTGTAATGAGTTTTGTATGTTTACTGCCCTTCCTTGAATGCAGTTGAATTATTCTGCAAGTAGCCTCTTGAAGCCTCAAGGGAGACCTCAGTTCTCCTGTGCTAGGATGAGCTGTGTGTGCCCATGCACACACAGCTCCTTTCTTCCTCTTCCCTCTCCATCCCCTTTATGACTTTATAAAAGCCAAAATGGGCCTTGCCAAGCATCTGGCTCACCTTCCTGGGCTTTGCATTTTTCTATTAGTGAAAAGCAGCTGACAAGGGAAGACCTTCCTCCCTCATCAAACTGCATTCTTCAGCATTCAGCCATAATAGCCACCCTCTCCCCAACTTCGACAGCAGTTTTCTCAGAATGTTCAGGGCTATTACAATAGGCTGCCACTGGATAGTCTGAATGGGGAGCTCATTAGCTTTGTGAGCCAGCATATGTCCAAAGAGAGTTTATGTGTAATCCCAACAATTTTCTTTTGTTTGTTCTTTATGTTGTACTATCTTTGGCTGAGGTTGATTATGATGGAATCATTAACTCACGCAGAACTGGAAATAACCCTGTAGGGAATCATCCCAGCCCAGGCCCCAGGGAAGGGAGACATAATAGTTTCTCTCTATCTCCAAAGACTCTGATTCTAATTAATGATAGTCTCGATGCTGTTTTTAGAGGTTCTTGTTACTTCACTACAACATCAGCTTTTTCAGAGGAAAAGAGCTACTTAAAACCTTCCTCATGAATTTAAGTTCCTATTCTTACTTTCCAGCTTCCTACTGAATTTTGGTCTAGTCCATGATCTGTGGGTTATCATCAGAAAGCCTAAGGGTACTACATCTCTCTTATTCTCCTTGACTTTTTTGAAATATTTCTCTCTATATATAATAATTCTATGTTCAGAATATCACATGTAAGATTTTATTATGCAGCCTTAGATTTTATTTTCCTAAAGTTAAGAATTTAAATAACTTAAAAGTCCTCTAGTTTAAAAGCCACTGCAAGTGCCTGGCATATAGTAAGTGCTCAATAAATGGAAATCCCCTCTCTCTTTCTACTGGGGCTCTAACATGTCATTATTCTATCATTTTATTTAAATTATTAGTGTGAAAGCTATGGACATTTAAAGGGTCCAAATACAATGAGAAAACCATGTCAGGGTCACTCAGACATTAAACTGAAAGACTTGGCTTCAGAAAGAAGAAAACTATTTAAATGTTGACTTGCAATCATACCCTGGTGCAAATTCCATTATTTCTATGACTCCTGCTACCATTTCTGTGATGTCTAGCATATCACCGACAATAACTAAATATATAATTAAATATACTTACCATGAGCCATGCATACTGCCATGTGTACTCAATGGGCATCTTGTCGTTTGTTTCTCCAACAATCCCTGTTAACTCCACTTTAAAAGAGAGAAAAATTAAGCTTGGTAAGATGCAACAAATGGACCAAGTTCACAAGGTAGAAGGTAATGAAGCCAGGATTTAAACATAAATAATCTAACTGCAGGATCCACAAACATAAACGGTCTGCCTCATATCACAGGTCACCTGTCACTCTCTCCTTGGCCTCCCTCCCTACTCCTCTTCTTGATCTAAATACCAGTCAGTCAGTCATTATGCCAGACTTTAAATTAGAATGGATTGTGGGAGTGAAAGAGAAGGTGATGACAACAGAAAATTTGTGGAGGTTTGTATTGATTAGAAGTAGAAGGGCTATGTGGTTTTTTAAAGATGTTTGAGGCAAGATCCTGCAGAGTTGAATACCATTTCTGACTTCCACAGGCCATCTTCATTTGCTAGTCACTTGATAAGTTTTATGGTCGTAAAACAGTGAGCAAAGCTGTATTTTCATCCTCAAGGATTGTATGGTATAGCAGTAAAAATATGCAGGTACATGGTTATAATTCAGAAATACTTGCTATTCCTGGGTGATTAGTGCTTTGGGAACATAGAGAGGTCCACCTAGTTAAATATTAAGAGTCATAGGAAACTTTCCCAGGGAGATTAAATCTAGGCTGATGATGAGGAAAATTGTGAGGTAGGCAGTCTAAAGAGGACGTTGAAAACTGAGAGATCAGTTCAGGAAAAAGGAACACTCTAGGTAATGTCTCTGAGCATTTCTCCATTCTCAAAGTGAAAGTGGTCATCTATAAAATGAGGTCAAGAAAGGAAATGTTTAATGTCCCTAAGGCAAAGCTCATAGTACACTCTAAGGGATTGTAGGTGTTCTGTAAATGTCACTGTCCCTTTCTTGTAATAATGGCCAATAAACTGGTTCCTGAGGGCTGGGGATTTTTATTTTTATTTTTTATTTTTTGGTAACTTACAGTAGAATTGGGGGAGGCTTATTCTAGTTAGCTATTGCTATGTAATAAAGCACCCCAAATATTGTAGGATAAGACATCAACTATTTTATTATACTCATGGATTCTACAGTTTGAAAATTCAGCCATGTACTTGTACAAATATATAAATCGAGTTGATTGTTGGCTAAAATAAAATATAGTGGCAGCATGGAGACAGACAACTATATGTGAGTTTCAGTCTCAGCTCTACTGTTTACTAGCTACAGCACCTTGGGATGTAGAATCATATTCTCTATAAGCCTCTGCTTTGTCAACTGTAAAATGGGAATAAGGAGAGTAACATATGTTGCATGGTCATTTTAACAATTAAACAAGCTGTAAGTTAGTTATATAAATCCCTTGGCACAGTGCCTGGCAAATAGTAAGAGATCAGTGAATGTTAGCTATTATTATTTTCTTAAAAATCATCTAGAGTTCTGGGTATTGTTCCTCATGCCTTTAATCCCAGCACTTTGGGAGGCCAAGGCAGGCAAATCACTTGAGCTCAGATTTTAGAGACCAGCCTGGACAACATGGTGAAACCCCTCTCTACAAAAAATGCAAAATTTAACTGTTTGTGGTGGCATATGACTGTAGTCCTAGCTACCCAGGAGGATCGCTTTAGCCAGGGAGGTCAAGGCTGCATTCAGTCAAGATAGTGCCACTGCACTCCAACCTGGGCACCAGGGCAAGACCCTGTCTCAAAAAAAAAAAAAAAGTCAGCCAGAGTGTAGTAGGGATAGCTGGCATCTGCCCCGTGGGGTCTGGGCTTTCAGCTGGTAAGCATTGAATGGCTGGTGGCTAAAATCACCTGAAGGCTTCTTTTCTTGCATGTGTGGGCATGGACAGGGATGTCTCCAAGTTTTGGCTCAGCTCTAACAGTCGACCAGAGGAACGTATATAGAGGCCTCATCACAGTGTCTTGGGCTATTCAGGGAATGACAGCTGGATTCCAAGAGAACGTGTTCCAAAAGGGAGCATGCAGGAAGCACATTAGATGGGGACTAATTTGTGGCCAAGTTTGGGAATTAAAATCTGTTAGAAGACCAACCCAGAACTAATGTTTCTTTTACTGAATAAGGGCACAAAGTCTGAATAGTCTTATGTTGCCTAGTCCTGTATATTTACACAAACACAGACTTAGCCACCACACTAAAGATCTTGAGAGTAAGATGGGTGTCTAGGTCATCATTGCACTTTTAGTGCCTATTACAATGGCTGGCACGTAACAGGTGTTCTAAAAAATTCTTTCAATCTCTATAGAAGGAATGTCTAATAGCGAATACATGTGCAAAAGGCATAACATATATCTTGCAAAGATATTCTGAAACAAAACAAAAAACTAACCCAGATGGCCAATATGAGTGTAGTTTTTCTCTCTAGAAAGAGTCACTAATGGTAACATTTCAAATATTATAACATGACAGTAGAAAAAGCAAGACTTTCTCAATATTCTTTTACCTCCAGATTCTATCATTTTTCCAAGCAGGGCCTACCACTGTGGTACAGAAAAGCAATATAATTTCCATTGAAATAATTAGATACTTTTCTCTTGGTTTATGCTGTTTCTTTGTCTTGGGAGACTAATTAAATAATTAAGAATGTAGAGCCCTAACTGGAAACCATTTTGACAATGACTTAATGTGTGTCCTTGAACCCATCGTATACCTTTGACATCAGCTTTCTCACCATCGAGCACCATTTATAGCCAGAAGACATGGCAGCAAATGAGCAAAAGTTTGTCCAAAGTGACAACACAGGGAATATTACAAAAATAATGTATGATCATCCTAAATACTTTCTCCCTCTGCCTAAACACCCCCTTGACCATAAGTCAAGTCTCCCGGAAGATGCATTTACTCTCTTAGACAGTTAGAATATATGTTGTAATTTGTGCCTTCAGTGCATAGCAGCTGGGAGAATTTGGCACCAGTAACTTTTTTTATTTGCTAATATCATTTGGCTTTATCCTCAAATGAAATTTAAAATGACACAGTTTGGCAATCCACATTAGCACCATCTAGCAATAGTCCCATGTTGGTTTCACTGCAGTTTGATAATTTACAGACTCATTGGGCTGCAAGGGACTTGGCGCGCTTACCTAATTCGACGGTTTCTAAATCTGGCTGAACATCAACATTTAATGGGGACCTTTAAAAAAATACAGATTCCTGGGCACAAAGCCCTACTGATCAGCAGGTGAGAATCTGAACAAGTGGAACCTAGAAATTTTAAACTTCACAAAGCTTTGCAAATGATTCTGACAAGCTAAGATAGGAAATCAGTACTTTAATTTACATCTCATCTTCAGCTGAAGCCCTGAAGAGTAGTTTTGTTTGCTTGTTTGTGTCATTTGTTGGAATGTTTGTTCATTCATTCATCCATTCGTGTTAGTAAAGAATATCATTTTTTTTCTTAAAACGCTTCGATTCTCCACTGGTAATTTTCAGACTTCTTATGGGTGAGTGGCCAGGATGTGCTGTGATCAATTTTATAGAGAAGAGGATAAAAGAGGTTCTTCAAAGCACGGGTGCTTCTAGTAGCTTACCCTCGGCAGCATTTTCTCTTCAGTAAATCCTTGACAGTGAGGTCATCCTCCCTCCCTTCCAACTCTCTTTGATTTAGTTCTAAATTTGCTGATTCCCATTGGACTTTGGTGCTTCCCCTAAAGCAAGGATTGTATCAAACTTTGCTAATGTCCATAATCTCTTAACATCATCGCTTTTTTTCTATCTCAGACATCATAGATCAAAAGAAAATGTATAAGATTACAATATATCCCTATTTAAAACTTTTCAAAGATTTCTCATTTAATGAAGAAAATTCAGACTTCTGACCATGTTCTTGTGCCCCTGCATGACCCTGCTCCTGTTGGCCTTTTTGACTGCATTGTGTCCATTTTTTCTTGTTCTCTAGCTTCAAAACCCCTGTCCTGTTTTGTGAACATAAAGCTTCCTGCCTCTGGACTTTCACTTTTTTTTTTGCCCTATTTTGGGTATTTTTCTAATGGATATCTTATTCTAATATTCAGATCTTGCTTAATTGTCACCTCCTCAGACAGAACTTCCCTGACCAATCTATTTTATGTCTTCTTCCATACCTGATTACTCTCTCGTTTATCTCCCAATATATTTTCTTTGCAGCAACAATAAAAATCTGTTATGGTCTGGTTGTTAATGAGTTCATTGTCTATGCTCTGTCATCTTATTAGAATGTATACGTTCCCGAAGTGCAGAGATTTTGCACCTCTTCTCTAAGATAGAATCCCTGGCTCTCAGAAGAGTGCCTGACACAAACCAGCATTCAATATGTATTTGTTGAATGAGTACTTTAGAGTTTCAGATTTCCCCACTGGTTAGACTATGCTGAAGTTAGAAGTAGCTTCTTGTCCCACTTTCAGTGTCATAAGAAACTATTCTCTTGGTACATCTGGTCCACCTACGAGTTATAATAATTATTCTTAGTCATAATGGCTTATAAATTACTAATATCCTCTTACTAACTAACTTGAATACTGTTTTCCATAACATAAGGATACATTCTTTCCAAACTGGCTTCAAAAAAAAAATCCAGTATCACTCTTAGAGTGTATTGGCAATAACAGTATTAGTAAATAATAATGAACATCTGAGTCACTATAGCAATTGGATAAACCACCCAATGAAGATGTATTATCATTTCATTATTTGTACACAGCAAACATGTTCTTATTAACTACCAAGTCTGGTTGCATTAAGAAAGTTTTTAACCTTTTCATACAGAAGTTTATATGATTCTAAACTTGAAGCATGACAGTGTAGAAAAAGTACTGGGAGAAACTGTAACTTGGAGTAATTATTTCACTCTCTTCTATGATCTTGGAAATGTCATGTCGCATATCTGAACCTAAATTTTCTCCCCAATAAAATAGTGATAAAGCCTAACCCATGGAGTTATTGTGACATTCAACATCCAAGTATAATTCCGTACATGCATATATTTTATCAGAGCCAAAACCTTATTCAAATGTAAAGGAATATTATATGAATTGAAATTTCTAGTCATCCATTTAAAGGGACTTATTGGACATCTAGTATGTGTAAGAGAATAAAAAAATAAACAGACACAGTCTATGTCCTCATGAAGCATTTAATCTAAGTGAGAACAATGTTAGTTATAGGTAAATATATCATTATTTTTTATAAGTGTTAAGGTTATCAAGAAGATATAATATTAATTTATTTATCAATACATAACAGCATACTCTAGTTATAAAACTGATATTGTCCCAGGACAATCCTCTATTATGCCAACATTAATCTATTAAATTTCTCATTCTCTGAGGAAAAGAAAAGAAGTGGGAGACATTTCAATAATGGAATAGTGTTGTGCACTGGCAATGGTCTAATACGTTAGAGTTGTTTCCAAGTCCAGATTAACACAGTTCATGGACGACTGGAAAGCAAAGGAATTTTCTTAGAGAAAATGTATGTATCAACTTCCAGTTCCATCTACATTCTGACATTGGAATTTTACCCATCTTAATTTTCACTCCCAGTTTTACCTTAATAGTGCCTATCTTCTGAAGACTCTCATATTCCTTTACTTCTCAATTTCCTTATCATTACAGTAGTCTTGACCATTTATCAATGTCATCATAATATTCTTCTAATATTCATGTCTGTGTTTCTAGCATTTCCTTTTCCAATTTAGATAATATCAGCTCTTAAGGATCATTTGGTCTGTAACAGTTTAAGCTATATAAGTCATAAAAGCAATTGGAAATTTGATTCTATGATACTCAACAAAAAGGCAAAAATGTCTACACACAATGAGAAGAGGATACATTGAGAAATTATTCAGAGCACACAATACAGAGAAAGGCTAACTTTATTAATATGCAAAGAGCTCTTGAAAATCAATAAGAGAAAGACAAATGGCCTAATAAAAATGGGCAAGGAAGATGAACAGGCAGTCCACAAAAAGAATTATCCAAATGGCCAATAAACATGAAAAAGAGTGCAATCTCAGACATAGTTAAGGAAAAGCACATTAAAATTTTAATGAGATGCTGTTTGTCACCTACAGAATGGTATAGATTAGAGTTTTAGAATACTACATATTGCCAGTGGTTGAGAAAACCAGATCTTGCATAACTGTAAAAAAAAAGTCAATTTTGTTCTATCAAAACTTTAAAAATGCATATCTTTCAAAGAGTAGTTCCATTTTTTTAGATTATACCCCATAGAGATATTCGTACTTATTTATTTCTGAAAGCATTTACAGCTTTGTATGTGATTTCAAGGAAAAAAATTATAAAGATCATTGATGCTCATGAATAGAAAATTGGTTAAATAAATTTGAGAAAGTGCCCAACAAATAGCACACCATTTCCCTGCCTGAATTCAGAATCAATTGAGAAAAAACACAAAGAGAAGCACACGTGGAGACAAAAATATCCTTGTTTAAAAATTCAATAAAGGCCATGTTAAAGAATGTGGCTTATATATGTAGGCAAATTGGCTCCCTAAAATACCTATGACTGGCTTAGACCATTACAGCATTTCCCACAGGGCAGAACTTGCTCCTGTAGAGAGTGCACTCCTATAGGAGTGCATGCTTTTGGGGTCAGCACTCTCTAAAGAGTCAAAAGGAAGAAGCTAAGATAAGCATGCCCAGTCCATTCTCCCTGCATTGACCGGTCCTATAAATCACTCCATTCCAGAGTATGTGGACTAAACAAGGGAGCAGAAGGAAGCCAGACAGTTCTACTAACTGAAATCCATATCAAGGTATATATGGATCTACCTTGTGGAAAAAGCATAGGGGGAAATTGTGACTTGGAGTAATTACTTCACTCTCTTCTATGATCTTGGAAATGGCATGTCCTATATCTGAAAATGAGGACTGGGATCAAAGCTTTGCCCCTCCCCTGAAATGCAGGTGGCAACAAGTATGTGCTCAAAAGAAAGAACTACAAGAAATATGATTAAATATGAAAGACAAAGTGAGTGCAATAAGTATTCTCATTTCGTTATAAGCCATCTAAGCACACTAAGCACACTGGACTAACTCAGATCCTTCTGAAGACAGGAAGTAACTCCTATTAATTGAATTTGTGCAAGTGAACAGGATCAAGGACTTGGAGCAAGTGTTACTGTTTATTTTATAACCTCTGAATTCTTTAGCATTGTTTTTATTGTGTGCACATATTATTTTAATAATAATGATAAAAACAAAACAAATTTAAAACATGTATCTCTACCTGATTGTTGCTACAGAATGAAAAGAAAAAAAGCAAATTCCTTTTTTTACTCACTTGTTCCAAACATCTCTTCCAACTTAGTCTCCAGCTAGCACCAAGATGTGAAGCCTGAATACCACCAAATATTTACATTATCCTAGCTAAGGTTATTTAGTCAGTTGAAAAATACCCATCAGCTCTGCCTGTCAATAAACTGCCTGTCTAAGAAGTCATACTCCTATGCCACTGCTAGGCAAGAAGATTGATAGACCATTTCTCAAAGATGACATAGCTCTATCTCTCAACAACTTTAAAAATGCCTTTTTTACCTGGCAATTCTAGTTTTAGGATTTATTATAAAGCAATCATCATGGATGGGAGTAAATACTTGGTTTCTAGAAGGTTAATTTAGAATATTCTTTTTAATCATAATGCTCTTGGGAGCTAGGTGGCTTTCCCAGTAGGATAAGACATAGTCTCTGCCATCAGAGACTTTATACCTTGAACAGAAGTCACACATACAGCAAGAGGGTCTAAAAACCTGTGGAGGAACAGTCTAGGGAGGGAAGAAATGACAGCAGGGAAACACGGGAAGGCTTCCTGGAATAGACGGTTAATACTAAACATCCACTGTTAGGAAATTCGCTAAATAAGGTATGAAACATCCTTACAGGTATGAGACAGTAAAAGAAACTTTGTAGTCATCAAAATGATAGAGAAGCATGTATAATGGCCCAAAAAGATGCCCATGACACATTTTTTTTTCTTTTTTTGAGACAGAGCCTTGCTCTGTTGGCCAGGCTGGAGTGCAGTGGCACAATTTCTGCTCACTGCAACCTCTGTCTCCTGGGTTCAAGCGATTCTCCTGACTCAGCCTCCTGAGTAGCCGGGATTACAGGCATGTGCCACACACCCGGCTAATTTTTGTATTTTTCATAGAGATGGTGTTTAGCCATGTTGGCCAGGCTGGTCTCGAACTCCTGACGTCAGGTGATCTGCCCACCTCAGCCTTCCAAAGTGCTGGGATTACAGGTGTGAGCCACTGCGCCCTGCCCACATTCTTAAGTGGAAAACACATAGGTACAAAACATTGTGTAAAATATGCACCTATTTTTGTAAATAAAATCTGAACAGCAAAGGTATAGAAGAGCACACACTAAAATATCAATGGAAGTTATCTCCCTGTATGATGATATAATGACCTATTTTTCATTTACTTTTGTTTTTCTACATATCTATATTTTCTCAAATTTCCCTAATAAACATATTACTCAAGAACTAAAGGAAATTAATTATTTTTAATGAAAAAAAGTAGCAGAAGAATACTATCAATTTCAAGTCCTAGCTAAGGAGTCATCTATTCCAGGAAGCCTTCCTGTGTTTCCATGTTATTATTTCTCCCCTCCCTAGAGTGTTCCTCCACAGGTTTTTAGACCTTCTTGCTGTATGTGTGACTTCCGTTCAAGGTATAAAGTCTCTGATGGCAGGGACCATGTCTTATCCTACTGGGAAAGCCACCTAGCTCCCAAGAGCACTGCAAGGTTCATGTGTACATAATCACTGTTTGTGACCTGAGTGGAATGACTTCTATTGGGTTTGCCTTTAGAAAAAGAATATAAAAGTATTGATGGTGAAACCATAGATGTAGGCCATGCTAGGTAGTGAAATAACCCATTTAAAACATTACTTGGAGGCCGGGCATGGTGGCCCCCGCCGGTAATCCCAGCACTTTGAGAAGCCAAGGCTGGGGGATCATATGGTCGGGAGATCAAGACCATCCTGGCTAACATGGTGAAACCCCGTCTCTACTAAAAATAAAAAAAAAAATTAGCTGGGCGTGGTAGCAGGCACCTGTAGTCCCAGCTACTCGGGAGGCTGAGGCAGAAGAATGGCGTGAATCCGGGAGGCAGAGCTTGCAGTGAGTCGAGATTGCATCACTGCACTCCAGCCTGGGCGACAGAGCGAGACTCCATCTCAAAAAATAATAATAATAAAAAATAAAAACAAACAAACAAACAAAAAAAAAACGCATTACTTGGAAGAATGGTTCATTTTCTGAATGTGATTCCATTTGACTGTGATTCCATTTCAGGAGGTACCTTCCTGAAAGGATCTCTACACGTTAAACAGAGGCAGTGCTATGGCACAGCCCATATCAAGTGTTAATAAGGAAACATTTACTATGGAGAAAGTTCTGAGTGTTTCACCAATCCAACCCCTGTACAAACTGGAGTTATTAATAAAGACTCTGATAATCCAACACCTGCTTTCATTCTCGCTTTTTGAGGGAATAAAAACTGCAAGGTAAGCCTTGGCAGTTTTGGATCTCTCTAGGACTTGTTAAATTTCTCTCTCCCTCTTCTCCTACCTTTTGAAATCCTAAGCGCTGGTGCTTTATGTTCTGGCTTGTAAATGAAGCCTGTTATTATCATTGAGATAGTGTTTTTATGGCATAAATAATGAGCTCAAACAGGGGAAGTGGCGTTGGGTGGAATTACTGCTTGAGCTGAGATGGAAATAATCAATATGTCCTCACTTACAAATCTCATCTGCATGTCAACTCCATCCTGCTGGCAGTCTCCCTACAGATTCATTTCACAGGAGGCCCAATAAAACATGCGGGTGGCATTGATCTGTTTTATTCATAGCCATAGACAGAAATGCATCATTTGAAATTAATAGAAGAGCTTGTGTTTATAACCCAACTCAGAATAAGTAGCCTGCAATGCAGACCATTAAGAGAGGACTCATCCACCCAGAGGAAGAGATGACCATGGGGATTAGGGATCAGGGAACCATGTTTAAAATCCTCTGTGATGTCATGCCTATTCTCACTCATCCTGCTTCAGGGTTTTGCAACCTGAATGCTACCATTACTCATTAGAACAATTGCTTAAATCAGCCCAAGTTGCTATGATCAGTTTTTAGTATCTTTCTCAAATTCTGTCTGCCTTTTTTGTCCCCTTCAACCCTGTGCAAAATGAACACTAAGATATAATCTCATAGAAATGGAAAGGAAACTTAGAAACCATCCATTTCAATCTTGCTCCTAATTGTTATATGTGTCCTATATCACAATGGTCAACTAGTCTGATGGAATATCTCTAGAGACAGAAAATTCACTATTTTATAACACAGCCTCATATGAAAAAGAGTTTAGAAAGCTTTGATTTTTTGAAAGTTCTAGTAAAAATCATCCCTTTTGGTATATTAAGGGAGGTAGTTCTATTCCCTGGAGTATTCCCGGAGTGCCCCGTGACATTCCTCGTATAATATCATTTTAATGGCCTTGAATGGACTGAATGATAGCGGTTTCCACTTAGCTCTTTAGTTTATCACATAATATTCTATATTCTTCATGTGTTTAATCAGTTTCAGTTTTTATAACACCTCACGTCTCCTCCTGACTAGAACCAACCCCTTTGCTATTTGCATGGCTAACACATACCCATCCTTCTGACCTTACATCAAATGTCTTGTCTGCTGGAGAGATTTTCCTAGTCACCCTAAACTTAGATCAAAACCCTCTGTTATATATCTTTTTTTTTTTTTTTTTTTTTTGTTTTTTTTTTTTTTGAGACGGAGTCTCGCTCTGTCGCCCAGTCTGGAGTGCAGTGGCACGATCTCGGCTCACTGCAAGCTCTGCCTCCCGGGTTCACGCCATTCTCCTGCCTCAGCCTCCCGAGCAGCTGGGACTACAGGCGCCCGCCACCACGCCCGGCTAATTTTTTGCATTTTTAGTAGAGACGGGGTTTCACCATGTTAGCCAGGATGGTCTCGATCTCCTGACCTCGTGATCCGCCCGCCTCGGCCTCCCAAAGTGCTGGGATTACAGGCGTGAGCCACCGCGCCCGGCCTGTTATATATCTTAATCCTACCAAATGTCTTCTTGCATAGCTCATATTGCATTTTTAATTAGATGTTTTACTTTGAGATAATTGTAAATTCACATGCAGTTATAAGAAATAATACAGTGAGATCTTGTGTACCCTTTACTTAGAGTCCCCCAATCATAATCTCTGGCGGAACCGTAATACAATAGTACAGCTGGGATATTGACATTGATACACTTCATCAATCTTATTTATATTTCCCGAATGTTACTTACATATGTTTGTATGTGTTTATTTCTATGCACTTTTATCCCATATGTAGGTTCATGTGTCTAATACCACAGTGAAGACACAAAATAATGTATCACTATAAGTGGTTGCCCTTTTATAGTCACATCTACTTCCCTCTCCTCATACCTACCCTGATTCCTTCACCCAACCCCTAGCAACCACCAGTGTGTTCTCCATTTTAATTACTTTGTCATTTTAACATGTTATGTAAATAGAGCCATTCTTTATGTAACCACTTGGGATTGACTTTTTTTCCCTCTGAATAATTCCTCCTTAGAAATTAATGCCAGATTTTGTCTGTATCAATTGCTCTTTGTTTTTTTTTTTATTGTATCCCACAGTATGGATGTACCACAGTTTGTTTAACCATTCGTCACCAGGGAACAATATCTGAATTTGTGTTTTTTCTCCCAGTTTTTGAAGATTAAAAATAAAGCATCTATGAACATTTATGTCTGAACAAATATTTTCATTGTTCTGGAGAAAGTGTCCAGAAAAACCGTTGCTGGGCTGTATTACCATTGCTTTTGATAATTATATGTTTGAGCTGTTGAATCACTTAGAACTGTATTCCTCACTTGGCTGTAGGTGAAGTGACACCTGAAGACTAAATCTGTATCTTTGGCTCCTAGTATAATGCTAGGCACCTAATTGTTATTAAATGAATGCAGTTCATGTAGGTTTATTTTTTTAATACTCTCCCAACTCGTATGGGGGCTTGATCTTGAGCTTCTCAGCCGCACCAGACACACTAGATTTCTCTAGTTGCAGCTTTCTTTACTGGAGATTATGAATGTTCTGAGATTTTGCCGCTAAGAATTCAGAAGGAGGAAGACTCGTCCATCTGACTCCTATAATCCTCTTCTTCCAGGTCAATTATCTTATCTCTTTGGTTTCCTGCTGAAATAATGTCTCTTGGGTCCTCTTGATTCTAGAGAATTCACTCTGCAGAATTTAAAGTGGAAGGGAAAATACTAACAAAAAGAAATACCAGAGACTCAATTTTGATAATAGTAACCTTTTATCTGTAAGCTGGTGGAACGTGACCAGAAAGATCTAACAGTGAACAAAGACAAGAAAAAAAATTTTTTAAACAAAAATGTGTTTCCTCAATTTGTTTTCTGTGCTCCTCTCAAACATAACATTTCTAAAGGTGGGCTTTCCAGAGAAGCCCACTATTTTGGAGGGCCTGGGTTTCTTTTTGGAACTTTGTTTTACCCTAGTTGGGTAAATCCACCTCCCAGACTTCAGTTGCACAATAAAATAAATGATGATAACAGTTCCTAAATAGGTCATATCAAATAAGGCATGGAAAGATAATGATGCAACCATTAAACACTGTGTAAATGTGTATGTCCATTTTTGCCCTTCAGATACTGAAACTGGGCACCTGCAGCACCTTTATTCCAATTCAGTTCAACAGATTTGATCTGAGCATATACCATATTCTAGGCATTAAAGATACTTGTGTGTGGTGGGGAGTGGAATGGGGGTTGGTATAAAAGTACAAGCCCTGTACTATCCTGCTACCGTAGAAGGAAATAATTGTAATATTATAATACTAGATGGAAATAGAAGTCCAATAGAAAACCAGAGGAGGGGCAACTTGAGAAGAATTAGGGAAGGCTCTGGTCATAAGGAAAGACTCAGAAGAGGCAATATTTGATGGGTTTGAGAAGAGGTAGAATATGGACATCTTGAATGGAGAAAGAAGATTCAAGAAAAGTGATGTCAGAAGATCAAAGGCATGGAAAATGAAAAGGAATTAAGAATACATTGAATCTTACAAGGGTATAATGAGTAGATAGGAGTAATTGGGTACATGTATGGAAAGGTAAGATTGGATCACATTATGAAGGGCCAACATATTTAGATGTAAAATTTTGGCCTTTAATCTGTTGGCAAAAACAACGTGGAAGATTTCTGAACAAGGACACCACATAAGGAATTGTGCTGAGGAAGGTGATTATAACAGAAGAAAGGACTTGAGAAAAAGAAACTAGATGAATGCATATTGGCCAATGAGCAAAAAAGAGCATTAAGTCAGCAAGAACAGAGAATTGGGGCAGCTGAAAAAAGCCAGGGCACTACCAGCAGGGTAGATGATAGTCACAAGGAGAGGAAAAGGGTTGAGGCAGGAAAGTTAAGCAGGGACACTCTACAAAGTGCCTAATAGGTAAAATGAGGTTAGGAGCATAAACTCCACAGACAGACCTAGCTCAGTTTAAATTCTCATTTTTCTACTTACTTAAGGTATGACCTTAGGCAAGTGGGATATCCTCTCTGTGCCTCAGTGTCCTTATCTGTAAAATATGATCGATGATATAGACCATAAAATATATCCGTTTTTCATGGTTAAATAAAATAGTAAATATGAACATCATCAAAGCATATCATAAAAAGTTCAATAGATGTTAGCTATGTTATTATTGATCTTATTTTATTCTAATTATTTTCCAGGAACTTGAATTCTATCTTGTGTGCCAAGAGACACATGATGAATATTGTATTTTAGAAATATCATCTTATGTATCATGTGGAGAATAGATTTGAGAGGATTGAGACTCACAGCAAAGAGACCAGTTAGGAGATTTTTGCAATAACCCAGGTAAGAGATAGTGAAAACCTGGATTATAGGAGGGGTTTTATAACTAAACCTGAGGGCCTGCTCACTGCATTAACCCCATTGCTTGAAAATATACCTGCACATGGAAGGTTCTCAAAATATCTGACGAATGAAAAAAAAATCTGGAAAATGTTCAAGGAATAAACTTTTAAAATTCACATATAAGGCCTGGTGAGGTAACGCACACCTGTAATCACAGCACTTTGGGAGCCTAAAACTGGAAGGTTGCATGAGCCCCAAGTTGTAGGCTGCAGTGAGCTATGATTGCACCACTGCACTTCAGTCTGGGTGGCAGAGCGAGACCTTGTCTCTAAATAAATAAATAAATTTGAAATATGCTATACACCCAGACATGTTCACTTACTCCAAATATATTGTTTCATGAATTTTCACAAACTGAAAAAAAACCCATGCAACCATTTCCCAGATCAAGAGACAGAAAATTATCTCCACCCACCAAATCTCTTTTAAAAATTCTCTGGCTGAGGCCGGGCATGGTGGCTCACGCCTGTAATCCCAGCACTTTGGGAGGCCAAGGCGGGTGGATCACGAGGTCAGGAGATCAAGACCATCCTGGCTAACACGGTGAAACCCTGTCTCTACTAAAAATACAAAAACTTAGCCAAGTGTGGTGGCGGGCACTTGTCCCAGCTACTAGGGAGGATGAGGCAGGAGAATAGCCTGAACCCGGGAGGCGGAGCTTGCAGTGAGCTGAGCTCATACTACTGCACTCCAGCCTGGGCAACAGAGTGATACTTAGTCTCAAAAAGAATTCTCTGGCTGTCGCTATCACCCCACAAAGAAGACACTGTTCTGGCTTCTAAGAAGAGGCATTAGTTGTGCCTATTTTTGTTTGTTTAATTGTTCGTTTTTTACTTTAGTTTACATAAATGAAGGCATATAAAAGTAGGTATTCCTTTGTGTCTAATCGATTTGTTTTGCTCAATATGATATCCAAGGAATTCACTTAAACTTTTGTGTGAATCTTTCATTCTCATTGCTGTATATTATTTTTTCTGTTAATTAAATTATGTTGATGATGGCCACTTGGTCAGTTTCTTATTTGGGACTGTGATTATTCATATTTATAGGAATACTGTAGGTTATGTCTAATGGTAAGCTTAACTATGAATGTATTTCTGATGTGTGTATACCCATGATCCAGTTGCTGGATCACAGGTAATGCATATACTCAGTTTCGGTAGATACTAGCAGTATCCTGCAGTCTCCTAAATTGTGTGTTCTATTTTGTACACCCACTGGCAGGATATGAGTATTTTAATTGTTCCACATCCAGAGTATCACCAACACTTGATATTTTCCATCTTTTTTTTTTTTTTTTAGTTTTTCTGGTGATAAGGATGTCATATGATTTTAATTTTCATTTCCCTGATTATCAATGAACTTAATCTTTTTTCTTATATATAGTATACATATATATAGTCTTATATATATAGCTATATATAGTCAATATATAGACTATATATAGAGTATATATAGACTAGATCTAGTCTATATATAGACTATACATAGACTATATATATAAGACTATAGACTATATATAGTCAAAATATATTATATATAGTCTATATATCTATATAGACTATATATAGTCAATAAACTATAGTCAATAAACTAGCTTTTATATAGTCTATATACAGTCAATAAACAAGACTATATAGTCAATAAACAAGATATATACATTATATATAGTCTATATATAGATATATATACTCTCTATATAAATATATATATACTCTGTATATAGTCTATATGTAGTCAATAAACAAGACTATATAGTAAATAAACAAGATATATATATAGTCTCTCTCTCTCTCTGTCTCTCTCTCTCTCTCTCTCTATATATATATATATATAAAATCTTTTGTAAAGTACCAGTTCAAGTTTTTTCCCATTTATATATTGTTTGGTCTGTCTCTCTCTTTTTTAAAAAATTTATTTGTAGATGTTCTATGTATTTGTAGGATACTGTGAAGAATCATTTATTAATAATATGCATAACAAATGCCTTCTTCCACATTGACATGAAGTTTTCTTTACCATAATGCTATCTTTTGGAAAACCAAAGATACTTAATTTTACGATAGTTTAATATACCTTTTCTTCTGATTGTTATTTTATTTTACTGTTTAAAAATCTTTGCCTATGCCAGGGCTTAAAAAATTTCTCCTATCATTTTCTTGAAATTTTTGTTGTTCCTTTTTTACATTTAGGTCAGCAATCCTTCTGGAATTTAATTTAGTGTATGGTCAAAGGCAGGAGCTCAACATTTTTTTTTCTATCAATATATCCAACTTCCCCTTCACCCTTTATTAATAAGGGTCATATTTCCCTCAACACTGTATTGCCACTAATGTAGCAAATTAGGTAACCACATTTGTAAAATTATATCCTCTTCTATTGGTCAATTTATCTAAAAATTATCATTGTTTTACACATTTGAGGAAACGGAGTCTTTGGAAAGGGACAATGGTGGTGTCTGTTTTTCCAGGGTTCTTCACTTTGTAGCCAGCTCTAAAGGTTGGCTTTGAACACAATTGCAGACAGCTGCAACTTCTGTTATTTTAACATTCTTGGAGTGAGAGCTGTTCGAAAGCTCCATGCAAATGGCTGTAATTTCATTTGCCAAATGTGTGAAAAATATGTATCTCCACATTTTTCTGATAACACATAGGTTAGGTTTACATTTTTCCATGCATCATTAGGCATAATGTGTTTGTTCTGATGCTTCTTAGAAACCAAAACTCTGCCTGGTCACAGAGAGTAACGGTCAAGGTGGTTGTACTTCCAGAGGTCAGCATGCCAATTTCAGTGCCATCCTGGTAGCAGACATTGGAACACTCTGTACCTCACTTTCCTCAAAGTAAAAAGAAGCTAATAAAGAACAAATTTATTATTATCTACAACAAAACTAATTAAAGAACCTATCAATAATTCCCTGAAATAATTATTACAATTGTAAAATGAAAAAAAAGTGACACCACATTAGATCATTAAAAACTTCTTTGCATAAAGATATTATTCTTGTGTGATGCTTCCCTCCTAGGTTATATTTTGTCCTGCATCCATAAAGCATTTAACTAAAGGTGATATGCTGTTAAAGAGTAGCAAATAGTGCGATAGAGAGAAATTGACAACTGCCTTCAGTTCATCCTTTAATTTCACATAAATTCATTCTAAATTTTCTAAACACAGCCTCCCTGGAATCTGTCACACACAGATTTACCCTGGCTTCAGGCTGCTCTCCTGTGGTGTGTGTACCAAGCTTGAATACATGATTAAAATAATTATTTTTTCACTTGAGTGTTTTATTCCATCATTGATGTGTTTGCTTCTCTCTCCCTAGAGTCACTTTTTTTAGTTAGGAAAGTGAAATTTTGCTAATGTATTACCAGAGGGAAAAAGACAGGAGATTCCATATGGGGAAATAGCCTCTGTTCTTTCCCCATCACAACTCATCTTACTATCAAAATCTGAACTTCCTGAAGCATAGCTCTTAGCATTTAATTGAGGGGGGAGCTGTAATCTCTCTCTCTCTTCCCTCCTTCCTGATTTTTATTTTAAGTTAATTAGAGATTCAAGGGGAGTTGCAAAAACATAGAATCTCAAGAACCCTTTACCTAGCTGCCCCAGTGGTGACACCTTATGTAAATCTAGTACTATATCAAAACCAGTAAATCACAGTGGGTACAATACTGGTAATTACACTTCAGACCTTATGCAGTTTTCACCAGTTTTTATGCCTCGTGTGTTTGTGTTTATGCAGGTGTGTGATTTAGTCCTTTGCTAAATGTATATAACCCCCACTACAATCAACACTCTACAGTTCCATCATTACAAAGAAACTCCCTTGTGCTGCCCTTTATTGTGGCTGTCACACTAGGTGTGATATCTCTTTTGAGTCTGCAGAATAAAGCTCAAACTTCTAAGTCAAAGCCCTATGATATGGTTTGGATGTTTGTCCCCTCCAAATCTAATGTTGAAATGTGATTCCCAGTGTTGGAGGTGGGGTCTGGTGGGAGGTGATTGGATCATGGAAGTGGATCCCTCATGAATGGTTTATCACCCTTTCCTTTGTAGTGTGTGGGTTCTTTCTCACTTTGTTCATGCAAAAGCCGGTTGTTTAACACTGTCTGGGATGTCCTCCTTCTCTCTCTTGCTCCTGCTCTCGCAGTCTCCTCATATGACATGCTGGCTCTCTTTTGCCTTCTGTTATGATTGGGACCTTCCTGAGGCCTCAGCCGAAGCAGATGCCAGCACTGTGCTTCCTATACAGCCTGCAGAACCCTGAGCCAATTAAATCTCTTTTTTTAAAAGTAAATTACCCAGCTTCAGATATTCTTTATGGCAATGCAAAAATGAGCTAATACACCCATCAAAAGGGAGGATTTATTTTGAGTGGACAGTGCCTAAGGCATTCACTAGGTGATGGTTTACCTATGGGCAGAGCCATTGAGAGTTCAAAGATTAATTCCCATTGTTAAACCCCTCCTCAGCTTGATCAAGTGAGATCAAGTGATGTAGGTAAATTTTGGCAGAGCACTTCTAAACATTCCCATCCTCTCCAGCCTCCATTATCTTCATGCAGTCAGTATATACAAAATATTTTGTAAGGACCTGGAAAATTTGGATAGGTGTGTTGCTCTCAGATTCCTTTATTTTAATCATTACCTGCAATTGGATAGGTAACATGACCTCACCACAGAGGCAGTCTTGAATTCAGAGATGGGCGTGGACTTCATTTCTCCCTCACAATTTGTTCAAAGCTTTGCAGTGAACATTTTCGGATGCCTTTGTGAATATTAATTGAAAAGCACTGTGTTAGATTTCAACCATTTTTTTCCCACATATATCGTTCCTTCAGATGTGATCATGAAGAAGTTTTTATCTTGCCTCTACCAAAGAAAAGATGAGAGGTAGGATTATCAAACCCCATCTAAATTCCTAACATCCACTATGTGCCACTAGGCTCTAGAGACTTAATAGTGAATCAAATAGATACAGTGCCTACCTTCAGAGAACTTAGTCTAGTAAAAGGATTCTTAAGGACAGCATTCACATACAATCATCTCAATGTAGCAGTGCCTAGTTCAATGTGTGATACATAGTAAATATTCGTTATATGTTGGGTGGATTCACCAGCAAATGAGTAATTAAACAAATGCCAAGATTGAGAGGCGTTAACAAAGGTTTTATTATTTTTTCTCTCTAAATTCCATTTTGTAAAGTTTGGAAATTATCGACGCTTTCATAAGAAAATGGTTTCTTTGGTGTGTAAGATGAAAACTTGAAGCAAAGGCAAGTTTTACAATTCGCAGCTTTACAATCTGCCACCTTTTTTAAGGATTGTATCTGGCTGCATATATTTGGCACTGCTCTCTTCCTCACTCTAATTTACAGTGCAACCAATTCAAATAGAATGCAAAAAGAAGCATTACTAAAAAATAAGTATTATCAATTAGCATACAAAAGTAGAACTGCAGAAGCTCTTTCTGGGTAAGAGGTCCTGAGAGAGCTCAACAGCCCATAGGCAGGAACAATGTTAAACATGCAAGTTTATAGCCCCTTTGGGGAACTTGAACAAAGGATATCAGCTCCCCATTGGTGGTCCTAAAGCAAATCAATTTTATTTCTCTGTAAACTCATTTGGAAAACAGCTTGATTTGGAGGGAAAACTCTACGTGTTGTTAAGAGAAAACTGTCACCCATCCAAAACTCTCCAGATTGATCTACAGAATTGACCCTGGCAAAATGTTAATTGTGGGCAGGTCATTTGTTCAAGGTTCACACAGAATGCTCTAGTCAAAGCAAATCAGATTTCTTTGTCTTAAGAGAAATACTTATGCAGTACAACCCTCTAAGTGTGTACTTGCAGCCAAAAGGTTCTTGAGCCACTGACAGTGGATGTGCTATTATAACCATTCCCTTTCTGTGTTATTTTTTACCTCATGGCTTGGCATGATGCTGTCTCCTCTGGGTGGTATTCACAAGTCCTGGAATCATCATGCAGCCTGTTTTTCTGGGCTATCTCTGTGTATTTTGCACGTTACATGACCCTCTTACCATGGTCTGTGAAGCCCCCTGTGATCAGAACTTTGTCTACAGAACCGGATTCATCTCCCTCCATGCTCCCCTCTTGCATTTTCTATTTCAGCCAACTTAAATGAATTATAATTTCCTAAAAACACCTTGCCAGATCATGCTATCTGCCTTGACCTTGACTCACGCTGCTTCTCCTTGAAATGTCCTGCCTCTCCATGTTGAACTAATATACTTGCTGTTTTCAAACCTCATTACAAAACTCACCTTCTTTTTTAACTGCTCCTATAGAATTGGCCATTGCCCCTTTTGTGGCCTCCATGATCTGATGGATATAATTTAGTTACTGCATTTAGGTCATCTCTCCTGCAATTTTTAAAACACCTTTGTACCCTCAGTGTCTGCAACAATGCGTGGCTAACAGCAGGCATCACTGAATGTCTGTGGGATTAAAAAAAAAAAAGAATGAATGTTGGTTAAGCAGGCAGCGGTTTGAAACCTGTGTTAGCTTTTCAGAGTTGGGAAATTAACATAAATGTGCCAAACCTCAGTTTTCTCATGTGGGAACTGCTGAGTCATAAATGAAAGAAGTGAGATATAAAGGAGGTGGCATATATAGGCATTCAATATTGCTAGTTCCTTTCCTTATTCCCCTCACCTTGAATTGTGATGACTAAAGCAGAAACTGCATTAAGTAAGTCTAAGTGGCATTATTGACCATGAGGAAATAGAAAACAGTATCTAAGAAGTACTGAGCCAAACATTGCGTGTGTGTGTCTGTGTCTGTCTGTGTGTGTGTATGTGTGTCTCTAGAGACAATCATCTACCTATAGGATGGGAAAGAGAAGCAAGTATTGGCTTTCAGAAGAGGTATTTTAGGTTTAGGTAGTCTTCATTTTACTGTTGGTGAATGAAAATGCTCAATTTTTATTTAATAGTTTCTTTCTTTTTTTGTTGTATTTTTTTGTTTTTTGTTTTTAGTTTTTGAGATGGAATTTCAGTCTTGTCACCCAGGCTGGAGTGCAAAGGAGCAATCTCAGCTCACTGCAACCTCTGCCTCCCGGGTTCAAGCAATTCTCCTGCCTCAACCTCCTGAGTCGCTGGGACTATATGCACCCACCACCATGCCCGGCTAATTTTTTTTTTTTTTTTGTATTTTTAGTAGAGATAGGGGTTTCACCATGTTGGTCAGACTGGGCTTGAACTCCTGACCTCAGGTGATCCACCCGCCTCGGCCTCCCAAAGTGCTGGGATTACAGGTGTGAACAACCGCACCCAACCTAGTTGTTTTCTTGGGTATAAGAACCACTAGGCCACACCTTCAGAAAATAATGATACAGCTGTATTTGGGGTATCTGTGAAAGCCAGAATTTGCTTCTGTCCTTGTGCATACCTCCCAACTCAAAGGCTTTGTCCCAGCAGCCTTGTTTCAACTATGAATACACTGAACTGGACCCAACCCAGGGTAAGCTCAATGGCAATCCCCTCAAACCCCATTGTTGGACCTGGGCTAAGACATTCAACTCATTCTGAGCTGGAAGCTTGAAAGAAAAAGACACAAACTCTGGGGCACTGGAGTGGTACACTTTCCTGAGTATGCTTAGGGGAGCAAAGAAATCCAATCTGGATTTCACAGACCATTATGTCAATGAGATGTGATTGGGTGTTATGAGAAAGAAAAAAAAAGGCCCTGCAGTAAAATATGTGTGGTTATCTCTAGTTTAAACAAAATTGAGTTTAACCAGTTTTCTTACTATAGGATTTCTCAAAGCCTATAAAATGGTAATGTGTTTTGTGACTCCCCATGATATTTATACTATATGTAGTTATTTCCATCTTCTAGATTATGGCAAACCCATGGGACTAGTGGCCCATGGATGATACTTGCTATTGTGTGTCATGTAGATTCTGAATAAGATAGGTTTAATCCTGCTCCCACTAATGACCTTCTTTGTGACCTTGTATAAAGCACTTGACCTCCCTAAGCCTCTACACTACATATGTAAACTCAAATCTACTTACATATAACATCAGTTCATTTAATCTCTCATCTGACTGTATGAATAGTCCCTATGCTTGTGTCTCAAAATAATGGTACTTTTAGGAAACAAGTAGTACACAGTCAAAAAAGTGGTATGTAGAAGGGTTTAATATAGGTATGGTTAATAATCAGGTGAATAGGGTTATGGGAAACCAAGAAGGATTGAGAAAGTACCACAGTGTTAGCAAGAACCAGGCACTGTTGGTGCCCCTGGTCTAAAGAGATAAGATGATTAGACAGTTTTAGGAACCTGGAGGGATTAATAACAAGTAATAGCAAAGGGCCACCTAACACAAGTAGTGGCTTCAATAAAGGGATAGAGCCAAGCCACAGTAACCAAAAAGGAAGAGACCTAAGAAGCAAATACTCCAACCTTGTCTCCCCGTGCCCTCCAGATCTGTTGTCACACCTCTCTTTGGCTAAACCCACCAGAAGCCATCGGCAAAGGAGCTTACTGATGCAGTCAATAACAGCCTCCTGGGCACAGAGCGGGGCTGAGGAGGGTAGGGAGCAGATCTGCAGTTACAAACAGTTGGCAAGTTGGCAGCACACTCGGCTCATGGATAAATCAAAAGGCAGGGAGTCAAGATGACAGCATACTCTTTGGAGAAATTGTGAAATCATGCTGCTGAAGATGGCATCAAAGTCAGCCTCCCTGAGTCTCTCAAAGTGTGGCCCACACTGCTAAATGTTTCGGAGGGTTTTTCCTAATTTGGAGAAATCAAATATTTAAAAGCAGACCCACTTTGAAGTCTCTCAGCAAGCAGCAAATCTGAGAATTGATAGATCCAGTTATTAAAAGTCTGTCCATCTGAGCAATCTGTTTGCCTGCCTTTCTTGCTGTGTTGGTAATTTTGCAAAAACTACTGAATTTGCTCTCCTCCTCACTGCAGATTGTAGACAGAGTAAAGGATGTCTGTTGGTTGTCTATCGTCCTTTAAGAAGGATAAGAAGAACCCCTCCTGCCTCTTTCAAAGACTCCCAACCTTCTCTGGACATTTAGAGAAGGGAATATTGGGAAAATTATCATTAAGGAAGTAATTGTATGTGTTTGTATTTTATGTTGATGCAGGCAGAAAAGAACCTCATTCTTCCCAGCTCCCTATTATCTCACGCAGAGATGTGCTCTAGCTACTATCTTTGGTCTGCCTCTCCAGATTGAGAAATCGTCACTCAGAGACAGCTCTGTGGCCTGTAAGATGAAGAAAGAGACTCAGGAGCTGAAGAAGAATCTCAAGGAGAGATTGAAAAAGAAAGAACAAGTTAAAAGCCAATGGTGGGGGAAGGGGAGCTCAGACAAAGAAAAGAGGAAAAAAATTAAAAATAAATAAATAACAGTGCACTGCCCAAAGTGAAACTTAGTTTCTGGCTATTTACTGCCAAGTATAAAGTCCCAGGAACTAAGAATCCTTTAGCATTTCTGTTTCCATCTGAATTATTATTGAACTGTTGGGCACAATTAATTGTGAATTATACCCAACGAGTGCCTACAATCACTAGCACGGAAGAGAATGTTCACCATATGCCAGATCATAAATGTCTCTTTCCCACAGGAGTGACTTACCTCCTCAGCAAGAATCTATTCATCCTATTCTTAATGATGCTTGCCCTTTTTTTTTTTTTTTTAATAAGGCACTATTTGAAGCAGAGAATGTGGAAAACTACAGCCGTAGTCTAGGGAAGACATAATAGAATTGCAAGCAACCTTGACCAATTTGAGAGACAAATTTGTTCTGATATAAAAACATTTAATAATAAGGAAAATCACAGAGCATTTTGTGCTGGTTGACCTATAAAATTCCCCAAATTCTATGCTGGATGGGCTTGGCCATATGCAAAATTTCAACATAGAAAAATCTAAGAATCTAGGTAAATATCACAGTACTTAACAATCAGAAAAATAGGGTCGGTACTATGAATGTAAACAGGCTACACATGTATTTAAAAGAAATGGGGTTGGGGGACGGGGAGTGGGGTGTTCATACACTTCATGTTCAACACCTGATTCATCTACTGAAGTCTGTGTCTAATTCAGAGCCCAGTAACTCACACTTATGATTAAGAGTGGTGAATGATTTCAAGTTTCTATAGAAGGATATAGACCCCAAATAGAGCACTGTGTGAGTTCTTTCTGTCCAAGAATCAATGTTCCCTAACCTTTTTCATTTATCTTGTCTCCCTTACTGTCAGCTCTCCTCCACATGAACACCGTCTATTTTCTTCTCTCTCAAATGACTTCCCTGTCACTGTACTATCACCTGCTAAAACACGTGGCCTCTGCCAGGTAGATCCTGCTCCACCATCTATCTCAACTCTGCACCATCTATAAGCTCAGGTGATAATCAATGTCAACAATTATATATAAGAGAGAAAAAGAGAATTTTACCACAAGTTTCATTCAATCACAGTTGACCTTGGAACCTAAGATAGGTAAGGCCATAGCTTGAACTCATGCGAACAGTATAATGGGATATAAAGGATTAAGGAACTCCTGATAACACCCTTTCTCCCAAATGCCAAGGCATACGATAAATATTGTGCCAAACTCATTTGTCTTAACTGATGGTAGAATAAAAAAATAAAAAATAAATTTAAAAAAACCCACCCAAAAAAAAAAATTTGTCAAACAACAACAGCAACAACAACCCATCCAGAAAAGTATGAAGTTAATTGATTCATTGTCGAACACCTCTACAAGTAGCCCTAGGGTGTGTATAGGAATTCCATGCAACCAGGGTAGTTTGTTTGTTTGTTTGTTTGTTTGTTTGTTTGTTTAATGACTGTGCTCTTCTTAGACCTGATCCTGATTCTTCTTGAAGTATTCCTTATTCAGAAGTCCTCAACAAATTCTTCACCTAGAACAGTGCCTGACGTATCATATATGTTCAATAAAAGCTTGATCAGTGAAGTCACATCTTCTACCAAGGGCAAATATTTTAATGCAGATGAATTTTAAGACAATTTTTACCTATTCTCTGCATATTATCAACTAATTATCTTATAGCTCTATTGCAAGGGTTAATTAGATAATACATATAACTTGTTTATAACAATGATTGTATGTGTTGAATTATTTTATTTCATAGATTCACTTTCTAGTCAATCTTTTCTAAATCTTCTCCATTTAAGACTACTACTTATTTGCTAAACAGTTAATGCTATCCTTCATTTTGGGTCACAGCTTATGCATTCTCTAAAATATGGGAATATTTGTCATAACTGGCACATTTCCTTTGTCAGAGAGACAATGGTGGCCAGAGATGGATAAAAAATCAAATTTCCCAGGTTATAGGCTGAATCCTGCCCTACTTCCCCCCATTTATATGTTGAAGTCCTAATCCCTGGTGCTTCAGTATATTTATGTATTAGGAGATAGGATCTTTAAACAGGTAATTAAGTTAGCAAGAAGTCATTAGGGTCAGCCCTAATCCAATAGTACTGGTGTCCTTATAAGAAGACGAGATTAGGACAGAGACACCTACAGAAGGAAGGCTGTGAGAAGACACAGAGAATATGGTAATCTATAATCCATGGAAAGAGGTTTCAGAAGACTAACCCTGTCAACACCCAGATCCTTGACATGTAGCCTCCAGAACTCTGAGAACATTTCTGCTGTTTAAGCCACTCAGCCTTTGGTAGTTTGTTACAGGAGCCCTAGCAAACTAATATGCCTCAAGAATTCTGGGATGTCAAAGCAGAAAGAGTGGAGAAACCCGGACTCAAAATGTGGCATTGTCACCAGGTTACTATCTCAACTCTGTAACCTGGAGAAAAATTTCTCAGCATTGTGAGGCTAGAACTCCAGATAGACTTACAACTTTATTCTAGTTTCACCCTTATTAGCAAGGTAACTAATCTCTTGGAATTTAAGTTTCTTTGTCTGAGGCAGGGGAACAAGCAATTTCCATCACAGAGTTTAGATGGGAGTCATTATCAAAATGCATTTTCAGTAATTTGTGCTATGTTGAACATATTAGTAAATACTATTAAATAATAGCTATTATGATGATGATTAATATTATTATCATTACTTATCTCTCCATGCCTCAGTTTTAACATTTAAAAAAGTGAATACCACTACCTAACTAGCAAGATTGGTGTGAAAAGCAAGTGAACTAATGATGATGAAAGAAGGTTTCGGTGGTTAGTCCAGGGGGGGTGATGGTGGTGGAAGTAGTTGCCCCAAGTACAGGCAATAAGGTGATGTGTCATCTGTGGAGAATTTAAATATAATAACACATCTGACTATTAATAAATTTGGTGTGCTTTAACAATGTAAGTGATTAAATACCTTTGGTGTGAATTTCTCCCACCCTCAGCGCAAAATATTATAAACTAAAATGGGCCAAACCAAGATGAGATTAAAAAGACACCAAATATAATTATATGCGCTTCACAACTTCTGAACAGTTACTCTAGTAAGTGCCAAGCTAAAAACCTCACCTGTTATTTCATTCGATCTGTAGGCTCACCCTACAAAGTGGATCTAAAAAAGATGAAGTCAGGGGTCCAAGGTCACAAAATGAATTGCAAAGTCTGCATTTGAAACAAGGGACTCTGACTCCAGAAGTAGACCAGTTTTGTAACAGTCCTCATCATGATTTAAAGAAGAAATGCCTTCCTCCCTCTTTCTTCCTGGGCAATGTGCAAAGAAGGAGGAAGCATCTCCCATGCTTGGCCTGGACCCTGTATATAGCCTGCAATTCTCCAACACAATCTTGATGGCTATCACTCTTGATGTGTCCTGTTCCTACTGAGCCACTGTCTGGATCTGACTCATTTGGTGATTTATGGACCATGTCAGTGCAATTTAGTGTCTTAATCCTCCTAGTCAAGGACTATCAAACGTCTTCTAAAACCTCCAATGTCCTTTAGAGGGAAAGAAGTAGAACTCAAATGTTAGCAGCTTTTGTGACTTTAGGTGAAAAAAAAAAAAATACATTGAGCAAAGTCCCAACAGACGTGGAAACCCAGGTCTGCAAGTTATTAGCTTTGTGACTTTGGATATGTCAGTTTCCTTCTTTGATCTCTATGTCACAATATCTGCCACCACTGGGCTTTTGACTTGTTTACAGATTTGTCTCTTTCTCTGGGCTGTGAACAACTACAATAATAAAACACACAATTTTATAAAGATAATTGTGTCTTTTTATTTTAAATTCTTAGAACCTAGACTATCAATTATGTGGCCAATAATTGATAGCCTACAAACATTTGATGAATAAATGCACTGATAAATTGAGTTAGAATAAGTCCTATTAAGACATTTGCGTGAAGGTTTTTACTGGGGTCTTAAGTTGCACACAAATCTGAATATATATGTGGGTAGTTCTGAGGAGTAAGTTCACAATTTCATCTTATTTTAAGAACCCCCACATGAAAATGTGAATGTAATTACATATTTTGGAATAAAGAAAATTATATTGTAAATTAAAGGCAGATTCTATGGATTGAAATAAGCTTAAAACAAAAGGATGTTTCAGAAGTACAGAATAAGATCAGATTTTTTTTCCAGGAAGGTAAATAATTTTACTTTGCATTCCTTTGGCTTTCTCTCTCTCTCTTTCTCTTTCTCTCTCTCTCTCTCTCTCTCTCTATATATATATATATATAGATAGAGAGATGATAGATAGATAGATGTAAATATATAATTTTAATTTATATATCTCAAAATTTGATATATATGTCAAAATTTTTAATCTAAAAGAAACCATAAAGTTTATTTACTTTGGCTCCTCGATGTTTTGCTGAGGAGATGGCTCAGAAAGAAGAAGGGATATGCCAAAGATCAAACAGCTCATCAATCTCAAATCTCCTGATTCTCTTTCGATACACAAAATCTTTTTCTAGCATTTTTTCCAAACAGTGGATATGTTTATTTCAGAAATATGTTACTTAATCTCAATATGTAAACTGAAATAATGGATTGTTCTTACTGAAGCAGGTTGTAGGGACCTGGCACTGAAGCACATTCCCTGAAGCACGAGATCTATAAATTCTAGTTTGAAATCTACTGGACTACTTTATGCTAGATTTCTTACTATTTTAAATGTAAATTAAAAATGCAAATCAGTTAAGAAACTCTTGCATGACCATTACATGAATAGACCCTTGCAGAAGAGAAATTGAATGATGTTGCCAGTCTAAAGCTCACCTTTAAGGACACAGAGGCACAGAATTCTCCCCCTTCCTCCAAGCTCTCCAGCAATATGTCCTTGCTCCCTGCATAAGCTGTCAGAGCAGACAATTGCCTGGATGGATGATGGATGGCATTTCTCAGATTTTTACTTACCCTCAGCGGTCTTTGGCATGATATATAAAATGTCTGTTTTTTGGTTCCTGTCTCAGTCTTTTCTTGCTTGCTTATGTAAGGGATGGCATATCTCACTTAGGGATTATTATTGTTCAGAGATACCATTTACTTGGTCTTCTCAGTCTTGGCACTAGAATGATGATGTAAAAGGTGTACTGGGTCCAGATCTACTGTTCTTTAATGGTACCCAAGTAGGAGACCCAGTGGGCCAGCCCTCAGCGGAGACCAGCCCTTCCCACAATGATATTTGTTTGGATTTGCTTTAATATTGCCAGTTGCAGGACAGGAAAACAGAAAGTCTTTTATTCTTATATACCACAAGAATAAATTTTCGAATAAGTTTTCTCACCATCTTACTTGACCCACTAAAAACCCTTTAATGGGCCCTTCTTGCACACATAATCAAGTCTAACTTCCTTTCATGGATTTCAAAGCTCTTGCACATCTCCCGCCTGCCCACACCTCTAGCATCCTTCTCAGCCACATCTCTGATTGAATCTTTTCCCAAGTCACTCAGAGTTTTCTTCTCCACCTTTAAGACATTGATTCTTCTTTATCTCCAGGCCTGAATATGTGCTGCTTTCACTACTTGAACACTTATTTCTGCTGTCTCTGCCTCCCTCTTTCCTCTATTCATAGATTCAACTTCACCTCCCTCAAGAGGCCTCCCCTGACTCCGGTGGAGCATGTTCAGGGCACGTTTTTGTACTGTTCCTACCAGATTGCTTAATACATTCATAGAAAGGGATTGTTTTATTGTCTGTCTTTCTTATAGCTGTAAATTTCATGAGCACAGAAAATATGCTAACCTAACTCATGTTGGTGTCCCCAGAGTACCTCTCTCCCACCTAAGAGCCCTGAGAAGTAAAAAACAATATATGTATATTTTGCAGAGTGATCTTAATCTGGAGTATTTTAATAGAGTATCTTAATCTGTTATTGAGAATAAAACCTAATTAAAATTAAAGTGGGGACACTCAGGGTCAGGACCAGAAAGAAACATTTGACGGAAGCTGCAGACCATGATCAGAAAAGCCAGGTGTTGATAGCGGCAGGTTGAAGCTATCATTTCAAAACAAGGAGAAGCCAACATTTCAGATCAGGAAGTGACAAAGAAAAACGGGACTCCAAACTAAGGAGCCAGGATAGAAAATGCAGCTACAGGCACAAGTACTACATTAAACGGCCTCATCTAGTGTCTGGTTGATTCTATCACACTGCATCTCTGTTAGCTGGAATTGCTTTTATTGGTTCATGTTAGGTGTTTCCCAAGGGGACATACAGGCCCCTCTCAATACCTGATAATAACTTGTAAGGCCTATGGTCAGACACTGTGTGATAAAGATAATCAAGGCCATATTGGTGTAATTCAATTGGCCTCATCAATTGACTTAACTTTGCCCTTGTGGGGTCCACCTTTCTAAATTTAATGTCCTGAGAGTGACTGAGTACAATATACTAGTCTTGAATTATAATAAAATGGGGGTTTTCCTCCTCCCATCAGAATTTTGTGTATCTATGTGTATGTGTATGTGTTTTCTTTCTATTCCCCCTTAGAGAGCTTTCCACATATTGAAAATTTTAGGGAAATAATCTAATTAATTTTTGCTATAATGTATCCTGGATACATTGCGGATTTTGTTTAGTGATCAGTATATTTCACATATTAGGTTCCTTCTAGACTTTATACTTACTACTTTCATGATTCTGAACTCAAAGCTTTTCTTTTCAAAAGTAAGTTTATCAAATGACTGGTTTCTTTGGCATTGTGTCGGCAAAACCCTTAGTAGCTATTAATCCAAGACTTTTCCTTTTCATTTTAAAAACTCATGTTTCTCCAAGGAAAATTCAATCCACTTAATCCTCATTGATTGGCATTTAGTGCTGCAAGATGATGTTTTGTGAGAACTCTGGGTGTCTAACCAGCAGTTTGATCAATTTGTTATGCTTCTTGTCATGCTAATCTTATTTTGCACCTGGAAGACATGTTTCCCTGAAGTCTTCTAACTTTGTTTAAAACCAGTGCCATCTTTGATTTGACAATGAAGAAACTGAGGCATGAGCTATTGACTGTCCTGTATTATTCTGTGTTATTCACAACTCTGTGCTACAAAAATTCCTACACAACCAAATCTCATCTTTTTCTTTAAATAGAAAACGTGTCTTATTTTTATTTAAAACTGGCATATATTTTTGTGACCTTGAAACACTCATTTTGGTTTCAAGATCCCTGAGCTTTAGTTCCCTTTCCTGTAAAATGGGGAAAATAATACTTAACGTAAAGGTTTTTAATAAAAATGAGTTAAAATGATTTATGAAAAAGGACCCAGTGTAGTGCCAGGAATATAATAAATGTTCTGCAAATACATATATATTTGAACCCTCCAGACAATATTGATGAAATCTGCATCAGACATGGAGAATGCTGTCTTAGAAAGTTCTGAGTGTCTTCACTACTCTTATACTTCTGTCTTTATTCTCACCTGCAAGTTATATTTGCAGAAAATTTATTATATTCCTGGCACTACACTGGGTCCTTTTCCATAAATCATTTAAACTCATTTTTATTAAAAATAAATATAGTACATATATTCATTCATATAGAATATAGAATATATATAGTGTGTATAGAGTGTATATATACAGTATATATAAATAGTATAGCATATGTACTATACTATATATGCTATATAGTATACTATATATATAATACTGTATTATATATGTATACTATATTCTGGGCTATATATATCATACATAAATATATATATTATATATTTATACACTAGACATTTGAATATCTAGGGTTTTCATCATGTATTTCAAAAGTCCACAGAGGGTCTAAAGCAGAAACAGTTAACTGAATAGCCAAGAAACTTTAAAAGAGCTGGAATTGACTAGGTGGTTGGGTACTCAGATAAAACAACAAAGAATTTATCTTGAATTCTCTCTATATTGACCTTAAGAGGGAGTCCTAGGGATTAGAAGACATTTAATGTGGCAGGCATTTATGAATGAGTAGGTTTGGGGAATTGCTTGACTCTCTTCTCCCAAGTACACACCCCCAAGAGTAAAAGAACATTTATGTTTCTATGTAGTTTACTTTTTCACATGTAAATTCAACGGCGTGACTAAACTAGTTGCCATTTTCTATTTGGCTACCACGAAACTTAGGGAAAAAAATGAGGGAACATTATTACCAGATGTGTGGTTTACAAGAGTCTAATGTTTATCCTCATTTGTTGTTCATCCATTATAAATACTATATTTCAATGTTTTATATGTCTTTGAATGCAACTCTAAAGCAGCACACCAGCATGGCACATGTATACATATGTAACTAACCTGCACATTGTGCACATGTACCCTAAAACTTAAAGTATAATAATAATAAAATAAAAAAAGAAGAAAAAATAAAAAAATTAAAAAAAATAAAGTTTTCTTATAATAATAATGTGTGCATAAAGAATGAATGGTTAAATCCCCATCTAAAATACTAGTTTGTACAATATCATCTCTATTTAGTACCTAGTCTTGTAAAAGTACATAATTCTTAAATCCCAGCTTATATTGTTATAAAGACATGTGAATGGATTTTGTAACTTATGGGCAGTTCTATAGATAGACTCTCAGAAAGGACTAGAACAAGGATTCCAAACATATCTGTGTATTGAAATTATTCAGAGAGATTTTAAAATACTGATGTCTGTGTCCCATCCTCAAAATTTGTGATTTCATTAGTCTATAGTGCAATCTGGGCTTTAGAGTTTTTAGAAGATACCCAAGTAATTCTAATAAACATACAGATTCAGAAACCACTGGGTTTGAAGCAGAGCCTAGAAAGGCTCCAGGATTATTTTTCCTTATTTCATCACTACATTTCTGTTTGAATTTTTTTATCTAGACCAATGACTTTTTAGGTCTTTTGCTGGAATGTTTAAAAACACGGCCACAGCCCAGGTCCCAAATTTTCATGTTGTGAGAGTAATCATAAAGGGATTACTAGTCCTAATTCCAAATTCCAATGACAAAAGACTGAATTGTCTTATCATGAGTCTAATTGTTATCCTATAGACCAATAAGTCCTGAGATCGTGAGCAGAACTCTATAAACATGGATACTAGTGGCCCAGTCCCATGGGTGGAGAAGGCATCTGTTTCCAAAGAAAGTAGAGTTACAGTGAGCTGGGAAGACACCAGTGAAAAGTGTATGTATAGGGACCCTATTAAAGCTCACAAAATAATCCTGAGATTGACATCTTCCCTTATTTTCTAAACGTGAACTCCTCATCTATCTGCTGTGTTATCTGCAAATTAGCATCACTCTCCATGAGAATTGAAATGATCACAAAAGGCATTTACTTAGTGCTTATTAAGGACTAACAATGCACTAACATTTTAGGTAGTCATTTCTTGATATCCTCACAAGATTCCTATAAGTAGCACTAGTATCTCATTTTAAGCATGAGTAAACTGAGTCATGAAGATGTTAATATCTTATCCAAAGACACTCAAATAAAAAAATCGCGGTATCAAGTTTTAAAAGAGGCTGGCTGATACTGGAGCTGCAGTTGTTAACTGTTACAGTGCCATGAAAACAAATATCCCCTTCTCAGAGATAGCCCCAGGAAAACTCAACTATATACCAGTGGTAACTGAATTCGCCAAGTCACCAACATCTGAAATGCCCATGATAACCCAGATAGCTTCCATAACAGGGGATTGGACCAGCTCTTTCAACCAGCCTCTAAGAGCCAATTGACTTATTCAATTTGAAACATCCATGATTGAAGATAATGTAGGCTCAAAATACTAGGGTCTTGATATACTTGAAAGTAACCAAGTCAATTCCCAACCTCGTTTCCTACACTACCTTCTCTTTATTCATTTTGTAGCACAAAAGCCCAGAGGCTCAATGAGAGCAAGTCACTTAACCATTGTCATGGAGTAAGCGATTAGAAGATTCTTAAACATTAACAAAAAGTCACTATGAGATAAAAGCAGTTCTAACTGATAAATTACCTTGAGTGCAGCTTTGACACTGAGGTGTAAAGATATTTATTTGCCAGAAAATTAACACAAGCAGAATTTGCCCCCTAGTTATTTGAGGAAGCAAATTCCAAATTAGCCCCATGTATCTAATACCCATCTCTGGAAGAGTTTACACTCAAGTCCTAGGGCTCTTTCCCCATTTGCTTGTACAGCGGATGCCCTGCATTTAGCTGTCTGTTGCAATATTTAGTAATTAAATGCTAATTCATTGGTGTGCTCCTTCATTTACTTTCTAGTTGTTTTCTTATAAATATTTTTATTACTTTCATTAATAATTAAAATTTATCTAGCAGTTTCCAAAAACATTTCTTCGCTGGAAATAAACAAGAAATAACAATAACTGTTACCACTCTAGTGTATGGAGCTGTTCTCCTCTCTCTGTGCTTATCTCATCATGTTTCTAAGATTTATTGGAAGAACTCCCCATGTTTTCATTATATCAAGCCCACATCCCTGTTTATTGATTTAAAGTGTGTCTCATGGAGGTAGTCTCTTCAATTCTCCTGCCTGTAACCGTAGGTGGCTATTGTGTGCCTTCCAATAATAATGTGTTACTATCTCTCACTACCCTTTGATCGAGGTGCTCTCCTTGGAGTCTAACTTAAGTGATTTTAAAAATTTTATCCCCAGTAATGAGTGTGATGTGAGTAATAGCCATACTGATTACCTAACTATAAAATCAGGCAACATGTGAGTATCTCGTCTCTTGCAGATTACAAAAGTGTTAAAAAAAAAAAAAAAGCGGCAACTGGAAATGATGTGGCATCATCAACACTGATTGTATTCTATAAACTACAGTTGTGCTTGCTCCCTGAGAGTTTAATATCTGTTCATGGACACCCACAATTAGCATATATAAATAACCTGATCATCTCTCTAAATCACTTAACCTTATTATGCATATTGAACTGTACTACTAAAGATTTTCTACATTCTTCTGCCCATATGAAACCTAACTTTCAGACCTACATTGAGTGTTCATGCCTCAGTGATTATGGGTGTTTATATTAGGTTTTTATATTAGGTTTATATTATAATACTATCTCATTTTGTCATCACTTCCTATGGCAGAAAGTGCTAGTTTTCTACCAAAATTTATTCTCTCATTCTTTACAATAATGAAGTTCAAGATGGTTCCATGGCCATTGTCTTAGTCCGTTTTCTTCTGCTATAACTGAATACCACAGACTGGGTAATTCTAAATAACAGAAGTTTTTCTGGCTTATGGTAATAGAGGCCTGGAAGTCCAACAGCATGGTGACAACATAAGCTATGCCTTTGGGCTGCATCCTCCCACGGTGAAAGGGCAAGTGTATTAGCTTGTTCTCACATTACTATAAAACACTACATTAGACCAGGTAGTTTACAAATAAAAGAAATTTAATTAACTCACAGTTCTACAGGATTTACAGGAGGCATGGCTAGGGAGGCTTTGGAAACTTACAATCATGGTGGAAGTTGAAGAGTAAGCAAGCACATCTTCACATGACAGAAGAGAGACAGAGAGCATGAAGGCAGAAGTGCTACACACTTTCAGACAACTAGATCTCATGAGAACTCACTCACTATCATGAGAACAGCAAGGGTGACATCTTGATTTCCCCCATGATTCAATCACATCCCACCAAGTCCCTCCCCAGCATTGGGAATTACAGTTCAACGTGAGATTTGGGTGGGGACACAGAGCCACACCATATCAGCAAGTGAGAATACAAGACAGAAAGAGGAAGGGTGGAAGCTGACAGGAGTCCACTCCTGTCATTACTAACTCACTCTCATGATAACAGCACTAATCCATTCATGAGGACAGAGCCTTCATGACCTAATCACCTCTCAAAGGTCCCACCTCTTAATATCATCAAAATGGCAATTACATTTCAACATGAATTTTGGAGGGGACATTCATACCATAGCAGTTGTTAAGCTAGAAACTTCATTTACTAGAGACTTGCAGCTGGGGATGGCCATGGAAACTAGGCTATTTCCAAGTGACTGTAGTCAGAAGTTATGTGTGTGACTTCTGCCTCCCTGAACTTATATAAAACTAATCTATCATAACTGCACATCTTTCTTCTCCTGCTGGCTGGAACATGGTTGAGCCTGTGACCCCGCTCCACAGGTATAAACAAGGACAGCAATAATAAAATAGCAAGAAGTTTCAAGCAACCCAGGCCTCTATATTACTTCAAGGAATAGAGCAATTCCCAACCTGAAATGCTACCTCATGATGCTAGATGCGAGATAAATAAATTTTCATTTTCTTGATAACTTTTTATGTTGGGGTCTCTTTCTTGCAATAGCCAAACATTTACCTTCAATAGTGCACTCCTTCATATAAGAGTGCAGGATAAAAACATATTTTGATAAATATTTGATAAAAACATATTTTAACCAACTTAACTGACTTTATGCTCACACAAATGATGAAAGACATTTTTATTTATCTTTTTTTTGGTAGGGATTAGAAAACTGAGGCTCATAGACATTCACTGATGCGCACGCTGCGACGCAGTGAGAAATCTGGAACTTGCAGTACTTCTGACACCAAGCCCAAAGGTCTTGCTCAAATACTACATAATCTCTGCCCTGATAAATTGCCATGTACATTGAGATTTGCAAAGCAAAATGACAGTTTTCTATCTCAGATGAGAGACAGAAATATTAATTATAGAATAATTATATAATCAGCAGTGGTACTGAGTATAAAGTGAGATAATTATAAGGAATGTAGGGATAAAATTTCATGAGGGCTGAAAGGTAGAAGAGGCTACCTTTTTTAAAATAACTTTTACTTTTTTAAAGTTCATTGAGAAGATTCAGGTAAAGCTCTATAGAGAAGACGGACTTTGAACCAAGTCTCAAAGGATGTGAATTTACAATGAGGCATGGAAAATATATTTCAGGCAGAGGAGAAACTATAAAAAATAGGCAATAAAGCAGCCCAATAAATGCAGTTGTTTTAATGTTGGGAGGTAGCCACATTCCAGTAATATACTTGGAATTTCTGGACAGATTCAATCTTAAATCCTTCCTGTGGAATACTAACCATGAGACTCTGGGCAAATTGTTTAACTTCCCTCAGAGTCTTCTTTTTTTTTTCTGTAAAATGGGAGCAAGAAAGCCCACTTAGAAAAAAACCCTATGATATTATAATATGCCTTTTGCCCATTGTTACTCTATTAGCATGGCTAAACTATTCTAAGGCCTTTCTTCCTTCAAACTCTGACGTGAGTGCCTGCTTGCCCATATGCTGATTTAAGATTTTCTATCTAAGGGTAGGTAACACATGCACTGGATTCAGTTGATACAGGTACGAACTCTAATTGCTTTTTCTTGAATAAAGAAATGAATCAATATGAACAAATAAATACATAAAGTGATACATCAGGCTCAGCTTCCTATATAATCATTTTCATTTTTGCATTTTTATTTGTGAATCCACAAAGTTTCTTGCTTCATTTCCTTACATCTTTGCAAAGTCTCTGCTTGCAATATTATTATTATTACTATTATATTTGTTGTCTAACTAAACCAACCCCATCCTTTGCATAAGACACCTGAGTGTAAAGAGATAATATTTTTGCTTCTCTGAGTGGGATTTAAAGAGGATTCAGCACTCCTCTTCATTTGTACAGCCCAAGTTATAATCACTGTTTTTTTCTAGCCACCATTTCTTTTTCATTATTGTTGGAATTCTCTTTAAAAGAGTGGAACCCAGATAATGCCTCTGTTTCCTGTGACCCACATTGCTCAGGAACGATGTCATATAGTGGCAAGTTTGTGTAGGATCTGATACCAGTGGTCCAGATGCTTAAGCAAAGGATATGTGGTATCAGTTGCAGTTAACTATAGCATCAGTAGCAACCCTTCTTCTTTTTTTGAATTTGTCTATGTCATTTCTAGTATCACTGCAGCATTTCTAGGAAATGTGTCCTCACTCAGTGTACTGAAGGAACTTGAGAAAGTTATTTATTTTATTTCAGCTTGTTTGCTTTCCAGATTTCTTCTCGTATTATGGCTTTTAAATGAGTCAATGAAAACAATGATGTATAGATGCAGTTTACGTGTACCTCTTGAACTCTTCTTGGAAAAACTCATCAAGATTAGTTTTTAAAATTTGTGATTCATGTATTTTACTGAGAAAAATAAAGCACTTTCCTAAAATACAGTGCAAATAATTGCAAGATGACCATTGATTCTATGTCCTAAAAGAATTTTTTTTTTTTTTAGATGGAGTCTCACACTGTTGCCCAGGCGAGAGTGCAGTGGTGTGATCTTGGCTCACTGCAACCTCAGCCTCCCAGGTTCAAGCAATTCTCCTGCCTCAGCCTCCCAAGTAGCTGGGATTACAAGCTCCCACCACCACCCCCAGCTAATTTTTTGTATTTTTAGTAGAGACAGGGTTTCACTATGTTGATCAGGCTGGTCTCAAACTCCTGACCTTGTGATCCACCTGCCTCGGCCTCCCAAAGTGCGGGGATTACAGGCGTGAGCCACCGTGCTTGGCCCTCACTTTATGTTTTTAAACCAAATTGTGTTTACTGGCAAAGTGAATAAATTGAGCTAGATGATTTCTAAGGACAGTTTTTAGGACCATTATTCTATAAGCAAAACAAGATAAACTATAAACACACAGAACTGAGCAGGTGGTAAATAAATGTACTGTAGGTCACACAAGCTTAGGGAATTTAAATGACATGCAGGTGAGACTCAAACCTGGGTATTCAAGCCTCCCTCCCTCCATCAGTGATGGTGATCTTGGTAATGTCTTGTGTTTGGGAGAGCAAAGCTTCAATCTTTCTGCAGTCTTTAGCATGGTGTTCAAAGAATTTAACAACGCTTGTCTCTGACATTCTATTTTCTGCATCATCTTTCACCACTATTGCCCCAATTCCTTATATTCATGCCTCACCAGAATAGCATTGTCATGCCTCCATTCTGTTTCACACTATCCTGTCCCCAAGACCCTGTCAGTGCCATTGCTTTTGCCTATACCATTTTACCTGTCAAGCACCAAAAGTGGACATTTTATTCATTTTCTATTTCCTCTAACTTTCACAGACTCCTTACTCCCACTGGCTTTTTCTGCATACTTTGGTCAGCAAAAAAGGCATGACTTGAGCTGGAAAGCTGGCATCAAACTTGTGACAAGAGTAAAGTCTTACTGAGATCTAGAATTGGGTCAGGGTAGTTATACAGAGAACCATAGCAAGAGAGTTAATGTGGCCAAAGTCTAGATAGGAAGTTGAAAGTCATGGCTGAGTTTAGTGTGGAATGTCAGTCTTGAAAAGGGCTCAGTTGGGATTTTTTTTTTATGATAATAACATCACCATTTCTTGAGTTCCTCTTATAGAAAAAAATAGCTAGCTTAAATATTTTACATCAACTATTAATTCTCCAGAACTGATGTGCCTTTTGGTATCATGTTCCTGTTATTGCAAGCTGTGAGATGTTTGACAAGTTTTTTTTTGTTTGTTTGTTTTTGTTTTTTTTAAGAGGTAGTCTAGCTCTGTCACCAGACTGGAGTGCAGTGGCACAATCTCGGCTCACTGCAACCTCTGCCTCCCAAGTTCAAGCGATTCTTCTGCCTCAGCCTCCCGAGTAGCTGGGACTACAGGTGCGAGCCACCATGCCCAGCTAATTTTTCTATTTAGTAGAGACAGAGTTTCACCACGTTGGCCAGGCTGGTCTCGATCTCCTGACCTCAGGATTCGCCCACTTCGGCTTCCCAAAGTGTGGGGATTACAGGCGTGAGCCACCGCGCCTGGCCGACAAGTTATTTAACCTTTCTGTGCTTCAGTTTGTTTGTTTGTTTTCTTGTTTTTTGTTTGCAAATAGGAATAATAAGATGTATTCATAAGGTTGCTGTAAGCAAAAAAGGAAGCTGTGACGAAGCAGCACTTTGTCCCAGACGCTGTGGTCTTTAAAAATGATAAGTACCTGGCACACAGAAAGTGCTCAATCATCGTCATGATCACTATCATTACATTATTATTATTACTGTTATTATTCTGTGTATCAACCTTATGAGATAATAATATTTACTATTGATCTTTTACAATAAATATTTAACCACTAATTATGCTAATTTTTCAGTGAATACCTAATGTGCTTCAGCTTCCTCTAGATGAAGAGGTTTAGATGTGTACTTTTCTAGGAAAGAGAAAGTTAGAGGATCCATGCTTGATCCTTTATTTCCTGCTCTTTTCCCAGCAAATTATGGAAAGGGACAGGACACCACATAGGATTCTAAAAAATAAAACTCCAAGACTTTCCCACCTAGTCCAGCTCTGGCCATTCTTCCTGGAATGGGCCCGTGTGATTTGCTTCCCCCAGACTTCAAGCTGAAACCAGCTTCCCAGATGTGGAAACACAGAGCTCAGCCCCACCACTTAGCACTGAGGTTCTTTTCCTGCTGATCAATTCTGACCTTCTGTTTTGAAGTTTAAAAGCCTCCAAAGCCTCCTTGGACATCAAATAGCTCTTGCCAAATGCCATTTGGGCAATTTAAATGCAAATGAATTGGCAATATTTGGGCTGCTTCCAGTTAACTTGCATGTGCTTTCCCAAATGAAAGGGGAAGTAGGGCTGGAGCAACCTTCTTTCCTGGACTGTTTGGTGTCAAATTAAAATTGCACAGGGCACTTGTTAAAAATGTCAATACAGATTTAATCTAGGCTACCGCAGTAAATGACAAAAATGAGAAAGATTTCAGTACAGGACTGAGCTCAACTTCGCTGAAACAAAAGGTGGGCCTTTATTAGGACTTCAGTGAGCTAGTGGAAAATTACTGGAGATTAGTGGTCAAAGCGATCAGGCCATCTGTATTTGCTAATTTTCCCCTTTTTAAGTTAGGCTCCTACCATCATCCCACCAAAATGGGGAGATAGGAGCACTATCTCCCTTGTTTACGTGTCTTGGTTACATGTCTCCAAGTCCTGGAGAAAGACATTGCTGGGTTATAAAATTACAAGAGGCTAGAAAAAGTTTACATTTCAAAGGGACAGAGAAAAAATTTACAATGACAAGTTTTCTAACTTAAACGTTTTATAAGAAAAGTGAGGTCAGGGGCCTATCATAAGGAAGAAATCTATCTAAATTTAGCCAAGCTGAGGGGAACACACTAAGGCACTTGGTCAGTGGTCTTCCAAAATGTTTTAAAAAATTAATTTAAGACATTTGAACACTCATGGTCTGAATATAGCCTGCTTTGGTTTCAAAACAAGTAGAAGTGAGAATTTTCACCCGAGGAAAGGAGATAGCAAGGGCACATAGCCAGAAAGAGATATACATCGGGAGGAAAGGGGAAGAAATTAGATTTTTAGTTCTGTCTTTGCTACTAGTTATTTGGATGACCTTGAAAAATTTCATTCATCTTTCTGGGCCTCAGAGGTAGCTGACTTCCATAAGTCTCTACGGATCATTTGAGATCTCTTATTTTTTAGGATTATATGACTCTATGCATGCAACTCTGGTAGGGAGAAAAAAACACTTAAGGAAGATAGCTGCATTTCTTTTAGGGATAAACGTCTTTCTTTTTGAAAATTATTTAATGGACCTTATAAAAGGTTGTAAAAGGGAGGGATTTGTTTCACCTCTCTGGTAGAGACTGAAACTGAGGAAGTAAAATTCCTTGGAGTATGAAAATAACAGGGAGTTTTTGTTCCTCTAGGTTTCTTGGAAAACCCAGAAGTTTGGTGAGAGTGATAATAATGTTAATAGCTCATAGCCTTCTGTTACTTTTGAAAATGTTCCCAATACTGTTTCACCTATATGAACTCATTTACTCTTTAGCACAACCCTTTGTGGTAGGTATTATCTCCATTTTATAGATGTAACTTGCTGGAAGCCTCACAACTAGAAAGTGATGACCCTAAGCTACAACCTCAGGTAGCTCCAGATAGTGTGGCAAAGGCCTTAAAAAGAGATCACAGGCTAGGGTTCATGGAGCCAGAAATCAGTAAGAGGTTCCTAGGGAGAGGATGGACAATGAATTGTTCATTAATTCCAGTTGTACCAATCTCAGAGGTTCAGTTTTAAGTAGCTCTTTCTTGGTGTTTTCTTTCAGCTTTGTTATCCCTAAACTTTCAGGAAAAATAAGTAGATCACCCTCAAAGATACTGGGTTACAGATGTTTGTCGAGTGAAGCATTGGAGATCAGGTTTATGCATTGACTAAAACTAAATCAAGGCAAAAGAGGAACAAAGTTGAAAGAGGAGAGAGGCCATAAGGATGATGGCAGAAGGGAGGGAAGTCAGTGTGACCAACTAGGGGCCACAGAGTATTCAGAGCTGATAAAGAAAATGTATAGAAAAAAAGTTTAAATTGAAAAATAACAAGAAGCTCACAGAATCATTTAAACTCCACCACCAATCAGGAAATGCTTACAATTACAAGAAGAAGCCTGGGCCCAGAAATTGTATGGTATGAAGTCTACCCCATCCACCCTTGGAGAAACTTGAAGCAGACTTCAGGCTGCTCTTAGATTTAGGAATATTTGCATTATAGGCAACCTCTCCATCCCTGGAACTGTGTTGCAAATTCAACTTTCTGAATCCTCCCTCACCTTCAAAGATCAGTTCAGATCTATTGCTCATCATAAAGATTTTCTTATCCTTCCAGTCAACATTGATCTCTTCCTTCTTTGAACTCCAAGAAGCACTTACAGGCTAAACAGCCTAATCTGGCACTTGCTCTAGTTTTGCGTTGTAAATTAACTGCTTTATGTAAAGCAGTTATTTCTCCCAGCCTGAAACACAAAACTTGTCTTGATCTCATTATCCTTTTTCAAAATGTCTAGGACTAGACTGAGCACCTTGTAGTTGTATCAAATTTACTTGTGCATGCATTTATCTATCAAGCATTTTAACACATAGAATTTTCATAGAACTTTACAAAAAGTTTTCATAAACAATGCTATTGAATTAGATGCTTCCTATCTATCTATCCTATCTTTAAATCCAATAAAGAATTTGAGATACATTTTTGCTCTTGTGTAACGAACTCAAACTCATTTCTCTCTTTCATATATATATATATAAAATATAGTGGTTTGGATGTATCCCCCAAAGTTTGGGGAAACTCAATCCCAATGCAACAGTGTTGAGACGTGTGACCTTTAAGATGTTAGGTCATGAGGGCTCTGCCTTTTTTAATAGGCTAATATCATGTGCGTGAGCTTGGGTTAGTGTTTACCAAAGTGTGTTTCTTATAAAAGGATACATTTTATAATTTATAATTTCCTTCTTTCTCTTTTTCATCCATGCTCTCTTGCCCTTCTGCCTTCCACCATGGGATGGTGCAGCAAAAACACTCTCACCAGATGTGAGCCCCCTTGACCTTGGACTTCCTGGCCTCCAGAGCTTTAAGAGATAAGTTTCTGTTCTTAATAAACTACCCAGACTCACATATTCTGTTACAGCAACATGAAGCAGACAAAGACTATATGTGCGTAAATACACACCCCCCCACACACACATATATAGAAAAATATATATTTATATGTACAAGATATATACCATTTAGGATGTTTTTAACATCAAGAGCTTGGATATAGGAACATGTTCTGATGGGAGCTCTGCTGGGGTTTTTAAGGTTAGCACAAGGGAAACATTGAAACAAAATCCTTTCTCTACGCAAAGTGTGATTTGGTTTTGCATAATGCATTGTGCTTCAGGTGCCAAGTTCCAGACACAAGGAGAATTAATGGAATAGCATCAGTAAAGGGCTTTAGACTCCTCACAGGAAGTTCCCCAGCCTCATTAAAGGTAATATTATTCCAGTTATAGAGTTTAGTTGAAAACAACAAAATAATGTTTTCCTCTCTTTATTGCTAATTTCTCCAGGCTTGGCAAAGAAAGCTTTGCTCTGAATTCACTGGCTCTACCACCTTTGTAGATCGCAGAATTCCATTTCAAAGTTGCCTACACCAGGGCACCTATGAGTGTGGACTGGAGAGATATACAGCCACATGTAATTTCTGAATATTTTTGTGCATATAGCTCTTGTCACTCTCCACTTTATTTCCTATGAATATATTTGTATTTTCTATTGAATTATCAATGCCTTGGGGAACTTCAGTATTATAAGAAAACTTATAACACTGATTTGTTCTCAGGGACTAGCACAATGTTTGGCAAACAGTGGGAGTGTCATAAATGAGTGAATTAATTAATGAATAAATGAATGAATACCTACTCAATGAAAAATTGCGAGTGAGAGATTAAAGGAATCCTAAGAGACGAACCAACCTCTGTATTCTGATGGGAAGAGTCTATGAATTTATCAGAAAAAATTTTCAAAATGCTAATTGAGATATTTTACTTTCCATTCTAAACAATCTGTGCTTACCACAATGATACATTGATACGTATTTCAATGGGCACACTACCTCAACCTATAAAGCCTCTGAGATCTTGCTTCTGACTGTCTCTTTGGTTTTATCTACTACTACTGTCTCCTCCCAGGTTTCCTCTGCTCCAGTTACTATTATATTATCTCTTTGCATTTCTCAAACATACCAAGCACTCTTCAACCTCAGGAACTTTGTACTTGCTGTGCCCTTTATTTGGGGTGTTCATTCAAAGACACTCTTTTTCTTCATTGAGTGACTTGCACAGTTCAGAAGGTATCATCACAGAGAGGCCATAAGGGGCCACACTAGATTTAACTGTTACTTCCAAATATAGTACACTATGTTTTCACCACTCTAATTGAAGGACAGAAAGTACAGGGACTAAGTCTGTTGTGCTCAACATTGTATCCTCTGTTCTCAGTACTAAGCCTGACACTTGTTGGATGAGTTTATGAATTTAAGACTGAGTTATATTCTGAGTACAAAGTTTTTGGCCTGCTTATACTATGTGACTGTACATTTGCCCAGTATATGCACACAATTCCAACTTAAGGGGATTTAACTTGGCAGAGAGCTTTCCTGAAGTTGCTTTATGTATGATGCATTATTATTCAATTGCATTTCCCCTGGTGAAAAGCTGGCAGGCTGTTCCTCTGTGACAGATGTGCTTGCTTTGGTTGAGTCACCACCACAAGGCGTATTATCAGTTTTACTAATGTTTGCTCTTTTATACTCTAACAGGTAGTGTGATTCATCCAGTCCATATAGGTCAGGAATCTGATGCATACATAAATCTGCATTGTAGTATAGTACGTGCACAAAATTTCATTCATGGGAGAAAAACATGGAAAACATGGCTATTGCATGCACAGCTAATATATGCACACATAAACAAAGATAAAATTAGCTTATGTATCCAAGGGCATAGAGCCATTTTCATGCTTAATCACTTGATTTTACAGAGTTACACATCCAAAGAGTTGGAATGGATCTTTTATTAGCGGTTGATAAGTAGTAGTTTGCCACTCTGCTAGACTTGGCACATCTGAGTCATCTGGCAATAGTTTTTCTATACAGATTCCTGGGTTGAAAACTTACATTTTATTTTTTAGGGGAATTGGAGTGGAGCCTGGGAATCTGCAGCTTTCAAAAGTTCTAAAAGCTCCATGGCAGCTAATTCTGATGTGCAGCCAGATTTGGAACCCTTATTTTATACTATATATACATAAATTTGGCAGAGTAGCTGTTTTCATTTCACATGCCAACTCTGATCAACTGGAAGTAGTTTCTTGGAGCTCTGTGTTTGGAAAGATTCTGAGGAAGCATCACAAATAATGCCATGACTGATAACATATCCCTTGAATGAGTTTGCAGACGAGAATAGCAGTGTATGTGCCAATTATTCAATGACTCCAATGTCATCCAACTGCATAACTTCAATCCCCTCTACAATATCCTACATCATGGTCACTTAGTGTCTCTTGGAACATTTCCAGCAAAAAAGAAAATTATAACGGTCTAAGGGCAACATTTCCATCTCCCCGTAGCTCTTTCTTATTTGAACTAAAACTCTTTCTCAGGATTTCATTCAGATCAAAATTTTACTCCTCAAGGCCAGGCAAAATAAGTCTTCACTTTCTGGCTATGATGACCCTTCAGCTATTGTAAGGCTGTGATCAGACAACCCTAGCCCTTGTCTGCTCTACTTCAGGAAAAGAAGTCTCATTCTTTTTATGACAAGTCATTGACCCCCTTCCCAATAGTGGTCATTTTCCTCTAGACATGTTTCAGTTGGATAATGTTCTATGACGAGTGTGCTGGTCAAAAGTAGACATGATTCTCTAGCTCTGGTCTAAGCATCATTAAAAAAAAAAGACTACCATCACCCATAGTTTATTAATTAATTAATTAATTACAACAGCTTTTTTGGCAAGTAGACTGTATTGCTGACTCAAATTGATTTTATTTTTTGACAAAATTTATTGTATTTTATTTATTTTAAATATGATATGCCATCAGCCCTTTTTCTCACTTCTATAAGTGTTATAATATCAAAATATAAACCCTACTTTTTTTCACTTTAAATTTTACCTTGTTAAAGTTGGTCATTTCATACAGCTCAAGGATATTCAGCATATTGATAAAACTTTCAGAATTTTAAGTTTAGTAGATCTGGGTTTGAATCTTGACATTGTTTCTAAGTAGCTATATGACTAAAAAAGAGTTTCTTAAAATCTTGAAGTTTAACATTTTTAAATTTGTAAAATGTGAAAAATAACCTGCCTCTAGGGTTGTACACTATTCCTAAAATGGTAGTCTCAGATATTATAAAAATCTAAGAAGTGGTGATTATTATTATTTGCTTTTCCTGTCACCCAATTAATTTGGTGATTTTTCAAAGCTTCCTATTACATGTCAAGAAAATGCTTCATTTACACCTTCATCGATTCATCAATACAAACAAAATTTATTAATTATCTACTTTACGCCAGAGACTCTGCTAGACATAGGGGATGCACTGGTGAATGGGACAGACAAAATTCTTATAATTGTGGAACTCACAGTGCAGTGGGGAAAAATGTGTTGATATGAATAATTAGAATAATGTATGCTAAGAGCTAACACAAAAACAAATAGAGTTTTATAAAAGACTTGTATATCTCCACCTATGTTATTTGTTAAAATAAAATATGTGTTGGAGTAGGGTGTACGATGTCTCCTATCTCTGCCCTTTACATTTCCCTAAGCTTTAGAAGGCCTAGAAGATTGATGACTCCATCCATGGTTGAAAGACTAGCACACATATATCTGTTGCATAGGAAATACTCATGAACTGCATGGATTGCAAGTCCCATGAAGATAGGATGCCTTCTTGTTCTTCATTGTGTCTCTACTACCAAGTACAGGAAATGGCATGTCAAGTCTTCAATAAATATTTGTTGAATGAATAAATACATCTAACCATGTGTTTCAAGCTCATGAAAGCATATGAATAGTTATTCACTGACCTAAAGATTATTCTAATAGAACCACATTGAGTAAGAAAGTAAGAAAGTGCCAGCCTTGTTCTTCCTGCCTAACCCATTCAATTCTACTTCAGTATTCTTTAGTCTCCAGTGAATAATAATGGGACTGAGTGATGAGATGTAACAGTTCAAATTTTATCATTTGAAGCAGTTTCTACTGTGGATTTTTAAAGTGAAATGGACAAAATGTGTGTGTGTGTGCACGTGTGTGTGTATGTACATGTTTAATCAGACTCTATTTGGGCAGTGGAAATAGATACCCTCTTCAGGTCTCTTGGGCCATAACACCTTTCCAGTAAATGAAGCCTCCACAGACAGGAAGCATGGCATGAATGCTGTGCTGCAACTGAGCTGCAGCAAGGTGCCATTAAAAGTAGTTTTGTTCATTACAATTTGATTCTCCACCTGTCTGGGGTGGTCCTTTATATCTCTCCATCACTTCTCTTACTTTGTTGGCTCTAATGAATAGGTGGGTAGATTAAATTTTTGGACACACCAAAAACACACAGCCTACCTTGTTTGTCTCTGAGTTCACCAAATAGGCTACTCTAGAGACTGAAAGAAACTGAGGGATTCAAGAGTGAAGCCTTATGAAATTACTAAGGAAGCTTACCTATAAATATCTAACTATTCAAAATTTGAGATCTAATCAATAAGCATTGGCCTGTAAGGGACAATGAGGACAGGTGTTGAGGATATGGCCACTGCCTTTATAATTTCTGAACATCTCAGGTGTAGCGTGGTCCAGTTATATCTAGGGCTGGGCAGTGTGGACCTCAGCAGAGAAAATGTCTGAACCTGGGATTGGACTCAGCTAATGTGGAAGGCAGTCAGTGTTTTTGGTTAAAAAAATATATCTAGTATACTAAACATCTTACTTGGTTACCAAACACAATTGAGAGTCTAGGTCAAATTCTTTGTGCTGATAGAGCACAAAGAAGGGATATGTTAGAGAAGCAAAGTCCATATGACTAACAAGGTAGCTGTAAAGTTTCAGTGACATAAATTATAGAATACACGGAAACCTCAAGTCTTAGGCGCAGGAGGCATAGAAATTGACACACATCAGACAGGGTGCTAATTAAATAAGATTATTAAAAGATGATATTAAAAATCATCTTAGACTTAGAGAATGTTTCTGTTCAAATATCCAAGGTAATTCAGTCTTAAGTTACCCGCTTATTTTAAAATTAAAATCTGACAAGGGGTTCATAGGTAAGAATTCTAATTCCTGATTTGAGTCGTGATTTTTAACATACTATAAAAAGTCAACATTTAAAACACATTTGGGTACAGTGGGGCTAAATTGCAAACCATGGTTTTTCATTGTTTCCTCATTTTTGCAGTTCTTGTTCTGGTGTAAGATTCACTTTTCCATTTAGAACATGAACTTCCTCAGTGGATAAACTGCGGATGTCTTGTTCATTTTCCAGCTTGAAAGGCCCATGGGGAGTCAATACACAGCCTCAAAATGTCATCACAAGGGGCAAAGGTGAAACTGGAATAAAACTCTAGTCATTTACTTCCACATAAAGTAGGATGGCTCAACTTTTATGTGTTTAGCATGCTAGTTTCTACGTAAAAAGGCACTAAATTTTTTTATATGCATGGAAATTTGAGAAACTTTGAACTAAAAAAAATCAATGACGCCCCTCCTGCTCTATTTAAGTCACCACTTAAAAAATCTTTTTAAAAATATGGAAGTTTATGCATTCACAAAAAAAAGCTAGAAGTCTATCAGTCAAGTTTACAAAATATAATTTGAATGTTCACCTATTAAGTGTTTTCAGGTACAGTTAATGTGATAGGTAGGAGGGAAGATAATTAAGAAATAGTTCCAGGCTCAAGTGGCAGTTCTAGAATTCCTATCTAATAATATTATAGCTAATATTTACAAGAAGCTTACTGTGTGTCAAATTCCATCCCAAGCGCCTAACATACGTTAACTCACATAATCTTACAACAGTCATGCATAATACATATTATTAATATTTCTTGTTTTGCAAATAAGAGAGTTGCGGAAAGGTAAAATATCTTGTCTAAAGTGACATGGTTAATAAAATGCAGGGCTGGTGATTTTAACCCCTGCAGGCTGCCTTTAGAAGCTATAGTTACTATATTATCCTTTCTTAAGTGTCTACTTCAGAAGCAGGAACTTTGTCCTACACCAACAGCAATCTAAATTTTCATTCACTTTTATCTTATGTTATCCTGCCTTACGTGTCTGCTTCGGGGCAAGAACTTTGTACTCCACCAATAGCAATATAAATTCTCATTCATTTTCTCTCTATTGTGTATGCTATTTTTCATTCATCCATTCATATATCAGCCATTTTGTAAATGCCTACTGTGTACTGCAACACCACGTGGATGCCTTTTCTCATTTCCTAATGTTTATTTAAATAAATTTTATTAAAAAGTTTAAGTTCAACGAAACCCATTGTATTTTACAGTTATAAATCCCTAGGAGAGATACAATGCATTAAGTAATCCAGATCTTTATAGGCCCATATCCTCTATGGATGTACTTACAGAAAAACAAATGGGAAGCAGATTTCATGAAATTCAAACATTTATTGTAACCCACGGCTACTCTTCTAAAGTTTCCTATTCGCAATTCTCATAGTCTCAACTACTGATGTGAGTGGCCTTGGAAATCATAGGCTTAATGAAAACAAATACAGTCCTTTCAGTTTCTTAGAAAAAAAGGAGTAATTTTTACTTACAATAAAACTGTGTTTGGAGAATGAATACTTCAAATTGTGATTACGCCAACAACCTTCATTCTTAAAGTTAAATTCACAAAAAAGTAGTTTACTTCTCAGAGAAATCAATTAATTTACCTTCTTCAGTATGGGTGTCCTTCTGGCTTTCGTATTGGGTACAATCTCATTTTATTATTATATTAAACCAATAATAGAATTCCAGGTATTCTCTTGGCAAGGAGCAATAAAAAAAGGCAGCATCCTGTGTTAGATAAAAATCTTTCATTATATACGATCAAATGCCATGTATTCTGCAATGGTGAAATGCATTTGTGCGTTTTACACGTGTGATGTGAATCATTTTAAAAGCCATAATCACAACACAGCAGATGCTAATAAATTTTCAATCTGTTAGGCTTTGTTTTCTGGAGAATGAATTTGATTTGTGATACAAATGTTACATGGGTGATTGTGTTTAGCCATGGAGATTATGGGAGGTCTGGTATGCTAACCTCTGGGGTGTTTTTACTGTCTGATCATGCTTACAGAGAATCCACTTCATAGGATACTGTGCATCACTGCAATGGGCTAATTCTCCTTTCTTAAGCCCTTTTAAGACTCTCTCTCCAGCTGTATAATATTTGTTAGGACTTATTTGTCAGAAATCTGGAGGACATTTCTGGAGGAGGAGAACATCAAATATTCAAAATCTTAGACCTGAGCTATCTGCTTTTCTTTCCATTGCTTCATTATTAGCACTAGACTCTTGGATAATTCCTACATTATTCCCTTTTGTTGTTGTTGTTTTTTGGCTCTGTCAGTCCTAGTAGTTAATCAACTAATTCCTGCAACTTACTTTTAGCTCTGATCTCTGGAATCTTGACCTTGGCTCACATACTGATGATGGCCCATAATTTGGCAAATCCCAATACAGTCCACTTCATGTACTTGAAATACAGCCTCAGTTTGAAAGAGGATCAGTGGAGAGTCCTTTGGAACTAAAGGGCTACAACTGTAAGTGGGTGACTGAAGATAACTGAGGATGTTTGTATCCAGGGAGAACAAGCCCAAGGCAGAAACAGAGGAGGCTGTGGATAACTGCAGAATCTAGAATCTAAAGGCTTACCACAGTACAGAAGGAAATCCAGAAGCTACAAGTAAAGTAATATAAGTCAAACTGGAACAGAAACAACTGTAGTAAAAATCATAAAATTGGAAAACCAAAATGATATAACATCCTAAATTGGTATCAGAAGGACTTTGCTTGAAGACTCAGTGCAGTACCAATAAACATGTATCTCCTCTTCTCTATATTTCATAATTGTCACCCTAAGAAGGTCTTGATGGCACCAATTGATTTCTGATAGTGGGTTCCACCTAATGGTGAGAAAACAACTTTATAAATGTAAGGCATAGAGACTATTTTTTAAGTAAGGTCCACTCACTGAGGAGCATTCCGTATTTCCTCTGTGTATGAAGTCTTAGAAAGTTTTAGAAAACATATAAACAAAAAGCAACCACCCTAATATCTTTAACAATTTTTAAATTTTATATGTTGTCCTACAAAATTAATATATACTCATACATATTTTAACAACTTGAAATTTATATACTTACACTATTATGCCCTAAATATATTCCAGATTGCAAAGCAGATTTTATGATATAATTCTTCAAGTCTGCATCACATTTCATTAATGTTTTATAAGTTAATTAACAAGTCTCTGTTTCGGAGATAATTATGTCATATTTCCATTTTCTTTATTGTAAACAATGACACTATGAACATCTTTCACTAAATGCAGAGTGTAAATAATTGACTGTCTTTTGGATATGGTTCCCAAAAATGATTTGTAACAGTCCATATTCATGGTTTTATAGTTTGGGATTCATTTTACAAAATTGTTTCCCAAAGGAATATAAAAATTACACTGATGTCAGATTTGTGTATGTACCAATTTCACTGTAAACTCTATAGAATTATAGATAGAATACATAATTATATATTGTATTATAATTTTATTTAATAGCTAAACCACAAGGCATTCCACACTTAAGTCTTAAAACATAAGAGCTTTACAATATAATGTGGCGTTACAGTTGGAAAGATTCCTGGAAATAATCAGCCCAATTCTCTTATTTTTCAACTCAAGAAGCAGAGTCTTAGAGAAAGCCAGTGAGTTATTCAAGGTTATAGGGTACATTATTATTGGAGCAGGGAATTAAATCTAGGTTGCCTGACTCCTTGCTTAGTGGCCCATTATATCACCACAGAGTCCCTTGGACTTCTCATAGGTGAGATCAGTTGCATACCAATACAAAAGCAGTATTTATTAGTGTTTCATATATTATTATTACTATAAATCACTTATATGCATGTTTACATTTATACACATCAATCAAAAACATACTGTCCTTTTTAAAGTGAGATTGAGACAGTGTAATGGATATTAACATATTTAATCGCTGGTTTGGTTCTTCAGAAAATCTTAGAATTGTACTTTAATATTCTTTGTCAGCATTTTTTCTCTATCATTGTATTTATTTGGGGTAGGAGCATATTGTGGGCAGAATTCTAAATGGCTGCCTGTTACTACTACAATTATCATGTTACATGGCAGTAGGAATTTTGGAGCTATAATTAATATGCTAAGCCATTAATGTAAAATAGGGAGATTACTTAGGTGGGCCTCATCTAATCACAGGAGCCCTTTAAAAGCTATCCTCTACTACCTCCTCCAACTGGTAGCAGAAGAGAAAGTCAAAGAGATTGAAATTGAATCTGGTTTGAAAATTGCTGGCCTGAAAATGGTGGAAATCACAAGTAAGAACTGGAGAGTGGTCTTTAAAAGTTGAAAGTGATCCCTAACTAGAAGCCAGCAAGAAAATGGTGACCTCAGTCCTGTAACTGTAAGGAATGGAAGTCTGTTGACAACAGGATGAGTTTGGAAACACGTTCTTCCCCAGATCCTCCAGAGAAGAGCCTAACCTGGGGACAGCTTGATTTTGGCCTTGAGAAGTCCTAGGCAGAGACTTCTGACCTACAGAGCTGAGACTTTTGACCTACAGAGCTGGGAGTTAATAAACGGATGTTGCTTTTAGCTGTTAAGTGTGTAGTAATTTTTATGCAACAGTGGAAAATTAATACATAGGCTAATTCAGGATCACCATCTTCCCCTGCAGAAGCCAAAGAGGCTAGATACTCCTTCCCTTACTCCCATTCACACCGTAATGGGCATATGATCTAAACTTAGCCAACCAGACATTTCACCTTAGGATTTAGTATTTGAGCATATGACTCCAGGATGAGAGAAATAGTTAGAAAACAGGTATAATAGATGCAGTGTTCGCAGCAGACTATTCCTGATACTAGAACTCTGCAGTATCTCTGCTTGCTAGCCATCTGCAGCAGGCTCTCTTCCTGAATTTTAAAGCTGGACCTTCAGATATCCATGAAAATGGTAAATTCCTTGATACATTGCCTAGTAATTCTATTTTGCTGAGATTATCAAGATTTCTTTACTGTTGCCTGTAGAAAATAACCCAACTAATAGAAGTACTGAATAAAACATAAGCCAATTATTTTCTAAATCTTTCCAACACATCCAATAATCAAATCAGTTTTCTTCCCAACCTCATTTGGTTAATGGAATATTCCACGGCTTCACAGTGTCAGCACAGATCTTGGTCAGCCGCATATGCTCAGTTTCTATCCACCAATTTCTGGAGTCAATAACTGATGATCCCAGGCCTGGAGAAAGAGCCAGTTGTATCACCTGAGATCAGGAGTTCGAGACCACCCTGGCCAACATTATGAAACCCCATCTCTACTAAAAATATACAAAATTTGCCAGGTGTGGTGGCGGGTGCCTGTAATCCCAGCTACTCGGGAGGCTGAGGCAGGAGAACCACTTGAACTCGGGAGGCAGAGGTTGCAGTGAGCAGAGATCGTGCCATTGCACTCCAGCCTTGGCAACAAAAGCAAAACTCCATCTCAAAAAAAGAAAAAAAAATCAGGTCAAATGGTGTGTTGGGAATATAGGTATGGTTACTTAGTCAATATTTATTATTTTGTGCTTTAGGTAGCATCTGAGAAGAGTATCTCCCTTATTCTGAGGAATCATTTATTACCTCAGTGATGTAATTCTGCTTAAGCTTCCAGTCCCAGGCCACTCTGTCCAAGTCACACTGTAGTCATGTGACCAAACCTGAACCAGTCATAAAACTCAATTACCTAGTCATAGAATTTGATCCAGAAATTGACACATGACCCAGTATAGGCCAATCAGAAATACTCTCTAGGATTTTTCCAGTGAAGCCAGTGATAATGGTCCTTTTACTTCTCTGGTCATGTGGCTTTTAGAACTATTAACCTATAGCCACTGGCAGCTTTGTGGCCTACCCTGTGGGGAAATTAAAGCAGAAGGAGAACAAAAGAAAATAGTGGTCAGAAGCAAGCATAGAGAGAATCTTGCTGACATGCATGGTCCTAAATCCAGTCGCCTTCAAGGCAGGTGAGTCTGTGTCCCTCTCTCAGTTTTATTACATGAGTAGATCCATCTCCAGTTAGGGTTAAGTTTGTCAGGTTAGATTGCTATGACTCTTGGTAGACCTTTGAGACCTTTGAGAATACAAATCACTGTCTATGATACTATCCCAATCAGCAAACATCCCAGAGGAGACAGAGCCTCAACTATGTCTTCAAATATCACATTGTGGAATGCTCACCTAATCCCCTGCTCTGTCAGGATGGCTTAGATAAATAATTTTTAAAAATAAAACATTATATTTAGAAGCAATTATGGATGTATATGCAGTTGTAAAAAAAAATAGAGATTTAGCATACCCTTTACACAGTTTCCCCAAATACTAACATCTTGCACTAAAGTACAGTATCACAGACAGGATATTGACATTGATATAGTCAAGATACACAATAGTCCATTAATATATCCTCTAATTCTACAGTTTTGTCATATCAAGCATGTTATGTAAGTTGAATCATACAGTATGTAACCTTTACAGATTGAATTTTTTTCCCTCCGCGTAATTCCCTCAGGATGCATCCAACCTGTTTTATACATTCATAGTTATTTTCTTTTTATTGCTGAGTAGTATTTTATGGTATAGATATACCACAACTTTTTGTTAGCTATTTATCTATTTCCAGTTTTTAGGCTATAAGAATAAAGCTGCTGTGAATATTTGCATGCCGATTATTATGTGAACATACATTTTCTTTTCTCTGGGATAAAAGCCCAGGAGTGCAATTGTTGTGTCCCATGTTTAGTTTTCTAAGAAACTCCCAAGGTTTTAAAGGTAATTTATACCATTTTATGATATGTAAAATAGCTGTACCACTTTACATTCCCACCAGCAATGTGTGAGCAATCCAGTTTCTCTGCATGCTCATCAGCATTTTATTTTTTCACTAGTTTTGTTTGTTTTCTTGATTCATTCTGATCTTGTATAGAGATAATTCAATGTAATTTATATTTACATTTTTCTAATGGCTAATTTTTGCTGATTTTCTAATTGTATTATTTCTCTTGTGAGTTTTGAGAGTTTTAAAATATATTCTAGATAGCATTATCATCAGATACGTGGTTTGCAAATGTTTTCTCTCAGTCTGTTGCTTGTCTTTACATTATCTTCAGGTGGACTTTAACAGAGTATAAGTTTTTATTTTGATGAGGTCCAATTTATCCATTTTTAATTTTTCAAATCATGCTTTTCATATCAAGTGTAAGAACTCTACTCCTAGGTCTAGATCCCAAATACTTGTTCCTGCTTTTTTTTCTAATATTTTATGTTTTATATTTAAATCAATATAGATTTTGAGTTAATTTTTGTATAAGTCTTGAGACTTAGATCAAGCTGCTTTTGTTGCTGCTGGGGCTTCCTCTTCCTCCTCCTTCTGCCTGTTGATGGTTAATTGCTCTAATATCATCTGTTAAAACATCTATCTCTGCTCTGTTGAATTACGTTTGTCAAAATATCAGCTGAACATATGGTTATGGGTCTATTTCTGGGTTCTGTTGCATTGATCTGTGTATATATCCTTTTATCAATATGACATTGTCTTGAGTACTATAGCTCTATGTTAACCCCTAATATCAAGTAGAGTGATTCCCTTAAATTTGTTCATTTGCAAGATTGTTTTAGTCATTCTAGGCCTTTTCTTTCCACATAAATTTTACAATATGCTCATCAATGTCTGCAAAAAACCTTGTTGGGACTTTGACAATAACTACATTAAGCCTATCAATCATTTTATTGTCATTTTGTAGATTCATATCTTTACTATGTTGAATTTTCTAATTCATAAACATGGTATGCCTCTTCATTAATTTAGGGCTTCTCTGATTTATTTCATCAGCATTTTGTAACTTTCACCATACAAGTTCTAAACACATTTTAAATTTAACACTTAAGGTTAAACCTAAAACATTGCATCTTTTGGAAAGTTTGCAAATGGTATTGTGTTTTTAATTTTGGTTTCCATAAGTTCATTTGGTTTGCCATCAAGTACTCCCTCATTATAAAAATTCAGGAAATATTTGATAGCAAAATAAATTCAAGAGTGGAATTTTGTAACCTGAAATTTTGATATTATTATAACTATAATTAAATACATCCTGGAGATCTTTAAAAAGAAGAGATAGTTTTTTACTACCTTAATATATACAAATATGAATCATCATAATTTGTTTTGTGCATTGCTTTTGTATTCTATGACTATGCTGAACTCAATTACTTGTTCTAGAAGATTTGTATGGATTCCTTGAGATTTTCAATGTATAAAATCATCTGCAAATAAGAACAACTTTATTTTTTTCTTTCAAATATGTAGGCCTTTTATTTCTTTTTCTGACCTTATTGCTGTGGCTAGAATTTCCAATACTATGTTGAATAACAGTGAGAAGAATGGACATCCTCAACTTCTTCCCAATCTTAGAGGAAAACATTCAGTCTTTTACCATTATATATGATATTAGCTGTAGGATTTTTGTAGATATTCTTTTTCAAATTGAAGTAGTTCCCTTTTATTTTTAGCTTACTAAGAAGTTTGCTTTGTATGTGTGTTTGTTTGTTTTAAATAATAAATGAGGCTTGGAATAAAAGGATTTATTTTTAACTTGGTCCTAAGTTTCTTGCTTGAACTAAAAACTTTTTCTGAGTTTCAAGGACACTATTCTCCCCTCTTAATCTCTGCTGGCCCGTTTTCCTGGACTAGAAGCTGTACTATACTGCCAGTATCCATCATACCTTCAAAAAGAAAGTATTTAGCTATTTCACATGCCCCAAGAAATTCAAAAATGAGTAAGAGATGGACCCTGTTTTCAAGGGACTGACAGTTGAGTAGGGAAATGAGTAGGTATGTTACACAGAATGATGTAGACAGGTGTTTGAGAAAGTATGCAGTGGTGGGCAGAATGCATTAATATGGCCTTGGAGGATTATAATAGCTATTTTGAAGACATCGGCACTTATCTTGAGTTTTTGTTTGTTTGTTTGTTTGCTTTTAAGTGTGATTTAACCCTGGAATAAGGATGGAATGAAGATGTCAGGAAGCGGGGTAAGATACCTAACACATATGAACTGACCTCAAGTCTTGCAAAACTAAGATTGATAATGAGAGGCGGCATGTAAATACCTAGGTTACAGCAAGAATAGACTAGGGTAAAAATGAGAAAGTACTTGATGGCAAAATAAATTCAAGAGTGGAATTTGGTAACCCAGAAATTTTGACATTATTGTGGCTATAATTAAGTAGATCTTGGAGACCTTTAAATAGAAGAGATTTTTTTTTACTACCTTAATTCTAGGCCTATACTGAAAGCAAAGACAGAAATATAATGGCACTTTTAGTGTTTTAAGAAGCTCAAAGCACTTTCATGGGCATTATTAGATTGGATGCATCCGAACTTACTTAGTTATATGTGGTCTTTACACTTTCCCTTTACAAATTTTCACCCTGCCATAATCATGAACTCATTCTCAAGAGAAACAAAAATGTCTTCAGGCAGAAAGTAAACACCTGAAAAATTGCATTCAGCTAAGGTGGATGAGAGCAGATATTTTCCACAAAATAGTGCAACTCTTCCTGCTGGGAACTCTTTGGCCATTATTCCTTTGATTACAGAAATTTATTTCCTCAGTTAAAAAATGATTTTTTGACTCAGTAATTACTGACAATAAAGAAACTGAAAAAAGTAAAATTCACATTGCCAAACCTAATTTAGATAATCCTACTGAAGAAAATCTTCCAAATAGCAAGCATAAATGGAAACTTAAAAGGGCATTTATTATTTGGCTAACAGTACTTAAATGTCTACTATGTGGCAATCATTGTGCTGAGCTGGGTATAGAACTGAACTGGGACTACAGATACAGTTGGCTTTCTGAATTTTCCACAAATGTGAGGTGAGAAGTTGGTATTATGTATGAGATGTACAGATAAAGTGTTAGTGAAGAGAGAAGCAGAGAGAGATGAGAAATATTTTGTCAAGAAGTGAGAAGTAATGGAGGCATATTTCATTACAGAGCAAAAAACTTAGTCAAATGCATGGGTGGGAACGAGCAAACTATGTTGAATAATTCACTTTGGTTAGGATGCAAGGTTCAAGAGATGAGTAGGAAGAAAAATGTTTTAGTTTTATAATGAAAATATACATATGCTACTGTGACATTCAGTGTTCTGTTGATTAAGCTTCAAAAGGCGGATTATTTCCCTAACCTATTCCTGAAAGATTCAAGTCTTCAACTTTTTCCTTTGGTAAAAAAGCAATGCAAATGTTTACTTGCCTAATCAATGACTAGTAACATTGATTTTTGTATCTTATAATGCAAATTCTTTGAAACGTATGTGGTTTATAAGTCTGCTTGTACTTTGCAGTGACAACAACCTCCATTATCTCTGGGGTTTTTGATTGAGGAAAGTCAAAGTCCCTAAAACTTGAATGTCTTGATTAATATTCAAGGCCATTTTCCATTGTGTTGAAGTGAAAACATTGTATAGGCATCTTGGTAGGATGTCTTTTATCAGTTTACCAGCATGTTCTGGCATTTTTCCTATTCATACCAACCACTATATAGTCATTGTCTTGGTGATTTACTAATTTCATACTTGCTTCTTTGTTTGCAATTAATCCATCAGTCTAGGTTTAAGTAATAACCCAATATCATTCTATATTTAAATCATAAATGTTTTTTTAGACCAATTCAGGGATGGCAGGGTGACTGAAGATTAACTGAACCAATTAGATTTCCTCTCAGATGTTTAAAAATGTGTGACTCAAGGAGATTTCAGCATTTTTGAAGAAACTGAACAGAGACACTGCAAGACAGCAAAACTTTTGAAGGAAGCAAAAGCCAAGGGTGACTTAAAGCCATCAACAGAGCTTGTATAGAACCTGCACCTCATCTGGTAATTAAGCTATTTTTTATTGCTCCTAAAAAGCTTTATTTAATTATTGTTTCCTTATTTTCACAAATATCCTTCCTATACAAATTTGAGGTAAAATAAACGATGCCAAAAATTTAGCTAAAACAGTTAGGGTTTTTGTACCAGTGTAGGAGTTTTGAACATGGATCCTGGAGATAGGAAGATTTTGGCCCTACAGGTAAGGCATTAGAGCGGACTGGAATGAGATAACTGTGTCTCAGAAAGAGGAGCTAGCTTATATAAAACCTGAAGATGCCCTGTGTGGGATAGGAATTTGAGAGTGTGAGGCTGCAGGAGGAAATCACTGTGGTGGTTGACACTGGAGCTCAAAGGTCACAGACCAACAGAGGCAGAGTGTAGCTCATTCTAATTTTTTTTTTTTTTTGTAATTTTAATTTTTGTAGAGACAGGGTATCACTATGTTACCCAAGCTGGTCTTGAACTCTTGACCTCAGATTACCTGTCTCGCCTCCCAAAGTGCTAAGATTACAGGTGTGAGCCACCACACCCACTAGAAAGAGCTCTCTCTTTGTAGCCAAAGAAATGTGATGGGGATCCTGGGAAGTGGGAGGAAAATGTGTCAAATGGAAAAAAAAATCTGAGAAGAGTAAGAGCAGGAGATGACTTAGGCCCTGAAAGAGGAGAGAGAGAATCTTCAGTTCTAAAAGTTTGTCCTCACTGCACTTTTTATCCTGTCTTTGGATGACTGCAATTTCCCTACCCTTATTCCCATTGCCCCCATCCCCATTAACATGCACATACACTAAGCGCTTATGTTACTTTCAATGAATGACTGTTTATTCTAAGGACAACAACAAAACTTCAACAAACCTAAAAAGAATCCATATTTGCTCACTTAGGGTCACACATCATGCTAAAAAGTTTGGACATTACCCTAACATCAGGCTTCCAGGTCAGTGGTCTCTCTCTCTCTTTTTATTTGTCAACATTTTATTATGGAAATTTTTGAACATGTAGTAAATTTGAAAGAATTTTTTTTTTTTTTTTTTTGAGATGGAGTCTTGCTCTGTCACCCAGGCTGGAGTGCAGTGGCGTGATCTTGGCCCACTGCAACCTTCACCTCCTGGGTTCAAGCAATTCTCCTGCCTCAGCCTCCCTAGTAGCTGGGACAACAGGCATGTGCCACCACGCCCAGCTAATTTTTTGTATTTTTAGTAGAGACGGGGTTTGGCTGTGTTAGCCAGGATGGTCTCAATCTCCTGACCTCATGATACGCACACCTAGGCCTCCCAAAGTGCTGGGAGTATAGGCGTGAGCCACTGCGCCCAGCCAATTTGAAAGAATTTTAAGTAAATATCCATATACTGACCACCTTGATTGTTCCATCAACATTTTATTGTACTTGCTTTATCACATAGCTGTCCATCATCCTTCTACCCATTCATTAATCTATCTTATTTTCTTTTTTTATGCACTTCGAAGTAAATTACAGCTATCCATGCATTTACTCCCCAATACTTAGCATGTATATTATTATCTAGAGTTCCATATTTGTTAACAATAAAAACAAATGTTTTTTATGTCTTATGTTATAAATTTATATGTAAAATTTACATACAATGAAATGTGCAAATTAATGTACCTTTGTATATAAACTCTCATGGAGATAAAATATTGTATTATCATGACCGCAGAGAGTTCACTCATGCTTCGCTTTTTATGTGTTTATTTTTATAAGGAAATGCTAGATATTTGCTTTACAGTGTGCCTGTACCATTTACATTTCCAAGAAAAATGTATGAGAGTACCACAACATCACCAACATTTGGTGTTTCACCGTTTAATTTTAGCCATTCTTGTGGGTATGCAATAATATCTACTGTGCTTTTAATTTGCATTTCCTGATAACTAATAATGTTGAAAACTTTTTCATGTGACTTCTGGCCAATGTATGCCCTTCTTTGTGAGATAACTCTTTATAGAATTTGTCCATTTGTAATGGATTGCCTGTTTATTTTCCTAATGATGTGTTGTTATGTGTAGAAGTTTTACATTTTGATGAGGTCTGAGTTATCAGTTTCTTCTTCTTCTTCTTCTTTTTTTTTTTGAGACAGAGTCTCACTCTGTCACCCAGGCTGGAGTGCAGTGGTGCGATCTCGGCTCACTGAAACCTCCGTCTCCTGAGTTCAAGGGATTCTCTTGCCTCAGCCTCCCGAATAGCTGGGATTATAGGTTCGTGCCACCATGCCTGGCTAGTTTTTTGTATTTTTAATATAGACAGGGTTTCATCATTTTGGCCAGGCTGGTCTCAAACTCCTGACCTCAGGTGATCTGCCAGCTTTGGCTTCCCAAAGTGCTGCGATTACAGGTATGAGCCACTGCACCCAGCCCAATTTCCTCTTCATGGGTTTTTTGTTTTTTTTTGTGGCTTGTCTAAATCAAGAAAAAACAAAAAACATAAAAACACATTTGTTCACTTGAATGTTGTGAAGATCTGCTCCTATGCTTCCTTATAAAAGCTTTATGATATTTTAGCTCTTACATTTGTATTTATGATCCTTCATGAGTTAATTTTTGTGTATTGTGTAAAGTAGTTGAGCAAATTTTTTTTACATATAAATGCCTCATGATGCACCACTTCTTGAAAATATGCTTTTTGTCTACATTAGGTTGTTTGGTTGCCTTTATTGAAAATCAAATAATGGTATAATGAGACAACTGTCAATTTCTGAGTCTTTATTCTGTTCCATTGACCTACTTGCTGACCCTTATTTCAGTACTGCACTATCTTGATTATAGCATTATAGGAAGTTTTGAAGTCAGGTGGTATAAGCTTTCCAACTTTGTTATTTTCCAAGATTGTTTTTTGTATTCCAGGTCTTTTGCATTCCATACAATTTTTAAAATATGCTTCTCAATTTCCACAAAATGATTGCTGGAATTACGTGAGGAGAATTGACACTTTTAAAATATTGAGATTCCCATCCATGAACATATATCTCTCCACTTATTTAAGTGTTCTTAAATTCCCATCACCAATGTTGTTTAGGTTTCATTGTACAAGTCTTACACAACTCTTGTTAAAAATCGACCTGATTTTTTAAATGAAGTTATTGTAAATGTAATTGTTTTATTTTTATTTCCAGTTTTTGCTGCTATTATGTAAGATGCAATTGATATTTAAATTATTCTTTTATCTTCAAACCTTAATACATTTTTGGTTAATTCTAATGGCTAATTTTTAACCTTAGGATTGTCTATGTAAATAATTATGTCACTTGCCAGACTTTATTTAGTATGATATAGCACAATATTCTTGTGCCCTCAATAGAAATACAATACTGGCAAGAGAAGAAAGTAGAGAAGATATGGTAAGCGTTAGAACTCAGCATCACTGGGTAGAGATTCAAGTTTAACCTTTTTCTCTTTAATATAATTCTAGATTGGATAACAGTGGAGAAAAGATAAAGTGAAGATAAATTGAATTATACATTTCCTCTTTATCTGAAGAATCTGACTTCTTTTTCATATTTTATAATTTAATAAGGGAGAAACATAGCACCTTTCGAATGTTTCCTTTTTCTTTCATTTGTGAACTCCTGAAAGCCAGCCATGTTTCTCATCTTCCTTTTTCAGAGTAGAATCTCTGACTATATAATCTGGAGTAAATAAATTTATTTACCAGTAAATTAATTTCTCCTTAATAAGACAGCAAGGAAAAGTAAACTATAAACATGAAAAATATAACCACCATCCACTGGGTGTTACAGAGTTTAAAAGTAAAGACATCAGAGGAGTTTAGTTGGCAAAGGTTAGTTGCCTGGTTATTCCAGACCTCATGGTGTGCTACCACATTGGCAGGTCCAAATCCATCCATGGAGAGACTCTTGATTTGCCTGTCTTAGACAATTTGTTGTTAAAAGTGTTTCTGAGTTTATCAGATACAGGAATGCTGGGTCACACTATCAAAACTCACGAGAGGCTGATGAAGAAAACCAGAATAACAATGTACTAATTTACACTGAGAAATATAAATCGAAAGTAGATTGAGTTTTATGTCAGGTTGGGCGTTGGGCAGTACATGCTCTCCCTATGGACCAGATAAGTGGAAAGATAAATTAGCAGGAAGTATGCTTGATCAGCACAGGATTGAAACAAGGCAGATGAGTTTATATGATGCAAATACATAATTGCTTGAGTTTAATAGACCGTGATGTGGCCATCTCCACAATAGGAATACTTCAGCAAATAGAACCAGACAGATGATATTTTTAGACTAGAGAATGTTCTTTCCTGGGCCGAACAAGCCTAATGATTGCTTCATATTTCCATTACAGAACACTTTCAAACTATTTTTATACCTCTTTTCTGTGGTTAAATTATCTTCCATTAGATTACTGAACTGATTTGGGACAATTCTGTATTTTTAAAGTTACTTGACATTTTCTTACTCATCCATCATGGGTTAATTTCATGGCTTATTTATCAGTGAATGATTTGATCAATCATATTTCAAAGTTTTTATTTGCTTTGGGATGTTCTGATTTGTGTTCACTTGTAAGCAAGTCATAGTTCTTTGAGTGTCCTATAAATTCTCATTGAATCTTCAGAATGGTCCTGAGAGGTCAATGTTATTAGTCATTTTCTTTTTACACAAACAAAAACTGAGAATCAGAGAATTTAAGTGATTTTTTTCCATTGTCACTTGACAAATATATATCTACCCTGTGCCAGGCATGGTGGGAGCTGATAGGGTAGTGAAACTGCCTATCCATACTGTCTCACAAGTACATAGTGATCATTGAATTAAATGTAAACGTGTGAGACATTTTGCGAACTCCATCATGTCAGGCAAATGCTAGGGAGCTTTGTTCCATTTGAGGCTCATTTTACCTGATGAGTGAATGAATGAGTGAATGAGTGAATGAGTAAATGAATGTGCACTATTTTCAACATTCTTCCTTTCTATAAATAAAGGAAAAGTTCAATAAGTATGTTGAAACTTTTTAAAGATTTCAAATGACTGGAGACCCAATTGTTGCAACTTTTAATGAACTGCAGCAGTGTTTCTGGCATTGTGAAGAATACAGAGGAGGCATGACCCAGGCTAACAGACACACTATCAAAGTGGGACAAAGGCCATCAAGATAACAGAAGGAGCAGGTGAATAACTTGTTTAAGAGGAAACAGCTGGAGCTGGTTTCTGAATGATAAACAGTGAGTTTTTCTTTGATTCAAGGAAGCCAAATCCTCAAAACTTAAACTTTGAGATGTGTTCTGAACATCTACAAGACCCCCAAACTGAGTTGGGAATCTCCTGCGGAGAGGTTTCCTTGGGTCATTTTCTTAACTCCTCTCTCCTGCATTGGTTCGACGATGTAAGAAAAATAGCCTTTGTCTGATATTTTCTTCTCTGATCCTAGCACAATGCTGGAAGGGCAAAGGTCTTGCAACATACGAAGAGAAAATAGAAGACAAACCAACTGGTAAGATGTTCCAATTTAAGGCAACATCAATAAGTTCAAGTTATTTAGTTTTTAATACACATTATATAGTGCAATAAGCACCTAATACACTGTCTTGTTTAACATTAAGTCAACCATGGGTGGGTGGGATGACCATAATCTACAGGTTATAGATGAGGACACTGAGGTCCAGGGAGGAACAGTGACTTTACCTACATCTACCAAGTGCTGAGCAGGGATTTAAACCTAATCATGGAAAGTTTCAAAAGTCCAAAGGCTTAACGATGCCCTACCCTGGTTCTTTCAGTTAAAAGCTAGCAGGCTGCATCTGCTACATTATCTTCTTTACTGGTTCTGACCTCACTTAATTGTCCTCCCCGCCCTCGTTTTATTTTGTGTCTCCTAGAATACCTTTTTGACTGTAGGAGAGTGTTTAACATTTAGTGTTGTTTTAGGTGACAAGAAAAGTTTTCCGCACTAGGTTCTGTTCTTTTTGATGCCAGGAAAAATGTTTAAAGTTGTTCTTCCCCCTAATATTGCATAAATATTATTCAAAAATAATCTTTAGTAAGCATTAATTGAATTCAATGAATTCATTGCATTCATTAAATTCATTGAATTGAGGCCATTTGAGTGCCTGAAGAAGACTGGGTAATATATAAGCTAACATAAAAAGGCCGTAGATTATCCCTTTCATGAATACTGCTAGGATCATGAACCAATTAGAGATGTATGTTAATTCACAAGCAGGAAAAGCTTGTCAATCTTTAGTATGAACAAAGAGCAGGGATAATTTATTGAGCATCTACTATAGTCTCATTATTTTGCTATGTGCTGTGGGATGATATAGTTCTCCCTCTACAAGAATTTATAATCTTATGGAGGAGAGTAGGAAGCTCCAACTTTTGAGGGAAAGACTGTCTTTACATATTCAGGGCTATTAATGGTTCATCCTAGACCAACGCTTATTGTAAGTTTGTTGAATAAAATTTTAAAAACAAAAACAAGCAAATAGAGTACGAGTCATAGACTGCACACCAGAAACAGCTAGATTGCAGGCCTTTAAAAGAGGCTTTATGAACTAGTCTTTGTTATGTTTCGAGAGACAGAAAACCCAACTCAAGCTTCTGGTTCTTATCTCTCTCCATATACCATCCGAATTTATCTACTTTACATCTTTAAATTGAGAGGGTTCCTGTCCTCTGTGTTAGAAGGTCTTAGTTTCCTAGAATAAGTTTCTGTTTCAGAAGACTGCCTTCCAAAAAATTAACATGCAAGAAATAAGACTATAAGAGAAAGTTAATCAACATAAAAATGTAGGTCCACAAAATGGGCTGATTAAATATTTAAAAGTCATTAATTCAGATTTTGTTAGAATTCAGTAAAATTTACTTTACTATGTCTATAAAGACCTGGTTAGATAAGAGAAATAATATAATAGTATTAGAAGGATATACATTTTAAAATTTGTGAACAAGGTGTTTCTAATTAACATTTACTTGCAAAAACCATAATGCCACCAGCAATTTACTCACATATTTTATTGAATCAGATTCCCTGAAAACCTCCACTAGCCAGCACTTTATTTTGTTATTTGATATACTACCTTGTTCCAAAAAAATTTTGAGGTGTCTAACATAATTTTTTTAGCCTCATTCAATGGAATACCGTATATTTGTAGACTTCATTACAAGGAACATCTGTATGTTTATCCCAACTAATTCCTACAACAAAGTTACCTGAAATAGAAGTTCATAGAACACATCTCAGAAGTGAAGAAAAGGAGGCTCAGACACTCTTGATGACTTGTCAAAGCTAATCATGTAGATGGTAAATGGGAGATGCAGGGCAAGGTCCTGACTAGGATCACAGTCCAGAATTATCTCTATCGCACAAGTTGCCTCTCATAATTACTATACGTGCTTGAAAATAAAGCTCTGACTTCCAAAACAAAAATCATATCTCTAATTCAGATGCTTCATGCATCAGAATAATTTTTCTTAAATTTAAAACACCTACTTTGGCTATGAGTGGCACTGAATCACTGAGACGGGGCAGGAAACGCCAGCTCAGTGTGCTGAGGAATGGGCATTAATGAAAGGTGAGGTCCAGATATAATGTTACAAACACCGCTCAAGTCAATGCACTCCTCTCCACTAGCCCTAACACTGCTCTTTGCATCTCTGAACGCGGCTACTCCAAGAGCCTAAAACCTGGACCCTCCATGATCAAGTGCTTCTCCACTGGATTTAACCCATCATGTTTCCAATGGAGGTGTATTTTGTTTAGTACTATCTTGCACATATAGAGATTTAATAAAATTTCCTTCCCTTGCCTAGATACCTCCATACCTCTGCACTCTAGTTGTATTATGTTTCTAGAACATAATAAAAATTTACTTGGAATGTAAAATCCTTGAAAGTTAACTCCTGCTTCCGTATTGTGTTGCTTTCTATTGCATGTGCTTCCTTAATGTGAACATTTAGTTATTGATAGAACATTTTACATATTTCTTCCTCATGCCATATTTGTTCATATTATGTTCCTTTGTACCTTGAATGTGCTTTCCCGTTCTACCACTTGTCATGTGCAAAATTTTTTGCAGCCTTTAGGATGTGGTTTAAACCTCGTCTCCTCATAGAAACCATCCTCGACTCTTCAGATATCATCATAAACCCTACTCCCTGTGTTCACAGAACAGGAATGTACCCCCATCAATGATGCATCATTAACCATGTTTACTTCAATCTGTTTACAGGTGTCTTTGACTAAGCAATCATGCATGAAGAAGATTGACCTAAAAAAACAGTCAGACATGTATTCAAATATACACATGGAACAGTTTTTTCACTTTTATATTCATGGTAAAATTAAACAATTGTGTGTCCAAAAAATTGGACAGTGATTTAATAAAATCTTTCTTTTTAATTTTAACTCTATCTTTAAGAATCTTATCTAGTTTCATGCCTTTTAAGTTTATTTAAATATTGATAACTCCTAAACTTATACCTGTAGCTTGGACCTTTCTCTCAGTCCAACTGCTTCTTTGACATCGCCACTTGAATGTGCCACAGATATCTCAAACTTAATATGGTCATATGTAAACTACTTATATTCTCCCCCAAACCAATCCCTCCAGAATACTTCTCCATCTCAGCTAACAGCAACTTTAATCTTTCAAAGGCTCAGGCCAAATATCTTGGGTGCTTGACATCTCTCTTCTTGCACACCCTATCCATTCCATTAAAAATCCTGTTTTTGAGACCTTCGAAATGTGTACATAACTTGAACACTTCTCACCACTTCCACTGCTACCACACTCATCCAAGATATTTCTCATCTGAATAATGTAATCAACTCCTAAAATGGTTTTCTAAATTCTGCTCTTGCACTCTTCTATATTCTCAATGCATTAAATGTTGAGACATCATTTTAAAATAAAGTTTGCATCCTTCATTGCTCTTCTTCAAATCCTCCGAAAACTTATCATCTTGTTTATAGTAAAATTCACATGCTTTCTGATGGCCTGTGAGGTCCAGTATAATCTGGCTATTCATTCCATCTCTGACATATCTTGCTATTTTCTCCCTCTGTGTAGCTGACTCCAGTCATGCTGGTTTCCTTTTTGTTACCACAGCATGCCAGGCCTGTTCTTGCATCAAAATATTTGCGCTTGACATTTCCTTTGTCTTGACTTTATTCTTCCCCCAGATATCTGCTTGCCTCACACCCTCACTTACCCTTTATTTTAGGACTTTACTAAATTTATCTTTTAAGGGTGGCTATTCTGCATCCCTGAACATCCTATCTAAATTTTGTAGCCCAGTTTGGTAATTCCTATCCTCTTAATGATTCAGTTTCCATCTTATTGTCTAAAATACTATATACTGTGTTTTGTGTCTTGTTCATTGTCTTTCTCTCCTTCATAACCTATGTATGCTAAATTCAGGAATGGTCAGATTTATTCTCTCTTCATTCCTAGCACTTAGAACAGTGTTAGAAACAATAAATAATTGTCAGAAGAAGAATGGAATGAAAAGACGAGGGAGGGAGAAAATCCATCCATTAAATTTACTATTATGAAGTCATTCATAAGAATGAAAATGATCTTTATTAATAACATGAAAGTATTTCTAAAATATATTACCAGGAGAAACAAGACTTCAGAATGGCATGTATATTATTATTCTAATATTTTAAATAAATAATTTTGTATGACATTGTGTAGGAATAAAATGAGGGCTAAGAAGGGCATATACTGGCTAATAGTGATTATCTCTGGAGGTGGTATGAAATGGTACTTAGCATCTTTGTTTTGCATTTCTGTATAATTTGCATTTAAAAATATGTATGTATTAAACTTTTAGCAGTGAAAATTTAATATTCAGTGATGGAGATGTATATTTCTTTCACATTAAAAGCTGTTCATAATATACTTATTATGCAGAAAAGCAGTTTAGAGAATAGTAATAGTGTGAGCATCAATGTTCAATTTGCAAATCCAAAGCACTCCAAAAATTAAATGTGTTTTTTATATTTGTTGCCAAACACATTTGACCACAAAATCTAACCTGAACTGACATGAATTTATTTATAAACTTTGGTCCCACAGAATGTGAATATTCGTCATTTTCACTAATTCTTCCCCAGAATCTGCTGCTGGTGATGTGCCATATAATGAATACAGTCCAAATTAACTTTCTAAAATGTAAACAAATTCTGGAACACATCCAACCATAGGGTGTTTTACACAAGGCATTGTAAATATGGATATCTTCACACCAAAACTGTTATCTTTGGTTTGTGTGATTTTGACTATTTTTCTTCTTGCTGAGCTATATCTTGTATTTCGCTTTCTGCAACAAATTTCTTGTGTGTTAAATAAAATAACACATAAATTAAATTAAAACTTTATGTAGGATCTGTAGGCGTAGGGGAAAACGTTTTAAAACTGAGACAGTTACGGCCTTATCCAGGTGTGGCTTTACATATTCCCACCTGAAAAAAAACCAACCCTCAGATTTTGTCAACTCAGAGTCTTCAGGTGAGAGAAGGAAAACCTATTAGACTGAAATGCGAAATGCATAAATTTGGATGAAATAGGAATATAGGAGAGACTGATTCCAAGAATACTCTGGGAAAAGTTCTGCCCCAGGGACAATTTCAATACGGCAACATTGACAGATGCACAATCATGGCTGCATGCATAGCACCTCGGCACGAGATAATGGCATTTTCCCCACCCAACATCTCAGGGCTGGTTTCCACTAAAGACAGGAGGGAGTGATGCTGTTATTAATAGAACAAGCATGTTCTTTTCCTGTTCAGCTATTTAAAGAAATGTTCAGCTGCAAGGTGTGCTGATTTATGCAGCTTATCTTCTTCAGCCCAGATAGAGCGCTCTGCTTTTTCCTCCCATTACAACCCCCATTTAAGGGACCTGTAACTGACTTTCATTTTGTGACATAAAATTTACAAGAAATAGGGTGTATGTGGGGGGGAGGCACTGTTATTGTTTCCAGGTGCTGCTGATCACACTTGTATGGGGTATGAACACCCTTAATTGAGTTCTTAGCTATAAATGCATCATAAACAAATTTAGAAGACAGTCAGGCAATATTAAAGGAGAGGTGGGAAATTATGGTCATCAACTCTGTGACCTTAAACTGCAACACAAATAATTCTTCATGGGGATTAGAAACATATCCAGCTTTTCATGAATGGCATAGAGATGTGGCCAGCTGAGTGAAACAGAATTAGACCCCAGAATAAAATGCAGCTTGCAGTTGGGACTTAACATTTTTAGAGAATGGCCTCAAATCTGCATCTTGACATTCTTTTCAACCTTCAAGGACTAGTTTAATAATTGTTTCCTCCTTACAGTCTTCCCAAATCCCTACCTGTTACTATTCATTTCCCCTTTTTCTCAATTATTGCTGCTCATGTTTTCTGCATCTAGTAGAGTACTTATTATAATTTTTTCAGTTTGACCTTAAAGTGTTTGTGTTTATTGTGGAGCTTCCCAAGTTTCAGTTATCTGTGCATTTGTTTTAGATATTTTGCCCAATCTGTGTGCTGTCCGTAGCTTATTGACCTGATCGTCTCTTTACATTTACTAACTTTTAAAAACATTTTTTTCTTTAAGCCTCATTCTTAGTCTCATCTGCTAAATTAAAAATTTGATGTAATTATCTATATGCACATATTGCATTATAAGCATATATATGTACATATGCGAAATCTTACCACAATGACTATCAAAATTTTAAAATATTATTTACATTTATAAATATTTAAAATATATCACCTCAAATCACTTCGAATACTGCCAGTAGTTCATTTGCTACATATTAAATTCATACCTTTCTTTACAAAACACTGTCTTATTTTATATTGATAGATCCTGTGTATAGGAATCATTTTTATTACACAATTCAATATGCTCAAGAACATTTGCTGAACGCTTCATATGTGCAGACAGTATGCTAGTGCAACAAAAAGTAATAAAGATAAATTATATTTTGTATAATATGTTGATTATTATACAACATATTAATTATACAACATATTATATATATGTTGTATATAATTATATATATGTTGTATATATATGTTGTATAAATATATATGTTGTATATAATTATATATATATTATATATATGTTGTATATACAACATATAATTATACAACATATTATACAACATAATTAATATGTTGATTAGTTTCAAAATAAAAAGATTAAATATCTAAATTAATACAAAGCTTCCATGATGCACAAAACATCAAAATTTTCAATGAAAACAGCATTGCTTATTTATAAACAGGAACGAGGACTACCGATTTGTTTAGGGAATGTAGGAAACAACCTACTAAGTGCCTTGTCTGTTCTTCTCTAAAGTCCCTGCTTATTGAACTTTGCAGCGTGATCACAAGAACTTTATTCTCATATCTTGACATTTTCCTGACGGAACTTCTGTTTTCTGAAGCACTTCAGGCTCCTTCTCCCAGCTGGCTTCCCCCCACAGAAGGAATCACAGTGGAGTAATGAGCTGGAGAAAGGGTCTCCATATAGAAGGAGCTCCTTGGGAAATCATGCCTGCAGGCTCCCTATGAGTTAACTGCCCTGTCTCCAGCCCCTCTTCTTGTACTCAGGTGGTTGATGGTAGAGTGTGAGGATACACACTTTAGTAGGAAGCCTGATAATAGCCCCAGACCCAAAATACATTCTGCAATACTGCTTTAACAACAAGGAACTTCTATTTTGTGTCCTATCTGGCTTTTGGGACTATTTCTCTGTTATTTCTGAACCTACGGGAAAGAAAGATGTGTGCTTTACTAGCCTCCTTAAACCATAACACAATAGTGCATTTCCTGTGTCAAAGTGCTTTGAAAACTGCAAAGAATTAGGAAATACATATTTATTCTTGTGTTTTATTAGCTATTTGTAATACAAATTCACTGGTATCATTACTATTTTGTATACAATATATACATATACATAACTCAGTTCCTTAGTTCCTGGAAACAAAATACACTCAAGATATATGATTTGTTTTCCTTTTCCATGCCTCCCTCCTCCCCTCCCTATCCACCTCTCTCTTAATTATCTGTCATAAAATATCTTGGTATTTTCCATCCTTGGCTGAAAGATGCTGAGTCCATTCCTCTCCATTTGTCCCCTGGCCCTCAAGGAAAGCATTATGTTTAGCATAATAATGTAATTAAGGTCATATTCTGCCTTCGGTCATCAATGTGCAAATGCTGTATGACTAATGAGACAGTCTTAACAGAGGCTCCTAAACTGTATCCTCTCACTCGATTACATAGCCCTGGTTTCCTCAGCCCTTTTTTGACAGGGGTGAAAATGTGTCCTTCCCTTCAGGCTTCTGGATGAATCACAAAATAAACGGAACCAGTGTTCCAGCCCTGGGGATTTTCAGAAAACGAGTTCTAAGAAAAATTAACCCCATCCCTCCTGTCTGTTTCCTCACCTACATTGTCTCCTTCTGGAAGCTGGACTAGCATATAAGCATGGGTATTCAGGTAGCCGAGCAGACACGGTGGCTCAGAGGATACGAGGATGCGCAGGCATTGATAAAGAGCAGAGGGTGTGAGCAGGGAGGATCGGTTCCAGAGTGGCTGGGTGGAGATGCATCCTCCAGAATTAGGAGACTGGAGCAGGGCTGCAGTTCTGCTATTGTTTTGGTCTTAATTCTCCCTATCTCCCAAAGCATAGGCCTGGTCTTCTCTTCTTTCCACAGGGTATTTTTGAGCCCTTTTTCCCCCTTCTTATAAACTGAATATTATAATAATGACTACTTGATACAGCATTTATAAGAATTAAGTAAGACCAGAATTTGGATGGTTCACAGCATAGCATAATGTCATGCTTAGAGTAAGTAAAATAAATGTTAATTTTTTTCAATATGTTAAAATCTTAAACCTGGTCCTTTTGTGACTCATCTTGGGCATCAATTTTCATACCAATTTTTACCCTTAAGCCCAACTGCTTGTCTAATCAAAACGACAATATAATCTTGTCATTTCTCCACATACTACTAGAGAAAACAAGCAAACAAATGAGCAAACAAACTTAATACTGTCTCCTGCTGCTTCCCTTCTTGCCTTTCCTGATAAGATCTTTCTAATCCTGTGAGAGTGATCTTTTCAACATGTATATCTGACCATAGCTCTCCCCTGCTTGCAATCCTTTAATGCTTTCCAATTGTTACTAGAATAAAAAGCAAAATCTTCAACATGCCCTGGGATGCCCTACATGATCCAGCACCTCACCTCATGCCACCTTTCCCTTCTTCTCTAGCCTCTAGCTGTGCCAATCTTTATTTCTTAAAAATGTCATTCTCCTTTCCACCTCAGGGCTTTTGCACATGCTGTTCCTTCAGCTTCTTTGCCTAATTAATGTCTATATGTCTTTCAAATCTGTTTAAACATTATTTGCTCCAGGAAAACTTTCTCAATGCCATCCCTCTGCCCCATCCCAGATAATAATGAGTTTCTTTTTTGTATGACTCCTTTATTACATGTGTTTTTCCTTTGCAGCACTTAGCTAGAATTTAATTAACCGAGAATCTAATTGGACATTATATATTGGTGTAATTATTTTGACTACCATCAGTCCCTCTCCATGAGGTTGTGGACTTTGTCTATGGAACATGCTCTTATTTCCATAAGAACTGTAAGTGCCTGGAAAGTACTGAATAAATATATTTTTGAAAAAAAAGAAAAACAAAAACAAACAAAAAACAGAAAAAGGCATTGTGCTACAGCTCCATTTTAAATATTCTGAAAAGTGAAACTAAAATTGGTTAAATCACTTGCTCGAAGTCATCCAGACATCAAATGATGGGATATAAAGTTGGTAGTGGTTTTAAAAAAAGGTTTAAAATGAAGGGAACTGAAAATGGAAATCTAATTAGGTTAGAGATGGCAAAGAATCAGCAGGAGTGCTCCATGCCTTTCTTTCTTCCCTCCATAGACATCGGAGTGAGTTCCAACTCCCTTTCTCAATAAGCACAGATTGGGCCTCAGCGTCCTTGTCAACCCAACCCTTCAACTGAATAGTTGAAACGTATTTGCCAGACCTGAACTGGAATATTTTTTAATGGTGAAATATGATAAACATTATTCTATCTATGTGGTGGTGAGACAGGAAAGTAATAGTTTAGTTTTGTTCAGGTGTGTTTTATATTCCTTTGGTTTTCATGAAAGCCTCTTAAACTTTCCTCCATGTCATCCAGTGAATTCATGAACATAGAACCAAAGTTGGATACCTAATTGTATAAGTGAATTTAACAGTGAATGAATGATGGAATGAATGTGATTGAGTCACGTGGAAATAACAGCAGGATGACACTTAATTTTGGCGCATAGTCCAAATACAGGGTAATATAAGCATCTCTGACTCCTGCCAGACTCCGAAGTCAATGGAAGCTTCTGACCAACTGACAGCCTGAACATAGTTAGAAGGGCCTATGAAATAGAATAGGGGAGAGAACATTTCACCTTCCCTTGCTTTTGTGGATCTCTCTTCCAAGATTCTGCTCCAGGTCTGATTCTCTTGAGTGTTTTTAATGTCCTGGTGTAACACTGAACATGAGAGCAATTAAGTGTGATGTATGTTACCCGGCTTTCCTGGACTGCCCAGGCCACTCTGGGATCTTCCTTTTGTTGGATTTTATTTCTATTTTATTAGAATTTTCCTCCTCCCATCAAACAGAAACACTTCTGATCCACAGCTGAGCTTCTGCAATCTTTTTGACAGCCTTATCCACTACGTGGGTTTAATCTGCCCCAGGTAGATCAAAAAGAATTGATATGAATTTTTTGATTGGGTGCCTGTCTTTTTTCTCTCCATCTCTTTACCTTTCGGCAGCTGAAGGGGATCCATCATGATAATTTCCTGTTATTAGGTCTGAAGTGTTTTGAATGTGAAATGCCTTTTCACTTAGAAAGAATTGATGCCTATAACTTGTAATGTGTTAGCAGTTTGGTAGAGTGCTTGACAGCCCAAACTGCATTACAGGTAGCTAATCCCCATGGCTGAGCTCCATTAAAGAATAGATGGTATCTGTTAATACAGCCATAGAGTGTGGGTCATTGTGCTGAAAGGCAGTCTAGCTGCTAACAGAAAGATTATAATGTGACTTCATTCTATTTTAAACTTGCAAAATGTATGGTAGATATACTAGTCATGATTGATTAAAGATATGAGAGAGGATTTTATGACTCCCCTGGTATGTGCCAGGTTTATAATTCCCACCAGGAAGAAAAATGTCTCCAGTGGCTTAAACAAGACCAATAGCAAATTTCAAGCTGTGGACAGCTACGTATCTCCTGTATATCCTTCATAGTGACTTTCCAGGTATTTCATGCAGTTCTTTGGAAGAGATAAGAGTCTGACACCTTGATTCTTAATGCTTATTAAAAGTGACCCCTTAAGAAAAAAGGACTTCTGGTCCAATATTGTGTCTGCAGTCAAATGTGGGTTATTTTTTTTTTTTCGTGTTAGACTAGTAAAGGCAAGTACATGTCAATTTATGTGCCATTTCTAAACAACAGGTAGTGAAAAGCTTGAAGTTCTTTACTGAGTACCAGGAACTGTGATAATGCATATGCACCATGACTCAGTAACAATGCCCATTATAGGCACAGGTGGGACAGCAGAGACCAGTGTATCACATATTTGTCATTCCTCGTATAAACAAACTCAAGCATATTTTGATAACCACAGTCTTTGGAGTAATTAAATGTATAGTCAAGCTTACAACCCTTCATAATTCACATAATCTATAGAAAGTCCAATTAGAATATCTGAAGCCTGGATTATGAAATAGCACCCATTATATTATATGAAATGTAGATTTTTAGTACACAAGTGGTTATTAATGGAGCTCCATAAAAACAGCACATTTCATAGTCAAGCCTTCATTTAACAGATATTTGTGTATTAACTCTGAAATTCTATTAGAGAAAAAAAGTGCTGATGAGATTCCTACCCTTAAACAATACACACGACATGACGGGACATTAAATGCAGATTTCTGGAATAGTTGAATAACCAGTCAAACAGGGCTCTAGTACCAGCATGTGAGCAATCCATGGTTTCATAAGTAAAACCCAATCCCAACTCAGAGTTCTTCAGGTGGAAGTAAAGCCTCTCAAGTTCTATAAGGTACTAACTTTTTGCCAACCAGATGTTGTGCATTAGAGTTTATCTAGCTCATCTTCTCATTTATAGGGAAACTGAGGTCAATGGAGATAGTTATATTTATCAAAGGTACTCAGTATTGACAGCAGCTCAGATTTCTGTATTCCTAGTCTAGTGCTGGTACTGGAAAGTGCTGCCTAATATTTTTTATTTAATAGTTTTATTAAACAGATGTATCAAATTTTAGGCTTGTTCACTTACTTAATAAAGGTTGCTGATTTACTTAATAATATCACTTACTCAATAAATTATTATTTCAGGTAGCATTGTATGGTAGATAAGAGCTAAGGATTGGGATTAATATAAATTTGGTTCTATTTACTAGCCAAGTAACTTAGACTAATTCTGTGTGCCTCTGTTTTCTCATCTGTAAAAGAGAAAATCATGCCTAATAAATAGAGTGAAGATTAAATGAGATAATGTGTATAAGGTCGATGTCCTGGACACGTACTAAATGTCTTAGTGTCTCCTTGTCTGAATGTTGCATCAATCACAGAAGATACGTAAAACCCCATTGGCTCATCTTTCCTCTCTTAAATGAAGTTTAAACTGCCGAAATTATTGAAACAGCAATTAAAATAGAGGTTAGTAAGTGATTGCAATGTCTTTTTGTGAACATTAAGTCTTAAAAGTAAGCTGATACCAAAAGTCATTTATTTCCCATTCATTATTAATTAGCAACTATGGGGTGAGTAGATCTTAAATAAAATTTAGGTATATTAGCTACAAGTTTTCTCAAAAAACCTTGCCTGTTAGCAGTAGCTCATGATAATTGGGATCTTGATCTTAAACACAAGCATGACCAAAATACCTATTCCTAAACACACATTAAGCCTTACAATGATGCCAGCATTTTAAAATATTTATCCATTACATTCAGTGCTTCAGGGTGACACTGAAACTCAATAGCTTCTAATCTTCCGGCTAAAATCTCTTTAGTAGAAATATTTGACTGGGCACAGTGGCTCACGCCTGTAATCCCAGCACTTTAGGATGCTGCCTCGCTTGAGCCCAGGAGTTCAAGACCAGCCTGGGTGACATGGCAAAACGTTGTTTCTACAAAAAATTAACAAGGTGTGATGGCACTCACCTGTAGTCCCAGCTACTCCAGGGACTAAAGTGGGAGGATTGCTAGAGCCCAAGTAGGTCCAGACTGCAGTGAGCTGTGATTGCACCACTGCACTCCAGCCTGCATGACAGAGTGAGACCCTGACTCAAGAAAATTTTTTAAAAGTAAAAAAAATAATAAAAAAAGAAAGGAAGGAAGGAAGAATTTGATTGGAGTTCTTCCCACTTCTTGGTGATATTTCTGTTTTCTCTCACTAAACTCATATGTTAACAAGATAATAATTAAGATCCATATCTTGGGCCGGGCGCGGTGGCTCACGCCTGTAATCCCAGCACTTTGGGAGGCCGAGGCGGGCGGATCACGAGGTCAGGAGATCAAGACCATCCTGGCTAAAACGGTGAAACCCCGTCTCTACTAAAAATACAAAAAATTAGCCGGGCGTAGTGGCGGGCGCCTGTAGTCCCAGCTACTTGGGAGGCTGAGGCAGGAGAATGGCGTGAACCCGGGAGGCGGAGCTTGCAGTGAGCCGAGATCCCGCCACTGCACTCCAGCCTGGGCGACAGAGCAAGACTCCGTCTCAAAAAAAAAAAAAAAGATCCATATCTTGTTCTAAGAGGATATCAACACAAGTAAGCAAAACACAAACCAAAATACCCATTTCCGAAAGCATGTTTCTCAATGACAATTCCTGCATGGGCTTCCAAGACCGATCTTTCACATGATCAAAATCATAGTCATTGCTTTGTATGTTGCTAAATAAATAGAGCCAATAAGAAGGAGAATACCAGTGGAAGTAATTCAAATAGAACTTCTTGTTTTCTGAAGTTTAAGGTTACCATTATTTTATAGGACCGCTACTATTTAACATCTCTCCAAGGACAGTATAACACTCTTCCCAGCTTTCGAACTTCTGCCTGGTTTGAACCTTTCATGTTTATCTTCAAATAGATTTTTCTGTGTCTTCTCTTAATTTAATAATATCCATGGCCATTGGTCTAGGTCTATTCTACATCTGAATAGGATTCTTACACTGCTGTATGCTGTTTGCCCCGGTAATGCTGTTTACCTCCTGTTTTACTGACTTAGGACCCATCAAGGTGAAGAAAGCTAGCCCTCTTTCCCTGATACCTAGCTTCTTATGTTCCTGCCTTTCAAAAGTTGAGAAACAAGAGCAAGAAAATTATGTAGTACCCTTCATGGTGACTTTTTTTTCCTAAGAGTTATCTGCCATTTCTCTGGTTCCATATTACTTATCAATCCAGGACTGCAGCCTTCATAATCTCAAGCAAAAATCAGGGTCTGTTATAAGGGGAACATTGGTGAGGCAGAGACGAAAGGGGGAGAGGAAGACCATCTTGCCTTCATTGAGATGAAAATTTACACAAATCAATTTGTTTCTAACGTCACGGAGTTCTCTGAGTGTATTTTTAAAAAGCTGTTCATAAAAAAGTAAGTAAATAAACTTGAGTTAATTAAAAACGTGTCTACATAATGGCATCAATTTCATTGCATTGTGCACTTTGGGTGTAAGTTCTAAATCTTTTTGTTGTTATTGTTGTTTGTTTTTAAAGATAAAAATTGTTTTAATGTTTTAAAGGGAAATAAAAAGGATTTTTTGCCTTTTATTATTATTTTTTATTTTACTCTAAGTTCTGGGATATCTGTGCCGAATGTGCAAGTTTGTTACATAGGTATACATGTGTCATGGTGGTTTGCTGCACCTAAGTTCTAAATCTTATATAGATAAACTTTTAGGGAAATGGTTGTATTGATATAAATGGCTTTTTGTATAAAATTCATGTTTATATAACTTGAGTTTCAAAGAAATTTTTGCATAAAAATTTAAAATGGAAATACTTAAAATATAGGATTTCAAGACTATATCTGTGTTGATATTTCTTCTTGTTCTAATATAACGTACAGGGAACCATAAAATATGTAGGTGGCTGCAGACTTTGGACTCACCCATACCCTCTGTTAGAAGAAGTTAAAGATCTTAAGTCTAGCACACTGGAAATCAATGTCAAGCCAGAGTTTCTGTGAGTCCACACCTGACTTCATGCCCCAACTTCAGTTTTCACCCTATTTTTCAGAGGAGACCCCCTTTGAGTACTTTAAAGTGCTAGTAAAAAGACCACTTAGTTCTATAATGAGTCCAAGTCTTTATACATTACTAGCCTAACATTCAACAGAAATCGTGTGACAAACTTTACTGGAAATCCCAATGTCCTTGGACATGGTCAAAGAAGAAGATCCCTTTATAAGACAGTGCGATTATTGCACTCATAGCTTTTCTATGATTTTGTTTTCTACTTCTATCTTTCACAGTCATATAAAATAGAAACATGACTTTTACTTCATAATGTGTGCACTTATACAACGTATTTTCAATATTTCTGGAACATTTTCAACAGTTAGACACTTTTATCCCCTTTTAGAATTTGGTGTTACATGTTTATTCCTATGTTTACCTTCTAGGACTAGACCCATATTTGTCACTCTCAGAGAAGCATTGTATCATGGTTTTTTGTTTGTTTTTTTTTTTTTTTTGTATTTCTGTACACAGTTTGTAGAAACTTGCTCTAAACGCTGCTCTGAGCTTGTCCTGAAACTTGCCTGTAGATAGATTGCCGTGAGGTCAAATATCTGCCTCAGTACCTGGAGTTCTAAGGAAGCTTTCTAGATTGTTCAAGGCTGTGCCCTGTTTTCTTCTATGGATATCTTCCTGACACTTTTTAATGCACGCACCTTTTCTAGGTAGCCCTGTTGGAGCTGGAAATTATTTTTATCTGCTATTCTGGACTTCCTTCCATCATCTGGAAGGATTATCACTCCTGGTGCACCCCTACTTTGAAGAGTTGCATTTATTCATTACTGCAAATCAGGTAAAATAAAACCCCTTTTAACCGTTTTCTCTCTTTTTACTCTTTTTCCCATGAAGCATAATGAGGCTTAATTTTCATTTAATTTAAAAAAGAAAGTCAACAATCACACCCCTTAAAAATTATACCAGAAGTTAGCCGATAGTAACCATAATAACTAAAATTTTTTGAGGGTTTATCATATGACAAACCCTACTCAGTGCTTTGTGACTCTTATTTCCTTTAATGCTCATAATAATACCATGAAGTACGTACTTTTTCTCATTCTTTTTCCAATTAAACAAACAAACAAACAAAACTACCAAAACCTGAAGTTTAGTGAGATCAGATCAACTGCTTAAATTTATATTGTGAATAAGCAACAGAACTAGGATTGGAGTCCAAAGTCCAAGTCTCTTAATATTAGAGCCCAGATGCCTACTCACCAAAACTCTCTGCCTCTTGACCCATTTCGGTGGAATGTGTGTTCACATTGAGTCATGGAACTACAATGTTTTGTAGAGCAGGAGAATGAGCAGAAAGAGAGAGAGAGAGGGAAAAAGATCTCCTATTGCCTGCAACAGAAAACTAAACAACATCACAACTCACAACATGAAATGATGTTAATTCATTAGGACATTTTTTCATTGCTAAGAGCTGTCAGATTTCAGAAAGTCATTTAAAAAATTAACTTGGAAACTTTTGTGACATTCTTCATTTTGTGCATGTGACTTACCTAACACATGTGTGCACTTGGCATCTAATATTCAGTCTCACATGGCCACTTGGATGTAGGAACTAGCAGCAGTTGTAGAGAGGGAAGGTCATGAGGATACTTCTGTGCGGTAACATGATAATTTTTGGACCACTCTTTCCTCTTCTGTTTCCCCTGCTTCCCTCACATCTTGTAGCTTTGCCAGACCCTTGGTTTCAGGAGTTCCCTGACTGTACAGTTTGCAAACTTGCAATTTCACACCACATTTATCACCATAGCAACAACAACAAAAAAAACCCTACAAAGTGGAAAATTTGTTGAATCAGCTGCCAGATTTATGTCTTGCTGGTGTCCAGTCAAACACATCACTGCCTCCTGGGCTGTCTGTGCAATGGACGGGTATTATTTTCCTAAGAGCTATAAGCCTGACCTTCAATTCTCAACTGTCTCAATTCCTTTTTTGCTAATCTTGTTTTCTTCTGATCCACACTTAATATGTGGCCAAAAAGAGTGTTTACTCTTTCACATTTCAAATCTTATTTTCAGTAGGTCTTCCTCCGGGGTGGAAGAATACACTTCAGAATCAACTAAAGTTTAAGAAGTGGTGTTGATCATCCTCTGTGTTGGTCAAGTAATTAACATGGAGAAAATTGCATCCAAATCTGAATACTATCATTTAAGAGAGACGTGTGTGAATTTTAGTCAGGCAGGCCCTGAGATTGGGTATTAGGAACCAACGAGTTAAGCTGTGTTTCAAGTTCAAAGTCTGGTGTAGAGTGAAAGCAGAACCTGAGGACCAGGATCTGAGGGAGAATGTCAGTCAGACAAACAGGCTGTTCATACTGTCAGGTATAAGTGGGAAGGCCAGGTGCTCTTGTCAGTACAGGGTGGCATACTCAAAGGATGGAGACATAAGGCACCTATAGGTTATAAAGTTCTCCTCAGTACTACCTGGCCAGCTCTCATTATTTTAGGTCAATTTCAGACCAGAGAATATGCAGGCAGGGGAAAGTAGAAACTTCTCTTCTCAAGCATTCTTTATATCCACAAAATGACATGATTCACTACTCCCAATGGTTTTCCCCCTTGATCTACCTCTAAATTGCTCTTTCTCCAAATAGATGCATGTGCAAATTCTACAATCCTTCAATAAGCAGCTAATGGAACATCTACTCTCTGAACTTTCTTTTATAGCATCTCCCAAATTAAACGTAATGCCCTCCCTTCTGAATTCTTACAACAGCCTATCTAAATTTCTCTTATAATATTGCTTGCTTTATTCATTATATTTGAATTGGTATTCTAATTGCTGTCATGTGTAGACAGACTAGAAGCTAACCTCTGTAAAAATAGGGATCATATTCAGCTTATTCATTCTCATTTTTAGAACTAGCATAGTGTTAGTTAATTTTATTTGGATATGCACAAATGAGTACACACATGCTTATACTAATGTTTACAGTGTCCTCTGTCTGGTGTAAATTCTTGGTGAGCAAGGTCTGCATCTAATTTGCCTTTCTCTGGTGCCTAGTACTGTTTTCAATTCAGTAGGTTCTTTACAGATTGTTGTTAAATGACTTCTCTCAGAAATGTAAACTACAGAGATTCTCCAATGTGTCTGAAGTAGCCAGACAAGTTTCTTGCTTATGCAGATCAATGCAAATAGTTATGCAAATGGAGCTAAAAGGATTCAGAGAAGATGGAGCACTACTAATGGAAATGACTCAAAAATGCCACTTTCTCTACACTATTGCTATTTCCCAGAATTCCTCAGCCTGCACATGCTCAATTGAAACCCCATTACTCTTTTCAGGAACAAAGATGATGGGATGATGTGGCGACCCCTGGGGCTCTCCAGGTCCCTCTTCCTTAATCCCCTCCAGTGCATGACTAGAGGGACCCATGCAGTCCCTAAATGAGAACTTTACAGCCAGGCACTGCTGACACTACTTCATTATGAAGATGCATGGGATGGCTACAAGATAATGAATGCCAGTGCTTGGAAGGATAAACTCGGCTTCTCTCTGATACAATTTAACATCGTATTTCCCTAATTTGAGCCTGATTTAGTCGCTGGGGTATTTGCACGCCTCTTCTATGGTGCCAATAGTTAATTAAACAGATGTTGCAGAGGGAATCATTAATTTTAGTGTTGCAGATGGGAGCGGAATGACTTTGTGAAGTTAATGTTTCAGCAAAACAATGGGTTTCTGTCATCAGCTGGTATAAACCAAGTAAATTAAGAGAACAAGTAGAATAGAGTAGATTGCTCTGAAGAAATATCAATGATTCATTTGAGGAATTACACTTCTTTTTGTCTTTGCATTTCCATAGGGGAGAAAAGTGAATGTCTGGAGGGTGGAGTGGTGGAAGCAGCTTGAAATAGTTTAAAGCTCTCGCTATGCAAAGATTTTTCTTTGTCAGGGCTTATTTTGTATATGAGAGTGAACGGTTTGGAAATATGGATTGAGCTAGATAAACCAGGGAAATTTGTGACAAGGCTTACAGTTAAGAGAAACACACAAGTGGAAGACGGAGAATCATTTCTACTGTTTTCACTGTTGTATTATTCATTAATTCAGCAAACATACATTGTTGAGAGGCACTTTGGGGCTGAGAACATGCCAATGAACCTGAAAGACAGAGTCCCTACATTTCTGTAGATCATAATCATTCAGGAAAAATAAATAGATGCAGATAGGGCACAACCGTGTGCAAGTTCATCACATACATATTTGGGGAAGAAAAATAACATTCATTGAGCAGTCCCCCCATGTGCCAGGATTATATATGTGCTTAATAATTTTTATGAGAAAACTGGATATATATACACAAGGAAACTGAAATCTTAAAGTCACAAAGGTATTATGAAGAAGTTTTATCTTAATATTGGTTCAGAAATGAATTTTGTCCTCAAGAAGCTTACATTCAAAGAAAAGAGATACATTATATAAGTGTATCTATAAGTGTATCTATAAGTGTACAGGCTTTAAAATGACTCATCACATAAATAAAATTCAATGGAAATTCAAGGAGGAAACAGATGGAGATGCCTACAAGGACAATTGAGAAAATAATCTTAAAGAAGGAGGAATTTAAGGTAATCCTTGAAGAATAGGTCTTACTTCAACATGCCATGATGGGAAGAAGGATTATAGAAGACACATATTTGATCAATCTTTCTTATAATCAGGGCAATTGCTTCTTATAGGATGATCTGAGATTTGTGATTATTAGTCTAGTCTGCTGTGGTGAACAGAATAATGGCTGCGCAAAGATGTTGATGTCCTAAAAGTCAGAATGTGTGAATATGTTATGTTGCATGGAAAGGAATAATTAAGAGTGCAGATGAACATCTAAACATTGCTAATCACTTGACCTTAAGAAAAGATTATCCTGGATTATTTGGATGAAAACAATGTAATCACAAGGGTCCTTAAATGGAGAAGAGGGGCACAAAGTGTCAGAACCAGAGAGATCAAAGCATAAGAAAGACTTGTTGAGCCACTGCTGGCTTTGAAGATGTAAGGGTACCATTAGCCAGGGGGTATGGGCAAGCGTCTAGAAGCTGGAAAGCGAGAACATTGATTCACTCCTGGAGCCTCCAGACATGAATGTAGCTGTGCCAACACTTTAATCTTCACCCAGTGAGACTCGTTTTAGACTTTTGACTTCCAAAACAATAAGATACTGAAAACATGTTGTTTTAGGCCACTAAGTTTGTGGTAATTTGTTACAACAGCAATAGAAAATTCATACATAGACAGAGGAGGGTTATTTCTTCTTTCATTGGTGTAATTTCCATTAGATAAAACTTACATGCTTGCCTTTTCTTACTTTACTTTATGTTCTTAATGAAATTTTATATTGCATGCAGCATTTTCTGGTATTCTGATAATTCATTCATTCATTCATTCATTCAACAAATATCTCCTTAGATTTCCTGAGATATGACAGTGAATACAACAGAGTCCTTTTTTTCTTTTCCTGAAGCTTACACAGTGAAGAGAAAGTGTGGCATTTAGACTTGAAACAAGTAGGATGGGCCTGCCATTTGTTGGGCCAGGGAACATGGGAGCAAAACTAGGCACAGAACAAAATATTATTAGTTCAATTTTATTTATGTTCCATATAAGATTCCAGGAGGCTGTTGTGGATACAGGTTTGCAGGTCAAAAAAAAAAAAGTGAGAAATGGACTAGAAATAGAAATCACCCTAGCTATTTATCACCCGTCCAGTTGCATTATTTTTAGTACAGGATGGGCCTCCAGAATGGTGCCATATATGGCATCAGATGATGTCCTCTATGATTTCCTGGAGGCAGTTGGCACAGGCTCCATCCCTGTGAATCTTACAGATGAATCCTGGTTCTGTAAGCTTTACTGGCTTAGATGGGTGTTATGGGGAAATGATGCTGGGAAGAGCCAAGTTGTGTACAAAATGATTACTTTGCTCCATCTCAGTATGGTGCATGAGCACACCAGCTGTGCAGGGACCGTTCTTGTGCCATGTCTCCAAGTGTGTTGATTAAACCATATGCTCATTGATCTCCAGGGGCTCTGTTCTATTGTGGCACTGACTCAGCTGGGTAAACAGATTTTATTGTTGCTTAGAGTCTCAGGATGGCCCCACCCTATCATTCTTAAACTACTCTCAGTAATCATTGGTTTCAGAAATATATCCCCACCCCGACATGGATTATATTTTCTTTCTGCCTCAGTGTGTGCAACTTCCACTATCAATACACACTTAATGGCAAATTTGACCCAAACCGCCCTGTATTTCACAGTGGCTCAAAAGTTGAGCTATGTCCCTAACTGAACATCTCAGCGTTTCCCCATCACAAGCTTCCCCCTTAAACTATTTTGTCAAACTGGGCAGATGTACAAAGTCAGTCATGTAGTCATACACAGGTATGAAAATACATATTCAGGGTCTAAACAATAATATAAATTTAAAAATTTAATAATTCAAGCATTGAAAAGTGAAAATTGAGCCTGTACTATTATCATCACTGCTAGCTGTTTTTGTTTGTTTGTTTGTTTAATTTGATAATTATAAAATTAATTTACAGATAAACTGCTACACATAAACTTAAATTGAGATGAGAGGAGTCTCATTTAGAGGACTTTCAATTAGAGAAGTCAAATTGCACACAAGAAAACATGTAAAAGCCCTTTAATTCATTAAAGAAGCACCTAACAAAAATTATTAAGAATGAGCTACAGGGTATTTCCTGTTGTGAGGCAACTTCTAAATTATTAAAATGTATTTTCTTATGAAAGTACTAATGTACTTTTTCACTATCACTTCCTCAATTGTTACTGTTAGTCAAATAGTTTCAGAAATGTAAGATGCTAGCTAAATCCTATCATTTTGCTTCTGTGATTAGTGAGAACCTAAAAAGGCAAGTAAATTGCCCGTATTAAGTAGTCAAGTTGAATCTAAATGATCTAAATGCCCATACTGGCTTTAGTCTTCCAACAATATGCTAGAGTAAGTGCTCTGAGAAACTCTCTGCTTCAGGAAAGAAGAAAAAAGCAAACTAGTTCATAGATAGGAAAAATAATATGGATGCATTGTTAGTTTCTTCAAAAGTAAGAAAGATTTCCACAAACACCTTGATCCCAAACATGTATAAGCCGGTATAAATTATAAAGAATGGGCATATGTGGGAAGTGGCAAGTACTTGAAGGTAGATCAAGAAAACTCCTGTATTTGGATTACTGAAGTTTTAGCCAGCATATGGTGGAAAGCTGGCACTGAGGCATAAACCTGGTCCCTCAATGGGAGCACAAGTGTACCAGATTTGGAACAAATACAGGATTGAGGAGAGGCATACTCAAACCTCCATCTCATAGTCTTTTCAATACACCACACTATAGCAGTAAAGACAAGGCTGTCCACTGTCTAACATCCATTGCTGAGGGTCTTTTAGAGCCACCTTGTAACAAGACGCCAACCAAAAGTGAGGACATATCTAGGTCAAGATGACCAAGGGATAGTGAAACTATATGAGAGATCTTTCTGTGCACCAAAGAATCACTCTGTTACAAAGAAGAAGATAGAGCTAATTATTATTATTTCTAATAATCGTAGCAATGTCCTGTTATAGTGCTTAGCTTCTGGAAGTTTTTGACAAGTGCTAATGAGGATAAGGTTGCAGTTTTGATGGACATAAGGGTAAGTTAATTTCAGTCCTGCTACTGATACGGTCAGTGAGAACTAATGATCATAAGGGCCACATATATTGGAAGTGTTGCTGACTCAGGTTAACCCATCACTCTTATAGCAATACTCCATAGTACTGGAGTTAGCAAGAATAAGGTTGACGTCAACATAAATGGATCCATTCCTACCAACCTTGCCTAGACATTGTTCCAGTTGCTGGAATCTAAGTTCAATAAGGACACGGTTTAAGTCTCTCATTCATTACTGTACCCTGAATGCTTAGCTGAGAGCCTGGCTTATAGAAGGTAACCCTTTTACTTTGGATAAATGGCTAATAATCAATTTATAAAATATTTGGTATAATATTTAGAAAGAAGCCTGGCAAAAGGACTGGGCTATGTTAGCAGATTTTCCCATAAATGTTGTGATCTGTGGAAAGTATTTAACCTTTCAGGATCTCATCATGCTTTTCATTTATCAAGTGAGGTTTGGATACATGTTTCACCAGATTGTTAAGAGTATATGAATTATAAAGTGCTCTACAAATATTAGGTATTATGATAAGTTTAGCACTTAGGTAGAACTGAATGCAAAAATATAAATGAGAAAAATAAAACAAAATGACAATTGTTTAGTCTAATATGCTAAACACGTTCACATAGGCTTCACAATATAAACTATGCAATAGTTTTATAAAATAAGTATTGCTGGCCCTAATTATCAGGAAACGAGCATAAGGCTCAGGTAGAGGTTGAATGTGACTTCGTTTGTATAGGACTACTTTCCTTCTCCCTCTCTCTGTATCTCACTGCCTCCTGGCACATATGAAAGAGAGCAAGAATATGTAAACTGGAATTAATTGCTTAATTTTATAGCACCAAATATAATATTGGAACTTGGAAAAGGGGAAAACAGATGATGCCAAGAAATGTTTTATAGACAAAGTAGGATTTTAACAGATGTTTGAAGGATGCATGGATTTTTTTCATCTGAGTAAAGAGGGAAGGCTGGATCTGCCTTCAGCTTATATGAAGCCCTTGGCACCCCCGAAGGAACAGAAGCAGGCATAAGTACTGGGGAAATCTAGTTTGAAGACCTGAGCAGACAGTATAGGTAAGTCAGGGAAATAGAGTTGAGGTACTTTTCTTCACCTGGATTATACACAGAACGATTGAGCCCTTTCTGCACCAAGTACCTAGGTTACAAAGTTCTTCAGAAGAGGCAAGAACTAAGTGTGAGGGTCAAGACTTGTCATTGAAGAAGCTGACAGTGGCATAACCTACCCCAGCCTTCCTCAAGCCAATTCACTGAAATGTTCTTGGGATAGATCAAAGAGATGCTGCAATCCCAACGATATGTATAAAGTAGTGTAAGCCGTTTTACATGGATATTAAATAAAATGTTTCTATAGAATCTTTAAGATTTAGAGATATTCAGAAAATAAAACATGAGTTACAGTTCACACAATTTCTAGTTGCAGCTGCTAATGTACTTACGTTCACGGGCATTGCTTTCACTACGGTAGCTGAGTGCCTGAACCTTATGTGGTGTCTCTTAATTGAAACTTGCATTTTCATAATTTTAATTTCTGCTTGTACATCAGAATTACTCATAGATACTTTAATAAACCATACAGACCTTGTTATTCCCCACTACTCCAAGATTCTGATTTACTCTATCTAGGGAAACATGGAATCTGGAGTTTGAAAATTCTCCCTTGATAAGGCTAATGCAAGGACAGTGTTGACATCTACTGGCATAGATAATCCACAAATTCCAATCCATGTGGCTCATGAAGTAATAACATATTTAAGAGTTGGTACGATTCCTCTGGTTCCATAAGCCCTATCTTTGGCTTTACATTATGGTTACATCATGTTTTTTCCAAGAAAAGTTTTGAAGGACCATGCCTATTTTGGTATAGGAACATAGATTCTGTATTTCTAACTAAACTTATTTTGTCATAGTTTTAGATTAGCAAAACAGTTGTTCAGAGTGTTTTCTCCAGATTTCCCTAATATTAATTACCACCATAGTAAACCGTGGCACATTCGACAAAACTAAGAAATTAAGACAGATGTATTTCTACTAACTAAACTCTAAACTTTATTTGTATTTCACCAGCATTTTTCATCAAGTTCTTTTTCTGCTGCAGTATTCAATTCAGGATACCATACTGCATTCAATTGATTCTATCTTTTAAAGATCATTTTAAAGGTGATTTTGGTACAATAAGTCCTCACACCACCTATTTGTAACTGCCAACCTGATCCAAGCTACTCAATTTTGAAATAGCAAAGCGCATTCAGAAAGGACTCAGTCTTGCCTCAGTTAACCCATCTCTTCAGCCAAAAAGATAAGGTTTATGACTCCTGCTCATCTCATCATTTCACACTGGATCATGACAATGCTCCAGATGATTGCAAAAAAGCTGGTGAAACCCCATGAAAATAAAATCAGTCACAATACATAGCAGCCGTGAAGGGATTCCAAGACCCACTAGAACTTGTGGAGTCCTTAACTCCTTGGTAATAGATTTGAGGGAGATTGCTTGTACTCATTGTTTCATTAACTTAGTGTATGAATTAATGAGATAAGATTCTATGTAATTAAGAACCCAACCACAAAAACACACAGACATGCCCTTTACTCAACATTGCCAAAAACTCTATTTCAGTGATATACAGACATGATCAATGGAATACTCTCAGTTTTAAATAATAGCAACTAGTTTCAATGCCTGGAAAGTAATGATGAAGCCTGAAGTTCTAATTCTTTCAGAAGTACAGAATAAATCTCTCAGAAGTGCATTTTTTTCTCCATTAACAGCATCTTTTGTTTTCAAAAAATCTATAAGAACAATGTATACAGTTGAGAAATTTATAAACACACAACACAAACATGCACACATGTATGGGGTATGTGCATACATGCACAAACACACAGAACTCTCAACCCTGAATAGAAGGCTAGTTGAAGTTCATTCCTCATGCTTTCTGATTATGGTGCTTTGAATCATCTCCTAGCACTGCATGGACAGATTTCACAATTGGATTTACATCTTGAGATGTAAATGGTCTAAACCAATGCACCTTAATAGAAATTTGTTTAATTTTCTTTTTTCAGTGTGTTGAGCTTCTAGTATTCAGTTGTTCAGCATTGCAATCAATGTTTCAAGGTATTTTAAGGTACTAAATTCTGACCATTGCCAAGCAAAGGTAATACACTAAGGAAAAGAAGAAAATAGGAACATTCTTAGGGGAAAATACATGTAATCACAACACACAGAATATATTAATCCAGGGTTGTATAGTTTGCAGAATTTCATCTCCTTATTTGCGTTTTACAACAACCCTGAGAGATTCTATTGATACTTCCCTTCTGTACATACCACTCCTTAAAATTCCAGGTATTGTATAGTTCTCTGGAGTAGTAAAATTAACATCTGAGAAATATTCACTTATTGTGTTTACAAAAAGTCCACTGACTGGTAATAAAAATACTTCTGTTAACTTTAATATTTGAAACACTTGAGAAACTTATATAACAACAAAAATCCGGAGAGTGTTATTAAATTACTTTTATCATGAAATAATGGGAGTTCTTTAGGGGTGCTGGATCTGAACATTGAAACTCATTTTGCCTCTTGACTTCTCAATTAACTTTTTACTCATGCAAAAAAAGAGTAAAATGATAAAAATCAGAGCAGTGACAATGCCTGAATTCAAATTCTCTTTAGCCAAAATAGCTAGTGGATATTAAGCCAGGCTAGATCTAAGATTAGCTAGATGATAGAGCTGTCAATATGTTATGATTTGTTGAGCTTCATACATGTCCACTAATCTATGTTCTGCTGAACTATTGACATTGAAAAAAGCATCTAATATCCTGATATTAATCCCTAGGTACTTAAAGTGTTTATGGCTATCTGCTAGATTAAAGACCATCTAACCCAGCTCATTGATTTTACAGATGGGGAAACTGAGACCTAGAAAAAGGAAATGGCTTATTCAAGATCACAATATAAACTATGCAATAGTTTTATAAAATAAGTATTGCTGGCCCTAATTATCAGGAAACGAGCATAAGGCTCAGGCAGAGGTTGAATGTGACTTCGTTTGTATAGGACTACTTTCCTTCCCTCTCTCTCTGTTGATCATAAGCTATTTGATCATAAGCTCAAACTACAACATGGTTCTCCTAATTCCCAGTGCATAATCAGTTTCTACTTACCGCATACACACTTTATGCTTATTGCTACTTTATAGCTATTTTACACTAATAATGATAAATGGTCTCATAAATTTGCAAGATTTAGTGTTGGGGTTCAGCACAGAATTTGTAGTTTAATAAGTTATCCTAGGTGATTCCAATGTGCCTGCTCTGATACAGGTCCACAACCAGTGATGGAAAATCCCAACTCCATTCTTTCTTATCAAAGACCAAGTGTTATGATCTCCTTTGAGAGTTATTTTTTAATTATAAATATTTCACTATATATTATAACTTTAAAATAATGTTTACTCTAGTATGTCAATATTAGGATTCAAAACAGCCTAGGATGTTTGTTTCACATTCCCAACATTCCCTAAAAAACTATAGCTAGAAAAGGCAAATGAAAATGCTACAACCACAAGATCTGGAAATTAAATCAATAAGACATCTTATAAATATTTAGCTCAACCATTTCTTTGACATGTGGCTCAGAGGAAATAAGAGACTTGTTCAAAATCACATAGTGATGTTTTCGAATGTTGTATTTATCTACATGAGCTGCCATAACTAAATGCCATAGACTGGGTGGCTTAAACAACAGGCATTTATTTCATCAGAGTTCTTGAGGCTAGAAGCCCAAAATTAAGGTGCTAGAAATTATGTTTCTAGTCAGGGCTCTCTTTCTTGTTTGCAGATGGCTGCCTTCTTACTATGTTCTCACATGATTTTCCATCTCTGTGTGTACATGGAGAGAAAGAGAGAGACAGACAGAGAGAGAGAGAGAGAGAAGAGAGGAGAACTCTCTCTCCGGCATTTCTTCTTAAAGGGGACTAATCATATCCCTTATGGCCTTATTTAACCTTAATTACTTCCACAGATGTTCCATCTTAAATAAAGCCACATTGGGGTTAGAGTTAGAGTTTCAACATAAAATTTAGGGGGGGTTTGTTTACAAAAATTCAAATTTATATTTATAGCAAATATAAATTCCAGTTTTCATATTGATATTGAAAAAGATACAGCTTCTAGGGAATAGGAAACATGCATTTTGAGTACTTCTGCATAATTACATATTTATATTATAGGGTGTTTCCCATTGGTGTCTTTACTTCAGTGTGGGCTTAGCTTAGGGTATTTTCTAATTTTCTTTTTTTTTCTTTTTTTTTTTTTTTTTAGATGGAGTTTTACTCTTGTTGCCCAGGCTGGAGTGCAATGGCATGATCTTGGCTCACCGCAACCTCTGCCTCCCGAGTTCAAGCGATTCTCCTGCCTCATCCTCCCGAGTAGCTGGGATTACAGGCATGCACCATCACGCCCAGCTAATTTTGTATTTTTAACAGAGATGGAGTTTCTCCATGTTGGTCAGGCTGGTCTTGAACTCCTGACCTCAGGTGATCCACCTACCTCAGCCTCCTAAAGTGCTGGGATTACAGGAGTGAGCCACCGCGCCCAGAGGGTATTTTCTAGTTTTAACCTATATTTTCACATTCTTACATTCTGAAAATATGGTGCGTGATAGAAAAGAAAGTAGGTATGGAGAAGGAGGATAGCACATGTTGCTTGTACCAACTTGCACAAGCCTGTTGCAAGCATCTATCCACAATTCTGTTCAAGTGATGTCACATGACTAGCAATGATGGGTGTGTTGACACATGGATGGGTCACACCTACCCATGAGGGGTATGTTTACACTATGAAAATTGGTAAATGTCACAAATCATGGCTAACCCCCATCCTGGAGAGCAAATTGTTAAACATTTACCAGCACTCTACTGAATATATTTGGTCAGTGATTCAGGTATGTGTTGGGGGAGTGGGTGGATCACAGCTTATGATGGAGTTTTAATCTAAGGATTGGCTTTCGATGTATATTATGAGTATATGGGAGAACAGCATAAAAAATATTGTGATATTGATGGATAGTGGAGAACATTCACCTCTGGTGGACCTCAATTCTCTCATCTGTAAAATAAGATTAATTAAACTGAAGGACTAATTTCTTCAGTCTAGTACTGATGTTCTTTTTGTGGAAACTTCTGAGGTAATATTGCATCAGTGGTTAAAAGAAAGCAACTTTGGGATTTAGCAAAATTTGATATAGGCCTAGACCTAGTGCTTTAATCACAGTGTGACCTTGGGCAAGTCACTTAATCAGTCTTAATTCTCATCTTTCTATCAAGAAGATAGGGTTGGTGTATTACTTTCCCATAGAACTGTTATAGAGAGTTAATTAGATAATGAGGTAACTGGCTCAGCACACTTCTTGGCGTTTAAGTTGTCAATCCTTACTGTTATTATTCCTACTACTAACTACTGTTAGTACTGCTATCACTCTACCAATGCTACTGGATTACTACTAATAAACTTCCTCACTTTACCAGGTGCAAAGTAGAAGCTGGGAGACCTGAGGCTATGGAGGCTACAGCTATTTTTGGCTCATTGCAGTCAATATTCTTTTTATTACAAAGAACCAAATTAATAGCCCCTGACACTAGGTTGGCACCTTTCCTATGCCAACAAGCTTGAAGTTACAAAACCCAAACTTACAAGAGCTTATTTCTGAGCAGAGAATTACTAGCAATTAAGCAGGTTTCATTGTGAACACCTCAGTGGAAATCAGTCTCTCCAATTTATTTCTTCTGACAGCTGACTATGATCTGGAAACTAAATGTGGGTTTCCAGGGAAGAAGACAGGGATGACATCAGAATCTGGAGCAATACTTGAAGATGGCAAACATCAAACTGTATATACTTAAAACATTTTTAGAAACGGGATGTGGAAGACTTATATGGACAGAAATGTGTGTGCATTTCACATATTAAACAGGAAGTGGATAGATCTTTAGGAAGACATTTAGAGGTGGAAGAAGAGTATATATAGGCCAAGAACAGAGATCTGAATTCTCACTCTTCCCATGCTCTTTTTTAAAGATAATTTAGCCTATAATCAGGTATGGATTCATCATCTGTAATATAATATAAGCTGCGTTCCTCAAAGGGGGATTGTAAGGATTAAATTATGGGATCCATGGAATCGACAAATCATAGTGACTGGAACATAGTATGAAATCAGTAAGTAAAGTTTGTCGGTTTATTATTACCACTGCTACCATTTTCTCCTTCTCCTCTTCTGTCTTTCTTTTTCCTTCTCCTAATTCTTCTTCCATCATTAATCATCATCATCGCTATCACCCTCTTCATCATCATCTAACATATACAGAGCCCTTATTATGGACTGACACTCTTCTTATTTATTTATTATAATCCCCTAATGTAGATGCTCCATCAGTGTTATTTTACAGATTAATAAATGGGGATGCAGAGAAGTAAAGGAATTAGCACAAGTCCACATAACCAGTTAGTGGTAGAACTGAGTTTTAAATCTAGGCATCTTGACTTCAGAGCTAATGTGTTTTTAAGTGTTTATGCATGCATATATTTGCTAATAATTGCAAAAATATGAATTCTCTGAAGTCCTTATCAGAATCATTGCCCTTAATTGACAAAATCTCCATTTTGTCATCTGGCTATTTGAGTGGGGAATTGAATACAATTATTACTAATATTTTATTAATCTATTAAAGAAAAGAACTACATGATACCCTTAACAAGATGCTGACAATTCAAGATATGGGTTAATTCATGTACAAATATTTAGAGATTGCTAACCATATGTTGACTACTAATCTTAATGAGGGGGATAAAGTAATGAAAAGACAGACTTGGCCTGCGTTTCCCTGAAACTTATATTCTAGTGGGAAGAAACAATGAACTAACAGGAGGCTGGGAAACTTTTTTTGTGTAAATAGCTAGACAATAAATATTTTATGCTTTGAGGGCCATATGGTCTCTGGCACAGCTACTCAACTCTACCATTATAGTACAAACACAGTCATAGACAACACTGAAATATAAGTGTTCCAGTGAAACCTGTTTACAAAAACAGGTGACTGGCTAGGTTTGGTTTTCAGGCTATAGTTTGCTGACTCCTAAAATAACACATAAATAAATATGTAAGCCACACAATATTAGTTAGTGGTAAGTGCTGAGTACATAATTAATATAGGAAATGTAATAGACAGTGACTTGGTGGTGTCTTCTTTAGGGTATACAGATTGAAAGGACCTCTTGAAGAAGAAGACACTTAAGCAAAAATTGTAATAAAATGAGGAAGACATGGAAAAATAAGAAGAAAGTACATATGGGCAGGATACAGAGTCCAGAGGAGAAAGTCCTAGAACCTCCTAAGGAAGAAGGACAGGAAAACATACGTTTAGAAAGATGGGTAGTGGACAAATGTTAAAGGAATTTGTAAGTTAAGTTAATAAGTTTTCATTTCATTATAAATGAGACAAAAGTCATAGGAGGGTTTTAGATGACAATGTAACATAATGTGTTTTGCATAACAGAAGTTACTTTGGGGGATTCTGGGAAGATGGAGAAAATTGCATAGTTTAATTCTCTCTTAGTCTCCATTTACAACAGAGAACTTAGATAGCAAAACCGAGAAATGACTGGGTTACATGGCAACAAAAATAGGTCACCAGATATTCTCAGAAACATTGAACTATAAGCAAATTGTCAGCATCCGTAGAAGCTACATAATATCAACATTTGTGTTATAGAAAACCCAGGGATACAACAGGCAATCAAAACCCAAAATGGTCCACAGAGATTCCCTAGAAACACAGCAGGTCAATTGGAGGAAAGCGGACGAAGGGAGGTTGGCCAGATGGACTCAAGGAGGCTGTGATGAGGGCTTAGCGGAGCTTGAGCAGGTAATTCACACTGAACTAGTTATTCACCAGGGATTCTTTCTAGGAGGAGGCCTCACACTTAGGAGAAATTGCTTGAAATGGAATAAAAACTGTGAAAGACAGTGACATTAGGGACAAAGGAAAGATAACTTTCAAAAAAAAAAAAAGTGGAGAGGGGAACAGAACCAGAAAATCTCAGAAAGTAAACTAACATATTTTTGAACATTCTATGATAATAACAATTGAGAGAGCTCAGAAAAGTTAAAAAACCCACACCAAATCATACCTCCATTTAAAAGTTCAAGAAAACTAATCTCACATAAATATAAACAACAGAAATGTATTGAGATTAAATTTCACACGATTATTACAAAACTAAGGAGAATCAGGAACATGCGCATCCTTTTGCAAAATAAGACATTTCAAATAGTGTGCACACAGAGCAGGGCAAAACTGTAAACTATCTCTGTATACAACAAGATAAAAGAGATTTATAAATGTTATAAGAACCCAAACACAAGGAAAAGTCAGAATTAGAAAGAACACAAAAATGAACTGATAAAATAAAGGAAAAAGTAAAAGAAAAAAGAATTAGATATGTGAAATCTTAATCAGAAGAAACACAAGATTCAGGAAACATGTCAGACAACACTTTAAGATAAATGGATGGTATAAAGGAGGAAAAAGAAAGAAATTAACAAAAATAAAAATAATCTAAAATCATGACAGATGTTGAGATAAGCCAAGATCTATTATACATACTAAAGTCACTAACAGAAAAAAACCTCACAGGAACAGAACAAATAAAGAAAGTTGTAATTCAATAAGACTTTCTTGAAATAAAAAAGATTTAAAACTATATATTGAAAATGTGTATTACTTACCTGAGAATATTGACCCAGGAAGATCACACCAAGACATATTTCTATAAAACTACCAGACTTTGAATAAGAAAAATCCTTTGAGCATCTAAGTAAAGAGATCAAGTGATTTATAAGGGAAAGAAAAATCATCATCAAACTTTTCGGCAGCAATTCCTTATGTCAGAAGAAAATGGAGTAATATATTTAATACTTAAACACAGAAAAAGGGAGCTAAGAATTGTTATCCAGCAAGATAGATGCTCAATTATAAAGAGAACGAATTATTATCAACCTACAAAAACTAAAGGAATGTTGTTCTAACAATCTCTTCATAAGGAACCTGCTAAAGAATCAACTTCTTTCAACCAAAAAAAAACCCCACTAAAAACCTTGAAATAAGAACTAGTAAATAGCATAAAATATATAGTACTTGTAGAAGTAAAATTATATAAGGTTTAATATAAGGGAATATATTGTGTAAGAGCTATGCTCAGAGAGTGAGAGTATATAAATAAAAATTGAGAGGAGGAGATCAAGACCATCCTGGTTAACACAGTGAAACCCCATCTCTACTAAAAATACAAAAAAATTAGCTGGGCGTGGTGGCGGGCACCTGTAGCCCCATCTACTCGGGAGGTTGAGGCAGGAGAATGGCATGAACCCGGGAGGCAGAGCTTGCAATGAGCCAAGATCCCGCCAGTGCTCTCCAGCCTGGGCGACAGAGCGAGACTCTGTCTAAAATTAAAAAAAAAAAAAAAAATGACAGAAGGGAGAGGAGGGGCAAGTAAGCTTTTTTTTTTTAATTGCTCTGAGTGGTGGTAGTATTAATATTGTTATTCTAAAAATACTGTGCAGACAATGTGGAATAAAGTCAATGAAAGCATATGAACTATTTTAATTATATTATCCCATACATCCTCAAGAACCAAGATTCTTTCTTTGCAAAAAAAGGATGATGCAGATATTATATGTCAGAAGTCAAGCTTTTTTTAAAAAAAAGAAACAAACAAATAATGGCTCTGTTGTTTTAAGTTCGAATTGAAAGTGTCGCTATAATGCTTTTCCCCTACATTTGTTTCCCCTATATATATTTCCCCTATATTTGTTATATTTATATATATATTTATAGAGAGGGAGAGAGTTTTTCTTTTTGTTCTGTATATATATATATATATATATATATATATATATATATATATAGAGAGAGAGAGAGAGAGAGAGAGAGAGAGAAAGAGTTTTTTTCTTTTTGTACTGTTTAAAGAAGAGTAATTAGCAATAACTACAGCCGTAATGATGAGCGCAGGTAGTGTACAGATTGGGGCCTTGAAGTATTATTTTTCACTTAAAGAAAAAAGACAGCAGAACTTCTTGTAGAAATGGCTACTATCAGGTTTGGAGATATTCAAGATGGTCCTAGAACATCTCGTCATTCCAGATATTGGGGAAGCAATCAAGACAACTAAAGTTATGTCAAACAGGTCCAAGAGGCATTCGTTAGGAGGCTCTCGCTGCCCAAAGATAAGACAAGTAGTTTCAAAAGGAATAGTAATTGCAATTAATTGAAACCTATTAAATATATTTAAGTCCACGAGTTTGTGATGATATTTAAAATAAAATGAAATAGCAGCAAAAACGAATTGCTCACATTCAAAGGATAAGAGAGAACCAAATGTTTACCTAAAAATCTGGTAATTAAGGAGAAACAATTCAAACGTCAAGTCTGCCTTTTCCATATGAACTGGGCCACTGGCTAATCAAACAGTAAATAAGGGAAACATTTCTTTATAAAAGCACTCCAACTTTTAAATGAAGACAGAAATAAAATAATTTTAATATAAATATTTGTCAGGTAAATTAATTAATGGATTCATGCATTGAGCTGCAACAACAGAGAACATCTCAAAAAAAAAAAAAAAAGGCAAGAAAACAGATGAAAGCACACAGCACCACCTCTAGTCTTGCCAAAGGGATTCAACATGAGTGTGATCAGGACTCTGGATCCAGCTGCCAATTTGCAGGACAAAGGAATGTGTTGACCTACACCATGTCCATGTAATGAACAAAAGCCAGACTGTGGGAAACTCTGCAAGTCAAGTGCTCTGGGCTATTCAACAGACAAATTGTAAGAAAGAAAAAAGTAAGGCGATTATAGTCTTTATAGATTAAAAGAGTTTAATAAAGTTAAGTTAAAATATTAGCAGGAATAATCACTGAAGTCTGGTGACAAGACAATTTTTTAAACACACATAAAGAAAGGATTACCATAAAAGTTAGGATAGTGGTTGCTTTTGGTGAAGGGAGATATTTGAACTAGAAACAGCCAAACACATATAGGGGCTTCTCAAGTGGATGGCAAAGTTCTATTGTTGTCTTTGCTAATGGTTTCAGACATGTTTGCTTTATAATGATCCATTAACCTCTACATTTATTTTGTGTTTTTTTGTATCTGCTTAGTCTTAAAATAAAATACGTATATATTAGTTGGTCATCGGTAAGGAGATTAGCTTAAAAGGAACCAAGGATAAAAACAGGGAGTCAAGATTGGGGAGCTATTGTAGCAGTTCAGACACGATGATGAAGAGAAGGAGTTTATCAGGATTCCCTGTTGTTTTTAAGAGAAAGAGAAGAATCATTCAGGTTGAATTATTCTTCCTTGTGGGAAAACACTCAAGCCACGGAAAGGGATGTGGAGACAGATCTGCCATTAAGAACACCTTCCTACTTGACTGAGGTGTGAAAGTTAGCACCTTGGGATTCTGAACATGCTGGAAAAACAGCTACTTTTTTTTAAGTGAATGAGCACAATCTGATAAAATTTTTAATAGCCACCAAATTTCTTCCATGAGCATTGCTTCCATAGGATATTTGAGAGTCATAATGGCCAACTTATATTTAATGCTTTTTCTAGACTGCTTGACTTATTTTATACTAATTATACTTATTTTATTTTCTACATATTAGTTTATATTGGGGAAAACATTTAAATTTTGGGATAAAGGGTTTGACAAGGTGTTGCCTACAGGTGCTCCACAAATCCATTAATATAACACATATTATAGGTTGTTAGCTTCTAGAGAAATACCTTTTCTAATTTACCAGTGGATTTCTTGCTGTATCCTCTAGATAGCCTTGTGCAAGAGGGTGCTGTGTAAGTATTTGATAGATTAAATCCGAAATCTGATGCAAAAATAGAAACAATTATTACAAAACTAATTAATATCTGCAAGTACAATAAATTGGTAATTTACATAGCAAGCTCATTCTTTACATTTTATCTCTAGAGGTGAATATTTTTATTATTACTATAGTAGCCAGAAATGATAGAATGTGTTAGAGCTTGGGAACTGGGAAGACAGGAAATTAAACCTGGAAGTGGGATGGAATTGAGTTTCATACCTGATGCTAGTACTTACTAGCTTTGTAAAGTTGAGGAAGTCACTTAGCACCACTCAAACTGAATTTCCACATTTGGAAATGTGTGTGAATCAAGAGATATCATGGTGAGTCTTAAAAATAAAATCATGGAGGTTTTAGACTATGGCTGAAAGCCATAGTCTATGCTCCTATGCCACATAAACCTTACTCAATAAATGTGAGTCCCTTTCTTTCTCAGGAATAATTTTATTTGTGAACCTCTTCTACCAGCTCTGAACCTAGCTGCCTTCTACATGATGGCAAAATTCGATGTATCACATCCCGCTGAGTGCTTTTGATCTTGAACAGGTCATCATTGCCATCAGGACTGACATTTCCCACTATATCCTGTGTAACTCTTACGTTGATGCTAACATGACCTTCGTGGCTTCTATAATAATCCAGTTCCTCTACACAGCCACCTGCTGTCAGGAGCGGCCTGTGCAGAAGTAACTGATTCTCAGTCCCATAAGAGCACTAATTAAAAGTGCACCAAATTAAACTCATATGCATGAGAAACAATTAGCTCTATCTTTTGTCTCTTCATTCAAATCCATAATGCAGAGCAGCCAGGTGTCATGTTCAACAAACCTCCATCACTTGATGACTAGAGAAAGGAATGGATTTGGAAAAGCTTCAGAGACTCCCCCTGAGGTCAAGTCTGGCCTTCCCACTTTTGCAGTGATTCAATTGTCACAATGCTTCTGTTTGAATCCCCCTTTCTCAGCATCTCTTCTTCTCCCATATTTTTCTTTTCTTTTCTTTTCTTTTTTTTTTTCTGAGACAGTGTCTTGCTCTGTTGCCCAGCCTGGAGTGCAGTGGCACCATCTCGGCTCACTGCAAGCTCCGCCTCCTGGGTTCATGCCATTCTCCTGCCTCAGCCTCCTGAGTAGCTGGGACTACAGGTGCCCACCACCACACCCGGCTAATTTTTTTGTATTTTTAGTAGAGATGGGGTTTCACCGTGTTAGCCAGGATGGTTTCGATCTCCTGGCCTCATGATCCACCCACCTCGACCTCCCAAAGTGTTGGGATTACAGGTATGAGCCACAGCGCCTGTCCCCATATTTTTCTTCTTCTAAGAAAACAAACCTTGGTATAGGTCCCTATCATCCCCCTTTTTTTTTCCTGGAGGTTTGCAAAATGTTTTACACAAAATATCATACATGCTTGTCTAGCATGTTTTCACAGGACTGAAGAATCAAACACAGACACCAGTTCACCCTACTGTTTTTCTAACATTACACACATACCTAGGACGTATCCCTGTCATAGTTAATATACTTACTTAACTCTGTGTCATCCATGATATTATTTGTCCAAATATGTGGACCAATTATTTTACCTAGACTTATTTCTTGCAACTGACTGAACCTAACTCTTATGCTAATTCCAATAACCCAGCCTCTGCCTTATGCCCTCATATGTACAGAGAAACTTAATAAAATGCTCAGTTCCCTGGTCCCTTTAGACTAGGGGCCTTACTCAATCACTCCAGCCTCTTCTATCTCCCAGACCTGGAGAATGTTTGTATTAATTCTGTAGTAATTCTTGGGAACGATTACCCTTAATTCCTTAGTAAAATATTTGAGAATGCAAATGAAATCAAAACATGGAATCAAAATGTGAAAACAAACCTAGTGTCTTTCTGAAAATGAGATCTCAAGGAGGAGAGATAGTGAAAAGGAAAAAATATAGGCTTCAGAACATACTATTCTGAGTTCAAATTCAGGTTTTGCTACTTTTCAGCCAAGTGATTTTTGGCATATAAACATAACCTCACTGTGTCTCAGGTTCCCCACTTACTATTATCTAAAATCATGATATAAAATAATACCCCTATAATGAAACTGATTTGAGGATTTGGGATGATTTATGTAATATCTTTGCATGGTGTCTGGAGTATGTGGAAGATGGTATTGTCAATGTGAAAGAGGTAAGTCTGGTGAGAACCAAAAATTTGTGCTGAACTGTTGTCTGGAAACCAGACTGAGGGGAGGCCATGCTACCGAATGAGGTAGAGTAAAAGCTCCACTTTCTTGTGATGACACTATGAATAAAATAATCTAATGTGATGACCACTTGGCTATGTAAGTTTGTGGGATGAAATGAGAGTTTTCTTAGCAATATTTAGTTAATGGTAAGCACACAGCAAAAGTGCCACCATTCCCTATCTTGTCACCGAAGTAGTGTCTACCACGTGGTCCCATGTCTATTTCCCACTGAGTTGGAACATATTCTCAGAATTATTTTCAGTTCTTAATTTATGTAAATAATTTATTACAGCCTCTAGTCTACAAAGCCGTTAGTCCACAGTCAATGGTAATAAGCTTAGCTTTACCTGTTTTCCTGGTCAGAAAAAGGCATTCACAGGCACTCAGGCATTGGCACACCCTCTGGCTTCATGAATGACAGTCATAGTGAACAGGCAACTCTGGCCAAATCCATATAGCAATGATGAGAAACATTTCTGATTTGCAGCACACATTCAAATAATAGAATTCCTGTCGTTTTTTTGGAAGGTACAAAAAGACTCAAAACAATACTAAACAAGCCAGTAGCAATTACAACATAATCACTACCATGGTATAACAATGCCTCACAGAGTCTGTAAAAACATCCACAGTTATTACACCATTCACTTGGTCATCCTTTGGCATTTCTTTGCTATTTGAGAACTGTTTACTGCTCTAGAGAATGTTCTTAAAATCTCATGAGACTAACTACTCAAATGTCTTCGTAAATGCCCGACTGTTCTTTTCGCTCATCTGATGTTTTAAGCATCTCTTCCCTCTTACTGGCAACACGAGGTCAGCATCACGCATGACTCTCAGCTCAGTGGTCCCTCAGACAAGCATCACTTTATGACATGTCTTAGGAGTTGTGGCCAAAGGAATTAGACGTCAATACCTGGTGACTGACCTGGGATGGACTTGCAGCGCACCAGTATGCTATAAGGTACCATAGTTAGAGACAAACAAAGCTTCTGTCATAATGAAAGGAGTTTGAACTGGTTAAGGGTCTTTCAGAGAAGCCAATGCTTTGGGGAGGGTCTTTGGGAGCTAAAAGAAAAGGACAAAGCCTCAAAGAAGTCATCAAGAAAAAAAAAACAAAAAAACTAGCCATATGAGATTGAGGAGAAATTCTTAGTCTCGTCAGTATTTCTATCAGAAAGAGATTTTTTGTTTGTTTGTTTTTGTTTTTGTTTTGAGACAGAGTCTTGCTCTGTCACCAAGGCTGGAGTGCATTGGCACGATCTCAGCTGACTGCAGCCTCCCCCTCCTGGGTTCAAGAGATTCTCCTGCCTCAGCCTCCTGAGTAGCTGGCTTACAGGCGCATGCCACCATGCCTGGCTAATTTTTGTACTTTTAGTAGAGACGAGGTTTTACCATGTTGGCCAGGCTGGTCTCGAACTCCTGACTTCGTGATGGTCCTGCTTCGCCCTCCCAAAGTGCTTGGATTACACATGTGAGCCACCGTGCCCAGCCCAGAAAGAGATTTTTAAAAGCTCCCAGAGATCTATAATTAGCCCCATCAAGAGCGGCATTCCCAGTAAATGATTTCCAGTGGGAAAGAGAATTCTACAAATAAAAATGATCTAACCCACTGGAAGCTAGAAAATGAGGTGGGAGACAATTCTAGCTTTAGCCGTCCAATTGCTATTAGTCCCTTTCTCTCAACTCTACAAGCTCCAACCACACTGCCTCTTTTCTGTGAAAAGCCTTTCTTTCTTGTTCAGTTAATAGGGTTCTGTTTGCATGTTCAATTTAACTTTTACTCCTCACCTTTATTTTACTTCAGGGTTGACATCTTACATTCTTGGATGTGAGACACTGACCAGTTGCAGTCTTGGATCTGGGACAATGGTTGTAATTAATTTGTAAGGCAGTCAGATGATATTATGAGTGTGACCAGGTATCCAATTAACATCTCCTATGGGCAGGGTGGTGAGAATGCTATTAGCAATGGTGTCACAAAGTTTTGCTTCAGGTAGAAAACACTTCTCCTATCACAGGTTTTTATATGACAAGAGTTAGCAGTCACACTTATACCTCCTCTGTTCACCCAAGCCTCCATTATCACTGGAATGAGCTTCAATGTTATGGACTCTGCTTGCACTTTAGAGATACTGCATAAATTATGCCTTGTCCTTTGGTGTCCTGTTGCCTTATACTTTACTTGGAATTTTGAGTCTCTTTAGCCATACATATTTCTCAATCACTTGTTATCTGTTAATTTTCATATGTGCATGTCATTTTTATCCCTTTTAATCCCTTGTTGGTTCCTTATCTCTTTTCTCTTTCATTTTCTAATTTATATTAGCTTTCGTTTTCTTCTTTAACTACACTTGCGTAACCTAATATGATTGAGATTGCAACTGTATTTACAAGTTCTCTATAATACATCATATACTAGAACATTTTAAAACCTGAATCAGAAAATAAGAATCTCATTATTGATCCTACAGCTTCATGATCATATATACTTCTAGGGATTTTGGACCGCATCCCCAATGTAAACTGGCTGTTTGGATCTCTGCATTATTTCTTTCTTGTTTTTTTTTTTGTTTTTTGTTTTTTGTTTTTTTTGAGATGGAGTTTTGCTCTTGTTGCCCAGGCTGGAGTGGAGTGCAATGGCTCAATCTCGGCTCACCACAACCTTCGCCTCCCGGGTTCAAGTGATTCTCCTGCCTCAGCCTCCCAAGTAGCTGGGATTACAGGTGTGTGCCACCATGCCCGGCTAATTTTGTAGTTTTAGTAGAGACAGGGTTTCTCCATGTTGGTCAGGATGGTCTTGAACTCCCGACTTCAGGTGATCCACCCACCTCAGCTTCCCAAAGTGCTGGGATTACAGGCGTGAGCCACTGCGCCCGGCCTCTGCATTATTTCTTAACTGAACTCAGAATTTCATTATCTGCCTATATCCTTTCAATAGACTCACCAGATAAAACTTTGCCTGCTTGGCAAGTCTTTATTATGTCCTCAGTTTTGTTCTGTCCTCATTATCATGTTACTGGTACCAGAACCTAGAACTACCCCTATTGTACTTGTGTTCCCTTGAAGATCATTCAGAAAAGACAAAACTAATCTGTTTGTCAGAATATTAGGGCATTTTTTTCATCCCATTATGGCCATGCCATCATGAAGCTCCCTCTTTCTGCCCTCTTACCTCAGCACCATTACCAAAATAACCTATATCCAAAGAAAACCAGAGGTATTAGTGAAGAAGGCTTGTTAATGCAATCTTGGCATTTTGTTGCTGTTTTGTTTGTTTGCTTGTTTGTTTTTACCTTGAAGACTTTATTATGCTACAGGACTTCTACCTTTAAATTCTAATAGTTGTCTACATTTTAGTGATGCTCAACCTATCAGTATCCAGGGTATCTTTTAGGTCTTGCATTGTAGTGAACATTAACCTGTCAAGCAAATATTACAGTTGCCTAAACCCTATGAGTCAATTGAAGGAAAAACTAAAATGAATCTATTATATTACTGAGTTCACTTATTGAAAAATAAGGACATAAGACTAAAAGAGATTGTAGGAGAATCTCATGCTGGAGATGAGAGTGTAAAAATATTAGGCAAAATTGTATTCCAGTTACCATGTGTTTAAGCAACATATGAAGAGTAACACTTCTAATTATTTAGGGAAGTTGCCTGTAATAAAGCCAATGTTTAGAGCCTGAGTCTTCCACTGAATTCTGAGCTTTAGACCCTGTTGTGAACCCCAAGCCTCTGCCTAGTTCCTAACTATGGGCTGTTTGGCTGAATTTTATTGCTTAGGCTCTTGACACCACAGTCATTCTTCTCTTCTAGTATTTTCATTCTTTTCATCTCAATATGTATTAGTATTCACTTGTGCATATTTCACTGACTCTAATTTTAGGAACTCTGTCATCTTTAACACTCGTTTTATCTTTTTCAAGTTTGGTCCTCCCAAGGCAGGATCCCCACTGAGTAACTCCTGCTCATAGTTGTGTTCATTTGGGTCCACTGAGAAGCAACAGCCAAGAAAGACTAAGATATATACGGAATTGATTGGCATTACAAACAGGAGAAAAGAGAGCCTTCAGACCATGATGCAGGTTGGAAACCTGTGGAAGAAGAGAGGAAGGAAGGAAAACTGGAGTAGAAGGAATTTCAGACTGCCTCACAGTTCCAAGAAAGTGTCAGCTAGGCCAATGGGCAGACCTTGAGCCCACTGAGTGTATTCTACTAGTTCCTTATCTCACTAGAGTGGGTCTGCTTTAATACCCCTAATGTGCTCAGCCATTGGCTAGGATCAGCCAATGTAGTTTTGGTGTAGTTTTGGTGGATCCGTGAGGCAGTAGCAGCTAGGGACATCAGGGAGCTATGAGTCCTGCAGTGGGAGATCTGAAAATTGCATTTTCCTAGCTGTCACTAAACAATAGCGAGATTTTAGATATCATCATTGGAGATATTTTGGCCCAAGGTATTTTCTCATGACTTTTACTATGTAACATTTAACTGTACACTGACTTCTTCATGCAAATACTAATTCTTTAGATGGTTTTCTCTGACCACAGCATTCAATTCTGCTCATGCTCCTGAGCATCTCGACCTCACATAACCCTGTTTTATTCTCCTCATAGCCCAAATTCCTATTTGACATTATCTTATGTATTTGAATACTTGTCTACTGTGTGTCTTCTTCCCACTAGAGCAGTAGTGTAGTCCGACTTGTTCACTGCTCTACTGCCAATAATCATACTGTGTTCAAAAGCAATGTCTAGCAAGAATAGGGTGCATTATAATATTGCTGTTATAAAAGTTATGTTTTCATTCTAATTCTACCCCTCATTGTGGACTACACTTCTTTCAATTATCCAAAACATCACCTTGACCTCCCATATTATATATTGCACTGCTACAATGTTATTACATCTCTTTTTCTCAGTAGTCTGTGAACTCCTCACAGGTAAAAGTCTTGTTTTATATTGCTCACAATAGTGCATCACCTGATGAGTGCAGTCAGTCGATGAGTACTGGTAAATAGCAGAAATGTATGCAACTTTCTTAATAAGCACTATCTCTTATATGTATAATAACCTGTGGGCTAGGGGAGTATAATGTGTCTGTTTGAGTACACATATAACCTTGGAAAAACACAGCAGGAAAAGACAGGAGATGGGTCTGATCACGGGCAGCCATAAGAACAACTGTGAGCAAAGTTTATAAGATGCCTTTTCTCTTTGCAGGAGGTACATCCATTTGGCGATCAAATAGGAAAAACACAGTCAGGTTTGGAGAGGAAACCTGGTGTTTGCTTTGTACTGGAGACAGGCCCTCAGGCTGCTGCCTTATCCTGGGGCCAGGGGTAGGGGCTGATTGTTCCAGTATCCTTTCTTGTGGAAGCAACTGCTTTGTTCATTGATCAAAGGCCCCTTCCATTCCACATCCTACACTTCAGTGCCACCTTTGTCACATACTGCTGGAGGGAGGCCCCCTCCCTCTTTAGGCTGATGCTATTTCCTACCATGGAAGGAGCAGTTGAGTTTGGTTGCTAAGACTCAGTTCTGTCACAATTTGTTTTTGACATTGCTTTCTGTTTTAGATCTCTGATTTAACAACTGTTGAATTTCATTTTTTAAAGAGAAAATGTACTGGGACTCTGCTGACAAGGAGAGAAGCAGTATGCTAAGAGCATGGAGAGAATTAATGTTAGAGAAATACAGGTTAGAAATTTAGCTCTACCATTTCCTCACTGTGCTACCTTGGGCAAGTTACTTAACTTCTCTGTGCATCGGTTTCCATATCCCCAAAGTTTGAATTGCAATATCTATCACATAAGATTTTCTTGATAATCAAGATGGTGAGTGTTTTTATAAAAAATTTCTGGTCCATACTATGCTGTACACATAGTGATCCCCTGCACTGTCTCTGGATTCATTGTCCTATACCTTTATAATCACCCAATGTTATGGTTTGAATGATGATGTCGCCTCTAAACTCAAGTTGAAAATTAATCCCCAATGTAACAATATTAAATTGTGTTGCTTTGGGGAGATCATTGAGTCATGAGAACTCCATCCTTATAAATGGGATTAGCACTCCATAAAAGGGCTTGAGGTTGAAGGGAGCACTTTCTTGCCCTTTTTTCTCTTTTGCCACATGAGGACACAACTTTCATCCCCTCCGGAGGATGCAGCAACAACGTACCCTCTTGGAAGCATAGCGTGGGGTTTCACCAGACACCAAATCTGCCAGCACCTTGATCATAGACTATTAATCTGCAGAACTGTGAAACGTAAACTTTTGTTGTTTATAAATTACCCAATGTCAGATATTTTGTTTTAGCAGAACAAATGGATAGTGGCACCCAAAAAAGTGAGTGTGCTGCTAGTAGAAAAGAAAGATCTTTGTCTCTCCTGACCCCACCTCTTGATGTTTTTATCACTGGAGAATATATAGGATTCTCTGATATAGTTGAGTGATTGCCATAGAGGCAGTTATGAAGTAAAAGAAGTCGTTCAACCTATTTATCAAAGGCCTTGCAAGCTTCTGCTTCAAGGTAGGTGAATCAATTAGGCAGTATTGAACGGGGAAAGTTAATCTGCATCCAAAGCATTTTACTGCACAAACAAGTTAAATAAAAAATCAAGTGCAGACCAATTGACTTTACCCCACTGAGGGTGGAATTGAAGGAGAAGGAACCATTCCCTGTCAAAGTCTTGTAATCCTTTCCTACCTCTGCCTTAGACAAGGAGCAGAAAGCACGTGGGAATAAGAGACTGGGGGTTCCTGACATGTGACAAACAACAATGCAATGGTGATCATTAGCTTGGAGAATTAAAGACTCTTGTGAGTATCACTGCTCTTTTGGTGACTCAGTAGGACTTTTACCTAGAGGAATGTTTGGGCCAGTGGGCTTCTGTTACAGGGAAATCATTACTTCCAAAGAGTATTTTTTTAATTCTCTTTGCATATATTCTATTAATTGGGGTTGAGTCTTAGCATCATCTCTGACATCTTTCTCTCTCTCTCTCTCTCTCTCTCTCTCTCTCTCTCTTTCTTTCCGTACCCTGCACTCAAGCACAGGGTCATCCTTAAATGGGCCATGTTAGCATTTTAGTCACTTTCTCTCATTCTAATTGCCACCCCCTTATTCATATTCTCATGAACTCTTGCATAGAATACTACAGGATTATTTAACTATATAATCCTTTTCTAGTGTTTATTCTGTACACTAAAGCTGAATTAGTCTTCAATATGACATAGTGGAAATAATGCATACTTTGGTGTTAGAGAGACTCTATTTTGTTTCTCTGCTTAGCTATTTAATGACACTAGATCAATTACTTAATTTTTCTGAGCCCCATCTGTAAAGTGGGGATAAGTTACAGACTGTAACTCACAACATATTTGTGATCAATAAAAGTAGTAGTCTCTGATAAGCATTTAGTACAATGCCTGACACCTAGCAAGTGCTCGATATATAGAAGCTGCTATTGGAACACCGTAAGAGTTAGTTGGAAAATGACTTCTTTTCTGATTTTCTCATTGTTCTCTTAAGACTCCATTTTTCTTGTGAACAGAAGACATTTCTTATTCATCTGGGTATCAACACAAGCATGTGCAGTACAGCACATAAGCAAGCATTTATGCAATTTCATCTATTATAATTAAGGAAAAGTCCCAATTTTACTATTTATTTTGCAGTTAAACATAAAGGGTGGGGGGTTTGTTTCCAGATGGGGCAATCGTGTAAACAAAGATGTGGAAACAGAGATCAAGGAGTAAAACATAGTAAATATCTACTCTGTGCAAAATCCACCAGCTGTGCCTCAAAAGATAATTTATGTAGGAAATCAATGAGATATACTGTGGGAGGGGATTACAGAGAGGGTCCTGGAGGTCCTAGAATGCTAGGCTATGTGTGCATGGCACTGGGGAGCTATCAGGAGTTTCTGAGCAGCGGGAGTGACTGAACTTGGAAAAAGAAAATGTCCACCCATCTAGGTTGGAAAAAGACAGGGTACAATAGCTTAAGAGCTCAGAACAAATCACCCAATTCTATTTCCCGAATTGTTCATCTTCTATGGGGCATGATGAATGCTGACTTTAGACTCCTTCCTTTGGTTCTGCCAGCAATTCAGTAGCTTAATCTTTTTCCAATCTCAACTGTTGCCTAATAATCTGTTCCAGGCACAGAAATTTCATTAGCTCCTCAATGATGTCCACAGGCTTTGAGTGGATTTCATCTGTTAAACTGCTTTTATTTTAGCTACTATACAAATTACCCTCTGCCTGAGCAAAAAAAAAAAAAAAAAATAGGGTGGGGTGGGATGCAGGGAGGAGGGAGGAGGGAGTGGAGATAGAGGAGAAAAGAATGGCTGAAGCCCTTCTGCCCTTCTCAAACAACTTTCTTCTTCTTAAAAATAGATGTCCAAAGGAGAAATTGGATTCTAAAAGTGATGACTCCATAATGGAGTGACCCCAAATCTTCTAAACGGTAGCTTAAGAGGGGGGTCCCCAGTTATGACCAGTTTCATGCGCGTCCGTGTGAAGAGACCACCAAACAGGCTTTGTGTGAGCAACGTGGATGTTTATTTCACCTGGGTGCAGGCGGGCTGAGTCCGAAAAGAGAGTCAGAGGAGGGAGATAAGGGTGGGGCTGTTTTATAGGATTTGGGTAGGTAAAGGAAAATTACAGCCAAAGGGGGTTTGTTATCTGGCAGGCAGGAGTGGGGGGGTCGCAAGGTGCTCAGTGGGGGGTGCTTTTTGAGCCAGGATGAGATGGGAAAAGGACTTTCACAAGGTAATGTCATCACTTAAGGCAAGGACCGGCCATTTATACTTCTTTTGTGGTGGAATGTCATCAGTTAAGATGGGGCAGGGCATATTCACTTCTTTTGTGATTCTTCACTTACTTCAGGCCATCTGGGCTTATATGTGCAAGTCACAGGGGATGTGATGGCTTGGCTTGGGCTCAGAGGCCTGACATTCCTGCCTTCTTATATTAATAAGAAAAATAAAACAAAATAGTGTCAAAGTGTTGGGGTGGCGAAAATTTTTGGGGGGTGATATGGAGAGAGAATGGGTGAGGTTTCTCAGGGCTGCTTCAAGCGGGATTAGGGGCGGCGTGGGAACCTAGAGTGGGAGAGATTAAGCTGCAGGGAGGTCTTGTGGTAAGGGGTGATATTGTGGGGATGTTAGAAGAAACATTTGTCATATAGAATGATTGGTGATGGCCTGGATATGGTTTTGGATGAATTGAGAAACCAAATGGAATAACAGAAGGAGAAAAACAGGTATAAAAGGTCTAAGAATTGGGATGACTCAGGATATCTGATTAGAGAGTGCCTAAGGAGATTCAGCATAGTCCTGCCAGCAAAGATTATTTATTTACTTCAAGAGTTAAGAGTGGCAGTTTGGGGATAGCACCAGGAGATATTAGCTGTGATGGCTTGGGCTATACCCTGTAGCATTCCGAGGACAGGCCTGAATTCTGAGAAGGGAAAGTGGTAAAAGTATTGTCCAGTTCTTTTTAAGTTGGTGGCTGAGCTTGGTGAGGTGTGTTTTTAAAAGACCTTTAGTCGATTCTACTTTTCTTGAAGATGGAGGACCGTAAGGGATATAAAGGTTTCACTGAATACTAAGAGCCTGAAAAACTGCTTGGCTGATTTGACTAATAAAGGCTCATCTGTTATCAGATTGTATTGAGGTGGGAAGGCTAAACTGAGGAATTATGTCTGACAGAAGGGAAGAAATGACTGCGGTGGCCTTCTCAGACCCTGTAGGAAAGGACTCTACCTATCCAGTGAAAGTATCTACCTAGACTAAGAGGTATTTTAGTTATCTGACTCAGGGCATGTTGAGTAAAGCTAATTTGCCAGTCCTGGGTGGGGCAAATCCTCGAGCTTGATGTGTAGGGAAGGGAGGGGGCCTGAATAATCCCTGAGGAGTAGTAGAATAGCAGATGGAACACTGAGAAGTTATTTCCTTGAGGATAGATTTCCACAATGGAAATGAAATGAGAAGTTCTAAGAGGCGGGCTAGTGGCTTGTACTATAGCATAACCTGCCTTTGCTGGTGTGTGGCAATTAGGCCTGGTGGAACCACCATCAATAAATCAAGCTTGATCAGGGTGAGGAACAGGAAAGAAGGAAATTTGGGGAAATGGGGTGAATGTCAGGTGGATCAGAGAGATACAGTCATGGGGGTCAGGTGTGGTATCAGGAATAATGTGGGAGGCCGGATTGAAGTCTGGGCCAGGAACAACGGTAATTGTGGGAGACTCAACAAAGAGTGAATATAGCTGAAGGAGCCGGCAAGCAGAAAGTATATGCATCAGGTATGAGGAAGAAAATAGATTTTGGAAGTTATGAGAACTGTAGAGAGTGAGTTGAGCATAGTTTGTGATTTTGAGGGCCTCTAAAAGTATTAGGGCAATAGCAGCAGCTGCATGGAGACATGATGGCCAGCCTAAAACAGTAAGGTCAAGTTGTTTGGACAAAAAGGCTACAGGACGCGATCCTGGTCCTTATGTAAGAATTCCGACTGCACAGCCCTGCACTTCGGCTGTGTGTAATGAAAAGGGTTGGGATGAGTCAGGGAGAGCTAGAGTGGGGGCAGTTTCTAAAGCTGTCTTCAAGGAATGGAAAGAGGAGTGGGGAAAGGATTTAGGATCTATGGGGTCAGCTAGGTTTCCTTTTGTGAGCTTATATAATGGTTTTGTTAGGATGGCAAAACCAGGTATCCAAAAGCGAAAGTATCCAACCATGCCCAGGAAGGAAAGGAGTTGTTGTTTTGTAGAAGGGGTTGGGGTTTGAGAGATCAGTCAGATATGATTGGCAGGGAGAGCAGTGTGTTTTTATGAGAATTATGCCGAGATAGGTAACAGATGAGGAAGAAATTTGGGCTTGATTGAAGTAATGGGGGCTGTCTGTGAAGCTTTGCGGCAGTACAGCCTAGGTAATTTGCTGAGCTTGATGGGTGTCAGGGTCAGTCCAAGTGAAAGCGAAGAGAGGCTGGGATTAAAGGTGCAAAGGAATAGTAAAGAAAGCATGTTTGAGATCTAGAACAGAATAATGGGTTGTAGAGGCAGGTATTGAGGATAGGAGAGTATATGGGTTTGGCACTACGGGTGGATAGGCAAAACAATTTGGTTGATAAGGTGCAGATCCTGAACTAACTTGTAAGGCTTATCTGGTTTTAGGACAGGTAAAATGGGGGAATTGTAAGGAGAGTTTATAGGCTTTAAAAGGCCATGCTGTAGCAGGCGAGTGATAACAGGCTTTAATCTTTTTAAAGCGTGCTGTGGGATGGGATATTGGCATTGAGTGGGGTAAGGGTGATGAGGTTTTAATGAGATGGTAAGGGGTGCATGATCGGTTGCCAAGGAGGGAGTAGAGGTATCTTATACTTGTGGGTTAAGGTGGGGGATACAAGAGGAGGATGCAAAGGAGGCTTTGGATTGGGAAGAAGGGCGGCAATGAGATACAGCTGTAGTCCAGGAATAGTCAGGGAAGCAGATAATTTAGTTAAAGTGTCTCAGCCTAATAAGGGAACTGGGCAGGTGGGGATAACTAAAAAGAAGTGCTTAAAAGAGTATTGTCTAAGTTGGCACCAGAGTTGGGGAGTTTTAAGAGGTTTAGAAGCCTGGCCGTCAATACCCACAACAGTTTTATGGAGGCAAGGGAAACAGGCCCTTGAAAAGAAGGTAATGTGGAGTAGGTAGCCTCCGTATTGATTAAGAAGGGGATGGGCTTACCTTCCACTGTGAGAGTTACCTGAAGCTCAGCGTCCGTGATGGACCAGGGGGCTTCTGAGGCGATTGGGCAGTGTCAGTCTTCAGCTGCTGAGCCGAGAAGATCTGGGAAGGAGTCAGTCAGAGAGCCTTGGGCCAGAGTTCCAGGGGCTCTGGGAGTCGCTGCCAGGTGAGTTGAACAGTCCGATTTTCAGTGGGGTCCCACACAGATGGGACGCGGCTTAGGAGGAATCCCGGGCAGCGGGCATTCCTTGGCCCAGTGGCCAGATTTCTGGCAAGTGTAGCAAGCTCCTGTGGGAGGAGGTTCTGGAGGAATGCCTGGCCACTGCGGTTCAGGCGTTTGGAAGTTCTCATGTGCTGGAGATGTGGCTGGGGTTTGTCTCACAGTGGAGGCAAGGAATTGCAACTTTTTTCTATTATTGTACACGTTGAAGGTGAGGTTAATTAAATCCTGTTGTGGGGTTTGAGGGCCGGAATTTAATTTTTGGAGTTTTATTTAATGTCGGTAGCAGATTGGGTAATAAAATGTATATTGAGAATAAGATGGCCTTTTGACTTTTTAGGGTCTAGGACGGTAAAGTGTCTCAGGGTTGCTGCCAAACAAGTCATGAACTGGGCTGGGTTTTTATATTTGATGAAAAAGAGCCTAAACGCTATCTGATTTGGGATAAAGAAAAAGGAGCATTAACCTTGACTATGCCTTTGGCTCCAGCCACCTTTTTAAGAGTAAATTGCTGGGCAGGTGGGGGAGGGCTAGTCACGGAACGAAACTGTAAGCCGGACCAGGTGTGAGGAGGGGAGGTGATAAAAAGATTATAGGGTGGAGGAGCGGAGGCTGAGGAAGAATTGGGACCTAGCTCGGCCTGACGAGGAGCAGCCTGGGGAGGAAGGGAGAGGTCAGATGGGTCTGCAGAAAAGGAAGATTAGAAAGACTCAGCGACGCTTGGGGTTGGTACTGAGGGGACAGGCGGGAGGGAAAGAAGTAAGATTTGGGACGAGTTGCACTGGGCACAGAGACTAGGAAGGGACTAATGTGTAAAAGAATGCCTGGATGTCAGGCACCTCAGACCGTTTGCCTATTTTACGACAGGAATTATTTAGATTTTGCAGGATGGAAAAATTCAAAGTGCCATTTTCTGGCTATGTGGAACTACTGTCGAGTTTGTATTGGGGTCAAGTGGCATTGCAGAAGAAAAGGCATTTGGGTTTTAGGTCAGGTGTGAGTTGAAGAGGTTTTAAGTTTTTGAGAACACAGGCTAAGGGAGAAGAAGGAGGAATGGAAGGTGGAAGCTTACCCATAGTGAAGGAGGCAAGCCCAGAGAAAAGAGTAGAGACATGGAGAAGGGGTGGAGGGTTCTTGCCCTCCAGAAAAGCAGAGAAGGGGTTGGGGCACAGAAATAAGGGATTGGGGCACAGAGATAAGAGGTCAGGGTGCGGAAATGAGGGATTGGGGCACAGAGATAAGAGGTTGGGGTGTGGATATAAGCGATTGGGGGGTTCTTGCCCCCTAGGAAAGCGGGACTTGCCGCTAAGGGTGAAGGAGAAGGGGTTGAGGGGTAATTGCCCCTCTCCCAGAAAAGCAGAGAAGGGGTAGAGACAAGGAGAGAAGGGGTTGAGGTACTTGCCCCTTCCCCAGAAAAGCAGGACTTGCTGCTAAGAGTGAAGGACAAAGGCAGGCGTCCTTGCATGGTCTGACACCCTTGAAACGTGGGTGAACAATCAGAGAGGCATCCCTGCAATGATCAAACACCAAGGGAAGGCTACCTTCCCAGTCCATGACCGGCGTCAGAGTTTTGGGTCCACGGATAAAACGTGTCTCCTTTGTCTCTCCCAGAAAATGAAAGGAATTGAAATTAAGAGAAGGGAGAGATTGAAGAGTGGAAAGGAGAAAGTGGTTGAGGGACAGTGAGAGAGGTTGGAGAAGAGAGTAAGAAGAGGCCACTTACCTGATTTAAAATTGGTGAGATGTTCTTTGGGCTGGTCGGTCTGAGGACCTGAGGTCATAGGTGGATCTTTCTCACAGAGCAAAGAACAGGAGTACAGGGGATTGATCTCCCAAGGGAGGTCCCCCGATCCGAGTCACGGCACCAAATTTCATGCACGTCTGTGTGAAGAGACCACCAAATAGGCTTTGTGTGAGTAACATGGCTGTTTATTTTACCTGGGTGCAGGCGGGCTGAGTCTGAAAAGAGAGTCAGAGAAGGGAGATAAGGGTGGGGCCGTTTTATAGGATTTGGGTAGGTAAAGGAAAATTACAGTCAAAGGGGGTTTGTTCTCTGGCAGGCAGGAGTGGGGGTTGCAAGGTGCTCAGTGGGGGTGTTTTTGAGCCAGGATGAGCTAGGAAAAGGACTTTCACAAGGTAATGTCATCACTTAAGGCAAGGACCGGCCATTTACACTTCTTTTATGGTGGAATGTCATCAGTTAAGGTGGGGCAGGGCATATTAACTTCTTTTGTGATTCTTCACTTACTTCAGGCCATCTGGGCTTATATGTGCAAGTTACAGGGGATGCGATGGCTTGGCTTGGGCTCAGAGGCCTGACAACCAGCATATTTGATTGTTTTATCATCCTGAGAAAACTATATTATACTTGGTATAAATGGAACTGTTACTGGTGCTAGAGATGTGGCAAGTATACAGTGGTTTCTGCCAAGTGTCAGAAGTATGGAGACAAAAAGTTAAGGAGGGTGAGAGGATAGAGGAGTCTCATTGAAGATCCCCTGGTTAAAACCACTGCCTCATTTCTGTGAACAGCCTACTGAATGATGCTGTCATTTCAGACAGCAGCAGAAAATATATTTTTTGGACAGCAGGCATTCCTCACAACTTTTCCTCTATAAAGCTTCTTCTAACTTGAAGAGTGAAATGCAACTTACCCATGCGTTCCTATGGCATATCGAACCCCCTTCTCCTTTAATATCTCTTATCAAAATCCATCACACCACTCATTGCAATATCTGCATTTTCTTCATTTTTATGTTCTTTGAGAGCAAAGGTCAAGTTATATGAGATTAACACCAGTGCTATGGGATCAAAAGCTCTCTATTAGCAACATCATAGCTAATGACAGAATTTACTAATTGGTAGCCGAGGAAACCAGAAAAATAGCAACAGGCTGAGCCAATTTTGGATTAAATAGCATAATGCATGTAAAGTGACTACTATAGGAACTAGGAGTTGAGTACCTGATGGTGCTGTCACTGGAGCAAGGGTCATTTTAATGGGCACATTTTAATATATACTGATTTCTGCTATTTGGCAACTTAGTTTAGCTACATACTTGGAAGCTTCTGAGGAAAGAGGTAGTAACTTAGGGTGGAATGGGTGCCCTTAGTGTGTTGTTTGCCAGTTTGTTTGTTTATCTGCTTTGAAAATCTAGATTGCAGCTCTCCTTTATCTAAGATCTGATTGCATTTATAGCACATAAGAAAATAGAGGGCTAATAGTGCTAAGAAAAGACCATACGAGGTCCTCTCTCATTTTGGGTGATGCTTCCATGAAGACATTTAGAAAAGGTTGACTAAGCACGTGCTTATTTCAGCATTGTGAACTTGCTTTCAAAATATTTCTCATAACCATTTTTTGGATCAGTATTTTCTTTTGAAATAAAATGGCAGCCTATGAACTTTTTCAAATAGGTAGTTTGAAATAGATTTCTTTGGGATTTTTCCTGCAGATAGAATTTTTAGCTATAGTGTCTTACACAAAACAGACGCCCATCTTTTGATTATGTTATAATCAAACCAATTCTCATGTTTAGAAAGATAACTTTCATTAATAAATTATACAAATAATGTTTTGTATTTTGATTTTATTTTATTTCTTAGTTTTAAATTGACAGATAAATTGTATGTATTTATTGTGTAAAATATGATGTTTTGAAAAATATATATAGTGGACTAAATCCAGCTAATTAACATATGCATTACCTCACATCGTTATAATTTTTGTGGTGAGAACACTTAACATCTACTCTCTTGCATTTTTCAAGAATATTTATTATGCAACAATAATACAATTCTATATGGTATTTGTGTTATGCAGTATGTCTTTTGAATTTATTCCTTCTATCTAACTGAAATTGTGTATTATTAGAACATTTTCTGATCTACACCCACCACAACCATGCCTGCTCCTGTTAACCATTCTACTCTCTCCTTCTATGAGATCAACTTTTTTAGATTCCACATATGAGTGAGACCATGCAGTATTTATTTTTCTTTGACTGGCTTATTTCACTTAAAATAATGTCCTCCAGGTTCATTCATGTGGTTGCAAATGACAGGATTCTTTTCAGGATTTTTATGGCTGAATGGTATTCCATTGTGTGTGTGTGTGTGTATATATATATATATATATATATATATATATATATATATATATATATATATATATCACATTTTTTTATCCATTCATCCACTGATGGACATTTAGGTTGATATCATATGATAGCTATTGTGAATAATACTGCAATGAACATGAAAGAGCAGATATATCTTTGGCAGGCTGATTTCATTTCCTTGGATATATACCCAGTAGTGGAGTTGATATATAGTGGTTCTATTTTTAATTTTTTGAGGAAGCTTCATAATAGTTTTATAAAAGCTGCACTAATTTATATCCACACCAAAAGTTTCCAGGGGTTGCCTTTTCTCCACATTTTGATCAATCGTTGTTATCTTTCGTCTTTTTATAATAGCCATTCTGACTGGTGTAGGATTATATGTCATTGTGGTTTTAATTTGCATTTCTCTGATGATTAATGGTGTTGAGCTTTTTTCATATACTTATTGGCCATTTGTATTCCTACTTTTGAGAAAAGTCTACTCAGGTCCTTTGTCTATTTTTTAATCAGATTATTTATTTTCTCTCTAATGGATTGTTTACATTCCTTGTATATCTTGAATATCAATGTCTTGTCAAGTGTATAGTTTGCAAATATTTTCTCTCATCTTGTAGGTTTTCTTCACTCTGTTGATTATTCTCTTTGCTGTGAAGAACCTTTGAGTTTGATGTAATCCTATTTACCTATTTTTGCTTTTGTTATGTGTGCTTTTAGGGTCATATTTACAAACTCTTTGCCTAAACCAATGTCATAGAGCTTTCCCTATGTTTTCTTCTAGTAGTTTTATAGTTTTGGATCTTACATTTAAATCTTTATCCATTTTGAACTGATTTTTAATATGATGTGAAATAAGGGTCTAATTTTATTCTTCTGTATGTGGACATCCAGTTTTCCCAACATCATTTATTAAAGAGACTGTAATTCCCCATTGTGTGTTGTTGGCTACTTGGTGAAAAATGCATGAATTTGTTTCTGAGCTCTCTATTCTGTTTCATTGGTCTAAGTGTCAGTTTTTTTATGCCAGTATCATGCTGTTTGGGTTACTCTAGCTTTGTAATATATTTTGAAGTCAGGTAGTGTAATATTTCTAGCTTTCTTCTTTTCACTTAAGATTGCTTTGGCTACTTAGGGTCTTTTGTTGTTCCATACAAGTTTTACGGTTGCTTTTTCTACTTCTGTGAAGAATGTCATTGGTATTTTGATAGGAATTATGTTGAATCTGTAGATCACATTGAGTCATATGGATATTTAAAAAATATTCATTCTTTCAATCCACAAACATATTTTCCCACTCTGTGTCTTTTCCCATTTCTTTCATCAATGTTTTATAGATTTCAGTGTACAGATAATTCACCTCCTTTATTAAATTTATTCCTAAGTATTTTATTTTTGAAGCTATTTTAAATGAGATTGTTTTCTTAATTTCTTTTTCAAATAGTTTGTTGTTGATATATATATAGAAATGCTGCTAAATTTACATGTTGATTTTGTATCCTAAAACTTTACTTGATTATCTGTTCTAAAATATTTAGGTGGAGTCTTTAGGGTTTTCTATACATAACAATAATTTTGTCTGCAAACAATTTAACTTCTCACTTTTCAATATTTGTGGCTTTTATTTACTTAACTTGCCGAATTGCTCTGGCTAGGATTTCCAGTATCATGTTGAATAAAACTGGTGAGAATGGGCATCTTTGTCTTGTTCCAGATCTTAGAGAAAAAGCTTTCAAGTTTTCCCTATGAAGTGTAAAGTTAGGTGGTTTGGTCACATGTGGTCTTTGTTGTGTTGAGGTACATTTCTTCCATGGCTAATTCGAGGGCTTTTATTTTAACAATATGTTGGAATTTGTCTTTATCTGCCTCCATTGAAATGATCATATAGCTTTTGCCCTTTATTCTATTAATGTGGTGTATCACATTTATTTATTTGTGGATGTTCAACTACCCCTGCATCTCTGGGATGAGTCTCGGTTGATGATGGTGAGTGATCTTTCTAATGTCCTGTTGAATCAGGTTTGATAATATTTTCTTTTTTTATTATTATTATACTTTAAGTTGTAGGGTACATATGCAAAACGTGCAGATTTGATACATAGGTATACATGTGGCATGTTGGTTTGCTGCACCTATCAACTTGCCATTTTTTTTATTATTACACTTTAAGTTTTAGGGTACATGTGCACAACATGCAGGTTGGTTACATATGTATACATGTGCCATGTTGGTGTGCTGCACCAATTAACTCATCATTTAGCATTAGGTATATCTCCTAATGCTATCCGTCCCCCCTCCCCCCACCCCACAATAGTCCCTGGTGTGTGATGTTCCCCTTCCTGTGTCCATGTGTTCTCATTGTTCAATTCCCACCTATGAGTGAGAACATGTCAACTCGCCATTTACATTAGATATTTCTCCTAATGCTATCCCTCCCCCGGACCCCATCCCCCGACAGGCCCTGGTGTGTGATGTTCCCTGCCCTGTGTCCAAGTGATCTCATTGTTCAGTTCCCACCTATGAGTGAGAACATGCCGTGTTTGGTTTTCTGTCCTTGTGATAGTTTCCTGAGACTGATGATTTCCACCTTCATCCATGCCCCTGCAAAGGACTTGAACTCATCCTTTTATATGGCTGCATAGTATTCCATGGTGTATGTGTGCCACATTTTCTTAATCCAGTCTATCATTGATGGACATTGGGTTGGTTCCAAGTCTTTGCTACTGTGAATAGTGCCGCAATAAACATGTGTGCATGTGTCTTTATAGTAGCAAGATTTATAATCCTTTGTGTATATACCCAGTAATGGGATTGCTGGGTGAAATGGTATTTCTAGTTCTAGATCCTTGAGATATCGCCACACTGTCTTCCACAATGTTTGAACTAATTTACGCTCCCACCAACAGTGTAAAAGCGTTCCTATTTCTCCACATCCTCTCCAGCATCTGTAGTTTCCTGACTTTTTAATGATTGCCATTCTAACTGGCATGAGATGGTTTCTCATTGTGGTTTTGATTTGCACTTCTCTGATGACCAGTGATGATGAGCATTTTTTCATGTGTCTGTTGGCTGCATAGATGTCTTCCTTTGAGGAGTGTCTGTTCATATCCTTTGCCCACTTTTTGATGGGGTTGTTTTTTTCTTGTAAATTTGTTTGAGTTCTTTGTAGATTCTGGTTATTAGCCCTTTGTCAGATGGGTAGATTGCAAAAATTTTCTCCCATTTTGTAGGTTGCCTGTTCACTCTGATGATAGTTTCTATTGACATGCAGTAGTTCTTTAGTTTAACTAGATCCCATTTGTCTATTTTGGCTTTTGTTGCCACTGCTTTTTGTGTTTTAGTCATGAAGTCCTTGCATATGCAAGGACTTCCTGAATGGTATTGCCTAGGTTTTCTTCCAGGGTTTTTATGGTTTTAGGTCTCATATTTAAGTCTTTAATCCATCTTGAATTAATTTTTGTATAAGGTGTAAGGAACAGATCCACTTTCAGCTTCCTACATATGGCTAGCCAGTTTTCCCAGCACCATTTATTAAATAGGGAAACCTTTCTCTATTTCTTGTTTTTGTCAGGTTTGTCAAAGATCAGATGGTTGTAGATTTGTGGTGTTATTTCTGAGGTCTCTATTCTGTTCCATTGGTCTATATATCCATTTTGGTACCAGTACCATGCTGCTTTGGTTACTGTAGCCTTGTAGTGTAGTTTGAAGTCAGGTAGCATGATGCCTCCAGCTTTGTTCTCTTGGCTTAGGATTGTCTTGGCAATGCAGGCTCTTTTTTTGGTTCCATATGAACTTTAAAGTAGTTTTTTCCAATTCTCTGAAGAAAGTCATTGGTATCTTGATGGGGATGGCATTGAATCTATAAATTACCTTGGGCAGTATGGCCATTTTCACAATATTGATTCTTCCTATCCATGAGCATGGAATGTTCTTCCATTTGTTTGTGTCCTCTTTTACTTCCTTGAGCAGTGGTTTGTAGTTCTCCTTGAAGAGGTCCTTCACATCCCTTGTAAGTTGGATTCCTAGGTATTTTATTCTCTTTGTAGCAGTTGTGAATGGGAGTTCACTCATGATTTGACTCTCTCTCTGTTATTGGTGTGTAGGAATGCTTGTGGTTTTTTTTTTGCACATTGATTTTGTATCCTGAGACTTTGCTGAAGTTGCTTATCTGCTTAAGGAGATTTTGGGCTGAGACGATGAACTTTTCTAAATATACAATCATGTCATCTGCAAAAAGGGACAATTTGACCTCCCCTTTTCCTAATTGAATACTTTTATTTCTTTCTCTTGCCTGATTGCTCTGGCCAGAACTTGTAACATTATGTTGAATAGGAGTGGTGAGAGAGGGCATCCCTGTCTTGTGCCAGTTTTCAAAGGAAATGCTTCCAGTTTTTGCCCATTCAGTATGATATCAGCTGTGGGTTTGTCATAAATAGCTCTTATTATTTTGAGATATATTCCATCAATACCTAGTTTATTGAGAGTTTTTAGCATGAAGTGCTGTTGAATTTTGTTGAAGGACTTTTCTGCATCTACTGAGATAATCATGTAGTTTTTGTCATTGGTTCTGTTTATGTGATGGATTATGTTTATTGATTTGTGTATGTTGAACCAGACTTGCATCCCAAGGATGAAGCTGACCTGAGAGTGGTGGATAAGCTTTTTGATGTGCTGCTGGATTCGGTTTGCCAGTATTTTATTATGGATTTTCACATTGATGTTCATCAGGGATATTGCTCTAAAATTATCTCCTTTTTGTTGGGTCTCTGCCAGGCTTTGGTATGAGAATGATGTTGGACTCATAAAATGAGTTAGGGAGGATTCCCTCTTTTTCTATTGATTGGAATAGTTTTAAAAGGAGCGATACCAGCTCCTCTTTGTACCTCTGGTAGAATTTGGCTGTGAATAGTCTGGTTCTGGACTTTTTCTGATTGGTAGGCTGTTAATTATTGCCTCAATTTCAGAGCCTCTCATTGGTCCATTCAGAGATTCAACTTCTCCTGGTTTAGTCTTGGGAGGGTGTATGTGTTCAGGAATGTATCCATTTCTTCTAGATTTTCTAGTTTATTTGCATAGAGGTGTGTATAGTATTCTCTGATGGTAGCTTGTATTTCTGTGGGATTGGTGGTGATATCCCCTTTATCAATTTTTATTGCATCTATTTGATTCTTCTCTCTTTTCTTCTTTATTAGTCTTGCTAGTAGTCTATCAATTTCATTGATCTTTTCAAAAAACCAGCTCCTGGATTCATTGATTTTTTGAAGGGTTTTTTGTGTCTCTATCTCCTCCAGTTCTGCTCTGATCTTAGTTATTTCTTGCTTTCTGCTAGCTTTTGAATGTTTTTGCTCTTGCTTCTCTAGTTCTTTTAATTGTGATGTTAGGGTGTCGATTTTAGATCTTTCCTGCTTTCTCTTGTGGGCATTTAGTGATATAAATTTCCCTCTACACACTGCTTTATATGTGTCCCAGAGATTCTGGTACATTGTGTCTTTGTTCTCATTGGTTTCAAAGAACATCTTTATTTGTGCCTTCATTTCGTTATTCACCCCATAGTCATCCTGGAGCAAGTTGCTTAGTTTCCAAGTAGTTGTGCAGCTTTGAGTGAGTTTGCTAATCCTGAGTTCTAGTTTGATTGCACTGTCGTCTGAGAGACAGTTTGTTGTGATTTCTGTTCTTTTACATTTGCTGAGGAATATTTTACTTCAAATTATGTGATCAATTTTGTCATAAGTGCTATGTGGTGCTGAGAAGAATGAATATTCTGCTGATTTGGGTTGGAGAGTTCTGTAGATGTCTATTAGGTCCGCTTGGTGCAGAGCTGTGTTCAAGTCCTGGATATCCTTGCTAACCTTCTGTCTCATTGATCTGTCTGTTATTGACAGTGGGGTGTTAAAGTCTCTCATTATTATTGTGTGGGAGTCTAAGTCTCTTTGTAGGTCTCTAAGGACTTGCTTTATGAATCTGGTTGATCCTGTATTGGGTGCATATATATTTAGGATACTTAGCTCTTCTTGTTGCATTGATCCCTTTAGCATTATGTAATGGACTTCTTTGTCTCTTTTGATCTTCATTGGTTTAAAGTCTGTTTTATCAGAGACTAGGATTGCAACCCTGGCTTTTTTTTTTCTTTCCATTTCCCTTGTAGATCTTCCTCCATCCCTTTATTTTGAGCCTATGTGCGTCTTTGCATGTGAGATGGGTCTCCTGAATACAGCACACTGCTGGGTCTTGACTCTATCCAATTTGCCAGTCTGTGTATTTTAATTAGGGCATTTAGCCCATTCACATTTAAGGTTAATATTGTTATGTATGAATTTGATCCTGTCATTATGATACTAGCTGGTTATTTTGCCAATTAATTGATGCAGTTTCTTCATAACATTGATGGTCTTTACAATTTGGCATGTTTTTGCAGTGGCTGGTACCAGTTACCGGTTGTTTCTTTCCATGTTTAGTGCTTCCTTCAGGAGCTCTTGTAAGGCAGGCCTGGTGGTGACAAAATCTCTCAGCATTTGCTTGTCTGTAAAGGATTTTATTTCTCCTTCACTTATGAAGCTTAGTTTGGCTGGATATGAAATTCTGGGTTGAAAATTCTTTTCTTTAAGAATGTTGAATATTGGGCCCCATTCTCTTCTGGCTTGTAGGGTTTCTGCTGGGAGATCCGCTGTTAGTCTGATGGGCTTCCCTTTGTGAGTAGCCTGACCTTTCTCTCTGGCTGCCCTTAACATTTTTTTTTTTTTTCATTTCAACCTTGGTGAATCTGACAATTATGTGTCTTGGGGTTGCTCTTCTTGAGGATATCTTTGTGGTGTTCTCTGTATTTCCTGAGTTTGAATGTTGGCCTGCCTTTTTAGGTTGGGGAAGTTCTCCTGAATAATACCCTGAAGAGTGTTTTCCAACTTGGTTCCATTCTCCCCGTCATTTTGAGGTACACCAATCAGACATAGATTTGGTCTTTTCACATAGTCCCATATTTCTTGGAGGCTTTGTTCATTTCTTTTTAGTGTTTGCTCTCTATCCTTATCTTCTTGCTTTATTTCATTCATTTGATCTTCAATCACTGATACCCGTTCTTCCAGTTGGTCGAATCAGCTATTGAAGCTTGTACATGCGTCACGAAGTTCTTGTGCCATGGTTTTCAGCTCCATCAGGTCATTTAAGGTCTTCTCTACACTGTATTGTAGTTAGCCATTCATCTAATCTTTTTGCAAGGTTTTTAGCTTCCTTGTGATGGGTTTCAACATGCTCCTTTAGCTTGGAGAAGTTTGTTATTACCGACCTTCTGAAGCCTACTTCTGTCAACTCGTTAAAGTCATTCTCCATCTGGCTTTGTTACATTTTAGGCGAGGAGCTGCAATCCTTTGGAGGAGAAGAGATGCTCTAATTTTTAGAATTTTCAGCTTTTCTGCTCTGGTTTCTCCCCATCTTTGTGGTTTAATCTACCTTTGGTCTTTGATGTTGGTGACCTATAGATGGGGTTTTGGTGTGGATGTCCTTTTTGTTAATGTTGACGCTATTCCTTTCTGTTTGTTAGTTTTCCTTCTAGCAGTCAGTACCCTCAGCTGCAGGTCTGTTGGAGTTTGCTGGAGGTCCACTCTAGACCCTGTTTGCCTGGGTATCACCAGTGGAGGCTGCAGAACAGCAGATATTGCAGAAGAGCAAATATTGCTGCCTAATCCTTTCTCTGGAAGCTTCGTCCCAGAAAGGCGCCCACCTATATGAGGTGTCTGTTGGCCCCTAGTGGGAAGTATCTCCCAGCTAGGCTACACAGGGGTCAGGGACTCAATTGAGGAAGCAGTCTGTCCATTCTCAGAGCTCAAACACCATGTTGGGAGAACCACTGCTCTCTTCAGAGCTGTCAGACAGGGCCATTTAAGTCTGCAGAAGTTGTCTGCTGCCTTTTGTTCAGCTAAGTAAGCCCTGCCCACAGAGGTGGAGTCTAGAGACAATAGGCCTTGCTGAGCTGTGGTGGGCTCTGCCTAGTTCGAGCTTCCTGGCTGCTTTGTTTACCCACTGAAGCCTGAGCAATGGTAGACGCCCCTCCCCCAGCCAGGCTGGCACCTCACAGTTCCCTCTCAGACTTCTGCACTAGCAGTGAGCAAGACTCCATGGGCATGGGACCCACTGAGCCAGGTAAGGGAGAGGATCTCCTTGTATGGCAGTTGCTAAGACCTTGGGAAAAGTGCAGTATTTGGGTGGGAGTGTCCCATTTTTCCAGGTACAGTCTGTCACGGCTTCCCTTGGCTAGGAAAGGGAAATCCTCCCCTTGTGCTTCCCGGGTGAGGTGATGCCCCGCCCTGCTTCAGCTTGCCCTCCATGGGCTGCACTCACTGTCCAACCTGTCCCAATCAGATGAACTGGGTACCTCAGTTGGAAATGCAGAAATCACCCATCTTCTGTGTCGATCATGCTGGGAGCTGCAGACCGGAGCTGTTCCTATTTGGCCATCTTGGAATGGATCACCGGGTTTGATAATATTTTCTTGAGAATATTTGTGTCTATGTTCACCAGGGATACTGAACTATAATTTTCTTTTCTTACAGTATTCCTATCTGGATTTGGTATTGGGATAATGCTGGCTTTATAAAATGGTTGCAAGTAATTCATTCTCTTCAGTTTTTTGGGAGAGTTTGAGAAGAATTGGTATTAGTTCTTTTCTAAATGTTTGGTAGAAATCAAGAGTGAATTCCACTGGCCTTGGGCTTTTCTTTGATGGGAGGCTTTCTATTACTGATCAACCTCCTTACAGAATGTTGGTCTATTCAGATTTTTTATTTCCTTTAATTTACTCTTGGTAGGTTGTTTATCTCAAATAATTTATCCATTATTCTAGGTAATCCAATTTGTTTTCATGTAAATGTGTGGGGTTTTGTTGTTGTTGTTGTTGTTGTTGTTGTTGTTGTTGTTGTTTTGACAGTGTCTCACTCTGTTGCTCAACCTAGAGTGCAGTGGTGTGATCTCGGCTCACTGCAACTTGCAACTCCCAGGTCCCAGTGATTCTTGTGCCTCAGCCTCCTGAGTAGCTGGGATTACAGCCATGCACCACCATGCCCAGGCTAATTTTTGTCTTTTTAGTAGAGACGGGATTTCACTATGTTGGTCAGGCTGGTCTTGAACTCCTGACCTCAAGTTATCCAACTGCCTCAGCCTCCCAAAGTGCTGAGATTACAAGCATGAGCCTCCATGTCTGTTCTGTTTACATATAAATGTTAGTAATGGTCTCATTCATTTCTTTGTATTTCTGTAGTATCAGTGGTAATGTTTCTTTTTTTTTAAATGTATACATTTAAGGGATAAACACTCAATTTTGTTACATGCATATATTGCATGGTTGTAAAGTCTTTGCTTCTAGTGTATCCATCACCTGCATAATGTACATTGTACCTATTAATTAATTTATCATTGCCTTAACCCCTTCTGCCCCCTCAGCCTTCTAAATCTCCAATGTTTATTCTTCCATACCCTACGTCCATATGTATACACATGATTTAGCTCTGACTTATAGGTGAGAATATGTGGTAGTTGACTTTCTGTTCCTAACATAATGGCTTTTTATTCATAACATAATGGCTTCCAGTCCCATCCATGTTGCTGCAAAGTACTTTATTTATTATTTTTTATTTTAAAAAAATACTGAGTACTATTCCCTTTTAGTGTGATTATGCTATTCATTTAAGACTCAGTAGGAGACATTTTTTTCTGTTTGCATTCTATTTTATCTATCTTTCTTCCCCATTCTTGTTAATATTTTCTTGGTGATGTGAAAAATTAATCTGGTACCAAAGGTAAAGCTATGCAGAAAGCTATACATAGATAAGTATTACTACACCCACATCCTTTTTACCTAACTCCCACTCAATGCCATTGGTAACCAATCACACTAGTCTCTGAGTTCTCCTTTCTTTGATTCTTTGTACACAGTTCTAAACTGTGAATGCACATCAGAATTTGCTGGTGTGTGTGCATGCTCACTTGTACATGCATGAACATATCTTCTAACCCAGAAGCTTTCTATTTTTTTGTTTTCAGAAGATCCCCAGATAGCATCTATCCAAACTAAAATGAGAACACAGTCTGACGGACATGAGGGGATTTATATGACTAAAATAATAAAATATTTAAAACAGTTTTCTGTGGTTGGGAGAACAGAGCCCCAGGTGATTCTAATACACAGTCAATAGAGAAAACCACTGTTTTGGGTGATACAGAATGAGGTTATGTATCTGGAATTGCATCAGTCACTGTTGTTATCATAGGAGGAACCACCTGACAAAGAAGCCAACAGATGAAGAAGGAAAATACTGATCCACTGAATTCACTCTACACTCAAAGCCACACCCATGTCTGGATTCTTCTTTATATAAGTTGGGGAATTTCCCCCCATAAGTCAACTAGTTTTTATGCATACTTAAGAGTTTTATTTTCTTGTTTCAACATATTTTTCTGCCCAGAATGTTCTATGTTCTCCTTCCCTTCATTTATTTTGGATATAGTTTGTGTTAAATAATCCCTTCAATTTAGATGCCCCCTTTTCCAAAAACCTTTCTATGCTATCCTCACCACATTCTTCATTACCTGTTTGGGTTGTGTGCATTTCTTATATGCTCTCTAGCAACTTGTGCACATGGTTATTATTACACAAGGCAATATTGCTTTGTCACTGTATTTTCCTTGCACTATGAGGTTCTTTCATATTTAGATTGCTTCTTATCCATCCTGTATAATATAGGAAAGAGGGACAAGCTGCCTTAATTTGACTTTAAGAATAAATTGACTTAAGAATTGGTCATAATTTCTTTTTGGAATAATTACTGTCTTTGAGAGGAAAAAATAGCATTGCAATGAGTATGTCTAAATGCGTGATGCTTAAGAAGGAGACATAAATGATAGGGAATAGTTATGGGTATCATTTATCAGAGTTATAGAAGTGTGAAAAGTGCCATAGAAACATGCCAGCAGATGTGGCCTGGGTAAGTGTTAGCCAGTCATATATTTCCTGTGGTAGGCTAGAAAAGAAAATATTTATATTTTAGTCATATATTAATTATGTTTTGATATATCTATTCCCATCCCAGTACTGCTACCCAAACCTTTTAGGAAAAAAAGTCTGCTATACACAGTAACCCTAAGGTACTGCTGCTATGGAAAAATAAAGTAAGTTGGGTCACCTACAGCAAATACAAATTAGGGCAGAAAAAATGGTAGGAGATATGACCACAAAAGAAACAGTGATGAGAGAGGTAAATTTGACGAAATCAGAGGAAATTTGAATTAGCTCAGGAGAAAGACAAACTCACCTTCCCCAAACTCAAGAGTGGTTGAGAACTGTGGACACCTAAAAAAGTATATTTAGAGGAACAGCTCCAGTCTACAGCTCCCAACATAAGCGATGAAGAAGATGGGTGATATCTGCATTTCCAACTGAGGTACTGGGTTCATCTCACTGAGGCTCATTAGACGGTGGGTGCAGGACAGTGGGTGCAGCTCATGGACCATGAGCCAAAGCAGGGCGAGGCATTGCCTCACCCAGGAAGTGCAAGGGGTCAGGGAATTCCCTTTCCTAGCCAAGGGAAGCTGTGACAGATGGCACCTGGAAAATTGGGTCACTCCCACCCTAATACTGCACTTTTCCAATAGTCTTAGCAAACGGCACACCAGGAGATTATATCCCGCACATGGCTTGGAGGGTCCTATGCCCACAGAGTCTTGCTCACTGCTAGCACAGTAGTCTGAGATTGAACTGCAAGGCGGCAGCAAGGCCAGGGAATGGGCGCCTGCCATTGCTGAGGCTTGAGTAGGTAAACAAAGCTGCCTGGAAGTTCGAACTGGGTGGAGCCCAACACAGCTCAAGGAGGCCTGCCTGCCTCTGTAGACTCCACCTCTCGGGGCAGGGCATAGCTGAACAAAAGGCAGCAGAAACTTCTGCAGACTTAAACGTCCCTGTCTGGCAGCTTTGAAGAGAGTAGTGGTTCTCCCAGCACAGAGTTTGAGATCTGAGAACGGACAGACTGCCTCCTCAAGTGGGTCTCTGACCCCCGAGTGGCCTAACTGGGAGGCACCTCCCAGTAGGGGCCAACTGATACCTCATAGGGCTGGGTGCCCCTCTGAGATGAAGCTTCCAGAGGAATGATCAGACAGCAACATTTGCCAATCTGCAATATTTGCGGTTCTGCAGCCTCTGCAGGTAATGCCCAGGCAAACAGGGTCTGGAGTGGACCTCCAGCAAAATCCAACAGACCTGCAGCTGAGGGTACTGACTGTTAGAAGGAAAATTAACAAACAGAAAGGACATCCACACCAAAACCCCATCTGTAGGTCACCAACATCAAAGACCAAAGGTAGATAAAACCACAAAGATGGGAAGAAAGCAGAGCAGAAAAGCTGAAAATTCCAAAACTCAGAGTGCCTCTTCTACTCCAAAGGAACGCAGCTCCTTGCCAGCAATGGAACAAAGCTGGACAGAGAATGACTTTGATGAGTTGATAGAAGAAGTCTTCAGAAGATCGGTAATAACAAACTTCTACGAACTAAAGGAGGATGTTCGAACCCATTGCAAAGAAGCTAAAAACATTGAAAAAAGATTGGACGAATGGCTAACTAGAATAAACAGTGTAGAGAATAAACAGTGTAGAGAAGACCTTAAATGACCTGATGGAGCTGAAAACCATCACACGAGAACTACGTGACACATGCACAAGCTTCAGTAGCTGGTTCGATCAACTGGAAGAAAGGGTATCAGTGATTGAAGATCAAATGAATGAAATGAAGTGAGAAGAGAAGTTTAGAGGAAAAAGAGTAAAAAGAAATGGAGAAAGCCTCCAAGAAATATGGGACTTTGTGAAAAGACCAAATCTACGTCTGATTGGTGTACCTCAGAGTGACGGGGAGAATGGAACCAAGTTGGAAAACACTCTTCAGGATATTATCCAGGAGAACTTCCCCAACCTAGCAAGGCAGGCCAACATTCAAATTCAGGAAATACAGAGAACACCGCAAAGATACTCCTCAAGAAGAGCAACCCCAAGACACATAATTGTCAGATTCACCAAGGTTGAAATGAAGGAAAAAATATTAAGGGCAGCCAGAGAGAAAGGTCAGGCTACCCACAAAGGGAAGCCCATCAGACTAACAGCAGATATCTCAGCAGAAACTCTACAAGCCAGAAGAGAGTGGGCCCCAATATTCAACATTCTTAAAGGAAAGAATTTTCAACCCAGAATTTCATATCCAGACAAACTAAGCTTCATAAGTGAAGAAGAAATAAAATCCTTTACAGACAAGCAAATGCTGAGAGATTTTGTCACCACCAGGCCTGCCTTACAAGAGCTCCTGAAGGAAGCGCTAAATGTGGAAAGGAACAATTGGTACCAGCCACTGTAAAAACATGCCAAATTGTAAAGGCCATCAATGCTAGGAAGAAATTGCCTCAACTAACGTGCAAAATAAGCAGCTATCATTATAATGACAGGATGAAATTAACACAAAACAATATTAACCTTAAATGTAAATTGGCTAAATGCTAAAATTAAAAGAAACAGACTGGCAAATTGGATAGAGTCAAGACCCATCAGTGTGCTGTATTCAGGAGACCCATCTCACGTGTAGAGACACACACAGGCTCAAAATAAAGGGATGGAGGAAGACCTACCAAGTAAATGGAGAACAAAAAGAAGCCAGGGTTGCAATCCTAGTCTCTGATAAAACAGACTTTAAACCAACAAAGATCAAAAGAGACAAAGAAGGCCATTACATAATGGTAAAGAGATCAATTCAACAAGAAGAGCTAACTATCCTAAATATATATGCACCCAATACAGGTGCACCCAGATTCATAAAGCAAGTCCTTAGAGACTTACAAAGAGGCTTAGACTCCCACACAATAATAATGGAAGACTTTAACACCCCACTGACAATATTAGACAGATCCACAAGACAGAAAGTTAACAAGGTATCCAGGAATTGAAATCAGCTCTGCATCAAGTGGACCTAATAGACATCTACAGGACTCTCCAACCCAAATCAACAGAATATACATTCTTCTCAGCACCACATCACACTTATTCCAAAACTGATGACATAGTTGGAAGTAAAGCACTCCTCAGCAAAAGTAAAAGAATAGAAATTATAACAAACTGTCTCTTAGACCACAGTGCAATCAAATTAGAACTCAGGATTAAGAAACTCACTCAAAACCGCTCAACTACATGGAAACTGAACAACCTGCTCCTGAATGACTACTGGGTACATAACGAAATGAAGGCAGAAATAAAGATGTTCTTTGAAACCAATGAGAAGAAAAACACAGTGTACCAGAATCTCTGGGACACGTTTAAAGCAGTATGTAGAGGGAAATTTATAGCACTAAATATCCAGAAGCGAAAGCAGGAAAGGTCTAACACTGACACCCTAACATCATAATTAAAAGAACTAGAGAAACAAGAGCACACACATTCAAAAGCTAGCAGAAGGCAAGAAATAACCGAGATGAGAGCAGAACTGAAGGAAATAGAGAAATAAAAAACCCTTCAAAAAATCAATGAATCCAGGAGCTGGTTTTTTCAAAAGATCAACAAAATTGACAGACTGCTAGCAAGACTAATAAAGAAGAAAAGAGAGAAGAATCAAATAGATGCAATAAAAAATGATAAAGGGGATATCACCACCAATCTCACAGAGATATAAACTACCATCAGAGAATACTATAAACACCTCTATGCAAATAAACTAGAAAGTCTAGAAGAAATGGAGAAATTCCTGAACACATACACCCTCCCAAGACTAAACCAGGAAGAAGTTGAATCCCTGAATAGACCAACGACAGGCTCTGAAATTGAGGCAATAATTAAGAGCCTACCAACCAAAAAAAGTCCAGGACCAGGTGGATTCACAGCCAAATTCTACCAGAGGTACAAAGAGGAGCTGGTACTATTCTTTCTGAAACTATTACAATCAATAGAAAAAGAGAGAATCCTCTCTAACTCATTTTATGAGGCCAGCATCATCCTGATACCAAAGCCTGGCAGAGACACAACAAAAAAAGAGAATTTTAGACCAATATCCCTGATGAATATCGATGCAAAAATCCTCAAAAAAATACTGGCAAACCGAATCCAGAAGCACATCAAAAAGCTTATCCACCATGAGCAAGTGGGCTTCATCCCTGGGATGCAAGGCTGGTTCAACATATGCAAATCAGTAAATGTAATCCATCATATAAATAGAACCAAAGATAAAAACCACATGATTATCTCAATAGATGCAGAAAAGGCCTTTGACAAAATTCCACAGCCCTTCATGCTAAAAACTCTCAAGAAATTAGGGATTGAGGGGATGTATCTCAAAATAATAAGAACTATTTATGACAAAACCACAGCTAATATCATACTGAATGGGCAAAATCTGGAAGCATTCCCTTTGAAAACTGGCACAAGACAGGGATGCTCTCTCTCACCACTTCTATTCAACATAGTGTTGGATGATCTGGCCAGGGAAATCAGGCAGGAGAAAGAAATAAAGGGTATTCAATTAGGAAAAGAGGAAGTCAAATTGTCCCTGTTTGCAGATGACATGATTGTATATTTAGAAATCCCCATTATCTCAGCCCAAAATCTCCTTAAGCTGATAAGCAACTTCAGCAAAGTCTCAGGATACAGAATCAATGTGCAAAAATCACAAGTATTCCTATACACCAATAACAAACAGAGAGCCAAATCATGAGTGAACTCCCATTCACAATTGCTACAAAGAGAATAAAATACCTAGGAATCCAACTTACAAGGGATGTGAAGGACCTCTTCAAGGAGAACTACAAACCACTACTCAACAAAATAAAAGAGGACACAAACAAATGGAAGAACATTCCATGCTCATGGATAGGAAGAATCAATATTGTGAAAATGGCCATACTGCCCAAGGTAATTTATAGATTCAATGCCATCCCCATCAAGCTACCAATGACTTTCTTCAGAGAATTGGAAAAAAATACTACTTTAAAGTTCGTGTGGAACCAAAAAAGAGCCCACATGGCCAAGACAATCCTAAGCCAAAAGAACAAAGCTGGAGGCATCATGCTACCTGACTTCAAACTATACTACAAGGTTACAGTAACCAAAACAGCATGGTACTGGTACCAAAACAGATATATAGACCAATGCAGCAGAACAGAGCCCTCGGAAATAATACCACACATCTACAACCATCTGATCTTTGACAAACCTGACAAAAACAAGAAAAGGGGAAAGGATTCCCTACTTAATAAATGGTGCTGGGAAAACTGGCTAGGCATATGTAGAAAGCTGAAACTGGATCCCTTCCTTACACCTTATACAAAAATTAATTCAAGATGGATTAAAGACTTAAATATGAGACCTAAAACCATAAAAACCCTGGAAGAAAACCTAGGCAACACCATTCAGGACATAGGCATGGGCAAGGACCTCATGTCTAAAACACCAAAAGAAATGGCAGCAAAAGCCAAAATTGACAAATGGGATCTAATTAAACTAAAGAGCTTATGCACAGCGAAAGAAACTACCATCAGAGTGAACAGGCAACTTACAGAATGGGAGAAAATTTTTGCAATCTACCCATCTGAAAAAGGGCTAATATCCAGAATCTAAAAAGAAACAAATTTACAAGAAAAAATCTAACAACCCCATCAAAAAGTCGGTAAAGCATATGAACAGACACTTCTCAAGAGAAGACATTTATGCAGCCAACAGACACATGAAAAAATGCTCGTCCTCACTGGCCATCAGAGAAATGCAAATCAAAACCACAATGAGATGCCATCTCACGCCAGTTAGAATGGCGATCATTAAAAAGTCAGGAAACAACAGTTGCTGGAGAGGATGTGGAGAATAGGAATACTTTTACACTGTTGGTGGGACTGTAAACTAGTTCAACCATTGTGGAAAACAGTGTGGCAATTCCTCAAGTATCTAGAACTAAAAATACCATTTGACCCAGCCATCCCATTACTGGGTATATACCCAAAGGATTATAAATCATGCTGCTATAAAGACACATGCATACGTATGTTTATAGCGGCACTATTCACAATAGCAAAGACTTGGAACCAACTCAAATATCCATCAATAATAGACTGGATTAAGAAAATGTGGCACATATACACCATGGAATACTAGGCAGCCATAAAAGAGGATGAGTTCATGTCGTTTGTAGGGACATGGATGAAGCTGGAAACCATCATTCTGAGCAAACTATTGCAAGGACAGAAAACCAAACACCGCGTGTTCTCACTCATAGGTGGGAATTGAACAATGAGAACACTTGGACACAGGGTGGGGAACACCACACACTGGGGCCTGTGGGGGGCAGTGGGGAGGGATAGCATTAGGAGATATACCTAATGTAAATGACGAGCTAATGGGTGCAGCACACCAACATGGCACATGTATACATATGCAACAAACCTGCACATTGTGCACATGTACCCTAGAACTTAAAGTAAATAATAAAAAATAAGAAAAAGAAAAAAAAGTAGATTTAGTGCCTTATTTTTAAAATCATCTGTATCGAGTTGTAATTTACACGTAGTAAATTGCACCCATTTTAAGTATACAGTGTGATGATTCTTAATAAGTTGGTGCACCTGTGTAAGCACCACCAAAATCATGGTATGAAATATTTTTCTCACCTCAGAAGTTTCCTTTGTGCCTTTGCTTGTTAGTCACTCCACCCAACCCACCTCCCTATGGTACTGATCAACCACGAGTTCACTTTGTGTCACTGTAGAGTAGATGTGTCATTTTTGTTTAAATTTCTAAGCACTTGCCAAACAGTTTTCCAAGGAGATTGTGCCACTTGACATTTTCACCTACATATATGAGAACTCTAATTTTTCTAAAAATTCATCAACACTTGGTACTGCGTCTTTTTAATTTTAGCCATTCTTGTGGGTATATGTTTTAATTCTATTAAACATAGGTGTATGTATATGTGGATACCTTTTAATTCTAGTACCATATGCAAATTAAAGGGAGTAACTCAGTTGATACAAAATTTGATCAAGTCTTCAAAGATATTCCCGGCCGGGTGCATTGGCTCATGCTTCTAATCCCAGCACTTTGGGAGGCCGAGGTGGGCGGATCACGAGGTCAGGCGATCGAGACCATCTTGGCTAACACAGAGAAACCCCGTCTCTATTAAAAATACAAAAATTTAGCCACGCGTGGTGGTGGGCACCTGTAGTCCCAGCTACCCTGGAGGCTGAGGCAGGAGAATGGCATGAACCCAAGAGGCAGAGCTTGCAGTGAGCTAAGACCGTGCACTCCAGCGTGGGCGACAAAGTGAGACTCCGTCTCAAAAAAAAAAATACTCCCAACTGTCCTTCCCCTCTTTATATGTACCCGCCATCATTTCTATCAAGAGATGCAGTTTATGTCCCCTCCTCTTTAATCTGGTCTGGCATCACGACTGGCTTTAACCAATAAAATGTAACAGAAGTGATGTTCTGGGACTTTTGAAGACAAGACTTCATAAGACTGACAATTTCCACTTCCTAACTCTAGAAATTCATGTGTTACGCTGTTAGAAACCCAACACACATGGAGGCCGTATCATGAAGAACTGAGACACCCTGGTTGACTGCCCTGGCTGAGCTCTGAATAGGTCATCAGCCAGCACCATGTGAGGGAATCATCTTAGACATCCCAGCCCTGACAATGCTCCAGATGACTAGACTCTGTTGACAGAAGAACCAACTGAATCATTGAGAGATAATAAAGTGGTTGTTTTAAGCCACTGAGTTTTGGGACAGAAAACCAAACTATTTGTATACAAAGTTCCTAGCTTAGGGCTCAATAAATATTTGTTGAATTAATACATGAATCATTTAATATATATATTTTTGTGTACTTAGCACTGTGCTAAATATTGCAGTACTGCTATTTGTCTTGAGAAAAATAAAAAGTGCCCAGCATGGTGATATGTCGCTTTAATCCTAGCTACCTGGGAGGCTGAGGCAGGAGGATTGCTTCAGTCCAGGAGTTCAAGACTGGCCTAGACAACATAGGAAGACCCCATTTCAAAACATAAAATATAAGGAGATTGCTTTCCCAATTTTCATACTATTATAGCATTTGTTTACAACATTTAGGAATTATTTGACTATAAATCAATGACCTTCATTTGACCTATATCAAGATCTCTTTTTCCCTATCAGGCCCCATTAGGAGCCTGAAGTACTTTCCCTAGGTACCAGGTACAGTGTATCTCCCACAACTTATTCACTAATGTAGCCCTTGTAGTGCCTGGGAATCCAGCAATATCTGCTTCTTGAATAACAGTGGAAACATGACCTATTTCAGTCATGTTGGCAGAGGTTTTGTCTTGCAACAGTTCATTCTTTGAGTAAATGAGGTGCAATCTTGAATAGCTGGAGGATAGTAAATTGATAGTTGATGGAGCTCATTCCAGCAGCCCCCATCACCCACTACTCAGTGGCAGTTTACAGGCCACTGTGACAGATTAAGTCCAAAAAGAGCACAGCAATTACAGCTGCCTTGATGCCCAGAGCACAGGATGCCCTTTTTACCTCTTTTGAGAATGAAAGAGACAGAATGAACTACCGTAGTGCACACTGCCCTGACTGTGTTTCTGTCCTTCCTATTCCCGCAACAAGGGCCATTGGAGGCTCATGAATGGTTTGAGCTGGATGAAACCTAGTGCAGTCCAAACTCATCAGTTAGTAGGTGAAGAAAAGAAGGCCCGGGAGGTTAAGTGACGCTCGGCTAATCATACAGGGAAATAGGAGAATAGCTAGGACACATGTGGGGTCACTAAGATCTTAGTCACATGTCCCTTCTATTTCAACATACTGTCTCTCTGCTTTTCTGGTACTTAAGGCTTGTTTTCAATAGCTACTCATGCTTTGGAAGAGATCTGAAATTTCCTTCAGAGGATAGATCACAGGGATGGAGATATGTACCGGAACCATCTCTAAAACCTTATCACCTTCCCATCACTAGCAATGCCTTACCTATCTAACCTCATTCATTCAGCCAAGTTACATAGGTGACTGATATGTGGAAAACTCTATAGATGTTTCAGGGGACATAAAATTGTAGAACACTATTTTCTGGGTTTAATAAATTTGAATTTGGAGCAGAGTGATAAATATTCAATTATCTACAATAAAAATCAGTATGTGATAAATGTTCTATGCATGTGATAATTAAGTTTAATTAAGCATTCCAATTACATAAGCACTAAATTATTTCCACAAAGCAGTTGAAGTCATACAGCGTTTATAGATATCATACAAAGTGCACTTTGCCTCGAGCCCTGCCACCTAAAGTATGTACCCTGAACAGGAGCTTCAGCACCACCGGGGGGAGGTTGTTAGAAACGCAAATTCTCAGGCTGCACCCCAGTCCCATTGAATCAGAATCTATACTTTAACAAGATCCTAGGAGGTTTGTATCCATATTAACTTTCAAGAAACCTGAAACAGAGGAACAAGTAGAGAAAAGAGGAATGGATTTTTGTCTGGTGTAGTTAAGGAAGACCCCACAGCAGAGGGCAGAAGATTGACGTGTTCATCAGGGCTCTTGGATCAGACAGCTGGATTCAGCTGGAGAAACTTGGGTACATTATTTACATATTTTTATTCATAAAATGGGCATAGGCTAGGCATGGTAACTTGTACTTGTAATCCTAGCATTTGGGGTGGCTGAAGCAGGAGAATTGTTAAGGCCAGGAGTTTGAGACCAGCGTGGGCAACATAGTGAGACCCTGTCTCTACAAAAAAAATACAGAAACCAATCTGGGCATGGCAGTGCATACCTATAGTCCTAGCTACTCAAGAAGCTGATGTGAGAGGACTCCTTGAGCCAGGAGATTCAAGACTGCAGTGAGCAGTCTTGCCTTAGCAAGGGTGCACCCCAGCCTGGTTGACAAAGTAAGACCTCACCACTATTAAAAAAAAAAAAAAGAAAGAAAGAAAGAATGAAAGAAAAGCAAAAATAAAGAAAAAGAAGGCCAGGCGTGGTGGCTCACGCCTGTAATCCCAGCACTTTGGGAGGCCGAGGCGGGCGGATCACAAGGTCAGGAGATCGAGACCATCCTAAACCCCGGCTCTGCTAAAAATACAAAAAATTTAGCCGGGCATGGTGGCGGGCGCCTGTAGTCCCAGACACTCGGGAGGCTGAGGCAGGAGAATGGCTTGAACCCGGTAGGCGGAGCTTGAAGTGAGCCAAGATCGCGCCACTGCACTCCAGCCTGGGCAACAGAGCGAGACTCCATCAAAAAAAAAAAAAAAAAAGAAAGAAAGAAAAGAAAAGAAAAGAAAAAGAAAGAGAAAGAAAGAAAGAAAGAGAAAAACTGTCATAGAATCAGGGCCTACCTCCTAGGGTGCAAGAAAATACTTAATATGCAAAAGTACGGTAGGCACCGGGAATTAAAATGTGGGCATGAAAAAAGGAAATTCCACAGCATTGTTGAAACTGATAAGATGGAGGGAATAGGGTTGTGTTTAATATTAACCAGATGGTTGCCTGAGTGGTAATGCTATTAGTAAAAGTAGGGAAGCTGAGGGAAAAGAAGTTCCGTGGAGTGGAAGTTGGTGGTGGTGACATCACTGCTGGTCTTACCCTGTGAATTTGGGCTCTTGAGTATCGCTCCATCTTGTCAATCTTTTGACACCAGAGAATGTTCATGAATTAGTACAGTAGATGTAGGAATAGATTCTTCCTCTCAGTTTCATCCTTCTACTGTGCTCCCTGGGGACCCTTGAATATTTTCCTGAAATAGATACATAGCAGCCTTACACTCCACTGTAAAAAGGCTCCCTAAATGCAGCTCCATTTTTCATTCCACATATCATTTTGCTTTATGCACATAGTCATGTAATGTAAAGGGTAATTCAGGGTTGATAAATTAGCAGCCAGGAAAGAGGCCTATAAGGAGCTTCAGTAAGCCATTTAGTATTTGCTGAGTTCTGTAGAGCTTTGGTCTTTTCTCACACCCAGAGGTAGTAAATATCCCTCTCCGGGTGGTACTCGTGGAGAGTGCTTCTGCATTTTGATACTCTGAAGTGATTCCTGCAAACAACAGTTGTTTCACATTCTAGACTAGAACTTCAGAGTCATGTACAACTGGTGAGCTCTTCCCATTCGTAGGAAAACTAAAGCCCGGGGAGGAGTCATCACTTCTCAAGGTTTTTACTCATTAGGTTGTCTAAGGTGAGTTCTTTAAGCCAGATAATAGATTTCTTTTCTTACTTTTCTTTTTTTCTTCTCCCATCTCTCTTTTCCCACTCCTGTCTCTGTGTCTATCCTTTTATGATTTCACTGCTGGTGAAAGGTTACTGATGTTAGGTAAATAGAACCATAAAATCAAATTAAGTCAGGATTAAATAGGGAGCATGCATTGAGAATATTTTTCTTTCTCTGTAATTGAGATGCAGTAGTCTGATTGTGTCCCTGTGTAATACCTCTGCAGGTTTAGGATCTGAGATCTCTGGTCAACCTTAAGCTCCATATGAATCTAGAATATGACATATCTGGGGAAAAGGGGACTAAATTAAAAGCATCTGATGCAAACATCATCTCAGATGAAGACTAAGCTGATGATGATGAAGCTTATATAATCAGAGAGAGACTGGCTATTATGATTTTAAAGTTTCTTCTGACCCAAAGAGTTCACTTCTCTGGGAAAGTCATTTTACTCAATTTAGCAGCTCCAAGCTGTTAAAATTGAAGAGAAACGGAAGATAAGGTGAGCTTTTTTTAAACTCGAAAATTGCATATATGAGCTCTGAATTCAGCATCTTCATTCCTTCCGAATTGGCTCTCCCGTCAAGGCTTGCCATGGTAGAAATAAGTGGTTGTTTTTGAGGCCATGAGGGATTATTTACAAAGGAAATCCACTTGCCTCACATTCCCTATCCTAATGGACTCTTTATTGAGCTTATCATCTTGTTGATAACACAAAATCACTTTGCTACCAGGTTCCTCTTGTTCCAGGCCAACGTGTTCTGATCTTTATGGGAAAGCATCGTGATCTAGAGAGGATACCAGGCTAGATAGCAATGGCCTGGCTGTGTTTCTATCTCCACTAACAAATTGCTGACTATGAGCCACTTTCATGTATCAAATATAATAATTCTTATCCCTGGCATATGTATAGATAGCTACAGTTTCAAATCACTTTCGTGTCTAGTTTTATTTTTAATAGATTCTCAGAATTACCATTGAGAAGGGTAGGGTGATATAGATATTATTTTACCATTTTACTAAAAAAGAAACCCACAACATGGTAAGTTAAATGATTGCCTAATGTTATACTAGAATAAGTGTTAAAAGGTCTTTGAATTCAAAGTTTTTTACTCTTAAAATATTATGTATATACACATATATATACACACACATACATATATTTAAAAGTAAAATTATGCCTCATGCAAATATAAAATGAATACATTATATATTTTATTTAACACACTAATTAATAAGGGAACCAGTAAGATGTTACAACTGGTTTGAAGAAAAACTCAAAGTTTTAGTTATTTATGGTCAAGTAAGGAATGCTGAAATGAAATTACAAGTGAATTTGTAAATTTCAAATATGTAATAACTGTTCAATATACACAGGATCATAAGCATTTGCATTCCATGAGCATAATTTGCATTTCTATGTGAGGGGTTTTTCTTCAACCCCCATAGGTTTATATTTGGACTAAACCCCTGTAATAAAAGACACATTTACAAGAGAAAAACAAACAGATGTTTATTAATATGTATATTTCATATATACATGAGAAACACTCGGGATCAGTAGTTCTCAAAGAGGCTTGAAATCTAGCTAATGTAGCATCTTCAACAAAGAGCAATAAAGTTTCAGAGAAGTAACCGAAGGAAAAGGACTTTGAGCCTTTAAGGACTGCAACTTGGAAGAAGGCAAATAACTGGCAGAAAAATGTTAGTTAGTAGAGCTTCTTAATGTAGATTCCCTCTGGGACCATCTCCAGACCGATAAAGATGTAAAGCTGTCTTTGGCGATTAACCTTTTTCTCCTTGGTATAAGGTGGGGTGAGTGAGGGGGTTGCCCTTGTAAATCTATGCTCTGCTTTTAGGCAAATAGATGGAGTACAGAGAGCTTTCCTATATCTGTGTCTTCTTAATTGTTTTCAGTTCAGCCATCTTTCACATCTTGGGATGGCATATTCTGTCCACCCCACCATGAACAAAAATTGTTTGTATTATTATCATCTTCTAATGACCTGCTGGGTTATAAAATAACTCACAGACAGTGAAAGGGAGAGATAACCATGATGGGTGAGCCTCTTACAAAATTTTCCACACATTCCTATGCTTGGAAATATAATGTTCTCATTTTATAACATTCTATTACCATACCCTAAAAAAAAACCCAGCATAATTTTCTCCCTCCCCTTGACCCCATAACTGATCATCTCTGATGTTTGTTATATCCATATCAATATTTTAGGGTTGCTACTCTTCAAGAAAACATGCTAAAATATTCAGATAACAACAATATTGGTAATAATATAAAAATAACTACCATTTGTTCTGGCAGCTACTACATGCTGATTGCCAATGACATCAATTAATAAATGTTTTTATCTTATCTCATTTGATTGTCATGGCAATCTTACAACATATGGGCAATTATTATGCCAGTTTGACAAATATAAAAACAGGCATCAATATAGCAATTAATTTGCCCAAAACTATCCATCTAATATTCAGCAAAATGAGATCCTGTTTTACTTTTTTGTAATACTTACATGAAGAAAATCATGGAGAACATATTTAGCAGCCATGTACTTGAATTTGCCCATCTAAAATAAGGGGAAAACATAAAAATATAATATTATTAACGCTACAAGGGATTCAAGGACTTCAGGAAGGAAAATATTACATCAACCTGTGTCCCTCAGAGTTGTCTCTGAAGTCTCATTATGAAGTGAATGATTTTTAATCAATTTCCTTCATTGGAGTTCCATGGAGAGATTGTTCTGGAAGAAAGGGGTAGTGGTGTAGTCACTGTTTATAGAAAAGGAAATTTTTGCTTTAAACATTGTTTATTGCAAAAGGAAAAATTTTTGATAAAATCATGGCCTCTGAAATTGTATATAGCTAGAACTCTGCTGAGTGATTTAACAGATATGCTATTATAGACATGTTATTTAAGCTGCCTGAACTTCCTCATCTTAAAATAGAAAAAGTACCATTATCTACCACAAAAGGCACTGTGGATTAAATAATATAACGTGGGTAAAAAATTTAGCATTGCGCTTTGCATACAGCATTCAATAAATAGAAATGGATATTAATTATTATCATTATTATTATTAGACACCATGCTTTCAAATTCAACATACTCTTTTAATGTTACTTTATATGTTAAAATAATTATTTTGCCTGAAAAAAAATTAAGTAATAGACATTTTAGAGTGAATGTTTATAAACCACCCTACCCCTACCCTCTCTTTGGAGATTCTCTTACATGCCCTCAGGGAACTGTGTTTTTTTCAACTGACAACATGGGACTCGTTCTCCAATGTTCATTTTATTTTGGTGTTCCATTATAAGGCAGGCTATTCACCAGTTCTCTGACATAAGCATATAGACAGGAATGGGGCACAGTTTAATTGATACCACAGTAAGAACAATCCATAGCCTTTTGTTTGGATGAACAACCTGAGACAACTATGTCTTTGATTTGGAAACAATTACTTTAAATTTGCTTAAGTCAAATATCTCACTTTGAAAAGTTTACCATTCAAAAAGCATTGTTAATATAACCCATTTCAGCCACTCATTCTATTTTGTTTCAGATTTGTTATTGAACAGTGAGAAGGACAGAAGTGGAAGGATGAGGCCCCTCTCTTCCAGGGACTAACCGTCTAGTGTCCTGCATTCACATGGACACTCTTTGTGCAAGATATAGAGTATTAACAATAGAGATCAAATCCAGAGGTTACAAACTGGTAGCCTAAAGGGCCTGCAGATATGTGCGTATTTGACTTGAACTCTGTTGTCTCACCCCCGGTTCAAAAAATTAGTAATTAATTTCCCAAATTAAATAAAAAATATATTTAACATTTCACAAGAAATTCAGAAAATTCTGGTGTTTCCCTTACCTGGGCCTTAACTCCCTAGGTAGTAATCATCAGCTGTATGTAAGCAGTAGCTGTCCTGTGTAAAACACTCTAGGGCTCTCTACTTCACCCTGCCCAGCTTAAAACACAGTTTTATCGTAACTACCTTGTCCCTGTGTGCATCTGAGCCCATGACCTCTGAAATAGTGATCTTTGACAAAACTACAATATGTATAGAGCAAGAGATTATTGATTTCAACAAGAAAGACATCTGGGGAGATGACAAACTAACAAGTGAGTGCTTACTATGTTTTACAAACTTTATATATATTTTCTCTATTAATTCTTGCAACTATTGCCTAAAATAGGTAGCTTTATTGCTCCATTCTCACACTGCTATGAAGAAATACTCAAGACTGGGTAATATATAACGGAAAGAGGTTTAATTGACTCACAGTTCCACATTGCTGGGGAGGCTGCAGGAAACTTACAATCATGACAATCATGGTAGAAAGCAAAGGAGAAGCAGGCACCTTCTTCACAGGGCTGCAGGATGAAGTGAGTGCAAGTAGGGGAAATGCTAGATGCTTATAAGCCCATCAGATCTTGTGAGACTCACTCATTATCACAACAGCATGGGAGAAACCATCCCCATGATCCAATTACCTCCATTTGGTCCTGCCCTTGACACTTGGGGATTATGGGGATTACAATTCGAGGTGGGAGTTGGGTGGGGACACAGAACCAAACCATATTGGCAGCACTGTAGCTCTTCTATATTTGAGGAAAATGAAGCTCAGAGATATTTAGATATGACCTAATTGGCAGAGCTAAGATGTAATTTAAATATAGCAGAGATGAAACAACCCAACAAAATTTGTTTTGTAAACAGACATATTTCTTTTTAGTTTACATTGGTCAGGACAGAATAAGCTTATGTGGTGGTAATAAACTTGGATATATATCAATAACTCAATAGCTCAACAAATAGCAGTGGCTCCAGCATTCACCAGGACAGTTCCCTTACAAGAAGTGACCAGTGATATCAGCAGGATTTGTCTTGAGGCTTCATCATTGCAACAGGAGTTCTCCACAATCACTGTTGCAAGCAAAAGAGGGAAAGTGAACATCATGCATGGGCTTTCACTGTTTCAACCTAGGTATGTCACTTCTGTTCACAGTTCATTGTCAAAAATTTGTGGGAACTCCCTATCCATAAGCAAAAAGGCTAAGAAGTCTTCCCCATACCTGTGGCTAAGAGGGGAAAATGAGCACCAGTAGTGTCTACCATGATGATCTTGGGCAAATTACATGAAATATTTGTTTTCCTTTCCTTATTGGCATAACAAACAAACAAACCAAACAAAAAAACACATAAAACCTGATACCTTTCTCACAGCATTTTGGCAGTGGTTAAGACAATGACTATGAGGAATGATTTCAAATGACCAATAAATTAACCTCTTTGGGTTGCTATATCTGATAAAGACAGTGTGGAGGCATAGGCATAGTGCTTTTTTAGAACTGAGCCAGGTAACTGAGCCATAGCCTCAGTTCCCATGCTGATAATTATGTAACTGCAGACAAGTCTCTAAGGTTTCATCTAAAAAATTGGAAGATTGAACTATAGGATCTCTAGGCTTCCCTCTGCTCCACAATAGTCTATATCTGCCATGAGTTTCTTACAGCAACTACCAGGTCTGTCGATCAGCACCTCACTTGCTTGTCCCTTGATCCAGCAGTTCTTTTGTTGGGAGAAATCTTGAGAAATGTGTTTTCATTTCAGGATTCCATCATGACCAATGCCCAGCACTGTGGCAGATGAAGAGTAAAGGTTTCCGTAAATGAATAACTACTCTAGGCCAGGACAATTGTAAATATAGTGTTAGAATCTGGACCATAAAACACACTTTGAAAGTGATATGGTTTGGATGCATGTCCCTTACAAATCTCATGTTGAAATGTAATCCCCAGTGTTGGAGGTGGAGCATGGTGGGAGGTGTTTGGATCATGGTGGTAGATCCCTCATGAATGGCTTGGTGCCCTGCCCGTGGTAATAAGTGAATTGTTACTCTTTTAGTTCACAAGAGATCTGCTTGTTAAAGGGGACTAGTGCCTCTCCCCTCTCTCTTGCTCCCTCTCTTGCCATGTGATACACCGGTTCCCCTTTTGCCTTCTGTCATGATTTTGTACTTCCTGAGGCCTCACCAGAAGCAGATGCTGGCACTATGCTTCTTCTACAGCCTACAGAACCATGAGCCAAATAAGCCTTTTCTCTTTATAAACTATCTAGTCTTCGGTATTCCTTTATAGCAATGCAAAATTGACTAACACAGAAAGTATTCAATTTTGTAAAGGATTCAATGATTTTCAATGAAAAGAACTTCATCCTGGGATTCTGGAGACCTAGATTCTAGTTCTGAGTCTAACAATAGCCTGCTATGTATGGAATATCAAATTTTTATCCCTTCTCTTGGCCTCTGTTTCTTATCTGTAAATGTAATAACTAAAGAATGCATGGGTTTTATCTCTAGTCAAATCCAAAATATTGATGGTAAAAAAACATTAGTGGTCATGTTAGAAGGATTGAGAGCAAGTCTAGGATCAGCAAAAACATATAGCATGATTGATTAGACATGCTCTTTATGTGCGCAGAAAATGACAACGGTAATATATACAAAAGTTATGTATTCACTGTTTTTGGACTAGATAAACGTTGAGGCAACTGCTAACATTTTATCATGCTATGAATGAGCAAAATCCCTCTTAGAGAGAGGGTCCCTTAGACCTAGAATATCAGAAAGCAAATACTAACCGGCCAATTTCCAAGCCAAAATCTAAGAGCAAGCCAGAAATAAATAATAAGGTCCTGAGACCCAAAGAGAAACATTTGCTAGGCTATGTGGAAGACCTGGCGGTAGAGGGTTAAGAGTTTCGAGCCTGAGCAGTCTGTAGTGTATGTCAGCCAAAAGGGGGCAGTAGAGGCCAGGCTCAGCAAAGTGGATCAGATGAACTAAGCAGGCCCCTCTGCTGCTGCTCTCTGCTGTAGATGCCAGCTTCCAGGTGACCACAGAGGGGAAATGCCTGATGCTTAAATGACAAAGCAGAAGTGGTTTTAGCCAAGGTGCACTTGTACCATGTGGAGAGGAAACTATGACTTTTCATTTGCTTTTAAACCATTCCCCCCTCACCATCTTGAACTTTCTGACCTGAACCAGCAAATTCACCCTAAGCGAGAACAGCAAATTGCACATCACTTGCTGACCTGGGAGGGCTGGACCAGAGCACCTGGCTATTTTCATGCAACCCCTGCCAGTGTTTATTTCTGCCTCTTGGAGTAAGGCTTGTTAGGAAGGAAAATTAACTCATCAGCTACTATTAGCAGGGCCTAAGGACTGCCAGGTTTTTCTGGGAAATGGCAAACCTCTCACTGCCCTTCCCAGAAAGGCCTTCCTCCTGCCAGGAGGCTGTTTAATCAGAACCACAAACAATCGTGAATAAAGGGAAGGTAGTCATATTAAGCAGCACCTGTCCTGTAGGGAACGCAATGATTGCAGAGGAAAAACACAGAGTGAAGCCTGCTTGCATCTCCCTGGGGTGTAGAGACTGACTTCCTCCCACAGCGTGAGTATAAGCTGCTCTCTGTTTTCCCGATGACCTCTCTCTGATGCTAATCTTGATCCTGTTGCCCACCCGTTTAGTGGTGATATATTCAGCCTACATTACATAATTATGGTTATATATAGTTATTTGCAATACAGCGTACATTTATTTTAGCGATGAGTATTAAACGTCTTCTCCTCCCATCATACCACTCCCTCCAAGGCTACATTGGTAACCTTCTAATTGATTTTTCTGTTTCAATTCTTACCTCTTTCAATCCATGCACTACAAAAACAGCCAGCGTGATTTTTGAAAAACAAGCTTGTGTTACTAACTCTCTTGGAAATTTTGTATAGTTTCCCATAGCATTTAAAATAAGTTTTCAACTTCTCACCATGACCTACCAGGTCCTACTTGACCTGTAACCTACCCGCTCTTCCACTCCATCTCATGACACTATTCCCCATACACATTTGCCCCATCTTTCTTTTAAATCTTAGAAAATATGAGATGTCATATTGACTGACTGTACATGCAGAAGCAGAAATGTTCTTTCATGTATTTCTTTTTAAGAGCAATATTGTATTTTTCCAGAAGCCCCTCCAACAGTTATTTTCTTATGGTCTTCTTGGCTAAAACTAAGTAAAAGGCCACATGTAAACCAATCACTATTAAGAGAAATGGAACCATACTGACTTAGATTCATTGTGATTCAATCCCCATGGTGACAATGAGTATAGCATTTTCTGAAGCACATTTAAGAATCTTAAAGTAAGGGAATGGCTGTTACATATGAAACCAATAATATCTCTGCAATTAAAAAAAATAGGATTTAGCCAGGACATAGAACTTAATGAAGGTAATTGTACACATAAAGACTAGTTTGTGAAAAAGCACAGGTATTGGGAAATGTCAAGTCTAATTAGAGTATTTAAAATATCCCATTTAACTAGAATGTAGGGTGTGATAGGAAAGACAAGTAGATGATTGGAAATATCAGTTGGAAAATAATTATAGAGTCTCTGATGTCAAGCAATCATTTTTGAATGAATTAGAAAACTTTGGAAAATAAGTGACCAATTTGAAGTTTTAAATATTTTATATATCAAAAGCCTGACTCCCCAATAATTGAACTCCTTAAAGACATGTACAATCTCTTCTCCTAAAATAATAATTTTGCAGAAACTTTCATACATTCTTATATTTAGATAACCCTAAAAATCCACCAAAAAACTGTTAAAAATAATAAATTTCACAATTGCAAGATATAAAAGCAATGCAAAAATCAGTTGTGCTTGTAAATGCTAGCATTAACCAACAAAATAGAAAATAATCCCATTTATATTGGCAATCAAAGGAATAAAATATTCAAAAATAAACTTAACTGAAGAGGCAAAATACTTGTACACTGGAAACCACAAAACATTCCTTAAAAAAGAAAAAGATACAAATAAATGGAAAGACCTCTTCTGTTAATGGATTAGGAGACATAATATTGTTAAACTGTCTATAATATCCAAGTTATCTACAGATTCAATGCAATCCTTTTCAAATGTCCAGTGGCAGTTTTTGCAGAAATAGAAAGGCCATCCCCAAATTCATATAAAATCTAAAGGGACCCTGAATAGTCCAAGTAATCTTAAGGAAAAAACAACAATTCCTGATTTCAAAACATACCACAAAGAAATAGTAATCGAGATGGTGTGGCATAAAGACAGACATATAGATAAATTGAATAGAATAGAGAAACCAGAAATAAAACCATGCACATATTGTCAAATGAACTTTGCAAGGGTACCTACATTACACAACGGAGAAAGAGGAGTCTCTTCAACAAACAGTGTTGGGAAAACTGGATATTCACATACAAATTAATGAAACTGAACCCACATCTTACACTGTTTACAAAAATTAACTCACAATGGATTAAATATATAAACTTAAGACTTAGAACAAGAAAACTTCTAGACGAAGATGTATTGGAAAAACTTCAGGACATTGGATTTGCTAATTATTTCTTGGTTATGACATCAAAGGCATAGGCCCAAAAGCCATAATTAACAAATGAGACGTCAAACTTCAAAACTTCTCAGCATAAAAGGAAACAATCAACAGAGTGAAAAGACAATCTAAAGAATGGCAGAAAATATTTGCAAATTATGTGTCTAATAAGGAGTTAATATCTAGAATATATAAGGAACTCTTATAATGTAACAATAACAGAAAAATAACTCAATTTAAAAAAGAGCAAGAACTTGAGTAGATAATTCACTAAAGATATTAAAAAAGACCAGTATTTATAAGAAAATATGTTCAACATTACTAATCATTAAGAAAAATGTAGACTAAAACCACAGTGAGGGCCAGGCATGGTGGCTCATGCCTGTAATCTCAGCACTTTGGGAGGCCACAGTGGGAGGGTCATTTGAGGCCAGGATTTCAAGACCAGCCAGAGCAACATAGCAAAACCCTTCCTCTACACACACACAAACAAACAAACAAGCAAACAATTAGCCTGATGTGCACCTATAGTCCCAGTTACTCAGGAGATTGAGGTGGAAGGATCAGTTTAGGCCAGGGAGTTGAGTTGGCAGTGGGTCATAATCACACCACTGCACTCCAGCCTAGGTTATGGAGTGAGACCCTGTCTTAAAACAAGAAAACAAACAAACAAATAAACACAACCAGAATAAACTATCACTTCATACCCATCAGACTGACCACTATTAAAAGAACAGCAACAAGAAAATCAACAAGTGTTGGTGAAGATAGAAATTGGAACCCTTGTGTTCTGTTAGTGAGAATGTAAAATGATGCTGCCATTATGGAAAACAGTGTGGATGTTACTAAAAACATTGAAAATAGAATTACCATATGATCCAGCAATCTAATTCTGGGTAAGTATCCAAAACAAAGCAATATTTCAAGAGATATTTGAATACCGATGTTCATTACAGCATTATTCAAAATAGCCAAGAGGTAGAAACAACCCAAATGTCCATTGACAGATGAACAGATAAAAAAAAATGTGGCATATTCATGCAATGGAATGTTATGGAGTCTTAAAAACGAAGAAAATCCTGTCATATACTACAACATAGATAGCTTTGATGACATTATGCTAAGTGAAATAAGCCAGTCAAAAAGACAAATATTATATGATTCCAGTCATGATTATATTATGTCATCCACCTAGAACCTGTGAAGATGGCCTTATTTAGAGAAAAGGGTTTTCACAGATACAATTCAGCTCAAGGACGTGAGATGAGACTGTGCAAGCCTAAAATTAAATAACAGGAGAAAAAGCAGAGGGTGATTTGAGATATGGAGACACAGGAAGAGAAGAAAGCCATGTAGAAATGAGAGTAAAGATGAGAGTGATGTCTACATGCCAAGGAATGCCAGGGTTTGCCAGTAGCCACCAACAGCTAGAAAAGATTCTCCCTCAGAGCTTCCAGAAGGAACCAATGCTTCTGATACCTTTCTTTCAGACTTATGCCCTCCAGAACTATGGGACAATAAGTTTCTGTTTTTGTAAACCATAAAGTGTGTGGTAATTTGTTAGAGCAGTTCTAGGAATTTAATATAAATGATTTGATAATCAAAAGACAATGAGTATCACCATCAGTATAGATCAACATATTAGTAACTGGTGAATCCTGTAGTAATTACTTTATGTTTAGATGGTGATCAATATTTTTAGAATCTGCAAATCACTATGAATTCTTTACCTGTAAAAGTACACATGTCCAATACATTCACAGCCTTATATACAATTATGAGGTTGGGAACCTGTTAAGCCCAACCATGAACATAGAACACATATCTAAAACCACTCTCATTCTCACCTTCAATGATACATGATCTGAAACAAGAAAGACGAGTGAGGTTTTTATAGACACAAAAGAGAAGGCCTGGAGACATGGTATTGAGGACTACGAAAATAGAAACATTGGGTTAGGTAGACACTAAATATTTGGAAGACTTTGAATCATGTGCCAAAGAATGTGGAGTTTGTCTTTTAATTACTAGGGATCCATCAAAACTTTTATCTAAGAGAATCATAATAGGAGCTTGATATATGTGCAAATGAACAAAGCCAATTACATTTAGGAAGTCCAATCAACACCTTGAAAAGAATAGATTATCTTTCACAACAAAATTATAATGCATGAACTATGTGATCTAAGCTGCAGCATATAATTCACTAATATTCCAGCAACAAAGATGTCCAGGGAGCATACTTGGGGACATATGGAGCGTTATGAATTGCAGTCTTTCTTTGCAACTCCAAATAGACTATTATATATTTTCAAATTGCTTATTTCAAAGCAGAGTTAGTTTCTCCCATAGGTACCAATTCATATAACAGCAACCTACAGAACAGCCCTCTGTGGCAAACATTATTAGATATTAAAAAGAGAAAAAGAAAAAAATAAATGAAGTCATTGGAGGAAAGTGGTCTTTTCCTGTCTCTTGGGCTAGATATCAATTCTCCAGGATTTCTTTCTCCTCTTTACAAGATAAAAATGTGACATAGCTGAGGACCCCCTGTAGAGAGAGAATAAAACATGAGATAGTATGTTTGGCCTAGGAAAGTGAGTAATGTGGAAAATTCTAGCAGACATATGTAGTGTGAAGGAGATCATGAATTAGAAAAGACTTGAATTTCAGAATCCGGGATCTGGAAGTTATTTACTGTATACTCTTAGCCAAGTGATTTAAAATATCTGGGCCTTACTCTCTCTATCTTTAAAATGGAGAGAATACTCACCTCACAGAGAGTAATTAAATGACATAATATATCTGATTCTCTAGACAAAGATTGTTTGCTCAGAAAATATTGAATCCTTTTCATTGATGCAGAGAATGAAAGTAGAGAAGAAAATTAGGGACACGTGAAACACAATTCTTTCAATGTATGGCCTGTCCATATATATATGTCACATATTCCTGTGCTCAGGTGACTTCTTATATTTTAAGATATATGCAGTCCACAAGGCCTTCACTGATCACACTCACACTAAACTGGAAGCAAACGGAACACAATTCAAATTCCTATGGCCACTATTTTTCAATAAAATCATTTTGCATACTTGAGCTCCAGTTTCCTTATGTAAAGAGGGGGCAAAATAGCAACCCTAAAGCATACTTTGAGGACAAAAAATAGTTTAATCTTACTCAAGCTCATCATAAAACACCCCTCTCCTTAGCTGTTAGAATTAAAAGTATGTGATACTTCAACTTTTTCTTTATATTTTCAGTGTTCTTTGTACATCTGAATTTTTTTCAGCTATTACAGTAGTTACTATTTCCAATTTGAATGGTTATTGTGTGTTCAACTGGGAAAATGATTTATTTATTATATGATGAAGGAGATGCAGTCATTATCTGCAATTTTCAAATGAGGAAAATGAGATTTGAAGATAAGAAGTGACTTTCCAAAATTTTACAAATAATAAATTGGAGCTGGGATTCGTGTCCAACACTGTTTTTTGACTTCAAAGCCTGAATTCTCATTTTTTTTTTTTTTTAATTTTTTTTGTTGAGATGAAGTCTCACTCTGTCACCCAGGCTGGAGTGCAGTGGCACGATCTTGGCTCATTGCAACCTCTACCGCCTGGGTTCAAGCAATTCTCATGCCTCAGCCTCCCAAGTAGCTGGGACTACAGGTGTGCACCACCATGCCCAGCTAATTTTTTTTTTTTTTTTTTTTTTGTATTTTTAGTAGAGAGGGGGTTTCGCCATGTTGGCCAGGCTGGTCTCAAACTCCTGACCTCAAGTGATCTGCCCACCATGGCCTCCCAAAGTGCTAGGATTACAGGTGTGAGCCACCACGCCTGGCCCAAAGCCTGAATTCTTTAAGTTTATGTTCACTATCTATGACCCTGAGGGACATACAATGTGCATCTTTCATTGATACCCTTTAGTAGTAGATCATGTCACCCCATGAGGAAAGCTGGAGGACACACGGGTCAATACATAGCTTGGTCCTACTGTGCAGTAGTGGAAATAGTTGTAAAAGTTGGAATCAGAAGATTTGGGTTTGAGTTCTGGTTCTGACCTTAAACAAGTGACTCACCCACACTGAGCCCCTGTGAAATGTTGATGGTACCACCACACAGAGCTTTGCTATTCTGATCTATAACAGAGGGATAGTGATGGTGCCTACCTAAAAGGCTCATCCTAAGGATCAAATAACATCATTGAAATCTTGGTGGTGTGCCTGATGGTGGGGAGTGCTTAATAAATAAGTCTCAACTAGTGTTATAATTCTGAATCACACTCTGACTATAACAGACTGGCAGAGTATTGGGTTTTATGTCTTCTGCTGTGTTTCAATGGGTTGGTAATATTTGTGTTATCTAGAGATTTGCAGAGGAAAAGGAGATCAACACATGTAGGCCTGAATAAATTCAGCTCGTAGAAAGAAACAAAAATACTGTCCTTATCAGAGATGGAGCTAGCTCCATAACATATTTTTAGAGTGGAGGAAGCTGAGTCATGTGGGGAAGTGTGTGTGGCTTAATGGTGTTGATGACAGAGGACTTCATGGTGAGTGAAACAATAACATGGAATCGGAAACCTTTGGCCCAGATTTCGTTTCTGGTGCTAATCCCAGGGTGCTCACCCTTGGGAAAGCCACTTTACCTCTTTGAGCTCTGTTCTTTTATGAGTAAAATGTAGTCATCAAGACTAATTTTATAGAACTTCTGTAAGGATAGATTAGAAGATAGTTAATGCAGAACATAGCACATCTTGGTAATTTAAGAAATATTTCTTGGGAGTCTGCTTTCAATCTTTTACTTGTATTTAAGCAGAATACCTTTTCAAGTGAACCGTTACCCTGAATAAAACAATTGTCACAGAGCTGCTCTGGTAGAAGGAAGGTGGAAGTCAGGAAGCCCTAAGGTTAGAAATACCCTGGCCAGCACTCCCCTGGGATTGCTCTTTAGTGTGAAACCGGTCTGGGTTTCACACTCATGTTCTCTAGATATTAGGCTCTAATTAGTAAGTCTTGTGACACATTTCTGAAAATCAGACAGTAGGCTCATAGAATAATAGAATTTTCAATTTGAGCAGTACTTTCAAGATAATGTTATCTAAGCTTCCTCCATAGCTTTCATTTATCTGTGTTCATTCAATTACTTATTCAACAAATACAGGATGCCTGTTCTGTGAAAAGCATAGGAGGAGGGAAAACCAGAGAAAGAAGCATTTGCTGTTTCTCTGTCTGCTGTTTTTTTATTCTTTTCCAAGGGAAGAAAATGGAAATCCTTCAGATTGCAAGAAACATACAGGGCCCTATTTACAGCTGGACAGAGTTACTGTGTATTAAATTGCTGTGCTCTTTTTCATACTTATATCTTACATTGCTCTCAAATTCTGTGCTATTGGTCTAATAAAAAGGACAAAAAATATATATCTTGGGAAGACCTATACAAGCAAGTTGTATCCACTTTTAATAAAACCGAATAAGCAAACTGATCATCACTTGGGTTTCTGTATTGTAAATCCAATCACAGTAAGATTTCAAGATCCAAGAATAGCTTACAATGAGATAGAATTATGTATATTTCAACTGGAATCTATAGGAATCCCATGTTGGAATGAAAAGGGCATGAATACTTGCTTTAAAAATATTATCTTATTCTCATTTGATATTAATTTTGGTTTGTATAATTCTCAGGATGAAAACTATTTGAATTTTTAAAAGTCAGGTATTTCTGTATTCTCTTACCCAGAGGCTTTCAATTTGAGGGGCAGCAGTGACATTTGTCAATGTGTACTGATATTTCTGGTGGTCACAACTGGAGAGGGAGTGCTGCTGGCATCTAATGGGTAGACAGCCATGATCTGCCTGTGATTCATAGGACATGTTCCCAAAATAAGAGAAACATATAGTTCAAAATGCCCATAATGTCATCAGTTAACATTGCAATCTCAATGATATCTCTAACAGATGTCATGGGCCCAACTAACCAAGCATTTGTAGTCTATGCCAGTCTAAATTCTGCAAGTGTGTTCCCAAAAACAGCAATCTTGGCTTTCACTTGGAACTCATTAGAAGTCCAAATTCTTAGTCCCCACTGCAGACCTACAGAATGAGGAACTCTGGAACCTGAACCACGAATCTGTGTTTTAATAAGCTGTCCATGTGATTCTAATATGTGCTCAAATTTGAGAACCACTGTTCTAGGCTCTGGTGGGAGACATGAAAACACACTAATTACTCCAAAATTAGGTGAGATAAACACCTAAAAGAAATGTAGAGAGCCCAGGAGTGACTGATGTTTCAAAGAGAAGATTGCTTTTGAGCAGAGCTTTAGACATGGGTAGTATGTTGCCTAATTGGAATGGGATGATGGAGTAAATATCATGAACAAAGGCAAAAGATGGTATAAATTATGAGAGGTTTTCAAGGCATTCTAAATTCAAGGAATGTGTACATCAAGAGGAGTAGTGGCAATTCAATGGAAAAAAAAACTGGGGTCAGACAGGTTATGCATGTAAAAAATTCTAAGCCAAAGACTTTGCCAATCCAAGTTAGTATTAGGATAATGTATCTAGCAGCAAGGATGATACTCTTACAAATCAAGACAGTGTGATAATGATGGGCAAAAGAAATGGTATGCAATAGGGGGAAGAATCTAAGTATGAAGTTAAAATCTTTATGGAATAAATATTGTAGTAATAATATTCAATATTTTCATTTCTTTGAATTAACCAGTGCACTAAGATTCACAAAACTTTCTTGAGGAAAGAGTGACATTTTTCATATAAGCAAGGCACACATGTACATGATCATATAGTCATACACATACAGCTACAGTAGAAACCACAGCCAACTGTCACTGACTAAGCAGTCCTAAAGAGGTATCTCAAGCATCACTTCTCTGAAGGAGTTAGAAGTCAGTCCTAAAGCAATAATATACAGCCAGAAATCCAAGTTTCAAGAAGAAGAGAGCAAGGACAAGTGGGCCAGTACAAATGAGGAGGTAGCAATAGACCCTGCACATTAAATGCTTCCTTCAGTGTGCAGGAAAAGAGCATCTGTCATGCTCATCCTCAACTTGAACCCACTGTTTCCCATTTCAAATCCATTCTACTCCTGAGGTCATTATTTGGGTTGAATCTCATTTTAGAGATGACTACCTCCAGGAAAGATTGTTTCATTTTATAAAAGTTACAATCATAAGAAAGGTTGTTCTTATATCAAACTAAAATTTCCCAGCTAACATGTCTGCTTGTATTCTATAGTAGCGATCTGCGTCTACATGGAACAAGCTTCTTTTTTATGTATCTGTCTTTGATTATTTAAGGTTGTCTTTCAAGTTCCCTTGGATTTATTTAATTTTTTCTATATCAGCAGAATATCTACCTTCTTTAATATTTCTAATTTTTCACAATATTCTACTTTCTTTACCACTTTGGTTGTTTTCCTTTGGATATGGCTTAGTTCAATTAGGTAGCTCTAAAAAATAGGTAAAATTAAATCTAAAAATTAGCTCTAAAATTAGGTTGCTCTAAAGAGGCTCCTTTAATTGAACCCAATATTCCAGATAGAATACTGACAGTACGGAAAATGCTGCAATTATGGGCTCCTGTTATCCTGACACTATTTATATTAATGAACTCAGGCTAGGTACTTGACTAGTGACCAGAGTGTGATTTTAATTGCCAAAACCACGGTAGTATTTCCTTAAAGGCAACTGAAACTCTTCAGAAATGTTGGAGACATTTCCTGAGGCTGCATAATTATATTTTTAAACTGCTTTCAATTTCCCATGACAAGATTGGAGTGTCTAAAGATGGCAAAGTGAAGGAGATAAATAGATTATTGATCAGACAGGCTTGTAATTCCTTAGCGAATTGGATTTAGTTTCTTCATTGAGATCAGGTCAATGCCATAAATCTCTTTAAAAATCAATGCAACAGAGAGTGCTATGAGCTAGGCTTGAAGACATTTCCCTGGCTGCTTTAGAGCTAGGAACTTGGCACCCACTCCAAAAATAAAGGATGAAAAGGACTGGAAAATGATTATATGAAACACTCAGATGCTGGGCATGTGGGTAAGGTGCCTGGTGGGAGTCAAGAGACTTGGAAACTCTTGGCTTGGACACCATCGTATGTGACCTTGGGCAAATCACTTCAACATTGATCATCTTATATGTTACAATGATGAACTTAGACCACATATAATCCAGTGTCTTTTCGAGTCTCAATCTGATTCTGGGAAATTCAGGACAGTTCGTTGCTTGACAGTCTTCTTTGTCATCCTAGAATTTTGAAGACAGTATATCATGATAAGAAAAAAAAAGAAAAACAGAAACTTGGAAATAGGCAGACTGGTATTTACATTCCTTCTCAACCTCTTAGTCATTATAGAGGCATGAGAAAGTTAAGTAACCTCTTTGAACTTTATTACTCCCTTCTGCAAAAGTAGATGAATTACACACTTTATATTCTATGGGGCAATACAGTGCCTGGCCTGTGATAGGCAGTCGTGTCATGGCAATTATTATTTTTCTAGAAGACAGTCTGGAATATTGGAATAAACCCATATCATTATCCCAGTTATTGTCAATGGAATGGAAAGAGGAATTTTGTATTATGGCTTGGGCTGTTCACTAGGTCATCTGGTATGCACTTTTATTTTACACTGGTGTTTATAATGATTCCTTCTCTTCTCGTTGCAGGCAGCAGGTCCTTGCAGTTCTACACTCAGATTGTCATGTCTCTAATCCAATCCTGAAAAAGCCATTTAATCTAGCATTTAACCATGCTCTTTTCATTAAATTGTCATTAATAAGGGAGCATGGGACAACTACACATACACAGTAAGTTTTAGCCTCTGTCCCAGTCCACATATTATTTTGCCTCTCTTTCCTTACTCAAGTTTCCTCTAAGCCATGAGACAAGAAACTTCTACATTGTAATTGATGCTTCTATTAATTCTTTATCTGATTCTTGCCTTGGGGCTTAAATTATATTTTTTCCTGCCTTCTTTTCTATCTGGCCCTAGCCCTTGCCACCAGACATTGCCTAGAATGCAGCGAATAATTAGCCAAACATCAGACATCCGTGAAGCTGTCAAGTCCAGATTCCTTTCTTGTTTTTGATTTTAAATTATTATCCTGGACTCATTCAACTACAAAACACTTCCTGATTGGACAGGAACCTATATGACTCACCATGATTATTTGATCTGGTAGTGCTTACCTTACATCTAACTGTGCCAAGGGATGGGAGGCATGACATGGTAGTACTATACCAGATTTCTTCATTTCATTATTTTCTCCCTCTCCCCAGTGCTCTGTACTCACTAAAATCACGACATCCCTCATGATACTGTGTACCAGGAATTGTATTAAGTGATAACAGTTTGCTGTGATTATTCTGTGCTCATCAAACTCTATGCAATGGTTTCTGGGTAGAAGTGATATGTTCCATGGCCATGTCTGTTCTTTTAAGAATCTCCCTGAACAGTCCTCTATACCTTCATTCCCATCTGTGTGTAGAAGAGCAAAACAACTGTTACAACAAGCAACTCCAAAGTTTGATTGCTTGACAAAATGAAAGTTTAGATCTCACTCTCAGAAATATTCAAAAGTGGCTTTTGCATCAAGTAACTCATCTCCAAGCAATTCCTCAGGGACTCAGGTGCCCAGGCTTCTTACATCCTGCAACTCTTCTGCTGCATAGAGCCTTGGCATGTATTGTTTCCAAGCTACCTTGACTAGCACAGATAGCTACAGAAGACAGAATAAATGTGGCACGAAAGGGCAGGTAGGAATAATTGTAAAGCCCTTTGAAAATACATCCTGGTTTCTGCAGTGAGCCTATCAATGTCCACATTCAAACAAACAAACAAACAAAACAAACAAACAAAAAACAGAAAAACCTTAGAAAGATGATATTGGCATATGAATAATTCCCATTGTCTTGCCTGAAACTCCAAACCTATTGCCAATGAAACTTACTCCCAGCCTGATAAAATTGGGCCACCAGAAGGACAAGTCAAAATTTAGAGAGAAAAATGGTAGTAAGGATGTTTGAACAGATGCACTGCAGATAACTGCATTTTAAAATTGTGTTTTTGGTAATTCCTCATTGAGACGCTCCATTTGTTTTACCATATTTATCCACTTTATTTATTTTGCATGAAAAAAATGCATAAGTGTTTAAAGGATTTGGCACAACGTCTCATTGTGAGGCTGTCATAGTCACAAAAGGCATAAGAAGAGGACGCAAAAGCAAATTGAACTTGATGCTATGAGGAAGTAAGAAGAAAACAGAAGACTGGAGTACACAATGATGGAGATAGATTGAATAACATCCAACTTTGTGTCCATGGAACTTCTCAGGATATTGTAAAGCATAATGGGTAAAGTCTGTAATATTTAGGATTGCACTACCCAAATTTAAAAGCACATATGAACATTCCCATGGGTTAACACAATAAAGCTTAATTTCTTACACACATAATTGTCCAACATGAATGTTCCTGGTCAGTCGAATTGAGGATGCCATCTTTTTCTCAGTCATTCTGGACCGTATTATTTTCCTATTGCTGCTGTAACAAATTGCCCCAAACCTAGTGTCTCAAAAGAGCACACATATTTTATCTTACAGTTCTTGAGGTGAGAAGTCTAAAATTGGCTGACAAGTCTGTACTCCTTCTGGAGAAGAATCTGTTTCCTTGCCTTTTGTTTGTGGAGCTGCATTGTTCTCAGTCCAGCCTCTATTTCTGTTGTCACATTTCCTTCTCCTGCCCTGACCATCTTCCCTTCCTCCTTTAAGGATCTTTGTGATTATATTGACTCACTCAGATAATCCAGGACCATCTCCCTATCTCAATATTTGTATTTGGTCACATCTGCAAAATCCCGTTGCCATGGAGGGTTGTGTACTCATAGGTCCAGGGATTAGTTCACGGACACCTTTAGTGAGTAAGTGCCATTATTCTGCCTACCACAAGAACCACAGATAAGAAGGATTTTCCAACTTCCATAGAAGGTTTCTAAGGTAGCCCTGAGTATCAACATTCACCTGGGGAATGGAGAAAGAGAGAAATATTTGCCCCTGGGAGGATTTTATGACTGCGGACTGACAAAAACATATAATATGTACATGAACTCTTGTTTTGTTCTCTTCTTTCAGGGTATGTAGAAAACTCCAAGTTGCATGTTTTGCCCACAGACTTAGGAGAAAGAAAAATGATAGCGTTGCCTACAGAAGGAGCACAGAGAAGGGAGGGTGAGATCAGTAATGGAGGAAAAGAAATATAAGAAATATGTATCATAACAAGGGGGAAATGTGCTTGGACTGAAGGTTTTTATTTCCCCACATTTTCAAGGGTGGCTGAGGTTTTCTTACAGTGGAACCAGCAGGCTTCTACTGCTTGCAGCCTCCTCAAAATAGATCCCAAGTACCCTGGAGTCCATCTGCAGTGAGAATCAGTTAGAGACACATGACAGCCGTTCCTTGAAATGTGCTCAGTGATTCACACAGCTCACAGTGGCTGTGCAGTAGGGATTATTGACCTGAAAATGACTTTCTCTCCTCCCTTCAATCCCCATTGTCGGCTTGGAAAATTATCTCGGGGCGCATTTTTTTACATTCTCTTCTCTGAAAGCATTATTTCAGTTGTACCCTTTATGCCTAAGGCCTCGTCCTTCCCTAGAGAGGAATTGTGACTCTTGGAAATGGCTGATCATATCACAGAAACTGGGGTATCCTGTAATCTCTGCTGGGCATTTAGCCTTCCAAGATTGTCTGGTATATGTGAGCTCCATCAGTTCTATTTGACTTATTTTTTTGTTTTTCCCTCCCCGGAATGGTTTACTATATTTTCTAACATTATTTAAACATATTTGTTTTCTAAAATTTGCTTAATTGGAAATGGATGCAGATCCATCAAACATGTCCACCTCTCTTTCTATGCATAGATGTTTTTCATGCTTTCCTTTTCCATCCCTACAACCAGTGTCTTTAAACTTCTTTAACAGTTTAACAATCATCTGAAAGCACTTGTTCACTGAAGAGATTACCAGGTCTCTCCTGGTAATTACTAGGTAATTACTAGGTCCCAATCAAGAATTTATACTTCCTACTGATGATGTTAGATTTATTATAATATGAAGCAACTTTAAAAAACACTACTAACACACTCTATAAAGCAGATGGGTTTTTGTGTAATGCATCTGGATCTAAATTAAAGCTCTAGAGTTTGCTAGTTACACAGAATTAGCCAATTCATTAAGATTTCTGTATATTAGTTGATAAATATATAACTACCTAAATCCAGTTCTTAGGTTATATCTTTACTTTTCTTTACTTCACTTATACAAGGAAGACAATGATAATACATGATATTATGTGCTGAATTTTAGTCTACCGGATGTGCTTTGAAATTAAAGCAGGCTGGGTGCAGTGGCTCACGCCTGTAATCCCAGCACTTTGGGAGGCCGAGGCGGGTAGATCACCTGAGGTCAGGAGTTTGAGACGAGCCTGACCAACATGGTGAAACCTCATCTCTACTAAAAAATACAAAAATTAGCTGAGTGTGGTGGCAGGTGCCTGTAAACCTAGCTACTAGGGAGGCTGAGGCAGGAGAATTGCTTGAACCCAGGAGGGTGGGGATCGCAGTGAGCTGAGATCATGCCCACTGAAATCTAGCCTGGGAGACAAAGTGAGACTTTGTCTCAAAAAAAAAAAAAAGAAAGAAAATAAAGCAAAAACAGATTTGTTCTGGCAGAAGTAATCAGAACTTTGCATAACAGAGGAGAATAACATAAAATTACCTGTGAAGAAATATAGACTCTGAGTAGGAAAGTGAGAAAGTGTTAGAGAAGTTTGAGAAGTTAGAGAAGAAAGACATTCTTCAATCTAAACTTTGGAGAACCCTTAGGTTATCCACCCATTGTTGATCTTCAGGTTTAGGCCATGTTCTACTGTTAACTGCTGCGTGGAGTGATGAAATACTTTGGAAGACAGGGTGTGGCCAATGTTCTTCTGAACTTGAAACTAAGATTTTATTTAATTCTATTATATTCCTCATTGTATTAGAGTTCTCTAAAGGGACAGAACTAATAGGTTAGATGCATATATAACGGGGAGTTTATGAAGGAGTATTGACTCATACTATCACAAGGTGAGGTCCCACAATAGGCCGTCTGCAAGCTGAGGAGACAGGAAGCCAGTCCGAGTCTCAATAAAAGTAGGGAAGCCAATAGTGCAGCCTTTAGTCTGTGGTCGAAGGTCCAAGAGTCTCAAAGCTGAAGAACTAGGAGTACAATGTTTGAGGGCAGAAAGCATCCAGCACAGGAGAAAGATGTAGGCCAGGAGACTAAGCCAGTCTAGTCTTTTCACATTCTTCTGCCTCATTTTTATTCTGGACACTCTGGCAGCTCAGCTGATTAGATTGTGCCCACCCAGATTGAGGGTGGGTCTGCCTTTCCCAGTCCACTGACTCAAATGTTAATCTCCTTTGACAGCATCCTCACAGACACATCCAGGAACAATATTTTGCATCCTTCAATTTAATCAAGTTCACACTCAATATTAACCATCACACTTATCTTTTAAGATTCTTTTATTAATTTTATCAAATTTCCATCACCTGCAAGAATTGCCCTTTAAGCCCTTAGTTTTACTACCAACAATATTATCTCCCAGTATTCATGCACATCACTGACCATCACCCTCCACCTGCACGTCATACATGGTTATGTGGCACTGGGACACTTTAAATCACTTATTCTGTTGGAATTTTATGCTTTCAGATGATAGCTATTAAAGCAAATAATTATGTAGTGCCAGTTATGTGACAGGCACTGCTTTGGACATTTTTAAGTAAATTAACCCATTCAATCTTCACATCAACTATTATAATTAACTCTATTTTATAAATGAGGAAACTGAGGCAAAAGCTATGGAGCCAGGAATCCTTGCACTTTACAGCATTGATCATAAGAAAACATAATTAAAGTGAGACTATACACACACACACACACACACACACATATATATATATGAACAAGAATTTATTAATCTAAAGTGCAGATAAGAATAATTTCAACCTAAGTGACTGGGCAATAATTTCTAGACAGTGTATTTGGACAGGAAAATCTCCCTGTTTAAACAATGCCTTGAAAGTTCTCATTCCTGTTTGGCAAAGGGCCTCACCACATGCCATATAATGCTCAAATTATTCAAATATTCAATTATTCTTATATATGACCTCAGAGCTGCCTTACAATTACTCAGCTTTCTTCTTCAGCTTACAGATGAGAAAACTGCCACCTACAGAGGGAAGTCGCTTACTGGTATCGTAGAGCTAAAAGTATACAGGCTTCTAACACCCCTTGTACTCCATACCAGATGATAAGTTACTATCATTTTAGTCATTTTCCATCCACAGAGGTCTAGGCAAGAAGGGATTGGAATTTGCTGGAAAAAACAATAGTGTTCAAATCACAAACCCTGTTCTCATTTCCCTGGAGCATTTCTTTCAAAAACAAAGAAGTAGCAAAGAAAATACTGCAAAGTTAGGAATCTGAGCAATACGTCTGGTACACAGATAAGAAAATATGTGCCAAAGAGTGATTACTGATGAAAAAGTAAAGCCTTATTTTCTCTTCTTTCTTTATTCCTCTCTACATTTCCTTCTTAAAACAGCAAGAGTTCTAAAGGCACAGGCACTGCTCTCAGAGTTAAAACACCTGTCTTTATAAAATATTGCATTATTATAAGATCAGGCAATGAAGTACAACATAAAAGCAAAATTGCCATGAAGTCATTTATACACACACACACGCACTTATATCAATATATATATACACACACACATGCGCTTATATTGATAATCACATTCACATACATTTCCAATTGGAGCTTAAAGTCCAAGGCAAGGAAAATTGTAGCAGAAGATGTTGAATTGAATAAAAGTTCTGGGATCAATCACTGGATATATTTGAAATTGTATTTCCAGTCCATTCCTAGGGACAATTAAATGCAATATTTCAGTAGTTTCATCTTAGGCCTCAATTGCAGGGACAATTGAAATAGAAAGTAGCATGGTTTCAGAGTGGTGAAAAGAAGCTAGAAGTATTTAAAAATTTTTTAAAAGCTTCTTTCAGCCTCTCCCTTCTCAGTCTCAGTTATTTCCATTAATTTAATCCCATTTTACACTAGAATCTCAACAATATGATGGTGGATGTTGCACCATTCTTGCTCAGAATTCTAGCACCAGTATCCACCATGATTCCTTACACCTATAGTATGATTAACAAATGTTATATTGAACTGATTAATGCTAAATTAAATTAATTAAATATCAAATTAATTGAGAAAGGACGGTTCAATCTGTGTTCTGACTTCATTATCACTACCAAAACTCATGGTTACCTCTCACCTCCTTCACTCTCACTTTCAAACATAAAATTTTTTCAGTACATTTTTTAAGTTAAGTGATTCCCCATTGAAACCCCAAAACCCTTCCAATGGCTACCATTGCTTATAGTATAATGCCTAAATAATTTAGCATAAATTTTAAAGACCATCCACCTTTGTTCCATCTCCATTTGTTGACTCATTTGTCATTTCCCTCAATTTTCACTTAGTATTATAATCACAATATATTTCCATTTCCTCCTCAACATGCTATATTTTTTCATGTTTATACATGCTATATATGCTATATATTTTTATATACTTGGTATATATTTTTATATGCTTTGTGTTTGTTGATTCCTCCGTGGGATGTTTTTACAATCAGAAATGTGTAAATCCCTATTTCTTCTTTAAGATCTAGCTGAGATGCTACTTCCACTCTTGAATATTGCCTTTCTTCCTCAAAAACTAATTTCTTCCTTCTCTGCAGCTCCATGGCACTTTCCACTAACCTCTGCATATTTTCAATCATTCAAGTTATTGTGATGGATTCTGAATTCCAGGAGAGTATTGTGCATCTTAATCATGTTTACCTTCCCTCCTACTCAATAACTATCACAGGATGTAATACACAGCTGTTCAACCATCCTTCTAATTCATGAAAGTCTATTTCTAAGCCTCTGGTCACAAACTCAGAATCTTCTGTGTACCACATAAGTAACAGAAATAATTACCCAGGTTTGGTAGAGTTATTGACAAGTAGAGGCTGCATACTGTATCTAACAGGGAAAAATATATTTATCCAGGCAATTTTACCATCTGGGAACATAGGCCCAATAGAATTGGGTCTTCAAGAAAATTCAGCAGTTGAATTTTTAATTGGAATGTCCCCATTTTCAGAGTAGTATGCAGGTCACAGTGGGCTGGATTCAGCTTGTGGACAGGCAATTTGAATCTATGCTACAATTTGTACAAAATTGATTTGGCCTGTCATGTTATCTATATGGTCGAGGAATGGAGCTTTTGAAATATTTTTTAGGTACTTTAATTATTGGATTCCTCTCCTATAGCTATCTGTTTCCTATTTTACTGCAATACAAGTCCTGGTGCCTATTTGCATGAGAAATTTTGTTTTTGACATCTTCCTTGTTTGAAGTTCTTTTCCCTTCCATAGCCTCTCATGTTGTTTATCAGATTCAATGCTGCAGTCAGCTTATCCTTACCAGTTCCTACAACACCATAAAGGAAACTTCTTTCTTTATTTGTTCTTCTGTTCTGTAAAACAGGAAAAAATAATTTCATATGGCTATTGTATTAACAAAATATAAAGAGGAGGTATTCAAAGCATCCTGTAGTATAAGGATTTATATAACAACCTCAATAAGAATCAATCCCTTTACCTTTTGCCTCCTTCATTTTTCTTTTCTTTCTCCCATTCCAATTTTTTTCTTCCCTGAGCCTCACTCCATCAAGAGTTTGGAAGAGGTAAAGCAAAGTGTAATTATTCAATTATCAATAAACAATTTTAGAATGTAAATTGCTCAATTACTCTTCATGTTCTGATTGTGTATTTGAGTCTTACTAAACACTATCCATGCTTTGACTCACTAATAGTGTAAAGCTAGCCATGTGACAACCTTGTATAGAGCAAACTTTTAGCATTAAGGAAAAAGTTAAATGCACTTTGATACTTACCTTAAGCTTTGTTTCTTCAATATTGACTTCTTTATTCAACCTAATGGAAATGTATATTTGGTTGTATTATTCCATTCATTCACTCAACCAGTCATATGCGAATGCATGATATTCTCTCTTTGTCTGTCATTCTCTCATACTTTTTCTGCCCCTCTACATCTCGGGGTCACTTTATTATCTCGATTGAGAGTTCACTCCTCTGTAGTGCTTTCTTTTAGTGTCTTCAGTGATTTTAATTGAATCAGCCATAGTCTCTATATTAAATGAGCTTAAGTAGCAAAAATGATGTGGCCAGTCATTATCTAGAACAACAAGAGATGATCACTGTATGCTCATAAGAGTTGCTCCCCCTAATTGCATCTGTGTGGCAGTCCTCTGCAGGGTAAAACATTCAAATCTGAATAGCGGAAGGCAGAGCTTTATAAATTATAGAAAACTTTCGATGGAGAGTGTTCTGTGTATCGTCTCAGAAACTCCAGTCGAATTATCTGTTCGTCCCAGTTACATTTTGGAAAATCTAAATCACTTGGCCTCACAATAAGTAATACTAGTCACATCCCTGCTCATTTATAGGGAATTGACTGTTCATAAAACGTTTCCACTTACATTGTCTAATCCAATAATTCTTAATGTTTTTTCAAAAAGAGGTACCTGACAGGTAACACACACACGGATGACCCACTTCCATAGATGTATCCAGATGTAGGCACAATCCCTAGAGACTGACTAAATAACACTCTTTTTTTTTCATTAACAAAATAAGTCTCATCTGAAAGCAAATGCATACAAATAGAGCAAGCAAATCTAGTTTGATGTACATTGTAGACACAGAGGTAAGCAATCTGTTCACAAACACTAATGATTTAGCAAACATTCATTTATTTTATATGCATATTCTATAGGCCAAACATGATGACAGATTTTTGGGTGATTTCTGTGAGTGGACAAACACAACCACTACTACCTCCTTTGACACCTAAACTCACAGGATGTTTACTTTCTTGTGCAAGATAATGACAAGTTTAAAAAAAAAAAAGCATAGTAATGAATATAATGAGACTGTGGTGATGAAGGCTTACAATGCTATGTCAGCATCAAGCAGGTTTCTAACCTTAATAAGGATTTAGGTGAATGAAGAAGTCTTTCTACAAGTGATACTATGTGTTTTGAGAATTGAGAAAAGAATGGGAATTAGATAGCTACACTCTTTGGATTAGGGTGGAGAGCAAAAGTAAGGTATTTCAGAGATAGGGAGAAGCATGTGCAATAGTTAAACGTAAATAAATAAGCATATAGTTTATGCAAATGGCTGAAAATAATTCAGCATAACTGAACCACATCCCATAAATGCTCATATACTATCAGAAGCAGATATTAAATTTGATCTTCAGAAGCTCTCAGGGATGTCATTTAATTAATTGATACTTACTAGAAACTAATAATTGGAAGATATGGGCTTGGTTTTTAGAGGTATGCAAAATTTGGCTTTCTAAGTGTCTATAACTTAGTAGAAGGAGACAAATACATAATAAACTGATTATAATTCTTCTCATGAAAATAATGAAATAAATTATCTAACAAGATAATCTGAGAAAAGCAGAAAAGATCAGAGAAGGAATGAAAAATAAAGAGAAAAAAGAAAAGATAAACCAAAGTGATGAAGAGAAAGAAGGAGGAAATGTATTATTTTTTAAAAAAAGAAAGCCAAACAACGTTAGTAGAAAATATTTTCCTCATGGTAAAACTGAATTGGTTGAGGCAGAATTCTCCCTTTTTCTCGATCAAACTTTCTTGATTACATTTTGACAATAATACAAGATAGGTAATTACATTTCTACCAACGAATGATGACACAAGGATGAAAAGCCACAGACAGCAAACAATCAAAGAATAAAAAGGGAGATGATCCTATTATCCTGGCAAAAAATCTGTTTCTATGAGAACCATGAAGAGAAATATAGAAAATCAGACCCATGAGCAAAAAGTCACTAATTCATATTCCAACTACAACACTCAAGATTCATGTGTTGGGCGAATAGATGTTCACGTAAAATATGAAATATGCCCACGTTTCTGTGTTAACATGGAGAATGCTGTGGAAACAAAACAAACAAACAGGTAATATACCTGTATTTTAAAAACAGCTTTGTGAAATAAAAAATACACACACAGGCACACACACACACACACACACACACACACACACACACACTGCCTAATAATTAATTCATATGTTGTTTTTGTTACTCACATGAGACATTTATCTTCAAATGTGGCAAATACTTTTTTTTTTTTTTGAGACGGAATTTCGCTTTTGTTGCCCAGGCTGGAGAGCAATGGTGCTATCTCAGTTGACTGCAATCTCCACCTCCCGGATTCGAGCGATTCTCCTGCCTCAGCCCCCCAAGTAGCTGTGGTTACAGGCATGTGCCACCACGCCCGGTTAATTTTATATTTTTAGTAGAGACAAGGTTTCTCCATGTTGGTCAGGCTGGTCTCAAACTCCTGACCTCAGGTGATCTGCCCGTCTTGGCCTCCCAAAGTGCTGGGGTTACAGGCATGAGCCACTGCACCCGGTGGCAAATAATTTTGAATCAACTAATTCATTCATTCATTTATTCGTTTATTTTGGGTGTAGCCATTGGTCACATAAAGAGGACAGGAGAGGTCATTCCAAAATGTGAAATAGGACAAGGTTCAGAGAAATAATTATTCACGGTAGACTTTAAACAAGATTTGAAGACCACATTGCCAAGATCTTGGTGTCACTTTAAAAGAATCAACTTAACTAGCTCACAACAAGATTGCCTATTGGATGCATCCAGAAGGAACATCTGCTGTCAAAGGACAAGGACATTGACAAGACTGATACACTTTGAGCAGATCTTCAGAAGGAAGGCATTGAAGGTGAATGAAGGGAGAACACAGACACTGGCCTGAACGGGGAGGAAACTGGGAACACAGCATAGGGCTACCATGCACTGGGACTTGTTCCTGGCCCCCAGTGATTCCTGGGGATGAGATGAGTTGAACAGGCAAGGAGCAATTAGCTCTTACTATGGACCTTTGGAACCCTGGCAGTAGGAGACCCCATGACCACCATAGACACTTGAGCTGGAAGAGAGAGCTGCTTAGAGAGACGGTAGGGGCAGGACTCCAGCCTGTGCAGAGCCCCAGAGGATTTGGTGCAGAAACATCTCTAGTGGAGCATGGCGAGGAATGCCCATTCCCCCAGTCTCATTATGCTCCCTTAGGAGATTTGGCCTCAGAGAACTATCAGACCTGGACAGGGCAGGGCAGTCTTGCCCATGAGACATGGCCAGTCTGATCTGATTGCCTCCCTGTCTGCTCTCTTTTCCCAGAACCCCAGGCTGGCTGCACCCTTTGCAGTGCAGCCTAAGATGCCCAACTGTGGTCCCTCCTAGAGCCCCACTTAATAGCTGTATCACCAGAAGACTGTGCCTGACCATCAGAGAGCTGTATCACCAGAAGACTGTGCCTGACCATCAGAGAGCTCCATCAGAGCAGCCCCCACTGGCACACACTAGCTCACCCCACACTCCATCACAGTCTCTTCTGAGCCACTTTACCTGTACACACACATCCACAACCAACCCCACTGCTTTGCTGGTGTGTGCATAGACTAGTCCAAGGTGGACCTGTATTAGTCCATTTTCATACTGCCAATAAAGACATACCCAAGACTGGGCAATTTACTTTTTTACAAAAGGTTTAATTGACTCACAGTTCATCATGGCTGGGGAGGCCTCAAGAAACTTACAATCACGACAGAAGAGGAAGCAAACACGTCCTTCTTCACATGGCAGCAGCAAGGAGAAGTGCTGAGCAAAAGGGGAAAAGCTCCTTATAAAACCATCAGATATTGTGAGAACTCACTCACTATCACGAGAATAGCAGCGTGGGGGTGACCAGATACCATGATTCAATTACCTCCCACCAGGTCCCTTCCATGACACATGGGGATTATGGGAACTACAATTCAAGATGAGATTTGGGTAGGGACACAGCCAAACCATATCAGGACCTCACCTCCCTACCCTGCAGGCAAGTACGCACATGCACATGCACCCTACCACACCACCGTTGCTTACTTGAGTACACCTCCCCCCACACCACCACTGCTGGTGCAAATGTGCACATGAAGACCAGTGGCCCTACCCATTGCCCTGAGTCACCATTGCTGCCACCATAAACACATGCATGGAGTCTGGCAGTCCTGCATCCACCAACAAATCCACTTTGCACTGCCACTGGTATGAATGTGCAAGTGGACACTAGCAGCTCCATCTCCAACCCTGCATTGCCTCTGCCACTGCTGCAAATGCACCTGTGGAAGTCTGTAGCCCTATGCCTGCTAGTGCCCCACACCAACTCACAAGCATGCACCCTGCTGCACTATCGCTGCCCTGCCACTGCTGCTGGCATGTGTGAATAAGCACAGATTCATGTGCCACCACCCTGATTAAGCATTTTGGCTGGCTTAGAGTGTTGGGGTCAGCTGTTTAGGAACAACACCTCAGCCTCTCCAGTGCCTCAGGTTCCTAACCTTAAGGGACCAGAGAACAAAGCTGGGGGTCCAATACAAGCCCCCTTAAGTTAAAGTACACAGCCCAAGAGTGTTGAGCTGAGACTTGGCCCCCTAAAATTTTCCAGAAACGAAGCCAGTTGACTGAACCCACCTTATAATAAAATCTCCAAGGGCATCGAAGAAGATAAAAGGAAATTTTTTTTTAAAATCTGAAGGATAGCAGCTTCAAATATTGAAAGAACATCAGCCCACACAGGTGAGAAAAAAAACAGCACAAGAACTCTGGCAACTCAAAAAGCCAGAGTTTCTTCTTACCTCCAAATGATCACAGTAGTTCCCAGCAACAGTTCTTAATCAAGCTGAAATGGCTGAAATGACAGAAATAGAATTCAGAATATGGATAGAAACAAAAATCAAGATTTAAGAGGAAGTCAAAACTCAATGCAAGGATTCTAAGGCATACTATAAAATAATACAGGAGATGAAAGATGAGATCAACATTTTAAGAAATAAACTATTCTGATAGAGCTGAAAAACTCATAATTACCAGCCAAACTAACCAAGTTAAGGAAAGAATCTCAGAGCTGAAAGACCAGTTCTCCAAAATAACTCAGTCAGACAAAAATAAAGAAAAAAGACTAAAGAAGAATGAACACAACCTCTAAGAAATATGGGATTATGTAAAGAGACCAAGTCTACAATTAATTGATATCCCTGAAAGAGAAGGAGAGAAAGTAACCAACTTGGAAAACATATTGCAAGTTATCATCCATGAAAATTTTTCTATGAAAATTTCATCCATGAAAATGTTTCCAGCGTCACTAGAGGCCAACATTCAAATTCAGGAAATGCAGAGAACCCCTACACAAGATGAAAATCCCGAAGACACAGTCATTAGATTCTCCAAGATCAACGTGAAATAAAAATATGTTAAAGGCAGCTAGAGAGAAGAGGCAGGTCATCTACAAAGGGAACCTCATCAGGCTAACAGTAGACCTTTCAGCAGAAACCCTACAAACCGGAATAGATTGAGAGCTTATATTCAGCATTCTTAAAGAAAAGAAATTCCAACCAATAATTTCATATTGGCCAAACTAAGCTTCCTAAGTAAGAGAGAGATAAGATATTTTTCACACAAGCGAATGCAAGGGAATTCATTACCACCAGACCTGCCTTAAAGAGGTGCTGAAGAGAGTGCTAAATATGGAAAGGAAAGACTCTTACTGGCCATTAAAAAACACATTTAATACATAGACCATTGACACTATAAAGCAACCACACAATCAAGTCTGCATAATAACCAGCTAACGACACGATGATAGTTTCAAACTTGCACATATCAATATTAATCTTGAATGTAAATGGGCTAACACCTCCCAGTTAAAAGGGGCAGAGTGGCAAATTGGATAAACAAGCAAGACCCAATTGTATGCTGTCTTTAAGAGACCTATCTTACATGCAATGACAACCATAGGTTCAAAGTAAAGAGATGGAGAAAAATCTAACATTCATAACAGTCAAAAAAAGAGTAAAATATCTAGGAATACTGCTAACTAAGGAGGTAAAAATCTCCACAATAAGAATTACAAAACACTACTCAAAGAAATCAGAGGTGACACAGGCACAGGGAAAAACATTCCATGCTCACAGATAGGCGGAATCAATATTGTTAAAATGGCTGTACTGCCGAAAGCAATTTACAGATTCATTGCTATTCCTATCAAACTACTGATGACATTCTTCTCAAAATTAGACAAAAACTATTTTAAAATTCGTATAGAATTAAAAAGGAGCCTGAATAGCCATGACAATCCTAGCAAAAATAACAAAGCTTAAGGCATCACATTACCTCACTTGGCTATTGTAAGCAATACAGCATGGTACTGGTAGCGAACAGACACAGAGACTAATGGAACAGAATAGGGAACCCCAAAATAATGCCACACACCTACAACTGTCTGATCTTTGACAAAGTCAACAAAAATAAGCAATGAGGAAAGGACTCTATTCAATAAATGGTGTTGGCATAATTGGCTAGCCATATACAGAAGATTGAAACTGAACCCCTTTCCTACATCATAAAAAAAAATCAACTAAAGATGGATTAAAGACTTACATGTAAAATCTAAAACTATAAAAACCCTGGAAGATAATCACTCTGGACATAGGACCTGGCCAAGATTTCATTTTGAAAATGCCAAAGCAATTGCAACAAAACCAAAAGTTGACAAATAGGACCTGATTAAACTAAAGAGTTTCTGCACAGCAAAATAAACCATCAACAGTGTGAACAGACAAGCTACAGTATGGGAGGAAATATTTGCAAATTATGCACCCAACAAAGGTCTAATATCTAGAATCTATGGGGAACTTAAATGAAAAAGAAAAAAACAAACAACCCCATTAAAAAGTCGGCAAAGGACATGAATGGACAGTCTTCAAAAGGAGACATATATGTGGCCAACAAGCATATAAAAAATATTCAGTATCACTAATCATTAGAGAAATCCAAATTAAAACCACAATAAGACACCATCTCACACCAGTCAGAATGGCTATTATTAAAAAGCCAAAAAGTAACAGATGCTGGTGAGGTTATAGAGAAAAGAGAAAGCTTATACACTGCTGGTGGGAATGTAAATTAGTTCAGTTATTATGGAAAGAAGTTTGGCAATTTCTCAAAGTACTTAAAATGGAATTGTCATTTGACCCAGCAATTCCATTACTGAGTATATACCCAAAGGAAAATAAATCATTCTACCATAACGACACATGCATGGATATATTCATCGCAACACTATTCACAATAGCAAAAACACAGAATCAACCTAAATGCCCATCCATGGTACACTAAATGAAGAAAGTATGGTACATATACATCATGGAATACTATGCAGCCATAAAAAAATGAGATCATGTCCTTTGCAGTAACATGGGTGGAGCTGGAGGCCTTTATCCTAAGTGAACTAACACAAGAACAGAAAATCAAGTATTGCATGTTCTCACTTGTAAGTGGAAGCTAGAAATTTAGTAAATTATAAACACAAAGAAGAGAAGAGCAGAAAGTGGGGCCTACTTGAAAGTAGAGTATGGGAGGAGGATGAGTACTGAAAAAGTACATATCTAGTCCTATGCTTATTACCTGGGTGCTGAAATAATCTATACATCAAACTCCCTTAATACACAATTTACCTATATAACAAATGCACATATACCACTGAACCTAAAACAAAGTTTAAAAATACATAAGTAAAAGGTAAAATAATCAAATGACTTCTCTCCCCCAAATCTGCCCCTCTCACCCATCCTATTCCTCTTTGTTTGGGAGAAGAAAATTTTCCAGAAATTCTCAAGGTATGCAGATATACAGATATCCTAACCTCTGAAACACAGGGGTACATCTTCAGAATTTTTCACTTTCCGGTGGGGAGTCTGTCATGGGAGAAAGTAGATGGTAAGTGCTCTGACCTATAAGCCAAAGTGATACTGTATATGTCAGCATATGGATATGTATGTATCCATCTATCTGTCTTTCTTATACGTGTGTGTGTGTGTGAGTGTGTGTATACTGTGTATAGAACAGATGCCGTGCAGCCTTAAACAAGCCATGTTCTATGAATAGATCTTAATTTCCAAAGGTTTCCGAATATATTTTATAACCTGTAATGAGGGAATATAACAAAGAGACTGTATGTCATAAATCCATGTGCATTTAAATAAACGCTTCTTTTTTGGATTCTGTAGAAGCAGCCTACCACAACACCTGTTTTAAAAATGTTCTACCTTGCCATGATGATGCCTTCCTTTCTTTTTCTCTTCCAGAACATGCTTCTATTCCTGTTTAGTTCTTTTTCTCCCTATGGACAGCTCTCAGAATAAGTAAATACACCTATGACTGAAAGAGACAGACTAGCTATCTGGCTCTTGGGGAATTACAATAGAAACTCACAATCAGGACAGGAGACATTTGAATTTTAAAATCTTTTTTCCACTCCCTTCCTTCTGTGCTCTGCACTGCCCTGGCTTGGGCCACAGAGGGATTTAGCTCCAGACTAGAGTTTGTCTCTGTTCCGACAAGTTGACAGTTTAATAATTCAAACTGTTTACATTTTCCCAAAGCACATGAACCCATATTATTACGCTTTTTTTTTATTTCGATGCCTTCTTCCTTTAAGCTGTTACCTACTATAAGGCTTGATGTCATATCAATGTGCAATGGTAATGGGAAGTTTTTTTTTTCTTTCAATTCATGGGCATTGTCACTCCTCAGAATAATAAGGAGTGAACAGGGCCACATTCTTTTCTCATGAAATGTATCAATACTAACTACAGTGACTTCTAGGCAATTTATAGGGAGGTGAGGACCTAAAACAGATGCATTCTCATTCCTGGAGTCCAGGGAAATCTTCTGAAACCCTGGAGAAATTACTAAACTTGTCCACACTTGCCTAGTCTCAAGTGATTGAAGACTCGCAGTCTCAAGAAGTAGTTGGAACGAGCCCTCACAGAAGACACTGTCTCAAACAATATACAGAAAACTAAAGAATGGAGAAAGATGTATTTCTAAATGAGCCACAAAGACTTGAATTATTTTAGCCAAAGCTTTGTTTTATTGAAATTACTTAAATGAAAGTTAAGGATCTACATTTTTAGGCTGATTGACTACAAAGACAGTTCTGGGACGATTGACGACTATATTTCACACTGAAAGGTACATACCTGACTCAGTTGTCAGTGGACAACCTTCTTTACTTTTATTAAAAAGGTAAAGGAGGGTAGGACTTCAGGATAACTCTCCTGGTTTCAATGAGATTGTGAGGGAGGCCAAGCCAGGAATTGTAGCTTAGAGTGAGGCTGTACTATATATATATCTAGAGAGGAGAATAGCAATTATGTATGTATCACCAGGTGGCTCAAACTAGCACATAAGCATCAACACCTTATTAAGGCAGATTGGCTGGAAAAGGAAAGGGTCTCCTTCTACACCACTGAATTCCTCCTGTTTATGAGTGCTGTTCATCCTGGTTTCCAAACCAAACCCAGTTTTCCTTTCCCTCATTTTCCCACATCCAATAAATCATCAATTTTAGTTAAATCACCTTTAAACTGTCTGCCATATATCTCACCTCTCTTCTAGTGCCAACACCATATCTGCAATGAAGATCATTAACTCATGCCCTTCCTTTATTATTAAAAGCATCTTTATGGTATCTCCAACATTAATTTCCTATAAACTTCACAGGAAAATAAGCTCAGGAAAAACTATTTTAAAAACCAATCTATACAGTATAAAATATTGTTCCCTAAATGCTTATCACCTCAGCTATTTTTGGATGCATCTTTTTGGTTTACGTATCTTTCACTGAAGACCTGCTGATTCCATACCTGAAATGATTAGTAGTCTAGAAAATCCAATGGGTTCAAACCAATAAGAAGAGGTAGAGCACTTTGGAGGTAGTTCTTGCATAGTTCTGGAAAGAGCTGTGAATTAGTGCTTGACATATGCATTTGCATTTTAGCTCTATCACCAGCTTACTTTCTTAGCATTTCACCTATTCATATATAAAGTGAGAATAGTAATACTTATATTTCAGGATTACATGAGATGTGAGATCTTGGCATATTGTCCTTTATTGGGTGCTCAATAGATATGAGGAAAGAGATTGTATACATAGTTGCCAAATCTGATTCCCTTCTGAGAGGGATAAACAAAATTTCTGGCATTGCTGGTTACTGTTCTGTTGTTGTATCTTTATAATCCTAGCCATATGTGTAAACCAACCTGAATGTTTGCGTAACTGACTAAGATTACTTTTTTACTTTTAAAATTTAGTGTTTTGAAATTGTGCTTACTGAATTAATCCTGGAATTCCAAATTCTAGCATGGATAGCTGCAGTCTTGGAACGAGTTACTTAAGAAAGAACTTCACCCTTTCCAGTTTATTCTTCTTCTATAAACTCTACCCATCCACATAGTCCCTCATACTACATCCTCCATACCTCATTCCTTGGAAATACACTTAATGTTTCCTATTTCATTCCTTCATCTAACTTTCCTTTAGCCAGCTTTACTAGTAACTCCCAAACCCTACTGTCATTTTCACAATAATCCTTTATAATGTCATAGAGCTGGGAAAGGGTTTTAGAGATTTTTTTATTAGCCCTCTTTTAGAGACGCAAGAACTGAAAGCCAAAAAGACAAAATTCTTTTCCCAAAAATAGGCTGTTAGTTAGGTGTAGAAATAGACCTAAAACTTAGGTGTTCTAAATATAATTTAGTGAATAATTTTTTCCCTACTTGTGCTGCTTCTGAGCATTACAATTTATTTGTTATATTGTTGTTTCATCTCTTACCTATTCTTAAGCCCTCTGTAAATTCGATCTGCTTTTGTTCACTCACAATATATGAAGTATATTAATCTTTTTGTACTGCCTGACCTAGTTACCTTGGATCTCAGATGGCCATTATCTACCTATGCTAAATGACTGTAAGCCTCCTTAAAAATATAGCCTGATGTCTTTGGTTACTGGGTTTGTGGTTACAGTGTACTCAGTCAAAGACATTAGTCTGATACTAACATAAATTCAAAACAAATTGGTGTATCTTTTCTCAACTTCAAAAATATCTTGAACGAAACCTATATTATTGTGACATTCCCCTGCAGGTTTAGAGACCACAACATTAATGACATAAAATAAAGAAGAAGGCCTCTTTGGCCCCTTCATTTTCTCTGTTGCCAGCAGTATTTTGACAAACATTTTGTCATTATTGCTTAATGGAGGAATTGGTCCTTGTTTTTTTTAATATATATATATATCAAAATTATTACCTTCCCTGAATAATAAAATCAATAAAGTCTCTTCTTGTGTGAAGCCTCTAGCCAACCTTCTCTCAACGAATAATTAAACATTTGAATCAATTCCAGTACTAGCCTATCAGTCACAGGTTTATGAAACTTTGCCGCCTGACCATCTTTGCCTGGAATTCTGTTATTATTTAAAAGAGAAATAGCTTCTAATATAAGTTCTTGTGAAATTGAAACTATCAACTCTATTTCATCTAAAGAGTGGATCTAGGCAAGACTGATATTGCCCAGGGAAGAGAAACTGGTTCAGGCAAATCAAGACCTGCTTGAACTATAACTGAAACCTCAAACTGAACCAAGATTGAACTCATTTTTTAAAAACTCAGACACTGGGAGAGCTTTCTGAGAAACAATGACAGGGGAATCTACTTAAGCTGAGATTCTGTAGAAAGCAAAGAAGACATAAGTTAGGATGTGTGCATATGTCATGGCAATACTAACAAATACCAAGGCACTTAGACTTCTATTGGCATCTGGGAAAAGGTCGAATTAGAAAAAAATAATGTTCCAAAACAATTTCTCATTTTAACTACTGTTTATGACACTTTCTATCTGAAAACCTAAATGTGTTAATTCATGTACACAATTGAATTTTGGGGAACTCAGTCTTTTCCATCTCAAAATTTCCCCAATACTCCTAAGGACTAAAACTTGGACCTAATTACATGGGTAGCTGTGTCTTCTCTTTATTCTCTACTCCTGCAAAACTGGCCTTTATTCAGTAACTCAATGAGCCAAGCTGTCACCTCCCTGCAACCCAATTACAGAATCTTTTCATGGGTTTTTACCTCTTCTTCATCCTTTGTCCCCAAAGACCTGAAAGATAATGTTATCTTTTATGTCTTAGCTCAATGGTGGCTTTTTTTATGGCCCACTCCATCCCCAGACCAGTTATTTATTCTCATGGCAATCTGCAATTTTCATTCATTGCCCTTACCACAATTCATATTAATTATATGCTTGTGTAATTATTTTATTAATGTCTGCCCCTCACTGTCATTTGTGGGCTGTAAACTTAATAAGGATGATGCTGTATCTGTTATGCTCAGCATTATTGCACAAAGATGATTAGGTATTAAATATATATATTGAACAAAAACTATGTATTGCTTATTCTTTGCATTAAAACAACTAGAGAAGGAAGAAGAAAATGTGATTATTGGTTAAAAATAGGATTTCAGAAATTGAAATATTCCTTGTAAACATGAGCCAACATAAATCTCCTTGACACTCATCTCCATTCCCATCAACAACACTGACTGTACTTAAATCAGTCCTGCCATCTTCCCCAAATTATGCCAACTATGGTCAAGAATCTAGTCCAGGTAGCTAGAAGTGCTAACCTCCGATTTTACTGAAAAGTTACTTATTTCACATTCCAAAGAAAGATCATTTTTTATATCCTTTATTTTGGGAGGGGAGGGAGTTTATCATAGACATTAGAAATGGTGTGAGGTAATGTACAAATAGAAAAAAGAAATTATTATTTAACTATTAGCTAGGATATTTAGAATGTCTTTTCCATAAAATCTAACTGTTAAAATAAACTTTGGAAATAATATATTCCATTTAACCACTTCTCACAGCTTCATGAAATGACAAGATAACATGGACAATATTGTGTGCTGGAAAGAACACTAGACATGTTCTTTCAAAAGAAACTCATGGATGCCACGAAATGACGGCTCCTGCCTGTAATTCCCGCACTTTGGAAGGCCAAGGTGGGAGGCTGGCTTGAAGCCAGGAGTTCTAGATTAGCCTTGGCAGCATAATGAGACTCAGTCCCTATGCAAATTAAAATTAAAAAGCCAGGACCAGGCGCCGTGGCTCACACCTGAATCCCAGCACTTTGGCAGGCTGAAGCAGGTGCATCACTTGAACTCAGCAGTCTGAGACTAGCACCTGGGCAACATGGCAAAAACTGTCCCTAAAAAATACACAAACGTTAGCCAGGCATGGTGGTGTGCACAGTAGTTCTGGCTACTCGAGAGACTGAGGTAGGAGGATCGCTTGAGTGCAGGAGAGAGGTAGAGGTTGCAGTAAACCATGATGGTACCACTGCACTTCCACTTGGGTGATAGAGCAAGACCCTGTCTCAAAATTAAAATAAATAAATAAACAGTCAGGTATGGTGGTGTGCACCTGTAGTTCTAGCTACTGGGTACTCAGTAGACTGAGGCAGGAGGATTGCTCGGGCCCAAGAGTTTGAGATTACAGTAAGCTATGGTTGCACCACTGTTCAGCAGGCTGGGCAACAGAGCAAGACCCTGTCTCTTAAGATAAATAAATAAACAAATAAATAAGAACTCATTGGACACTTGCTAAAAGTCAGGCATTGAATTTAGCTCTGTAGACATAATAAGAAAAAAATGTCAGACTGAACAATTAGGAGACCTATGTTCTTAATTACAAATCGATTCGTTTATTTCTCAAAGGTTCAGATTCTTTATTTGTAGAAAAGTAAATGAATTACCGTAGATGGTTTCTAAGATTATTCCTGGCCTTAGGATACTGTATATCCTCAACTTTCCATTTATTATTTTCTCACTCATTAATTCGGCAAACATTAATTAAGTTTCTGCTACAAATGTTTTAGATGCAGTTTTGAGCACTGGAAGTAAATCAATAGAAAAAATATAATTCTTGCCCTCATGGAATTACGGTGTGTTGGGGAGGCACATAATAAAGAGAACAAATGCAAATATATGATATGTTAGAAGGTAATAGATCCAATAAAAAATAGAGTAGAGAAGAAGAGTAAGGGACCTCAGGGAGTAAGGAATACAATTTAAAATATAGTAGTGAAGGTAGGCACCAAAAAGACCATGAGACTTAGGCAAATACATCAAGGAAGTAAATGTTGCGTGTGTGGAGAAGAGTACTTCAGGCAAAGACAGCAAGTTCAAAGATCAAGATACACATGTGCCTTAATGTTTAATGAACAAGGAAAGCAATGAATCTAGCACTGAGGAGAGTAAGCTTAGATCAGAGAGGTATGAACCCACGGTCACGTGGGGCCGTAGAAGCCATTGCACTCTCTGTGATATAGGGACCTAATTGTTAGGAGAACTAAAACAGACTATTGGCATTATTTTAATCACATTTTAACATAATGAATCTGAATTCTTTGTTTACAAATTATGTGGAGGGAGTGGTAAGGATGAAAGTGGGGAGAGTGGTTAGGAGGTTATTATTTACAGTCCAGATGAAAGATAGTGGTGACTTGCACCATGGCAGTAGCAGTGGAGGTGGTGACAAATGAAGTAGCTCTTGATATACTTAGACTGTAAGACAAACAGAATGAGCTAAAATATTGGAAATGGGGTTTTAAACAAATATAGAAGTCAAAAATGGCTCTAATACTTTTGGTCTGAGAAAGTAGAGATAGAGTTATCATTAATTGATATAAGAAAATTTCTGAATAGAGTAGATTTGGAAGTAGAGAAAGAGCAGAATAAGAATTCAATTTCATGCAATCAAAACCACGATGAGATACCATCTCACACTAGTTAGAATGGTGATCATTAAAAAGTCAGGAAACAACAGATGCTGGAGAGGATGTGGAGAAACAGGAACACTTTTACATTGTTGGTGGGAGTGTAAATTAGTTCAACCATTGTGGAAGACAGTGTGGCGATTCCTCAAGGATCTAGAACTAGAAATATCATTTGACCCAGCAATCCCATTACTAAGTATATACCCAAAGGATTATAAATCATTCTACTGTAAAGACACATGCACATGTATGTTTATTGCAGCACTATTTACAATAGCAAAGGTTTGGAATCAATCCAAATTCCCATTAATGATAGACTGGATAAAGAAAATGTGGCACATATACACCATGGAATACTATGCAGCCATAAAAAAGAATGAGTTCATGTCCTTTGCAGGGACATGGATAAAGCAGGAAACCATCATTCTCAGCAAACTAACACAGGAACAGAAAACCAAACATTGCATGTTCTCACTCATAAGTGGGAGTGAACAGTGAGAACACATGGACACAAGGAGAGGAACATCACACACCTGGGCATGTCAGGGGGTGGGGAGCAAGGGGGAGGGAGAGCATTAGGACAAATACCTGATGCATCCAGGGCTTAAAACCTAGATGACGAGTTGATAGGTGCTGCAAACCACCATGGCACATGTATACCTAAGTAACAAACCTGCGCATTCTGCACATGTATCCCAGAACTTAAAGTATAATTTTAAAAAAAGAATTCAATTTCAGACTTTTAATGTTTGTGGTGACTTTTAGGAAGTTAAGGGGAAATGTTGAATAGGCACTAGTATATATTAATTTGATATTAGAAGAAAATGTGAAACTTTGCGAGTCACAGAACATAGATGATATTTAAAATCATGGGGTAACATTATTACAGGAGTTAGGTATCAAGAAGAGAAATTCAATCTTAAGCTTGGAAGTATATTGATGTTCAATAGTCAGTGAGATGAAGAGGAGTTAGCAAAGGAGGCTGAGAAGGAATCGTCAGTGAATGTGGAAGAAACCAGGAGAGTATGATGTTCCACAAGAGAAGTGAAGAGAATGGATCAAGGAGGGAGGAGTGCTCACCTGTATAAAACCTTGCAGATATTTCAAGCATGGCAGAGTAACCAGTTCTGCTCAAGTTTCAATCATTTGACTTATCAATGTGAAGATCAGAGTGACATTAAAAGACCAGTTAAAAGGGAGTGGTAAAAATTAAAGTCAATTATTCTTTATGGACTTCTGTTCTTTGAATAGATTTTCACAGACTTCAGAGTTGCATCCAAGCATTGCTTACTGTGACTTAAAGTATGTGAGTAAATGAGTAATAATATTCAGTGGCTCAAAGGTCACAGTCTCAGCTCAGTGATTAAGGACTCACATTAGGAGTTATGAGTGACTGACCCTTCCAAGAATACAATGAGCCCAATCTCCATAATGTGACAACCTCATCCAATCTTCAAGGGTCTGTTGTCCGCAAGGTACACTGAGAAATACTTTTTAAAATTGTATGTCTGTCTCTTTTGATCTAAATTTCCTAAGATTAATTTGCCCTCAAAGATGTACCTGGTTTCTCTTAACAATGCATAGGATACTTTCCTCCTAAAATTTATGAGGCAATTTTTACTTTCACCTACAACACATCTTAGATGGTTTTCATGGCATTAACCTAAAAGTTGGTTTCAGATAGTTTGAATAAAGTTCTGGTAACAATAGAGCCTTTTGTAAATTAGACATACTTTTTCCTATTATCTTTGATAAATGTCTCTTTATTCTTAAAACTGTTCCCTGTTCTTGGAGTATCCTCTCTCTGTCTACAAAGACTACTTTGATTCTTTAATATCTTTCCAGTGACACTTGTCCTTTCCCAAATATTACCTCGTGTGCCTAGGTATGTTGTATTCAATTTGCTACTCATGTACATTTCTCTTACCTCCCTGACTCTTCTAACTTCATTCATATTTCAGCAGACTTTTTGTCTTCTTCATTAGACTGAGTGCTTTCTGGAGGCTGACAGATTCCTCTTCAAATTTATAATATTCAGTACAATATCAGTTGTATATCATTTTTGTTTTAGAAATTGATACCTTCCTAGTATAATACTGCCTTCAATCACATATGCATACTAGGTCTCCTTATCATAAGCTTCTTGGTTAAAATCTTGAGTCACTCTCCTTTTTTTATCCTGTCATCTATTAATAATTATCTTTTACATTGGTATGAGAATGCCTCAAAGCCCATTGGCATGAAATTGAAGAGAAGTCCTCATCATCTCTCTTTTTTACTCTTGACCACACCATTCAGATTGTATTTGAAAGAGCCTCTTTTCTTCAAATGCCAATGCTTTAATTTGCAATCCTGAGATTAATTGCTTTCATACTGAATTTTCTTCATCTCATCTTGTTTAGTGATTGGATTATTGATCTATATAAACTTTGTCTCTCTCACCTGTAAGTACAAGGTGCAATTTTCTGTCTCCCCTTTAGCAACCATCATGGATCCTTGCTCATATCAGGTGCCTAAATGTTTATAAAATAAGTTAAAAGCAAACAAATAGTATGACGCCTAATTCACAAACCATTCTAAGCAAAGTTCATGTATTTTGCCTGTTGGATGTTTATTTCAAAGCTTGCTTAAATGACTTATGTGATGTCTGGTCCCTGATTCTCATTACAAGAGAATTGTCAAACTATATTAAATTGTTGAGGAATTTTGATAGAATATATAAAGTGTACTGATTTAAAGATAGAACTGAAAATTATAAATTATATAAATATCATATTTATCAATTCTATTTTTAAAAATCTTAGTATGTGTTTTATAAGACAAGCAATTTCTAATTTCTCAAGAACACAGACAATGGCATATGGTTTGTGTGGTGCATATCCAACATAAAGACTAAGAATTGAAGCCAAATCCTTGATAAAGAGACCAGTTTGGAAGAGCTTAAGATTAGAAAACTAGACATACTCAGTGGTGTCAGCAGACACAAACTCATCCCACTGGAAAAAAAAGCTGAAGACGAATCTCCGTGACTATGGAGAATAAATAAACCTATGTCCAGAGAGTCCATGACCTTTTGGCATTCAGGAGATCTAGGTGGAGGTGGCAGACATGTGTGCCAAAAATTAAGTGGAATACGGTAATGAAGAACAAGAGGAATAAAATAATTAACAAATATTCGATTCTGAAAGACCTAGGAAAATACTAAAATGAGTTATCATTTCTAAATACATATAGAACAGCAGGTGTTTTATATGCAATATCTATTTTGAGTTTCTCTAGGATAGCTATAATCAGCCCCACTTTTCAAAAACAAAAAATTGAGTTTAGGCAAGTCACAATGCTAGTAAGTGGTAGTAGGAAATTCAAATCCAAGTGTCTGATTTCAAAGTCATAATCACATCACTACCTGGCATGTTATCCAAACTGGAACTCAGGCACGTAAGAGAAAAAAAGTGACCAAGCTCTTGAAACCTTAATACATGAGAGATATCTAATCAGAATAGAGCAGAACACCGTTACTAAAAGTGAGACACATTGGAACTAAACCTCAGTAAAACTAGCTTTATGTTCAGTCTTGCTCATGACTGAATGAACATTCTTGAGCCCTTCTACATTAGGGAGAATTGGTCCCAGTTCTCCGTATGAGGCTAAGCATGTATCTTTGGAAGCTAAGACAGTTATCAAAGTAAAGAAAAGGTGAGGGTAGCAGGAGCCCAGCAAGGCATCAAATGAAGAAATTAAACATGTAAAGATGATGTCGGCCAGGCGCGGTGCCTCACACCTGTAATCCTAACAATTTGGGAGGCGAGGCGGGCAGATCACTTGAGGTCAGGAGTTTGAGATCAGCCTGGCCAATGTGGCAAAACCCCCATCTGCAATAAAAATACAAAGAAAAAAAAATTAGCCGGGTGTGGTGGTACTTGCCTGTAGTTCCAGCTTCTCTGGAGGCTGAAGAACAAGAATCACTTGAGCCTGGGAGGTGGAGGTGGCAGTGAGCTGAGACCACACCACTGCACTACAGCCTGCGCGACAGAGCAAGACTCTGTCTCAAAATGAATAAAATAAATACATACATAAATACATATGATTATTTTATTGTGATCTTAATCTTCTATTTCAAAATTTTTGTTGCCAAATGGCCCAATCCTGCAAAACAGCTGCACTTTGGCTGCAAAAACATCTAATTACCTTTTATGGGATGATCTTGGAGCTCATTCATTTAAAGATTTATGATGAAAACTCACAACAAAGTTAAGAAGCTAGAATATAGAATTGTTTACACGTGGGGGGTGTGGAATACAGAGGCTGACTGAGAGAAGGGGGTGGCTTGGATAGCAAATTCAGCCACATTCTCTCTACTACTTCTCACTTGCTCATCACTGAATTCATGCCAGAAAAGGTCACTGTTGACTGATAATTACTACTAACCTCTCTCACAGAAACTAGAAACCTTTGAACAAATAGAGTAGCTGAAGAACGTCGTAGTTAGAAGGAGTATCCTACTGGTTCTTTCTCCAGGCCCCCTTCACTTCATAGGTTTACTGCATCTCAGCCAAGTGACTCAAATGTGATTTTTCCATTGGCTCCTTTTAGAGATACAATCCCAACATACCAACCTTTGAAGGCTTAATGGGCTAGGGGTTCAAGTCATAGCCGGCTTCATAGATTATCTGGTAACACATCAATAACAGTAACTCTTGGAAATTACCAGGATGAGACAGACCAATACTAAACTGGAAATTCAGAGAATCGGGTCTGTACTAGCCTTGCCACCACCTAGTTATGTGACCTTGGATATTTCATGCCTTTGAGTCTCAGCTGTCCTCACTTTAGAAATGGGACTGTGTAGAACCACTGATCATTATTGTCTGTCTGCATTTAAAATTTCCATGCCATTTCCTTTAGCTCTAAAACCCCACCTTCCCCATAGATCACATACAGCTCCATAATGTGCTCTTAGATTAAAACTTTCTGGGGGCCGGGTGCAGTGGCTTACGCCTCTAATCCCAGCAGTTTGGGAGGCCTAGGTGGGCGGAACACCTGAGTTCAGGAGTTCCAAACCAGCCTGGCCAACATGGCGAAACCTCATCTCTACTAAAAATACAAAATTAGCTGGGCATGGTGGTGCATGCCTGTAATCCCAGCTATTTGGGAGGCTGAGGCAGGAGAATCGCTTGAACCTGGGAGGCTGAGTTTGCAGAGTGAGCCAAGATCACACCATTGCACTACAGCCTGGGCAAAAAGAGTGAAACTCCATCTCGAAAAGAAAAGAAAAGGTTCTGGGATAAAGTGTGTTTTGAAAAAGCTGTGTTGAACAAAGCTGAACAGATTTATTTTCTGTGGGGGATGTTTTGGTGTCTTTAAAATGCAAACAGCCATAATGACTCACCAACAACTCAGGGGAAAAATTTTTTTTTTCCTCCAGATTTCTGATCCATTCCTGATAACTTTTCCCTAAGCCCTCCACTCTCAGTGTATTAGACCATGAATGTTTCCCACCTCAAGCTGGAAGGACTAGATTCTTTGTTGGAGGTTGGAAACTGAGACTTAGTCTGGTTTTTGTTTTTTTGTTTTTTTGTTTTTTTTTTACAATTTTGCTGGTAAACACTTGGAAACAATGGCAACTTTCACCACAGAGCAGCAGGATTCAACCCACTGGCATCTAAAGGCAAAGAGGTTTGGGGTGCATAAAGAAAAGCAGAACTGAATGGCAGTGTCTACTCAAAGAGATGGAAACCTGCTTTATTTAGGGACCCCTTTTACACCTAAATCTGGACCATTGTGAGACCCAGTACTGCTTTTTGAACTTGTATACTCTGCCAACCTTTGATCATACCCAAAATCTCCTCAACCAAAGCTATTCAGTATCTACTAAGCAGATTTAGATAAAGGTCATACAATCAATGCATTCCTCTCTTTTCATGAGCAACCAACAGGATTAATATTTTACATAACACACTGTTGAAATCACATGCATATGTTTTAAGATTATCTGAAATAACTGATGATGCTGCTACTAATAATAATAATTTAAGTTAATGTATATATCTGAAGCTAATCACATCGAGGACATTGCTTTCTTCTCCTTTTTACGTAAGTATTTATGTTGCTAAAGTTTTAAAAAGTGACTATGCCTGAATGCCAGCAATATGCCAGCTATGGAGATAGACTCCTCATGAACATTATATAATTTAAACAATAAAATGACTCAGTGAGGTAGATAGAGTCTTCTCCCCCTTTCAAAAATGAGAAACAAGTAATCAGAGAATTTGTATAATTTGTTTAAGGCCTAAAGCTACTAATTGGCAGAGGTGGATTCCTAGCTCAGGCCTGTCTGACCCCAGGGTCTTTGCAATTTTGTTAAGCTATGTCTCATTAATTTGCCATGATATACACTCATGCCATCCTCTCTCCTATTGCCCCCTGGCCCACCTTATGTCCTTTCCTAATGCATTTCTCTCTATCCCTTTCCCTCCCTTTTTCTGTCCTCCGTTTTTCTCCTTCCCTTGATTCTTCCTTCCTATCTTTTTCCTTTCCTCTATCTCTCCCTAGCTTTGCTACAACTGACAATATTACAGGCTGTCCTAAATGTCCCTAAATGTTATCTTCTCTGCTTTTGCAAAGTGTGTCTTTTTTCATCTCCCTTGGTCCTCACTGAGTCCCTGTTGTGGCTTTGTATTCTTTGCCACCTCTCTTTGCCCAGCCTCTGAAAATGCCTCTAAAAACCTACATTTGTCCCAACACTTTCCTAAGAAATGCACATTTCCCGTAAGGACCCCATTTAATTTTTATCACCAGCACCACTAAAATAACTGCTCTCAATACATTCATCCAAGACTTTTCACAGCCAGCAACCCCCTTCCTTTGCTTCCTTTGCTTTTTTAAACCTGTCAGGAAAAGGTGTTCTGAAATATTTCATTTTGTTGTTACTCAGAGCCGTGATTTTCCATCCTAACCATTTCAGGGACTATGAGTCAGTGCTTAGAACTGACTTGTGATTTCATCAACTTTCTTTAGGCTGGAAAATGCACAGGCTTGTGTCTGTCTCTGTTGCCCAGGAAAGCATTCCTAGTGTTTGATGCAGGCATCAAGACTGTGTCTTACCTGGATCCATAATCCTTCAGCTCAGTTGTTTCTAACACTCCCGGGAATCTTTCATCCATTGGAGAAAAGTATACTATCAAAGACTTAGATTAAACTCTCAAGCACATGACAAGTTATTCAGAGCAGAGCTGCCGCAGGACTGAACCTGAACCTATGAGGTGTCTTCTTCCTAGTTCCATAAAATCTCTTACTTCTAAGAGATCTCTTGGAGAGGTAGCTGCCAACAAACAGTATCCAAAAGACTGAGAACAAATAACGCTCCAGCCCAGTGATTCTTTGTTTAATAATTATTTTGGAGGAGGGGATATTAATTATTATTATGCAAAAAGTAGAAAACCAAGGACAAGAAGAAAGGAGGATGAAAAAGAAGACGAGAAAAATTATAAGGAAGAGGCCTCTGTGGCCAAATAAATTTAGAAAGTTCTAGATTAAGTGAAAGTAAACAAATTTCTGTACTTTCTGACTTTTTGTAGAGTAAAAATATTCTTTGAGAATATTCTGAAGAAGGTGCTTTAAATTTTACAAACTTATCCAAAGCTTTTGTTTTCCATAGATTCTCACATCAATGTAGTTTTACAAAATACTTTAGGAAATAATGCACTCCCACTTCCTGAAAGAACTATATAACCATCTGTGTTATTCATATTTAATTCATTAATATATTCACTCATTCATTCATGCATATATTTATATAGTCATTCAAAATTTTGACTAGCATTCATTGTGATCTGAGCACTACAGATACAAAGATGAATGAACAGAATCCTAGTCCCTAAGGAATATGCTGTCTGATTAGAAAATGGGCATTTGGATGAATAAATTATAAAATAATGTAATAAGGGCAATAATATGAAAACAAGAGATTCTGAGAGCACACAACAGGGCGAATCAATTTTCCCCTTTAGTTTAAAATGTATTAGTCTCTCTTTCATAAAACGGGAATGATAATACTTTCTCCATAGGATTGTTGGAAGACAGAATAGACTTCGCTGAAAAGAGGCGTGAGTAGCCTAATTTGGTGGTCTGTGTTTTGTGAATTTGGTAGCAAGAGACCATTAAAAGAAATGCTGAAGTTAGGAATAAGAGAATCAACTGTAGAACTTGTGAGGGGTACCCAGTGAGAGGAACAAGATAGCAAATGTATGTAAGAAATGGTCTTGGCTATATGTTTGGGAGCAAGGAAAGAGCTCAGCAAGTGCTTATGGCAAATTAACTGCATTACACATTTTAGTTCTGCCATGGAGAGAAACAGAATCACTTCACAATACTACTAGATCTGAAGAGTTGATGAATTCTCACCTATCCATGTTGCTTAGACCGAAGCAACAGCAGAAACCTCAGAGAGAGTCAGTTCACTTTGCTACTTTTAGCATATTTTCTATTTTTCATTGTCCATAAATTTTTCTTCTAAGTTGCTGGCTGATTTAATCTCAAACGTCCACTTCTCAAAACGCATACCTCCTGTAAACTGACTGTGTTTATTGAGCCCCAACCCAGGTCAGCAAAACATGACATTGCTACATGGTTAAATAAAGTCAACTGATCCGAGTTCAACATGATGCATTACTGGATCCACAAAGGATCTGGAATCCAGCTGCACTCCCCACAAGGCAAGGATCTAACATGCTGTTCTATGATGCTCCTTTGGAAATCTGGAGTAAGAATTATACTATATAAAACCAAATTCTCTTATCTTATAAAACCACATTTTAAAAATCTTTAAGTCTCAGAGGGAGGTTGCAGTTGAATCAAGCCCCAAAATAGCTCTGGCAACTTTCATGAGAAAAGCAATACATATTTATTACATTTAATATCTTTTAACATAATTCAGACACATTCACTGTTCAGAGAGTTTTTTGTGTTTATTTTTTTTAGAATTTTTTTTTATGTGATCTGAGAATTGAATGAACAGAAAAGGGAAAAATGAAGAAGAAAATTTTGGCTTCAGCAGCAGCCGTACCTTTCTGGTGTTTGCTCTGAATTTTATTAGCTAAAATTTACTCTCTAGCAGGTGGCTAACTGTGAATGCAGGAAATTACTAGGCTTGTCCTTAGACTCTGAAGATGGGTGAAGGGTGCAGTCAGAGAATAGTAGAGCTCAAAATCTGCTTCAGAAATCACTGTTAATGGGTAGATTGTGTAAGTATTTTCTTGTTGGCAAAATGCCTTTCATATATTTTTACATATCTCATTGAGGCTAATTTTACATGGGAGGAAACTGAGAATCAGAAATCGTATTTCACAAGGTTGTGCATACGGTGGTTGCAGAAACCAGGATGAGGAAATCATCACTTTTAATTTCTTTAATTACTTGAGCTCTTTCTACACTACCACATGGCTTCCAAACCCTTCATTCATTCATTCAAAAATTACTGTATTGTGTTCCTATTATGTGCTAAGTTTTAGAAGTGTGGTTTTGAAAACCATAGATACATTTCCAGTGATCTTGGAGTTTTAGCTCTGGTTTTACAGATGAGGAAATGAAAACTTAGAATAACCAAGTTGCTACCTTTTAATCACAAAACTAATTTGTGGTAAAGCTGGGAATAGACCTCAGCTCTCTGATAATTAAAAAAAAGAAAGCCTTGCCTACAAATCAAAATTGCATAAATGGAATCCCATTTCCTGCCAGCTTCCATTATTACGGTAGAAACGCTTTACGTTCACTTCTGATTGATTTCCAATGGGCGGTGGCCTTCAACATTTTTAATGGTTTCTTGTTTTGAACACACCCTCATCTTCGCCGGTTTCCTTATCTTTCTAGTAGATGATCTTTAAGCAAATTTATTTGTTAAAAAGAAATCAATGTTGAAAACATACAGACAAACACTCACACGCTTAATTGAATGAACATTTTCAGATATAAGTCACATTCTACTTTATTTTTTATCCATTCACTTGCATAGATGGGGAAAGTGTGGGATGCTTTTTTACATTTGGACTCATCTGGAATGCAGTTTGCCTGCATTTTAAAAAATACTTTTGTGGCAATTAAGGTTTATAGGTATAAAGGAAACAACAGTGCATATTTTATTTTGCCAGTAGATCCTCTATCTTAGCAATATTGCAGAAAAAAAAATAGAAACACAGGATAAGAAAGCTAGAAGATATTTTAATCATTATGTGTAGTGGTTGTTAATTTTTGGAGACCAAAACTTTTTAAAGAATTTGATTAATTATATTTTAATAAAATGTGCTCTTTCATTTACAAAAAACAAAATTTAATGAAAACAACACATGGTCTTTCTAGGCAAACCAAACATACGTACAGGCTTACAAAATATTGTGTACAGCATTAGACAGTCAACGGCTCTCTGAAGCATATCATCCTTGAGGGCTCCAGGGATCTCCTATGTAAGAACACAGTCCCCACTGCCCTTTGAGAGTAAGAGCTCTGCTTATTGGGTTCAGTGATTTGTCTGAAGCAACTAGAACTGCACCTGCCTCATTATAGTATTCCATAAGCTTTTGATTGACCAAATGGATGTTCCATTAGAAGAAAATGTAGGTTCTATTTCATCCAGGGCTTTCTTATTCAACTTCTACACACAAAATCATCTTCTATAATGAAATCTTACATAAAAAATCAATATAAAAACTTATAAAAGTATAACTGTCCTGAATGAAACGGGAGTGGGGCTAAGCCCAGAATCTTGTTCAGGTACATTTGCTCCCACTCATAAAACCTGTGTGAACCCCTGGGGAATTTCTTGTTATGCAGATGAAGAAGCAGAGGGACTATTACATTAGTCATGGTCAGACAGCAAAGAAATTGCAGAGCTGAGATTTGATTATAGGCTGCCTTAATCTTGAACAATGACTCTTACTGACTCTGCTATAATCAAGCCTTTTGAAAAGTTTATAACCTTAAATTGAAAATAGTTGGCAAAGCCAATGATCTAAGCAGACTTCTTCAAAATAAAAATGAAGAAACTGATATATGTTTGTGAAGTGACATAAACAAGATCTCTCGGTTTTTGCATTTGGTGCTACATAGTCATAGAAGATGAACTTTTGATTCAACACATTTACATTTATCAACCTGGTAATATGTTCCAGGCTTTGCTAAGTGCTGTAAGCATAATGAGTCACACTTGTTTTTCAGGGATTTGTGATCTGGAAGTGAAGACAGAGAAAAGGTATCTGCAATGGAACATGATGTATTATATAATGTTATATGTTTTTATCTCTCATCCCAACTCATTGGACAATTCTTTTGGATATACTATAAAAATCTGATCATTTCTCCTTCGCTCTCCTGCTGCCACCCTGGTCCAAGCTACCATTATCTCTCATCTGAATTAGAGCAGTAGTCCATTAACTGGTCTCTCTGATTTCATCCTTACTTACCTACAGTCCTTGTTCAACACAATACCTAGAAGGATTTTTTGTTTGTTTGTTTGTTTGTTTTTGTTTGAGACAGAGTTTTGCTCTTATTGCCCAGGCTGGAGTGCAATGGCACAATCTCAGCTCACCGCAACCTCTGCCTCCCAGGCTCAAGCAATTCTCCTGCCTCAGCCTCCTGAGTAGCTAGGATTACAGGCATGTGCCACCACGCCCGGCTAATTTTGTATTTTTAGTAGAGACAGGGTTTCTCCATGTTGGTGAGGCTGGTCTCGAACTCCCAAGCTCAGGTAATCCACCTGTCTCAGCCTCCCAAAGTGCTGGGATTGCAGGCATGAGCCACCGCGCCTGGCCCCTAGAAATATTTTTTTTAAAAACATAATAGAGATCATATTACTTCTCTGCTCAAAACCTTCCAATAATTTCTGATTGCAGTCAGAGTAAGAACAGCTTATCCTTTAGAGTCCAGTCCCTGTCTTCATCTCATATCTCAACCTTTTCTACTCCCTCCTCCCACTCAGTCACAGTGACCTCTTGACTACTGTTTTTCAAACAGACCAACCCTTCCAACCCCAGAAATTGCCATTGCGCATTCCTCTGCCTGACATTCCTTTTTCCAGACTTTTATGACGCTCACTTCCTTGCTTCAGTCGTGTCTCTTTTTAAATGCTACTTCTCTGTAATGCAGCATTCATGGACCTCCAGGTCTAAACTTGCTAACTGCCATCCCCCTCCTAGTCCATCTCTTCATTCTGTTTTATAACTTTTTAATTGCAACTATCATGGCCTGTCATTTTCTTACATTTGTATTTATTTATTACCTTTCTCCACAACTAGAATGTAAGCTTCTTGAGGGCCTGAACTTTGATTTATTCATAGCTGTATTCTCACTACAATGCCCAATGCATATATAAAACTCAACAAGTAAATAAATTATGAATGCGTAAGTTAATGAGCCAAAGGAGACATAAAGTTTTGTGAGACTTTGCAATTTCACAATGCAGGGATGTGTGACGAAACAGACATTTCCCAGGGAAAAGTTTATGAAGCTTGATAACACCTTTTAAAACATATTTGTTGTCCTGAAATCCAGCTGTTGCCTAAGATTGTCTTGTGTCAGGTAAGTATTCTCTTGGGCACTTCAGGCATTGATTGACAACCAGTTTTTTTGTTACAAAGAATTACAAGCCATATATTCAGAATGTTCAGCGCAAGACTTGCTCATACCTATCTCTTCATGGAAAAGATATAAGCTTTGAAGTTCTAAACACTGGAATGGACTCCTGGCCTTGTACCTTAACATCTGCAAGATCTATAAAACTTCTATGAACTTCAGCATCTCTGATTTGTAAAGAAAGTGGAATACCTCTCACAAAGAATCACTGCTAGTATTTAAAATAAGGTACTTGAAGCATTGCAAATAGCTTCACTGTTATTATCCGTGATATACCTAAAGAGATAGGGATAATTTCTGTACAGATCACATTTTTCTCCTTCTAGAGCCAAGAGTATTTAGAATGTTGTTACTCTGTGTCAGGACTAATGGTCAATAGCTCTGACAACTGCATTTCTACGTGTCCTCTGGGGAGCTCCTTCAAAGTTTAATTGACCTCATTGTCAGGACATGTATCCTGATACTTGGACAACATTTTAATTTCTATGTTACATCTTCTAATTTCTATTTAAACCTCCATGGGGCAACATTAACAATCTTTCTGCTTCTCCTGTGTGTGTGTCCTTCAAATATTTATGTTGTTAGTATGTCCCTCCTTAGTTATGCCCCATCTATGTACACAGTACTTAATTCTTCTAATCTTTTCTCATAAATAAATCCCTCCAGTCATTTCATCATACTCCCTGATGTTCTTTGAATCTCTTCCAATTCCTTGACAGCTCTCTCATGTTGAGATGCCCAGAATTGTTTACAGTATTCTAGGTGCTATCTTATCAGCCTCATGCTGAGCGGCTCTCTCCCCTTGATGGTTCTTGACAGCCTGCCTCGCTGCCTGGGGTTCAAGGATGCTGTTTGGAGCCTCTAGTCACCATTTAACTTGTAATATCTTTCCTCACCATTCATTGCAGACATCCTTCAGCGTTCATTTCCATTCCAAACAACCACTATGTGATGGCAACTTTTCAGTCCTGGCAGGGGATGATTATGAACTTTGACCCTTCAGAGCTGAGTGTCAATCATTGTGAAAGGTTGTAGATGTTTTTGGAAGGGTTTGATTACAGCGTAGACATTAAAAGTCCTTGCTCTGTTATACAACTGCCTGGAATAGACTCTCAGCTCTGCAATGTTTTTGCTTTCTGACTGTGCCAAACTTACCAGTGCCTCAGCATCCTCTTCTGTACGATGAGAAAGAGCATCCATAAGATTGCTCTGCGAAATAAGTAACATGATTGATGTAAGTGTTTAAAATAATAACTTGGCATGTTGGAAGCACTCAATAAACACATGTTAGCTACCTCAACTAAAAAATTTAATTGAGGCCCAGCATCATGCCGCATGCCTATAATCCCAGCACTTTGGGGAGCCAAGGTAGGAGGATCATTTGAGCCCAGGAGTTCAAGACCAACCTGGGCAACATAGCCAGGCTCCATCTCTGCAAAAATATACAAAAATTAGCTGGGCACAGTGATATGTGCCTATAATCCCACCTACTCAGAAGGTAGTGTAGGAGGATCCCTTGAGCCTAGGGGTGGAGGCTACAGTGTGCTGTAATTATGCTGCTACATTCCCACCTGGGCAACAGAGCAAGACCCTATCTAAAAAAAAAATTAATTGAGATAAATGTACGTGAACTGCACATATTTTGAGTTTACAGTTTGTTGAGTTTTGGGAATCTATACCCAAAATAACCAACACTCAAATCGAGATATTTTCATATTTGAGGAAGTTGTCTCAGGCACCTTTGCTGTACATCTACCCTTCCCTTCAGGCAATCACTTAACTGAGTTCTTTCAGCATAGCCTGGTTTTGCCAGTTCCAGAAATTCATTTCAGCATAGCCAAATGCTATTTTTCATATCTGTCTTCTTTTACTCAATATGTTTTTGAAAATCAATAGTATTATTATGTGTATGAAAAATTATTTATATTTCTGAATAATATTCCATTGTATTAATAGTTTGCAATTACTTTATCCAATCCTCTGTTGGTAGAATTTGGATTGTTTCCAGCTTTCTACTATTATGAATAATGCTAATATGAATATTCTTATTCAAGATGTTTTTGTGGATGTGTGTTTTCATGTAATCACATTGGCGTGGAGTTACTGGGTTTTAGGGTAGGTGTAAATTTACCTTTATAAGAAACTTCTAAGAAGTTTTCAAAAGTAGTCATTGTGTTTTGTACTTCTACTAGCAATGTGCGAAAATTCCAGCTGTTCCACATCCTCATTAATGTTTGGTATTTAGAGACTTTTTAATATCAACCATTCTAGTGAATATAAAGTATAATTATGGATTTAATTTAATTTTGTGATGATAAATGGAGAAACTTTAATTGTGCTTATTGGCTATCTATGTATTTTCTTTTGAGGTATGATTGGGCAACAGTACCACTGAAAATTAGATTATTTATCTTTTTATTACATTTGATGGCTGATGACCATGTTTTCTGAATATACTCCTTTTCCTAGATATACACACACACTTATATATAGTGAGTATCTTCTTCAGGTCTTTGATTTGTCTTTTTATTTCCTTAACAGTATCTTTTGAAGAACGGAAATATTTATTTTTGATGAAGTTCAATTTACCTTTTTTCCCTCTTTTGTAGTGGGCTTTTCTTTTATCCTTTCTAAAAGAAATGCTTGTTTACCACAAGTTTTCAAGATTTTTTTCTTTCCTTAATGAAAATTTTATAGTTTTAGCTTTTTTCAATTAAGTTTATGATAAATATTAAAATAACTTTTATATATGGTGTGAGGTAGAAGTAAGCGTGTGTGTGTGTGTGTGTGTTTAAATCAGATCCAATTTTATAACACATCATTTGTTGAGAAAAAATTATTCTTACTTACTAAATTACCTGGCACCATTTCTTGAAATCAGTAGACAATATATATGTGGGTTTATTATAGGAATCTCTCTGGTCCATTATTCTACTTGCCTGTCCTTACACCAGTACTACATCATCTTGACTACTGTAGTTCATAGTCTTTACATTAAGAAATATGAGTCTCCAGCTATGTCCCTTTTTGAAATATTGTTTAGGTTATTCTGAGCTATTTGTAATCACTTATAGATCTTAGAATCTGCTTGTTAATTTCTACAAAAAACACTGCTGGGATTTTGATTGGAATTGCATTGAAAAAACATCAATTTGGGGGAAACTAATATCTTAATATATAGTCAGCTCTTGAACTAGGTATATCTCTCATTCACTCAGGTCTAGATTTCTCTCTGAAGTATTTGTTATGTGTAGTATTCGGTGTAGAGGTTTTCTACATTTTTTCATTAAATTTTTTACCTAAGTATTATGACTTTCGATCATAATTAATGACATTATTTTGTGGTAACTTTGTTTTCCACTTCTTGAAATTTTATGAAACAGTTGATTTTATATATTGGCCTTGTATCTAATGACTATGCTAAGATTACTTATTTGTGCTAGTTTGTATGTTGGGGTGTGTTTGAGCATTGTACATTCTTTATAGTTTTCTATGTAATTATACTTTCAGTAAACACAGTTTATTTTACTTCCTTCTTTCTGATCCTTATTTTCACTTCTTTTACTTGCCTTATCATACCAGTAGTACAATATTCAATAGAAGTGATGAAAGCATATTTATTTTACTTTTCTCAAAATCTTAAGAGAAAAATAGTCAATATATTACCATCAATTATGATGTTTTAATTTTTCACAGATTGTCTTTATAAATTTAAGAGAATGTTTTTATTCAATTTTGCTGATAGTTTTTACAAGCATTGAGCTTTTCAAATGATTTTCCTACCTTTACTATGTTTGTTTGTTTTATCTCTTTTATTCTGTGAATGCAGCAAATTGCATTGTTGAACTTTGAACATTAATCCAATCTTACATTACTGAGATAAAACATACTTGGTTATTATGAATATGGCTGAATTCTATTTGCTAATATTTTATTGAAGATGTTTGCATGTCTGTTCATGATAAATATTAGACTGCATTTTTTTTATAATGTCCTTGTTCCATTTTAGTGACAGGATTATGCTGGGCTCAGAAAATGAATTACAGAATACCCTTTCCTTTTGCCTTTTCTGAAAGAGGTTGAATAATATTGGTGTCAAGTACAATTAAATATTTGAAGGAATTTATCAGTGAAGTGATTTAAGCCTGGATTTTTCAGTATAGGGAGGTTTTTATTTAGATTTTTTATTTTTTATGTTTTTAATTCAACTTTTATAAAGTTGTGTTTTTCAAATAACTTGTCTCTTTTAGACGCTGTCATTAGCACACATTTCCTCATAATACTTCTTTATTGTTCTTTTTAATTTATATAAAATCTTTCATTTCCTGAAATTGGTAATTTATCTTTTCTCTCTTTATTTTAATAATCTATCAGTTCATTTTAATAATATTTTAAAAGAGCTAATTTTGACATTTTTGATTTTTCCCTATAGATAATCTGTGCTATATTAAATTCATTTTTAATTTCCTTTTTCTATTTATTTAACATTAATATTCTTATTCTAGCTACTCGTGTTGGAAACTTATATAATAAATGTTAAGGTTTTCTTGTTCCATAATATAGGAAATTAAAGCTATTCATTTCCCTTTGAGAACTGCTTTAGCTACGTTCTACAAATTTGGACATATTGTACTTTCAGTATTATCTGTTGTCAAATTTTTAAAATTTCCATCATAATTTCTTCTTTGACCTACATGTAATTTAGAAGCATCTTTAAAGATTTTCTAATATTTGAAAATTTTTTGAGATATTATTGTTATTGATTTATAACTTAGTTTCTTATTGTCAAGATATAGCCTTTTTGTGATTTCAGTTATTTTAATCTGTTGATACATATTTTATGGTCCAGCATGTGGCGTATCTTAGCGAATGTTTCATATGCACTTGAAACAAATTAGTATTGTGCAGATGTTGAATTAATTCTGGAAACACCTATTAAACTAGGCTGGGTAGATGTCTACTATATCTTTACTGAGAGATAATTTTTCTTATTTATTAACTTCTGAGAAAGGATTATTAAAAACTTAATCAAAAATTAAGATTTAATTTTGTTAATTTTGTCTTCATGTATTTTGAATTTCTGTTACTAGGTGCCTATGCATTCATGATTCTTTATCTTCTTGGTGAATTGATCCTTTCATCATTATAAAATGACTGTTTATAATAATACTCTGTCTTGAGGTCTATTTTGTATGTTATATAGCTATAACTGCTTTCACAGATTTAGTGGTTTCATAGCATATTGTTTTTTCATCCTTCACTTTCACCTTGTCTGTTTCTTTGTATTTAAAATTTCCTCTTATAATCAGCTTATAGCTGGTTCTTTCTTAAAAAAAGTAATTTCAACTTTTATTTTAGATTCAGGGGGTACATGTACAGGTTTGTTACATGGATGCCTTGTGTGATGCTGAGGATTGGGGTACAAATGATCTTTTCAACCAGGTAGTGAGCATAATACCCAATAGGTAGTTTTTCAGCCCTTGCCCCCCTTTCTCTGTGCCCCTCTAGTAGTCCCAGTGTCTGTTGTTTCCATTTTGATGTTCATGTCTGCACAATCTTTAGGGTCCACTTATAAGTGAGAATATGTGGTATGTAGCTCTCTGTTTCTGTGTTAATTCACATAGGCTAATGCCCTCCAGTTGCATATATCTTGCTACAAGGGACATGTTTTTGTTCTTTTTATGGCTGTTTAGTATTCCATGGTGCATATGTACCACATTTTACTTATCCATCTACCATTGATCAGCACCTCAGTTGATTCTATGTCTTTTCTATCATGAATAGTGCTGTGATGAGCATATGAGTGCATGTGGCTTTTTAGTAGAAGGTTTTATTTTCATTTGGCTACCCAGCAATAAGATTGCTGGGTTGAATGGTTTCTGTTTTAAGTTCTCCCAGAAATCTCCAAACTGCTTTCCCCAATTGCTGAACTAATTTACATTGACACCAACCGTGTACAAGCATTCCCTTTTCTCTGCAGCCTCATAATCATGTCATTTTTTGACTTTTAATAATAGTTATTCTGACTGGTGTTAGATGGCATCTCATTGTGGTTTGGATTTGCAGTTCTTTGATGATTAGTAATGTTGAACATTTTTTCATGTTTTTTGGCTGCTTGTATGTCTTCTTTTGAGAAATATTTGCTCATGTCTTTTGTCCACTTTTTAATGGGGTTATTTGTTTTTAGCTTGTTGAATTGATAAAATTCCTTATAGATTTTGGATATTAGACCTTTGTTGGATCCATAATAATTTGTGAATATTTTCTCCCATTCTGTATGTGGTCTGTTTACTCTGTTGGTAGTTTCTTCTGCTGTCCAGAACCTCTTATTTTAAGTAGGACTCACTTGGCAGATTTGATTTTGTTGCAATTGCTTTTGTAGACTTAGTCATAAGTTATTTTCCAAGGCCAATATCCAGAGTGGTATTTCCTAGGTATTCTTCTAGAATTCTTATAGTTTAAGGTCTTACATTTAAATCTTTAATTCATTTAGAGTTAATTTTTGTGTATGGTTAAAGGTAAGCGTCCAGTTCCATTTTTCTCCATATGGCTAGCCTGCTATCCTAGTGCCATTTATTGAATAGGGAGTCCTTTCCCCATTGCTTATTTTTGTCAACTTTTTTGTCAAAGATCAGATGGTTGTAGATGTGAGGCTTTATTTTTAGGATCTCTACTCTGTTTCATTGGTATACATATCTGTTTTGTATAAAAATCAGTAGCACTTCTATATACCAATAACATTCAAGCTGAGAGCCAAATTGAGAATGCAATTCAATTTACAATGGCCACACACAAAAAAGAAAATACCTAGGAATACATCTACCAAAGGAGGTGAAAGATCTCTACAAGGAAAACTACAAAATGCTGCTGAAAGAAATCGTAGATGACACAAAGAAATAGAAAAACATTCCATGCTCATGGATTGGAAGAATCAATATTGTTAAAATGGCCATACTGCTCAGAGCAATCTACACATTCAAAGCTATTCCTATCAAACTACTGACATTTTTTTTACAGAATTTGAAAAAAAAAAAACTATTTTTAAATTCTATATGGAATCAAAAAAGAGCCTGAATAGACAAAATAATCTTAAGCAAAAAGAACTAAGCCAGAGGCATCATATTTCTCCACTCCAAACTAAGCTATAAGGCTACAGTAACAAAAACAACATAATACTAGTACAAAAACAGACACATGGATTTATAGTTGCTTCTTGACTTTATTATCTAGTCTGATAATCTAGTCAGATAATCTCTGAATCTCTGCCTGTTTACAGTTAAAAGGAGTGTTTACTCCATTTACATTTAGTGTAATTATTGATATTGCTCATAATATTTGTGTTTGGTTTTTTATTCTTTATCTTTCTTTTTATTTTCTTCCAATTACTGTGCTCCTATTCTTCATTATCTTTTCCTTCTTTCTTTCTTTTTCTTTTTTCATTTGGATTGAGTATTAGCTATTTTTCTATGCTTGCTTGTTTTTTATTTTCCCAAATAGGTGCTTTAGGGATTAAGATATTCACCCTTTAGTTTTCAGTTTTATTTTAATCAATATCAGAATATTTTATATATAATGTAAGGACCATATAACGGAATAATTGGACCTAAATTTTCTCTCAGCCTTTGTACTGTTATTGCCATATATTTTACTTCTACATATACGTCCTGCTATATGATTTTTTTCTTTTTTCTTTAAACATTCAAGTGACCTTTAAAGATTTTTTTAAAATGAAAGATAAAACATTCTCTATATTTACCCACATGTTTCACATGACCAGTGTTCTCATTCCTTCTTGATGATTCAGATTCCAAGAATGTATTATTTCCTTTTCAGCATAAGAAATTTCTTTAGCTTTACTTGTAGTGTGGATTGCTTGATGATACATTTTCTCAGATTTTGTTTATCTGAAATTATATTTTCTTTAACTCAACATTTTTACTAAAGAGAAAATATTTGGTTGAAAGTTGTGGGGCATTTTGTTTGCTGGTTTTGTTCTGTTTTTCTTTGTTTCAGTAATTTAAAACATTTTTTTGACTTTATTATGTCTGTCTCTTTCTTAATCATTGTTTCTCTTTATGTAAAGTTTCTTCTTTTTTTGCCTCTTTTACTATTTTTAAGTTTCTCTAGTTTTAAGCAGTTTCAACATGATGTGGTTAGGTCTAGTTTTCTCACTGTTTATCGCTTTTGGAATTCACTGAGATTCTTAGATATGTAAATTACTGTTTTTTGATGAACTCTGGAAAGTATTTGGCTAATATCTCTGTTAATATATAATTTTTATTCCATTTTCTCTCTCTTCTCTTTATGGGTCTCCAATTACAAATATGTTATGGTTTGATAATGACACATAGTTTATTGAGGCTTTGCTAATTTCTTTCTCTCCCCTGATTCACTTATATTCACCTTTCTTATGGAATGTGTATTTGACTTAACATGTATCTCATAATATGCTCTTTTAAAAAATTTATTATACTCATTTTTTGTGGATTGTTAAATTTATAATTATTTTTCAATTTTTTCTGCCAATTCTTGATAACATGTAATTATGATTTTATTCATTTTTTCATGATTATGACCCATATTTTCCTATTTCTTCACATGTCTAGTAAATTTCTTTAAACATTGTGATACTGTGAATGACACCAAGAAATTCTGTATTCTGCTATTTCCTTTGGAAGAATGTTGATTTTATGTTCTGGGGCATTTAAATTGCTAACATACTACCTTACATTTGTGGAGGCTTTTATTGATTTGTTTATTTATTTTAGATCAGGTCTAGTTCCATTTTGGTCTCAGTCCTAGGGTAAACCATTAATCTTGGATGTAGATTGTACTTCTAATATGTGGTCTTTCTAGGCGTCAATGAAAAACTCAATGCATTTGCCAAGGAAGGCACTCTACCTATGTGGGACTGCACTGTAATTTCTGTCTCCCTGCAATGGGCAGCCACTGAAATCTCTGCTCTACCATTATGGCATTGTACCAGTGCTTCCACTCTGGGCTTGTTGGATTCTCACCCACAAGTGCATAGTTCAGGTGTAAGTTAAAATTTGAAGAACTTTTTCCTCTTTAACTTGGTTTGGGGCTCATTTCTTGGATTTCCTCCTGGATGTCTAGTCACTGTAGCATTCTCAAACTCCAACTTATGACTCATTAGCCAATAAGACTGCAGCTTTCTGTTTGAGCTCTGGTTGCTACATGTTATGTAGACTAGTCAGTGTCCTCAGTAGTAAAAGCATGTCATTTTGGGTAGCACTTAATGCATTTGACCTTTGTCTTCATGGGTCAAATATCTTCCAAGTTTGCCTATTTTTATTTATTTTCCATGTCTGTAAGTAGTTTTTAAAAATGTATTTCGCCTGGAGTTTGCAATTATTATCAGCAGGGAGATTGGAAAATCCAAGCTACTCATTATTACAGGAAGTCATAAATAGTTATTTTATTTTTAGAAAATATTTTTAAAGAAATGACTATGTTCCAGTCTTTGGTCTATGTTCTGGAAACACATCCGAAAACTGTAGACTAGCACAGAGTGGTGGGAATGGTGAAAGTTAGATTCTAGACTTATTTTGAAGGTAGTTGTTAAAAGATTTATAACAGATAGATTGGATATGGGGGCCTAAGATAAGAGACAGAGCTTTAGTTTTGTACATGTTCATTTGAGATGTCTACCAGACTTCTAAATGTAGAGGAGTAGACATTTGCATAAACATGTATAGCTTTCAGAGGAATGTTTTAACTTGAGATATTAACATGGTAACTGTCAGTGTATAGGTGGAATGCAAAGTTCTTGGGTGGAATAAGCTCACCAAGAGAATTAATGTAGATAGAGAAGACCATAGACTACAGAGTGGGGAACTAGTGTTAAGAGACTGAAGAGAATGTGAAGCAAGCAATGAAGGAAAATGAACATCCATAAAACAGGGTATCCTGGAGACCAAATAAAGAAAAGAAGATGAAGTGCCACACTGTGTCAAACAGTGCTTATAGTTTAATAAAAGTCAAAGAGTGAGAAGTGGCAATTGGATTTAGCAATGTGGAGGTCACTAATGACCTCAGTCGGAAACATTTTTTGTGAACATGATGGAGAAAAAGAAATCTTTGTTGGGTATGTTTAAGAGAAAAGAGAAAAATTAGGGGTGGTGACTACATATAGATCTTTATAGGGTTGTTTTCTCTAATGAGGAGAATATTAATGACACAATAATCTGGGGAAGTATGATTAAGAGAATGTTAATTTATCAAAGCCACATCTATACAGCATTTCTCCTTCCATCTATATTCATGTCTGCACACACAAATATACCCACTCTCATGTTTAAACATGTTTACATGTATAAATTGGAGAAAAAATCTATGCTAAATGAGATAATCTAGTAAGGAGAGGATGATGATGATGAGGGAAAGAAAGGGGAGGAATGTTGTTTCTACATCAATTACCTTGAATAGGTAAGAAGAGATGAAGCCTGCTCCTCAAATAACATTTTTTGCCATACAAAGAAGTTCTGATTTTTCTTTCATAACAACAGAAGTAAAGGGAGGGAATATGGAACAGAAGCAGGTATGTAGGTACACATAGTGACAGGTACTGTGGAAATTCTTATCTAATTGCTTAGAATTTTATCTGCAGTGCTGGATACAAAATCAAAAGCTGCATATGAAGATGAAAAAGCAGGTTCTGAAGTTGTGAAAAGAGAATAAAAAACATATCATTGGGCATCTGAGTGTGTAGAAGAGTGCATGGGATAGAAAAATATAGGAGGTTTACATGACATCATCAGGAACTTATCTGAGACATGTTAACATGGGCTTAAAATGCATCATTTTGGCATGAATGTTTGGTTTCAGCCATGTTTAGCTGCTTCAGAATAGAAAAAATGTACACAATGAATTATAGCTTATCAGACTTAGTGCTTAGCCATACAATAAAAGGATAAAAGAGTGTGAAAGTGAGAATAATGGTAATCCATGGAATTTAGTCTCCTAGAGAAGATTTTGAGAAGGTACAGAAGGATGGAAATATAGTTAAGTCATTGTATCATTAAATTTTAAGTTGAACTATGGTTGAAGAATTGGTAGAATCTGAGTACTAGTGAGAGTGAACAGAAAATTGGCAGACGGTAGCAATAAAATGGGTGATTTTGAGATTATGGAAGGTTTACAATTAGTGGTGCTAATGCAACTAGAATATGGCCAATACCAGAGGAAAGGAGTTTGAGACCTGACATGCCAAGTTGCCAGAAGAATCGCTTACTGTGTATTGAAATCATCTAGAATCAATAAAGGTGTAGATTAAAAAGAAGATTGAAAGCCGAGGGTGGCAGTTTAAGAAGGTGGATGACAGGGTGTTGATCTAAAAAATACATTAAGGAGAAGGAAGAACACTTATCCCAACTCTAACCCAAGACATACACTGGGATGAAATTTGGGTACAGATAGTTTTTATGTGAAGTGATCTCAAAAGCACAAGGAAGTGAGTGGGAAATGTCAGATAGGAAAAGAGAAAAGCCTCAGATTCTGCATCAATAAATGAAATACTGCTATTCAGTCTTGGGGATCCCTTAAAGAACTATGTAGAATTTGCCTGACAATTATTGCACCAAGAGGTGAGAAAACTCGGGCATTTATCCACTGAGTCTCATCTATCATTTGGTTGAAGGTTAGACCTTTTCTTATGGATAGAGCAAACCCTCAGACAGCATGGCAGTGAGATGCAGTCACTCAAGATGGAAAGCGGTCAGAATCCCAGAAAATGTCCACCAAAGCAGTGATTAAAGCCAGATTTGGGCTGATGGCTTTAATCTGGAAATATTCTGGATCAGACAGCAGAATTTTTTAAAAAAATCTCACAACTTACACCAAACTGATCTATTCCTACCACATGTTGGATCCACTCTGTTGACTTGATGCTCCAAGATAAAGGTCATCCACAATCTCTTAAAAAGACCTAAAATGTGAGGATAAATGGAATAAACTGCTGTTTCAGATGCTTCCTTCCCAAGACCAAAATTGATCTTCATCAATTTCCTTTTCTGTCACTCAATATGATTTTCTCTTTTATCTTTATATTGACCAATACAGTGATCCTAAAACTTATCCACAGAGGGTTATAGCCCTGGTTAGTTTACACTAGTCATGCTATTATCCCCTTACTGCTGGAATGGACCAACAGGCATGAAAGCACTAAAAGAAACCCTAGCGAATCATCCATGTTTCAAACATGTTCCTCTCTGCCCCCATTTCAGAGGACCAAACCACATCCTCATGATAACTGGGACAGTTACCCCGATCTGTATAGGGCTTTTACTAAATTGATAAGGAATGCATTCATGGTGGCTCACTGTCTGTGTTGAGAAACTTGATTAATTGTGGGCTGTCCTTTGTAGGACTTGGCTCATATAGGAGACTTGTGGTTGAGGCTACTATTTGGTGAAGTTTATAGTAATATACTAACATCTGCCATTATTCATCTGGGTTTTGCGAAGGCCATTTCACTAAATTAAATGAATATGGCATAGGCCCACTTTATATTCTTTAAGTCTTCTAGAGTAGCATCGATTTCTGAAATTTCAGCTGGGATCTTGAATTACTTCTGACTTACTTTCTTGGCCAGGGGTGGCAGATAATTTCAGGGGCTTCTACTTGGCCTTTTAGAGCATAATAATTTTTGCTCCCTACTTCGGCTGCTAAGTATATCTATCCCAATTATAAACTCAAGGATGGGGAAATTACCATAAGGTGAGTTTGTATACCCAATGGAGTCATTGTGATATAGCCTGGGACCATGACTCCACTTATTACCTACCCTATACCTACCATATACCATGATTTTAAAAGAGGACATTTTGAATCCCTTGGTATCACTATCAATTCGTAACACAGATTCTAAATATCTAGAAATATCTGAATATTTTCATTCACTCCAAAATACAGTTACTCTAGTGTACTCTAGTGTAACAGGTAGTGATGGCCTGTTAAATGTTTAACAATCAGATTTTTGACAAAAAAAATAAAACTTTGATTTATAGCATTTGCTAATTCCCATGGTATAAAAAGTTCCACCCCTGTGGAACTTTTATAAAGTTCTAATTAAATCTACCAACATCATGTCATTAGACATAAAGTTAGGAGGAGATGGGCACAATTTGCTCTTAATGCTGGTACAAGCTGGCTCCAGCACAACACTGATTATATGTTCCTTTGCAGAAGAAATGGGGAATTATATTTATTGCATACATTTGCAGAGTATCATAGGCTTCTTTATCAAGGTCATTCTATCTTCCTTTCTACTGTCAGCCTCAGACCGAAAACTTAATGTGACCATGATTTTTTCACTGCAGCAGCTGACATAGCTTTGTGATGATCAGCTCTTAACATTTTTTTGTTAGAAAATCAAGAAATATGTTTGTGAGCTTCCCATTTATATCAGTCCTAGAGACACCAGGATTTACTGGCCATTACCACAAATCTCTGGAGGTTCAAGGCCTTCTGAATGTTAACTTGACCTTACTTCCAATAATCTTTGTCTGGTGGTGCTACAACTTGGTCTTATATTTTCTAAAAGTCTACCACCTATTGACACAATGGATTCTACTTCCATAGCAGTATCCCTAATCAAAAATAGCCTACAGAATATGCCAACCAAAAAATAAAAAATAAAATAGAATTGAGCTTAACAATACTGTTATCATATCACCACTATAGCATTTTATTTATTTGTTTCTTAAAGGGAGTGCCTTCGGCTCTCTTTGGGAACACAGTCACTCAGTGGCTTTTCTATTCTCACCTAATATATTCTGGCTAATATGTTCACTGACATGAGCTTTCTGACTTCTTTCTCAATACTTTGCCTATGTAGTTCCTACATATCCATGTTATTTTCCATAAGCTACCAGCATGCCTAAGCATCAGTGATCCGTCCTTGCATCGTATTGACTGATTCTGTCTTGTCTAAGATATTAATTCCTCATCATGGAAAAATACCCATATCAATAAACTCAACTCTCCCTTATCCAGCCTTCTAACCCACATTCAAGATTTACCTTCACATTTTCCCTACATCTTCTCAGTAGATATTAGCCGGGTCCTACTGTTTCTTTTTTTGCTGAATAATCTATTTCCTCCAATATCTCCTCATATGGGCTATCTTAAGATATGATTCTAGTTACTAGTAGAGACATAATGAGAGAAGATGATGAAGCTTTTTGAAGAAAAGTGCTATCTTGGCAGAGATCTGTTTTAGGTTATGTCTACGCATGGTCTTAGACAATGAGAATCTACTCTTCTTTGGCAAGGGCAAAGAGGCTGTTTTCCAAACTGGAAAGTTCAGAAATTTAGAAATTTCACTTTCTTAGGGGCATTTACCCAGCTATATGATTTCTAAGTCTTTGAGTTTTACTCTTTACGGGGGCACTTAATTAGCATAAGAGACCTAATGGGACTAAATAATCCGTCTCTTCTGTAGTTACTTACAGTAGCTGTATATCTAATATTGGACCTGATTTTCATCATGGTCTGCCATCTGCCTGCTGGAGATAAGCAATTTCATGTTAGTTTCCTCCCTCATTACTTTCTTTAAGGAGCATTTTGACTTTTGAGAAAAGCATCAGCCCAGCTTCTCTGTTGATAATGAATTGGTCTCTTCGGAATTAAAAAATACTGTCATGGAGGTCTTTCCCTATTTCATAGGACACCCTGATTCGATCGTGATTAAACTAAGCCAGCAGAGGTTTTTTTTTTTTTTTTTGGCCTTTAGGGCATTTACCAAAATTCTTCCAATTTTAGGACCTTATAATTGCTATTGTCCCCATATCTTTTATGTGCCAGTCATTTCCCTTCCACTTGTATTTCACTTCAATTCACCACATGTGAAAGTCAGTAATTGTGTTGCTTCAACATGACATGAGTTATCACCACCCCAAAGAGCAGCCATCAGCCCCTTGTTTTTATCTGGCTAGTGAATGTTCCTATTCCAGAATATCATCCTGAGGCTTACTGTTTAGACCCATCTCTGTCCCCCAAAGCAAATGCCAAGACAGGCTTAGGAGCAGGTAGTTCTTCAATACCTGAAAGTACTGAAAGGAGGGATGGGGATGTGAGATAGAAAAAGAGAAATAAACTATTCATCAATGAATACTACCCCTGCGGGCTACTGAATTCTTCTGGGTAACTTTGCTGAATGTGCTGCACAGTTGTCTTACCAAGGGGTGGAGAAACTGGGGTATTCATCAAACAACTCTCATCCTTCATTGGTTAAGGTTTACCACTGGATGCATCAATGTCCTGACATTTCCACGATGCCCTGGCTGCAGGCTGAGAAAACTCCTGTGGCTCTGGATAAAGGCAGTCAGGAAACCAGAGAGATGCAGCATTTGAGGGAAGAAACAGCATCCTAAAAATTGTCCACCTCAATTGAAGATGAATTTAGTTGAGACAAAGAAAGCGACATGGCATGGGTGCATCAACAACTATCTGCAATAAGGATCTAATGAGATAAACTATGTTAAATCTTGGAGGAGTGTCTAGCACCTAATAAACACTATTATCACCATCATCAACCTCATCAACATGATTTTTTACTGTTACCTGTGCTTTTACACTTTTACTCCTTTATTTTGACACAGACTCTAGAGTAAAATTTATTTTGTTTTCATCTATGTGACGGTGAGAATACTTAGCCCAATTTTGGTTTAATGCTTAGTAATCATCATTTACAAAAGTGAGTGTGTTGAAGGGAGCGGAATGAGGCAAAGACAACCAGCTTCTAGGACAATTGTAAGTTACAATCGTAACTTTGAGATTCTTAATAGTTTTCAAAAAAATGAAGACTGAGAAGTTAAAAAGGGAGGCAAAACTATATATATAAATGGAGGAAAATAAAGAAAGTTTGTATATGAAAAAGTTAAGTGATACAATTTATTTTTGAGTTACTTATTATCTGTGTCTCAGACTACATCCAGTAAGGATTTAATAATGTTGCTTATAATCAAAATCTCATGAGGAATAAAATTGTTAACATTTATTATAGAAAACATTTATTATAGGAAAAAATTTATTATAGAAAAAAATGCATCCAAAAGGAAGAGCATATGAATATATGAGAAATCTTAGGCTAATATAATTACTATTGTATAGTTTTTGCACTGGTTATCCAGTGATATGGCCTGGTTCTGTGTCCCCACCCAAACCTCATCTTGAATTGTAATCCAAATTGTAATTGAAATTGTAATTCCCACATGTTGGGGGAGAATACTCATGAAAGGTGATTAGATCACGGGGGCGGTTCTCCCATGCTGTTCTGATGGTGAATTCTCATGATATCAGTTGGTTTTATAAGGGGCCTTTCCCCACTTCGCTCAGCACTTCTCTCTCCTGCTGTCATGTGAAGAAGCACATGTTTGATTTCCCTTCCACCATGATCGTAAGTTTCCTGAGGCCTCCCCAGCCGTGTGGAATTGTGAGCCAATTAAATCTGTTTCCTTTATAAATTACCCAGTCTTAGGGTATTTCTTCATAGCAACATGAAAACAAACTAATGTAGTAAGTTAGTACCAAGTAGTGGAGCACTGCTATAAAGATATCCAACAATGTGACAGCGACTTTGGAACCGGGTAATAGGCAGAGGCTGTAACATTTTGGCAGGCTCAGATGAAGACAGGAAAATGTGCGAAAGTTTGAAACTTCCTAGAGACTTGTTGAATGGCTTTCACAAAAATGCTGATAGTGATATGGACAATGAAGTCCATGCTGAGGTGGTCTCACATGGACATGAAGAACTTTTTGGGAACTGGAGTAAAGGTCACTCTTGCTATGCTTTAGTGAAGACACTGGTGGCATTTTGCCCCTGCCCTAGAGACCTGTGGAACTTAGAACTTGAGAGAGATGATTTAGGGTATCTGGCAGAAGAAATTTCTAAGCAGTAAAGCATTCAACAGGTGACAGAACATGAAAGTTTGGAAAATGTACAGCCTGGCAATGTGGTAGAAAAGAAAAACCCATTTTCTGGGGAGAAATTCAAGCCGGCTACAGAAATTTGCATAAGTAATGAGGAGCCAAATGTTAATCACCAAGACAATTGGGAAAATGTTCCAGGGCATGTCAGAGACTTTCATGGCAGCCCCTCCCATCACAGGTCCAAGGCCTAGGGGGAAAAAATGGTTTCTTTGGCCAGGTGCAGGACCCCTCTGCTGTGTGCAGCCTAGGGACTTGGTTCCTTGTGTTCCAGCAGCTCCAACTCTGGACAAAAGGGGCCAAGGTGTAGCTCATGCCATGGCCTCAGAGGGTGCAAGCCCAAAGCCTTGGCAGCTTCCATGTGGTGTTGGTCTCGCAGATGTGCAGAAGACAAAAATTGAGATTTGGGAACCTGTGCCTAGATTTCAGAGGATGTATGGAAACACCTGGAAGTCCAGGCAGAGGTGTGCTTGAGGGGTGGAACCCTCATAGATAACCTCTGCTAGGGCAGTGCAGAAAACAAATGTGGGGTTAGAGCCTCCCCACAGAGTCCCCACTGGGGCACTGCTTTGTAGAGGTGTGAGAAGAGGGCCACCATCCTCCAGACCCCGGAATGGGAGATCCACTGACAGCTTGCACTGTGTGCCTGAAAAAAGTTACAGACACTCAACACCAGCCTGTGAAAGCAGGCAGGCAGGAGGGGGCTGTACCCTGCAAAGCCACAGGGAAACAGCTGCCCAAGGCCGTGGGAGGCCACCTCTCTTGCATCAGCATGACCTGGATGTGAGACATGGAATCAAAGGAGATCACTTTGGAACTTTAAGAATTAATGACTGCTCTATTGGATTCTAGGCTTGCAGGGGCCTCTAGCCCCTTTGTTTCAGCCAGTTTTTCCATCTGGATTTTGTGCATTTATGCAATGCCTGTAGCTCCATTTTATCTTGAAAGTAACCAGCATGCTTTCGATTTTACAGGCTTCTACACAGAAGGGACTTGCCTTGTCTCAGATGAAACTATGGACTTGGACTTTGGGGTTAATACTGAAATGAGTTAAGACTTTGGGGAACAGTCAGGAAGGAACAGTCAGGAAGTCGTAATTGTGTTTGGAAATGTGAGAAAGATGAGATTTTGGAGGGGCCAGTGACGGAATGATATGGTCTGGCTCTGTGTCCCCACCCAAATCTCCTCTTGAATTGTAGTCCCCATGTGTTGAGGAAGGCACCTTGTGGGAGGTGATTAGATCATGGGGGTTATTCCCTAAGCTGTTCTCCTGATAGTGAGTGAGTTATCACGAGATCTGATGGTTTTAAAAGGCCTTTCTCCACTTTGCTCTGCACTTCTTTTTCCTACCTCTATGTGAAGAAGGATGTATTTACTTTCCCTCCTGCCATGATTGTAAGTTTCCTGAGGCCTCCCCAGACATGCAGAACTGTGAGTTAATTAGACCTCTTTTCTTCATAAATTACCCAGTCTTGGGTATTTCTTCACAGCAGCATGAAAACGAACTAGTACATCCAGTGACCAGGAAAACTAGGAATTGACTCGATGGGATAGCAAGCTATTATTAAAAGAACCAAAGTATTGGGGGATCTTGGTTTGAGACCTAGGTTTCCATTGGTAAAAAGTGAGCTATTGGGTAAGTCACTGTATCCCATCCAGCCTCATTTTTTCATATGTCATGAGGTTATTGGAATATCGATGAAAAGAGTTAAACTCTAAAATATTTTAAGAGATATTTATTCTGAGCCAAATGTGAGTGACAATGGTCCATGACACAGATTTTAGGAGGTCCTAAGAACATGTGCCCAAGGTCGTTGGGGTGCAGCTTGGTTTTATAGATTTTAAGGAGGCATGAGATATCAATTAAATACATTTAAGGAATACATTGGTTTGTTCCAGAAAGGCAGGACAACTTGAAGCAGGGGTAGGGGGAAAAGGAGGCTTCCAGGCTATAAAACATTTTCTGGTTGACAATTGGTTGAGTTTTTGTCTAAGGACCTGGGATCAATAGAAAGTAAATGTTCAGGTTAAGGTAAAAGATTGTGGAGACGAAGGTTCTTTTGAAGTCTCATAGCCGCTGCCCTTAGAAACAATAGATGAAAAATGTTTCCTATTCAGATCCTTTAAAGGGTGCTAGACTCTTAGTTAATCTATTCAGAATTGGAGGGGCCTGGAAGGAAAAGGTCTAGCTATGTTAATAGGGATTCCTTACAGATGTGAATTTTCTCCCACAAAGGACGGCTTGCAGGGCCATTTCAAAATGTGACAAAAAACATGTTTTGGAGGTAAGATATTTTGATTTTCTTCCTTGTCTCATAATGTTATGCCAGAGTCAGCCTTGAAAAATAAGTCACAATATGTAGGGTTAAATGAAACCCATCTGATGAGAATTTGTGGTTTGTAGGTCATGACTCCCCAGACCCTTTAGATAGGAATTTGGGCAAGATACAAAAAAAAAAATTAGAGTTTATATTTTTTGGTAACTTATCACCCTTATTTCTCTAATAAAATATTAGCCAGATTATAATTTATCAAGGGTAAAAATAGAGCTTGCAAGTTGAAGAGGACATAGGGTCCTTACATCTCTTTTACACGTTGTGACAATCTCAACATCATATCCAAAGATTCTCAGTTACAATAGCATTGGTCTTTATGATACAAAATTCCTTCATTAATGATGATAAATAATATATATTTATATATTTCTCACCATTGAGAAATATGTCCACAGCCAGGTATAGTGGCTCACGCCTGTTATCCCAACACTTCAGGAGGCCAAGGTGGGTGGATCACTTAGGATCAAAAGTTTGAGGCCATCCTGGCCAACATGCTGAAACCCCATCTGTACTAAAAATACAAAAAAAAAATATAGCCGAGCATGGTGGCAGGTGCCTGTAATCCCAGCTACTTAGGAGGCTGAGGCAGGAGAATCACTTGAACTCAGGAGACAGAGGTTGCAGTGAGCCGAGATGGTGCCACTGCACTCCAGTCTAGGTGACAGAACTGGACTCTGTCTAAAAAAAAAAAAAAAAAAAAAAAGAGAGAGAGAAATATGTCCACAATATGTTATTTATTTATTTATCTTATCAGAAAATCAAGATACTGTTGTGTAAAGCTCAAAACAAATGTCTTAGGTCTTATGCCAAGGGGTAAGTGTACAGTTGTGAAAGAGGCAGACACGCTTCTCATATTGTTGCGTCTCACCATAAAGACAAAATATTGGCCAAGTAATTCAAAGTGTTGTAAGAGCTAAAAATTATCATGGATACTCTTTACTATACTCTATCCAACATAGGCTACGAAAGAAAGATATGTACAATTTTAAGCAGAATAATTTTAAGTTCAGCACTGGTAGCTTTTTTTCCCCATAAGACAAAGCATAGCATTTTGTCAGTATAAAACGATTGCCCAGCAGAATTTCTAGAAGTATTCAGGGTGAAAATCAGTTCAGGTTAATGCCTACCATAATAAGTCAAGGTGTTCAGGGGTCAAGTAAGAAGACAAGTTTCTATCATTATAGTCTTTCCAAAGCTAAGCACCGTCTTTACCAGTTTAGCTCTAATAAACAGCACAGTGCCTGACACATGGTACCTAATAGGTTATGTCTGTTTCTGATTTTGGTTTCTTTAAATGAATAGTAGCTATTTTGAGAAACTGCAACTTGTGAAAATTAGTATTGATGCAATTAAAAAATTATATGAGACTAGGAAAAGGAAGTAAAGATAGCATGTTTACACAAATGAGCATATGAAGAGCTCTGAATCTCCAAATCCTTGATGTAAGAAGAGTAAAGAGCTGCTAATATACAGTCATGTGATGTGATAGGATTATCAAAGATTTGAGTAACCAGAAATATTTATACAGTCATGTGCCACATAATGATATTTTGGTCAACAGACAGCGTGTATGACAGTGGCTTCATATGATTATAATGGAGTTGAAAATTCCTGTTACTTAGTGACCTTGTAGACATTTAATGTTGTAGCATAATGTATTACTCATGTGTTTGTGGATATGCCAGAGTAAACAAACCTACTATGTTGTCAGTCATATAAAAGTATAGCAAATATAATTATGTGCACTACTTAATACTTGATAATGACAATAAACAACTATGTTACTGGTTTATGTACTTATTATACTATATTTTTATTGTTATTTTAGATTATACTGTTTCTACACACACACACACACAGACACACATATATATAAAAAGTTAACTGTAAACAGCCTCAGTCGGGTCCTTTAGGAGGTATTCCAGAAGAAGGCATTTTTATCATAGGAAATACAGGGGATGACAGCTCCATCCATGCTGTTGCACCTGAAGACTTTCCAGTGGGACAAGATGTGGAGGTGGGAGAGAGTGACATTGATGATCCTGACCCTGTGTAGGGCTAAACTAATGTGTATGGCCATGTCTTAGGCTTTTTTTGTTTGTTTTCTTTTTGTTTTTGTTTTTCTTTTTGTTTTTAAGATGGAGTCTCACTCTGTCAATCAGGCTGGAGTGCAGTGGCACAAGCTCGGCTAATTGCAACCTCCGCCTCCCAGGTTCAAGTGATTCTCCTACCTCAGTCTCCAGAGTAGATGGGGTTACAGGCATGCACCACAATGCCCAGATAATTTTGTTTTTTGTTTTTTGTTTTTTTGTAATTTCAGTAGTGACACGATTTCTCCATGTTGGTCAGGCTTGTCTCCATCACCAGATCTCAGGTGATCAACATGCCTTCGCCTCCCAAAGTGCTAGGATTACAGGTGTGAGCCACCACACCCAATCCGTGTCTTAGATTTTAACAAAAAAGTTTAAAATGTAAAAAAAAAAAAATTAAAAATTGGGAAAAGGGTATAGAAGGATATAAAGAAAAAATTATGTAGCTGTACAGTGTGCTTGTGTTTCAAACTAAATGTTATCACAGAAGAGTCAAAAAGTAAAAATATAAAAAGTTTATGAAGTAAAAATATTACAGTAGGCTAAGGTTAATTTATTATTGAAGAAATGTGTTTTATAAGTTTAGTGTATCCTAAGTGTGCAGTGCTTATAAAGTTTATAGCAGTGTGCAGCGATGTTCTACAATTTCACATTCACTCATCACTCACTCACAGACTCACCCAGAGCAAATTCCAGTCCTACAAGCTCCATTCATGGTAAGTGCCCTATACAGGTATACCACTTTTTAACTTTTATCTGTATTTCTACTGTACCTTTTCTACGTTTAGATAAACAAATGCTTACCATTGTGTTGTAATTGCCTACAATATTCAGCACAATAACAGGCTGTACAGGTTTGTGGCCTAGAAGCACTAGGCTATACCATAGAGCCTAGGAGTGTGGTAGGCTATACCCTGTAGGCTTGTGTTATACACACTCTGTAGGCTTATGTTATACATACTCTATAATGTTTGCACAACATCAAAATCCCCTGACAAATTATTCAGAAAGTATCCCTGACATTAAGTGATGCATAACTCTGTGTATGAGTGTATTTATAAATATATGCACACACATACATGCATGTATACAGGTATTGTGTATATATATATATACAGAGTATTATATATATAATACACTGTGTGTGTATACACACACACACACTTATACTCAAGGAACCCAAGGGCGGCTACACTCACTGTGATACAAACCCCTGAAACTATTTTTTTAATGTACAGCACAAAATAATAAAAAAGAAAAAAAAGTGTGCACTCATATATAGCTAGATACCTAACTGCACACAGAAAGGCCAGGTATGTGGGCATTCATGATGGAGATGCTGAAGGAGTTTTGCCTCACTAATTTGCCCATTATTTCACAGACATTCATTGAGCACCTACTCCATGTTACACACTGGAAAGCAGTGGAGATTAAAACAGCAAGTGCCACCATCACCCCATTCTCAGTGCTGCTCTGCTGTTAGATGGAACCTTTATCAAGTGTCAGCAATGGGACCTGGCATTTATCAGGGTGGGTGCTGCGCTCTGCTCTGCTGACAGGGTAAATTCAATACATGTCATCCCCACTGTGCTAAGATGTTTTAATGGCTTGCTCTTTCTTCTTTCCATCACCCAGGCAACTTTGTCTTTCTTTTCTCTTCAGTCCCTTTCTCCCATCCCCCAATTGCTCCCCTTTCACATTTTGGGTTCCCCTTTGCACAAGTTGCCTATGTTTGTGACTTTGAAGGAGTCACTAATTCTCTCTGTTTCTGCATACCCATCCATGAAATGTGGTAATTGACTAAATTATCCCTGATGTCTTACGCAGCTCTTAGTGCTATGCTAGCATTGTAGAATTCTGGTTTGAATTCTTCCTAAAAAGCAGAGCCTGAGACACGGGCCTTTGTGGAGGTAGTTTATTTGGGGTCATTTGCTCCTGTGGTACATGATGGATGGCCTGAGAAATAAACCAGGGAAGGTTTATTTCCAAGCCACAGGCTTGGAGGATTAGTGAAGTGTAAATTGGGAAAGAAGAAAAGCAGCCAATCCAAGGTTACTGAGCTGATTACAACTACAGAAAAACTGGAGCTTAATCCTGTTTGTGATATTTCAACAGCTGTATGGAATGTGCCTTAGAAATCTCTGAGATTGGAAAAAAGAGAATACTTACCTACTAGTTCCTGCCCATTGGTAAAGCATTGTTCCAGGAAATGTTAACACCCTATCTGTTCCCAGTGTGTGCAGACATCAGAATGGCTGATCAAGCTCTTACGGTAGATCCATGTGATTGTGCCAGATAAGCCCTGGGAGAAAAAGCAAGATATATGCAGTGCAGCCGAGATCAGGTGCTATTAGGCTACACCTGAGTACAGCTGGTTGCTATAGCAAAGACTAGAGAAAAATTGGTAGAGTAAGAGAATATGAAAGGAAAATATATGTGCAACAAAGAAGCCATTGCATTCCTCAATGTTGTCTAATGCTGATATCAAGAATTTTTGTCAAATCAGCTTTACCAGGGCACTGAACATATGGGGACTATGTCAGGAAATTTCGATATCCAACATTTCTACAAACGCACAGAATTGTTGTGGGCATGGGCTCCATTGCCCAACTTCTTCCCAGTTCCCACCTAGGTTCCTCATAACATTGATAACGATTATCAATGTGCCAGGCAATGTATTAGGCACTTTAAACATAATGTCTTTTCTAATCCCTAAATCAGTAGGATCCTATCATCAGGTTAGTACCTATAATCCCATTTTCCCATTTTACAAATGAGGAAACTAAGGCTCAGGAAAGGGAAGTGACTTTCCTCAATTTACATTACCCATGAAGACCTAAATTGAAATCCATATATATATATATATATATATATATAGCACAGGCTATTTCCAGTAGTTGAAACTATCTCAATGGACACTTGGGTTTAGACAGGGTGTATGCCTCAGTTCTAGGTCGATTATATCTCTGCCTTATCTGATGACTAATCTTGAACTCCAACTTGCTTGGCTATAGCCTTGATACCCTGCTTAGTTACTTACCAGAGACTCCAGCTGCTTGGACCTCAAACACTAGTCCAGGTATATTTTATACCAAATACTAACTCAATTTTGAACTGGAAGCCTCATAATTTTTTACTTATGCTTTTTCTCATTGGAGACCAGTCTACAACCAAGTCAGTACCCCAAACTAACTCTTGTACCTTCCAGTTTCTCGATTTGCACCTTTCCTTCTGTTGTTTCATTTTTCTCTTTATACTTTTTTCTTTCCGTAATCCATTCCAATTAGCAGATTAGGGTAAGGCACAGCAGAGAATAACAGGAATGGCTAAACTGGGAGATAAATTTGACATTATTTAAAATTAATCAGAGATTCAGGGAAGTTAATATTTAAAGAGAAAATAGCACATCTTAGTCTCCTAGCCTATCTTAGTCTATGCAGGCCTCTATAACAAATATCTTAGACTGCATAATGTATTAACAATAGATATTTATTGCTCACATTCTGGAGGCTGAGAAGCCCAAGATCAAGGTGCCAACAGATTTGGTGTCTAGCGAGGGCTTGTGCTTCATAGATGGTGCTTTCTATGTGTCCTTACGTGACAGAAGAATAAAAGAGCCGCCTCGAGTATCTTTTGTAAGGCCACTAATTCCATTCATGAAAGCACAACCCTCATGATCTAATCACCTTCTAAAGGCTTCACCTCTTAATCCTACCACAATGGGGATGAGGTTTCTACATGACTTTTGGAAGGACACATTCAAACCACAGCACAGCCTTTCTGTGCACTCATTCCCTCCCATAATGTACTTTTTTTCCTTCTAAGCTTCTTGACAATAGATCATTCAGTGCATTGGACAATCATCACTTATCTACACTTGTATAATGTAATGATCTCTTCCCTAGCCGTTGTTGACTGCGCTAAGGATCAGATCCTGATTCTAGCTAAGCTGTTCTTGGTATAGAAACAATGAGGGAAAAGGAAACTGGAAGAGGCAAGTAGGGGGTATCTGTTTTTCATGTGACAGGTAGGTGAATGTAGGTGGAAGGTGCAAGCATCTTCCACTATGTAAATGGATAAACAAAGATTACTGGTCTAATGAGAATGAGGAAGGAAACACGTTTTAATTATTTAAAAAACAGTGATAAGTGGAGAAAGATTTCAATCAGCCCTAAATGCTATGCCCAATTATCTTCCTGCACCCTTGACCACCCACGTCCCTGTCATTTGACTTATTAAAGTTACTGAATTATTTACCTGATCCATTCTCCCTTTTTTAAAAACTGGAATTATTAAAAGACATGCCTGCACTATGTTTTAAATGACATACAATTCTCTGCTTTCTGAATTTCTTTCATTTCCCAGTAGATCCAGTTGTTATAAAGTGCTTCCTTATGTTGAACGTAAAGCAGTTTCCCTGTACTTTCCACTCGTCAACTCTATTTCTGCTCTTTGGGACCAAATAAAACCAGTAAAATCCCTTCTGTTTCTACCCGCCCATCCGACATCCGAAAGAAAGCATCCCAACTCTTCTCCCCATTCCATGAAGAAGTTTTTTTTTTCTAGGCTAAAAGTGCTCAGGTTATCTTTTTGTGTGTGTGTGTGCCATAGTTTAGAATCCCATGGGTTATGCTGGTCTCTTCTATCTGGTTATAATACAAATTGTTAATCTCTCTCTCCATGTCTAGATTCGGCTGGCTCAATATGTAATGATGTGGCCCTGTTACGTGCCTGTCTCTATGGTCCTACTTACATTATAAATAATCACTGCCTTGTGATTCTAACATCAAGAAGCTACAGTACTACATGGTGGTATTATGTTTGACATCAGACATGGCCCAACAGGGGAGAAGAATATGCTTCAACAGTTAGATGATTATGTTAATACAAACTGGGATTTTTTATTATGTTTGTCTCTTTCAAGACTGAATTTGATGTGATTGCTTCTGCTGATTCAGTACTAGGTAATGGAGGCTGAAATGTATTCCTCAGAAGATCCTCCGGGAACAGCCACCTGGGACTGACAGAGAGAGTCACTGGGTGTCACTGTTGAGTCATACAAATGCACTGGCCGCTTGCTTATAGAAGTCTGGCTCCTTAAAGAAGCTAGGAGAAGGAGGTTTGGGGTGGCTGCCTGTCTCCTCCTGGTCTGTGTCTCTTCACTAGGGTCAAGATAGAGCATCCCTCTCCCAGATTTTCCCTAAGAAGTATTGAGTCAGATGTGCCCATGTCAGTGTGGGCTTTAGCTGCTGTTTAATGAGTTGATCCATCCTTGATCTGCCTGATGGTGCTGATAGGGGTCTGCTTTTATGTATGTATGTAGTAAGTGATCACACCCCCACCCTAGTCAAAGAGGTCTCCCCCGCATACCCAGGACTTGCTGAAACTTATAGCTCTCTTCAGAGCAGATAAGCCCTTCCATTCCACTGTTTGTTCCAGATTCAGACTGTGATTTCAGTCTCAGTCAAGGGTCAGTGGCACATTTCAGGTTTTTTTTTTTTTTAATGGGAGTACTGATTTTGATAGAAATAAAGACAGGTGGAATTGTAGGCATTAGCACTTTGAAGGGCAAGGAGAAAAATAGATCAAAGGAGAGACGGGCCAAAGGTTACTAGATCAAAGGTAGATAGATCAAAGGTTACTAGAGACGGCTGAGTGCTCTAGTAACCTTCTATCCAAAAACTGACCCTGTTACTAACCCAGCCTGACCCACACATAGGCCATGAACTTTTGTTACCTCAGTGACTAAATATCCTTCATGAGATGGTCACTCAGGTTCATTGGCAGGTGTTCTCAATCCCTTTAGGTGAACGTCATGAAAATGCAAATACCAAAATACCACATCCCTAAAACTTTTTCTGATGTCTGAGGAAAGCCCTAGGCATCAGTATATTTATAAACCCCACATGTCACTAAGGAATTTCTAAAGCACATTCTTCCAGTCGTGATTGACTGATTCTATGCTTTCTGAAGATTGCACATCACATTACTTTTTTTAAAATTTTTGCTTCCTCTGGAATTCAGTACTGAGTTACATCCCAAGCAATCCCTCCAAAATGCAAATATGATTGACCCTCTGCTCTCTCCTTTTAAACTCCCGAATGTCTAATCACCACACATAAGTCAAGTGTAAAGACTGTGCCCTGTTACTCATGTGCTTCCTCATTGGCCCCTGCTTATTCCAGGACAGAACAGTTTCCATCCACACACTGGTTTAAGCCAGGGGCTCCCCACTTGGCTGCACACTGAAACTACCTGTGGAGCTTTTGAAAGCACTGATGTCTGAGTCCCATCCCCAGGACTTCTGCTTTACTGGTAGGGAAAGAAGCTCAGGCATCGTGAGCTTTCAAAGCTCCTCAGGTGATTCTAATGGAACACAAAGCTTTAGAATCACTATTCTTTGGTTTTCTCCCTTCTAGAACACACATTTTCTTATCCTCCTTTGGCCAAGCCATAGCTGTTAATCCTTCTTGACTCAACCCACTGATCATCTCCTTGAAGAAATCAACTCTGAACATACTCCTCTAGTCAAGTTAAAGATTTTTCTTAGGGATTCCATAGTTTCTTGTGCTTACTTAGGCTATTGTATCAGAAATATCTATATGTCTATTTTTTTACCTCTAGACTATAAGCTTATACTGGGTAAGTGAATTAATAGAACATGTATGTCATTGTGTGCCCAGTGCACAGCACAGAACTTAGCACCTATTAAGTGCCCAGGAAATATTTTGTAGGCTGGAACTACTGTTAATGGAGAATGCAAATGAGGTAATAAATGAATAATCAGTGACAATGAAAATAATTAAACTTTACTGTGTATATAGCCAGACACAAAGTATTACAGAGTCGTTACCTTATTTTACATTCCCAAAAATTCCCATTAGAAAGAGTGATCTCCATTTTAGCTTAAGAAGTTCAGGTTTAGAGGTGGTAAGTAGATGCTGTGCAGGCATAATTTGAAGGCTGGTCTGTCTGACTTCACTTTCAGTCACTTTACTGATTGCCTCTAAAAATAGAAAGGGAAGGATATCTAACCGATTTTCTCATTGGAGTTTTTACTGGGTTCTTTTTGCCAGGCATTATATTGGCTCTTTAAATACTTCATCCTACTTAACCCACACAACAACTCTATAAATTAGTATTATTAGTCCCATTTAATTGATAAGAAAACCAAGCCTCAGAAAGAAGCAAAGTAATTCAGGCAAGCCCATATGGCAAGGAAGTAACAAATGCTATATGAAATCCTGTGGCTCTGTGCTTGTCTGTCTTTAATATTCAGAGTTGCTCACTATGCTACAATTGCCTTATAATAGATGAGGAAGAAGAAAGGCAGAGGAGCAAGTAGGAGAGAGAGAGAGAACTGACTCCAAACATAGATCAGATACAAAAATGAATTTTTGGACTGACTTTGATAAGGACAGAATACCTCAAAGACAGAATTCTTTGTCTCTATTCTTTAGCAATTTTCCCCCAAGAGTCACTGGGACAAACGAGTAAAACAACTTTTCTTTTGAAAAGATTGGTTGCTTATTCTAAGCCTGCCAAAGATATCTGAAGTGTAACCAAATCTTTGTATTTGATGCCCTTGTGATTCCTTCATTTAGACAATTAGCACAGAATCTTACAGCCCATGAGCTTTGGTTCATGATTTTTTTTTTTAAGTGATGAGCACCTGAGGCTCACAGAGGAAAAGCTTGGCAAGGGTGACCTTGCAGAATAGTGGCCAGAACCCAGTTCTTTTTATTCCCCGTCTAGTGTTCTTTAGCCATGGGTTAACTCGGTGATTAAATATGGTTAAACATGATGAATATTTTAAAAGCTACTTGGAGTTTCTTGGTTCTAAAGTACTCTGAATGCCAAACGCAACATATTTTTATTGCCTATTTCTACCACATAACAAGGCCATTTGCTCTGTGGGATCTTGGTAATAGGGATAAGTAGGAACAAACAGAGGTAAGGTACAGATTCTTTTTCCTCACTAATGTGAACAGATGGCTTACAATGGGAAGTGGATACTGGCTGCAAAGATGTGTGAACCACTGTCACCCTGTGAATCTTTGAGAAAGAGTGGAAGAGGCATCTGGAAATTCAGTGGTTGAGCCCTGAATAAAAAGACACGTTAGGCCTCTCAGGACCTGGTTAAAGTTGTGGGAAGAACATCAGATTGAGAAGCAAGTTACATCTAGTGCTTTCAGGATCTAAAACTTTAGAGAAGCTGATAAACGCTCCTGTGCCTATGCTGGCTGATGTGTTACATAAAATGGGAATTACAATATTTGCCAATGTGCAAGCATGTTAGGTACTTGCATGCATACATTTTCTGATGGTGGTTCTTTTAATCTGTTCTCTCTCTTCTTTCTCTATCAATAATTTTTCTTCAAGGCCTAACAGTGTTGTTATTTTATAATCTTTCACCAGTCTCTTAATAAGAAGTAATTTCTCTTCCCTCTCTTCATCCTGATGTGTGCATGTGTATTTGCTATGATTCTTAATTCAGCATGCTTTTACTTGTGATTTGCTATCAGTATATCTACCTCCTTTACTAAATAGTTAAGTTCTTCTGGGCAAGAGCTATGTTTTCACCATTCCTTTTTCTTCCAGTAAAATTACACAATTTGTTTTGCATAGAGAAAGTTCTTATTCACCATTGATTATGTCATGTTAAATTGTAACCATAGACACTACCTGTGTTCTTCCAGACATAAAGTCTAAAAACTGAGTGTCCATTGTGAGTTATTTGAGAAAATGGCTACAGAAATACTTGGAAATTTACCAGATTATCACAAAGGATATGGAGGCAGAAGCAGAAATCGTGGATATGAGACTGCTCAAAATATATAACTTTAGGCAATCAATTCACTTTACTGGGCCTCAATTTTCTCATCTGTAAATTGGGGATGATAGTACTTGTCTTAACTACTTCCCAGTATGATTGTAAGGATGGCATGAGATAACATTTAAAGGCATTTTGCAAACTATATAGCACTATAGATAGGTCAAGGTTGAGTATTATTTTTATTATTGTTGTAATTGCGGTTATGTGTTACATAATGATGTTGTAGTCAACAGCAGAACACATATACAATGGTGGTCACACAAGATTATAATACTGTATTTTAATGTATCTTTTCTATATTTAAGTGTGTTTAAATACAAAAATACTTACCATAATTTATAATTACCTACAGTATTCAGTACAGTACCCTGTTGTACAGGTTTGTCGTCTGGCAGCAATAGACTATACCATATAGCCTAAGTGTGTAGTGGTCTATACCATGTAGGTTTGGGTAAGTACACCTTTGATGATTACACAATGACAAAATCATCTAATAATGCATTTCTCAGAAACTATCCTCATTGTTAAGCGATGCATGACTATATTACTACATCATAACTCTCTAAAATCTCATGTGGTTTACGTAACTATAATTCTGAACTTGGTGGAGTTTTATAGTAAAAATGGTAAATAAGAGATAACTGTATTAAAAATGGCCATGTTCTTTTGGTCTCCTTGGAAATTTCCTAATGAAACAAGAACTAAAATCTGAAATCTTTAGAATGCTAACAGAGCCAGAACCAATAAACATGTATAATCCAGGCAACCTATTGGCTACTCAGAAATAATAACAGATGAGAATGGGACTGGAGACCAAGGCAGAATGATCACTTGAGGCCAGGAGTTTGAGACCAGCCTGGACAATATAGTGAGACCCCATCTCTACAAAAAAAAAATCAGTAAAAAGAAAAAATAAGTATTCAGGTATGGTGGCTTTAGCCTGTAGTTTCAGCGACTTAGGAAGCTGAAGTGGGAGAATGGCTTGAGCCCAGGAGTTGGAGGTTATAGTGAGCGATGATGTGCCACTGTACTCCAGATGGATGAAAAAGTGAAATTCTGTCTCTGGAAAAAAAAAAATGGACTGGAAGGTATAAGAGGTAGGAGGAGTTTTCTCTTGAGCTTATATTAATCCTTGACTTCTCACAGCAACCTACAATCTTCTGATGTATTTGCCAGCAGTCTCACCTTCAGAGACGCCTCGGCCATTTCAGTGACTCTTTACCAAATTTGAACCCTGCCTTTTTGTTAGTGATCTTGAGCAATTCATTTTTGCTATCTGAATCTGTTTTCTCATCTGCAAGATGGGGGTACATACAAATAGAGACAATAGCCAGCATTTACTGAATAACTACAGAGTGTCCAACTCTGGGATGGTTTTTCTGTATCTCCCTAACAGCCAAGGATACTGCTGGGAAACTTAAATAACTTATTTTGCCATCCTGGCCCCTTTCCTCTATAAAAACATAATTGAAAACTATAATTTAAGACTGCACTGGCAAAAATACAGATATCTGGGCTGTGAATTGCTGAGAAAGGGTGGGACTTGGACTTGGACAAAGGTTTATTGGAATCCAAAGCCTGCACACTTTTATTTATTTATTTAGATTTTTTGACACGATGTCTTGCTCTGTCACCCAGGCTGGAGTGCAGTGGCGTGATCTCGGCTCACTGCAACCTCTGCCTCCCGGGTTCAAGCAATTCTCCTGCCTCAGCCTCTCAAGTAGCTGGGATTACAGGCGCATGCCACCATGCCTGGCTAATTTTTGTTTGTTTGTTTGTATTTTTAGTAGAGACGGAGTTTCACCATGTTAGCCAGGTTGGTCTCAATCTCCTGACCTCATGATCTGCCCACCTTGGCCTCCCAAAGTGCTGGGATTACAGGTGTGAGCCACCACACCCGGCCAAGCCTGCACTTTTTAACTATGAAGTAGTTAAATGACACAAATATCAGTTGCTGTAGCTATTGGTGATACATTCAGACTGCTTGGGTTTTTAAAAAAGTTCATTGACTAGGTCTTCAGAAAAAACAAAAATGAATCATTCTTGATCAGTTAATAAAAAATTGCTTGAAGGCCCCCCAGGTACCTATGTGGGAGCCAGGAAAGATAGGAATCACCCCATTGCATTCTTGAGGATATTGAGACAATACAAGCAAAGTAAGCACAAAGCATGGGCGAGCCATGGCACCTCCTTCTGCTCTGCAAAAGGCCCATTTTGTTCTTCATTAATCTATTCCAACACATTTTCCACTGTTCCAATCTTCCTCTCTCATACCCAACCACTCTCCACTAAACATATAATTCCTCTTCTCCCTTGCATGTTGCAAGGAAGTAGGGCTGGCATGGAGGCAGGGTTGCATCATGCCTTTTGTATGTCCTAGGTACTTTGCATGGGGGAACTCTTCCCCATAAAAAATATTTAAATAAATTTTTTGGCCACTTTGGTATAAACAAGGATACAATCTAGGCTGAATTCATTGTTATAGATTCAATATTATTATATATTTTCTTCTTTTTATTTAAAAACCGATCAAAATCAAAATATTTTTGTGCGCCCCTAAAAGTATTGTGAGCCTGTGCCTACTGTGCCTAATGGAAACTTCAATCCTGGGCGAAGAGCTTGGAAAACAAAATGTCATAGGTATGCATCAGTTTTCAGAAGTTTTAAATGAGTAATCTTTGAGTAAATGTAAAAACGATCCCTCTCCCCCTCTATACTTTCTTTCACTACAAACTAGAGGAGAATAATGCCCAACTTTGCTAGATTATGAAGACACTAAGTACTATAGAACAGGCTTTGAAACATAGTAAAGGATCTCATTAGTTACTGGATCCAGAGGTGATGGGTTCTCTGGATCCTATGCCTATGCTGGTGGCCAGAGGAGTGGGAATAAAATGACTGTCTGTGCCCCTAGAATCACCTGGGATGAGCACTTCTCCAAAGGGTTAAGGGAAGAGTCTTTCCTACTCAGACAAAAACAACAACAACAAAAACAAACAAATAAACAAAAAAAACCCAACTCCAATTTTTGTCACAATTTGTCACAATTGTAAGGTTCAAGCTAAAAACAGAAAGATACATTTACTTCCTACCCCCTCCCAAGGCACCCAATTAGAAATTTTACTTTAGATACATATGAATTCATTTGGATAAAATTATTCAACCAGTCACTAGTTCTTCTAATTATACTAGCCTTTTTCACATGAATATTAGGAGAGCTATTTGACAAATGCCTTGCTCAAGTGCAGATATATCTTCTCTACCAAATTTCTCTGGTCTAGTAAACTTAATATAGGAGAAAATGAGGCTAGTTTAACACAGAGGCAGCTCTGAAAATCTTATGTGGAAGATAGCAATTAATTTGGAGGGGCCGGGTACTAGACACTTTTCCTAAAGCAGTGAGCAGAGCGAGCATTCTATATTTATTCATATAAGTAACTGGAGGAGGTTGGTGGAGATTATAAGAACTTTAAGCAGTTATGGTCCTTTCAGGGCACCTCAAAATACTGCCCACAGCCAGGAGTTTTACTACATAAAACTATGCTGAGCCCTAGGAATCACTGGTTTCCCTTTAACCACTGTCAAGCTGAGCCCCAGATAATGAGAGATAAGGTGAATATGCCATCGCAGCTCTCTCAGGGACCTCTCAATCTTTCTAACAACTTATTGTTCTAGAATCATGCTTAAGATGGGTGTCAAAACCACCAGTCTCTATTTTGTCAAACTCAACATATTTCCATGTTTCGAAAATAAGAAGGACATTCATTTGTCTCTCATATTCCATCCTCTGTCTTTATCTTCTGATACACATTCCCTGATTCAGCAAAGATTACAGTGAATAGTTCAGGGATAATAGAGGCATATACAAATAGTCTCCTCCTTCACAAAGTTGCCCCCCTACCTCCCATCACGCTATAAAAAGGAGGGAATAAATAGAATTGGATTTATAAAACCTGGACTTAATTCAGGCTCCCACACTAACTAACTGGGTCATTTGAGCAAATATTAACTTTTCCGAGTTTGGTTGTCTGCAAGATGACTTAATAATAACTGATTTGTCTACCATACAGGATTTCTGTGACACCTAAATGAAATTTTGTTTATGAATGCACTTAAAGCCAGCAAATAGGTCTATTTCATAGACGGTAGAGTGCTATAATTATTGCTATTATCACTATATAGCTTTTATCTTCATAGCATCAAACATCTGACTACGAACCAGATTTCTATTATCTTCTGTTCAACAGCCTCACAGCCTAAACCACTCACTGACATTATTTGTACCTCCTGGAGAAGCATTTCAAGAACTTCACTAAATAATCTTTATTTATATTTGGCTGCTACTACTCTGGACAGAAGTTGACTGTTATTTATCTTTAAGATGCAATTTTCTTCTCTTTCTTTTAAATCTATGTTCTGTGAATGGGTCTTTTACATCAAAAAAATTGTTTTATTTTACACATCCTCCTATAGAATAGCTGACAGTATTAACTGCAATAATAGAATTTCATTATCAGAAAGAAAAGTGTTTCTGGGATGGATATCTAGTTGTGAGGAGGAGGTGGGAGGGGAATAAGAGAAGGAAGCATTTCAGATCAATATAGTCCCATTGTCTGACTTTCCCTTTCATTGGTATATCAGAAAAGAAGGCAAGCTAAAGTCCCACAAAATTAAAGGGACACATGCAAGAAGGAGAAGTACCAAATTGAGCTTTTGTTGGAAATTGTTGAGGAGGAGGGCAAATCGCCTTTCAAATCTTCAAATGCTTTTATAAAGTTCCCTTAAAACATTTTCGCTGACTTTCTTTTCTTCCCTCCTTTTTCAAATGTAAATCACATTTTGAATATTTTTATATTATTCTAAAAAATCACCTACAAGTTTATTCAGTGAAAGAACTCGAGGGAAATACAGATAAATGAAAACACATTTTTAGATGGACAAACTGTGTTAGTCATAAACAAAATCATGCAAATGAAAGCACTATATAAACTACAGCCTTTTATACATGCAAAAGTTTATCAATTGATTTGTTGATGCTTTTATATTGTGATAAATAAAATAGCAAATGTAAAGTAGTATCTGACACATAGTTAACCCCAAGTAAGTAAATATTAAATTTCTTCCCCTTTTGAGGACAAGATAGCTTCACTTGGGTCTCATCCATAGAGCAAGCACATATTAGAGAAAAATGTATCTATACATCGTTGCCAGCCTTTTTTACTTAATATATTTTACATCAAAGTCACAGTGATTGATTGTGTGTCCTGGGTGTTGGCCACTTTTTGGAATGAACTTGTGAACTTCTTCATCTCATTTGTGTGGCAAGAGATATCAAAGGTCTTAAAAATTTTTATTTTCCCTTTGATGCAATAATTTTACTTCCTGGAATATATCATGAGGCAGTAATCCTACAACCAGAAAAAATTTTATGTACTGAAATGTTTACCACAACCTTATATGCACAATAAAAATGTGTAAACAAATTTCATTTATAACAATAGGGGAATGATTAACTCAAGCTGAAGGCCAGTAGCAGCTATGCTGGCTCAACTAACTGTGCAGAACCAGTCCCCAGTACAATGCTGGTTGAAGATTCAATATGTATTTGTGAAACTGAATAATTTTACAATGTTAACAACCATGAAATTATGCTATATGAAATTAGTCACAGAAAAACAAATACTGCATCATTCCACTTAAATGAGGTATGTAACATAGTCAAATTCATAAAAGCGAAGAGTAGAATGGTGGTTACCAGTGGCTGGAAGAGTGGACAACGGGAAATGGCTGAACGGGTGTGAAGTTAAATTATACAAGATGAGTAAGTTTAAGTTATGCAAGATGAGTAAGATCTGCTGTACTACATGGCTCCTATAGTTAACAATACTATGGCTGGGTGCAGTGGCTCACGCCTGTAATCCCAGCACTTTGGGAGGCCAAGATGGGCAGATCACAAGGTCAAGAGATCGAGAGCATCCTGACCAACCCCATCTGTACTAAAAATACAAAAATTAGCTGGGCATGGTGGTGCGTGTCTGTGGTCCCAGCTACTTGGGGACTGAGGCAGGAGAATCGCTTGAACCCGGGAAGCGGAGGTTGCAGTGAGCTGAGATCATACCACTGCACTCCAGCCTGGCGACAGAGTGAGACTACGTCTCAAAAAACAAAACAAAGCAAAACAAAACAATACTATACATGGAAAATGTTTGAGTGAGTAGATCTCAAGTTAAGCGTTTTTACTACACACTCAAAAAAAGGGAGTGGAAAGAAACTTTTGGGGGTGGTGTGTATGTTTATTACCTTGATTGTGGGGATGGTTTCATGTGTGTATATATATGTTCAAGCACGTCAAATTGTAGATATCAAACATGTGCAGTATTTTATGTATCAATTGCCCCTCAATAAAGCTATTAAAAACAGAAATAAAAGATGTTTCTAAGAGTATTAGAAAAAATGAAAATTACTGATAATTTGTTTTAATTTAATTTAAATGTTAAACCCCTCCAAAGTATAATGTATTATAAGACTACACTGTAGTCTACTATATAAATATAATTCTGTTATATTATATGTAAGAGCAAAAGGAAAGAATCCAAAATGTTTATGACTGTCTCTGCATATTTTTTCTGTATCTTTCCAGTGTCTTAAAAGCAATTAGTACTTATTAGTTGTATGATGAACAAAAAATACAGATTATCTTAAACTATTTCTGTTCCTCTTTTTAAATTAATATACAATATTTAGACATAAATATATGGAGTACATGTGATATTTTGCTACATACATAGAATGTATAATGATCAAGTCAGAGCATTTAGGATATCCATCACCTCCAACATTTATCATTTCCATGTGCTGGAAACATTTCAAATTCTCTCTTCTAGCTATTTTGAAATATTAGCTCAGGGATGTCTCCTTTAGAGCTAAACTATAATGGAGTAAGGTAGGAAGCCTGTTGGTAGTAGCTTTCCCATCTCTCCAGTCTTGCTTCCCACTGAATTATAAATTCTTCAAATGCAGGAAGAAAAAATCCTCACATTTTCTCTGTACAACAATGGCCCGTTATTATAGTTGGTTTATAATAGGTTCTTAATAAATATTTTGCATTAATTAATGCATAGTGATCCTGAGAATATACTGATGAGTCATCAATTTTTGATAAGAAAATAGTAGTTACTTGATAGTTAAAACAAAAGAAAATAAAACCGGAAAATATTTCATGTCTACTTCATTATTTAAAATTTTAATCAAAAGCTTAATTCATTTTTTAAACATATTTGTTTGCCCTATTTTATGATACAAAAATTGTTGTAATAAATGCAAAAAAAGTATAACCAGTTACCTAACATTTCTCTATCCAATTCTTCCTTACTAAAGTAACCAAAGATAACCATGTACTATATATCTTTCCTCATATTTCTCTTTGATTATACTGACCTATGCAAGCATTTGCAAATATTTAAGAGTTTTGTTTGTTCATTTAAAAAACTTTTATTTTGAAATAATTATAGATTCACAGAAGTTTATTCATAAGAATAGTACAGAGGGGCTCAGTGTACCCTTCACCTGGTTTCTGTCAATAACATCTTACATAATTATAGTATAATATCAAACAGTCATGCAGTCCAGAAAACTTATTCAGTTTTCACCAGCTTTACAGGCACTCATGTGTGTGAGTGTGTAAATTTGGGTAGCTCTATGTAATTTTATAGCATGCATATTCATGTAATTACAACAATAATTGAAATATAGATCTGTCTCATTACCACAACATTCCCTCATGCTACCATTTTATAGTTACATCCATCCCCTCCTCCTTTCCTTCTCCCCTTCTTTAATTTCTGCCAACCATAAATCTGTTACACATCTCTAAAATCTTGTCATTTGTCCGGGTGTGGTGGCTCATGCCTGTAATCCCAGCAATTTGGGAGGTCGAGGTGGATGGATCACTTGAGGTTAAGAGCTCAAGACCAGACTGGTCAACATGGTGAAACCCTGTCTCTACTAAAAATACAAAAATTAGCTGGACATGGTGGGGCATGCTTGTAATCCCAGCTACTAGGGAGGCTGAGGCAGGAGACTCACTTGAACCCAGGAGGCACAGGCTGCAGTGAGTCAAGATCATGCCACCACACTCCAGCCTGGGAGACAATGTGAGACTCTGTCTCAAAAATAAATAAATACATAAAATCTTGTCATTTTAAGAATATTATATAAATTGAATCATACAATACATATGTTTGTTAATTTTTTACCATATATAATTACATTATTTACATTATACTACATCTCTGCATTTTTTTTCTCCACTTAAAAATAAGCTATATGCAACCCCACAGGGAAATGCACATGGTTATAATATGTAACCCACTAATTTTTAATACACATGTAATTACATATATATAATTTATATTATCAGAATTATATTTTACAGCCTTTCTTTTTAAGCTTGGCTTTCTATGTGCTCCTCCTCTCTTATTTTCCCTCCAACCAATTTGATACCAGGCTTTCCCCCCACCCCACTCACAACTAAGTAATCATGACAACACCTTGATATAATTTTATGCATTTTTGCCATATTCAACATATATATGTACATACATATATGTTAGAATAGGTATGATTTATATATAGTATGTGTATATAAAGAAAGAATGCAAAGATGAGCAGTAATGTAAATACTATGTTTCTGTTTGTTAAAAATGAATACTACCATCTTGGTTCATTAAAAAAATAGGGTTGTATTACATACACTTTTAACATCTTGAGTTTTTCAATAATACATTTGGGATATTCTCCAAGTAAATTGTTGTAGCTATAACTGATATTTTACTTGCTTGAAAGAATTCTGCAGTTTGGACATATTCTGTAGTGTAGTGCAATGTTCATCCCCTCTAATACTGAATGGAATTTGCCTTTTTTCCAGTTTTTGACACTTGCAACAATGTTAAAATAAGCGTCCTTATATGAGTGGGTGTGTCTGTGAGTGTGTGTATGTAATTACATATACTTCCTGTGTATATAACATACACACACATATATATCTATATATTTAGAGAGAGAGAGATAATTAGTTTTCTATTGTCACTGTAACAATTTAGCACAAATTTAGTGGCTTAAAAACTTATTCTCTTATAATTCTGGAGATCAGAAGTCCTAAAATGGGTTGGCAGTTCCTTCTGGAAGCTGTAGAAGAGAAATTATTCCCTTGTCTTTTTCATCTTCTAGAAATTGCCTCATTCCTTAGCTGGTAGTCCCTTCCTTACATCACTGCAAACTCTTGCTTTCATAATCACATATCCTATTTTTTAACTCTGGTCCTCTTTGCTCTCTTCTAAAGACCCTTGTGATTCCATTGTGTGCACACAGATAAATTAGGATAACCTCCCCATCTCAAGATCCTTAATTTAATCACGTATACAGGGCCCTTTTTATTATGTAAGGTAACCTATTCACAGGTCTGGACATCAAGTCATGAATATGCTTGGGGGTCAGCTTTTCACACAAATAGATGTTTATGTTTCACTTCCAAAAGATAGATTAACTGGACTGGAAATTCTGAGTTGAATATTATGTTTCACTTCCAAAAGATAGATTAACTGGACTGGAAATTCTGAGTTGAATATTATGGTGGATTCCTTTATTACTCAGCAAATATTAACTCTGTTCCTCCCCATACCTAAGGTTTGAGTGCATTTTCCCATCTCAGTGAATTTGGACTTGTTATAATCAAAGGAATTTGACTTTAAAGCGTAAATTCTGAGCACCCTCTTGAGTTTTGCCCTACCTCGTGAGAACAACAGGGCCTCGATAGTGACTACTTTTTGAGCCTAGTTTCCAGAAAGAAAAACAACCAAAAATAGCAGAGTCATGGTAATCCTCAGACCTAGAAAATAAGTGTTTGCTGTGAGTCACAGTGATTTGAGAGATTCTTTGCTATCACAACAAAAGCTGACTAACACATAGAATATGAATATAATTAGTTTTAGTAGATATTACCAAATTGTTCTCCAAGTCCTATAACAATGCAAATTCATACAAACAATGTATGAGAGTATTTTTTCTTCTGAAACTCTGCTACTCTACTAGAAATTAAAAATGATCTCTTATTAAATGTTGCTAATGTGGTGGACCATAAAGGTATTGCTCAATATACTTGTAAGTTTTATTTCCTGGACTACAAAAAATATAAATATTACTTCATATTTTCACTTACTATTTAGACTTGATAATGACAACTGCTTACTTTTCTTTAGTCCTTTTTCTTTAAATTTGTAATAAATTTCAAAAATGATTTCAAACCATTTCTTCTGTCATAAGGTTGGAAAATATTTTATATTTCTCCCAGTCTAATGTTAGCTACTTACTGTGTGTGTGCATGTGTGTATATATATATATATATATAATATTCTATAATTAACAACACACACTATATATACATATGTAATATTCTAATTTTTTATTAAACAAATACGTTTGTTTTTATTTCCTCCCTTTACTTTCTTGATTATGAAGGTTTTCCCTATGCTTAAAATGTCTTGTGATACTTTTATTTAGTTAATCATTTATTTTTGTATTTAAGTTTCTAAACCATCTGGAATTTATTTTATCTATGATGTGAAACAGACTCAAACTTAATTTTCTTCCAGATGGGTAGCCAGTTGTGCCAGCATCATTTAGTTTAACCATTCTTTTCTCCAACATTAATATGCTGCCTTTGTTCCATTTTAAATTCTCATATAAATATTTTGACTTATTTTAGGATTTTGAATGTATATTTCATGTCATGAAATTTTCTAAGTCCTAAAGTTCTAATACATAACAAAAGAACTAAATTTCCCGTTCTCATTGAGTTTATAGTCTAGATGGAAAAATCAGAAAATAACAACTGGCTAGCTAAATATATAAATAAAGATTTGATGGTAATAGAGTAACGTAGGAGATAAAGATTCAAGAATGTTCTTTTAGAAAGGGGGCCCAGTGATGTCCTTTTTCATAAAATGACATTTGAACAGACACCTGAATGGAGCTGAAGAGCAATTTATGTGTATGTCTAATAGCAAAGCTTTTGAAGTAGAGGGAACAGCACATGTAAGCGTCCTTAAACCGGAATATACCTGGCATGCTTTATCTAAAAAATGGCAAGGCTAATGTGACTGCATAATGTGTCAGAATACGTAGTCAATTATCAGCCTAGACAAACTAATTCATTTTCTATTCTTATTCCAATATTCTGAGTTAAACACAGGGCTATTATAATACATTCTAATATCAGTAAGGCAAGGCAACATTTGCTATTCTTCTTTTGATGCTTTTCTTGTATAGTATTTAAGACTTTATATAAACTTTAACATCATTTTCAAATGGTCTTCTTTGCCTAATAAATAAGCGATGAATATATACTTAGATAGAAAGATAAAATTTACATGGGGTCCTTCCAATTGGAATTGACTTAATTTTTATATTATACTTTAATCTCATATTTTATATTAATTACTTTAATATTGGTCCATTATTGTAATGTGTCTTCGCATACAAAGGCATGCCATTCTTTTTAACAGGTTTTCGTTTTATTTCGTTTTGTTTCATTTGTATCTTTCACTAAAATTATATAGGGATCCTGTTCCTTTATGTTAAATTTATTTCTAATCATTTTATAAATTGGTGGCTATTTTAATTATTTTTTGATTGCCCTTTTCCATTGCTTATTGCAAGAATAGAAAGAATATGCTTATTTTGTACATTTATTTTATATCCAGCCACCTTACCAAATCTCTTATTATTTCTTAGTTTTTTTTTTTAACTGAAACTTGAGGTTTTCTATGTATATAACCTTGTTAAAGCAAAAGAATTTTAAATCTATTGTCCTCAAATATTTAATTAAAATTATTTAATTTTTCTGCTTTTGATATTTGGTAGAATACAAAACATCTTTGAGTGCTAATGTAGGTAGCAGTCATTTTTTTTCATTTTCCTGATATTTATCATATTACATAATCTTACTCAATTGTTATTTAACTACAATTTCTTAAGAATGGTTCATGAATTTATTAAATATCTTTTTAGAATCTTTCACTATATTCGGCTAGTTTTCTTCCTTCGTACGATAATATAGAGAATTATGTTGATATATTAGAATGAACCTTACATTCAAAGAATAAATCCAGCTTCAAAATGATTTTCTAAATATTTTCTATTATTTGTTTAATTTTTTTCTTCTATATTTATTTATTTTTCCTATTTTGAGACTTCTACTAATGGTGTACTAAAGATCTTGTATTTTTATCAAAGTCACTTATAGCTGCATTCTTGATTTTTATTACCTTATGTATTTTACTTTGTGATTTTTTTCTGTGTTCTCTATTACTCTCACATATTAGTTACTGGAAAAGTGATGTTTTATAATATTAAATAATCTTATCCAAGGGTATATATTGCAATAAGATTGTATATGATTATACATATTTTTTTCTTTAATAATGTTTTAGTTGTTTAGGCTGACTTCTTTTCACCTCCAACTCTGTTTTGTTTTCTGTGCTTCCTCTCTATCTAGTTGCAGACTTTTGTTTTCCGTGCTTCCTCTCTATCTAGTTGCAGACCCTACTGGGTGTCTTGTTATGTTCTTTTGACTGCTCCCTGGAGCTCCCGTGAAACCTTAAGTAGGGGAGGCTAATGAGATGGGAAGTGCGTAAATATTTGGCCTGTAGAACAATGCATAGTTGCAGCTGATAGTCCATGCCCTGATAGAAAGCAGGGCCCAGACTCTTGTGTTCCCTAGTCTTCTCTTCTCTTCTCACTTCAAATATTCCTCTCCCAAGTATGCCAGCAGATACAACACACTAAGCATGACCCATATAAACCTACACCTCTGGAGGTTCAAAAGACATGGTGGGTCAACAATTCACAATGATCGCCCACTAGTCTCTAGGCTTTCTTTTGACTTGAAGGGGAATCCATTCCTCATATTTGTTTCCACTAGGATTGTGAGAAAAGCTGAGGCTTGACAACACTCTCTAGATGCTGCATATCTGCTTGTCCTAGTTCTGCTCATCACAGTAGCATATTCAAGGCACCATTTTGAAGAACCTTTTTAAGGCTTAGTTTTGGAGGGAATAAAACATATTAGAAATCAGGCCATTTCTGGAAACAGTGTACATGTTGTCCCGCCTTTGCCAAGTCATGAGACATTAATGAAATGTATTACTTTTGTGTCACATATTACTCAATATTATTATTTTATTATTATTTTTCAAATTTAGAAGCACTATTTCCATAGTTATGCATACCTTTATGAACATTTTTCTCTCATGAGACAGAGAATGAGAGAGACTCATTTTCTTTTAAAAGAAAAAATATGTTGAATTATTTGCTACATGTAAACATTTTATTAATAATAATCTCTCTTATCTGCATGCTTTAAAGTCACTTTCAAGATTCCTGACATAAATTATCTTATTTGATTCCCACCATGATTCAGTAATATAAGGGCATAATAATAATAACAGTTGTAAATCATGAAATGCTTATTACTTAGTATATCTTATACAAACAATTATCACCAACTCTTTGGAGAATGTACTATTATTACCCACATCTTACAGACGAGAAAAATAAAATATAGGAGTATTAAGGAAGTTGCCCAAAATTATGTCTCTAATTAGTGGTGGAACTAGAAATTGGTATCCTCAAATTCTAATTATGGAATATGCACCCTTAACTACCATGTAATCATACAAGATAAATGTTACCATTCATATTTATAGATCAGGAAACTGGTGGAATCAGCTGGTTTGCTTGCTCACGATCACTTAGAAAGTAAATGGTGAAGAATAGACTAGAAATCCTGTCTTCTGATTTGACATACACATTTCTCTCCAGATTATAATATGTAACTAGTATACCCTGTCCCACTGTAGGCACTAATCAGTGTGCAATCATTGAGATCCATCTGGAGATATTACAATACCATTTAATTTAGCCATGGTTAAAATTAAGTTTCTTAAGAGATTCATATATGTATTTCTTAGGCATTCTGGAATAGGAAGAATTCTTTTAGTGTTATTACTGGTGCTGCAGCTGCTGTAGGTTAATCTTATTATAGCTGTTATCTTTTGATTTCATTTAGAATTTTTTTCTCTTTTTATATAGATTTTGACAAATAAGAAAAAATAAATTCAGTTGCAAAGCTTTTGTAAAATGCAAGCTGATTTCTGCCATTATAAAGAAAACGTCAACAAAAAAGCAAATGGAATGATTTTTAAAATTTAAATTGAGTCAAGTTTCAGAAATGTGAGTTCATTCAAGTCAATGAGTATTCACTGAGTTGTTATGACATGCTGGGCACAATGCTAGGCACAGTGGGAGGTAAAAAGATTATAAAAGTAGTCTCTGCCTTTAGGGGGCTCTGATTCAATGGAAGAGACAGGAATGTACACAAATAATCTTAATATTAGCCAGACTGTTATAAATGTCATAACAAAGGGACTGAGAAAGTGCAATAGGGATATAAAAGAAAGATATTATCTCCAACTGGGCGAACTTGAGCAAACAAATAAACTCCACAGCTGGTGCAATAAAATGTGATTTCAAGAAAAAATACTTTAGTTTTAATTGCTTTCAATGATATTAGGCAAGTTGCCAAAAAAAAGTTTTCTTCAACATCAAGTTATATCTCAAGAATATCACTTTAAGAAGTTGAACTACTCATTTTGATATTTTAGAATAAAATATCCAATGTGAAAGTTACCTGAGTGGTTAGTTTTAATAGCCTATTTGTTTTTCAATGGTGCAAACTAACTTTGTAGACAGAGAAAGTACTTTCCAAAGGTAACACAGGACAGACCACTGAGTAGTTCAAATTAAGATACGGGTCACATGACTTTGGCTGAGCCTCTTTTCTATTTCACTGGAATCCTCCTCTCTAGCTTTTATTTCTTCATTCGTGCATCCCTCTTCACAAATATCAAGAAGATTTTACTCTGTGTCATACACTGGGTTCCTGCCCCATTGAGATCAGAATGGGCTCTCTTGTTTGAAATCATGACGAGTCACGTGAAATTTCAATCACAATTAATTCAGCATAGATCATAATGTGCTGTCTTTTGCGTATTTATTTCAACTCTAATGCGTGGTTATTATGTGGTGATTAAGCAAAGGTGCTGCAGACTCGGATGGCCTGGATTCAAATCACAGATACACCACTAGCTAATTTTAGAAAAAAATTCCTTAAAACTCTATGCTTCTATGACTCATGTTTAAAATGGGGAGAATAATAGTGCCAGCTTCATAGTTTGTTGCAAAGTTTAAGTAATCGAATAGGTGTTAAAAATTTAGAACAGTGCCTGGAGCAAAGTAAGAATACTCATTGCTTTTTCTGTGCTTTACTTTCCTCCACTTTAGGAGGAAATTGTTAGAAGAAGGTGGTGAAGATGGTAATGAACAGGTATTTGAGTAGTCAAATGTCCCACATTTGAACTTTAATAACAAAATTTAATAGTTTTGTCAACTGACTATCCATGAATTACTAGTACCATTACCTTTGCTCTTAGACATATGAAGAAACTAGAGCTTAGAGAAGTCACATAATTTCATAGAAGACACAGATAACAAGATTTAGAGGAATTTTTTCAAGTTTTTAGTTGCTGGGATTCTGTCTGATTATGTATGCCACCAGATAATTCTAAAAATTATTAATTTTAGATTCTAGCTTTCAGTATAGAGATCTTTTAAAATATTGCCTCTGGAAAGGCAAGTTGAATTTTTATATACACCGGAAAATAAATGTAAGCAATGTAAACATATGGCTATCGATTCCTTATTTCATGGCTCCATTTCATGCATCTCCTCATTCTCTAAGTTTAACCGTGATGATTATTTTTCTTTTCCAATCCTTGAATAGGTCATGCTGCTTCTGACCTCTTTACTTGTATACATGTTTGTTTGCTCTCTGCTTATTTCAGTTCTACCCACTCTTTCCAACTTACAAATACACAGAAACAAATACCTTGCCCCTACCTTTGCCCATCTGGTTTCTACAGGTTACGCTCAACCACAAATTTAACATCAAATTATCTCGGCCACTTTCCCTGCCTCCCTCCATAATCTGTTTGGATGTCTTCCTCTGTCTTCTGCATTGCCTTATTTCCCTTTACCATTGCACTTATTGTGCTATATAAACCATACTGTAGTTGTCTAAGTGTCTTTATCTCTTACTAAATTATATACTCCCTAAGAATTGGGACTGAGTACCTTGCATTTACTGTTTAAATTCCATGCCTCATTCAGTTGATCCTGAATTGCACCTCCCTCAATAAGTATTTGATGAATAAAAGATTGACATAGTGAATGAATGAATGAAAAACTGTATTTGTCATTAGACTTCCATACTAAAAGCTACAACAAAATCTCCATCTCCGACAGCAACAAATAAAATTGATAGAAAGAGTTAAGTAACTATGTATCTTCAAAGGATTTTTAAAATACTTGGCATAGATAAATCATTTTTTAAAAAGCTTACTCTCGAATGTAAGCCCATTTGTAAATTACAACATTCATTTCCCCACATTTGCTTACCTTGGACTAGAAAGACACTGAAATGCCATTTTTAGGACAGAGCTCTCATCCAGAGATTTGTACATAATTCATAGTTTAAGTTCTGCAAGTTTGCATAATAAATAGTTTAAATACTGCAGCAACAGAGCTGGAGAGGAAATTAGGATTCTGAATGAAAAAGTTAATTATACCTCCAAGGAGTTTTTTTTTTTTTTTGCAATACATTAAAAACAAGCTTAGAAGAGGATAATTTAGGCTAAAAAGAGATGGAAATGAAGAAGATTATGGGAGTGGTGATAACTGACAAGTTGTCTTATTAAGTGGGGGTAATTAGGCTAAATTAATTTTAAAATTGTAGTAGTGCATTCTGGATCAACAATAGCGTAGATAATTTCCGGGGCTAATGATCTTGCAGCTGGGGTCCTTTCTGTTAGATGGACTCTGTTCTTGACATTATTGGCCATTTTCTCTGCTTTACCCATTCTATTTAGGTAACCTGGGGGGTATAGTTTAAAACTGGAATTCCCACCCATTTAGCTAGGCTGCCAAAACAGATCAAAGAACAAGCGATTCTCATCAAGGAAAAGTGGCGTTTTGTGAAAAGACATCACAGGATATTTCTTCATCTATTTGTATATCTGTTCATCTGCCTAGCCAAGATATGAATACTATTACTACTAATAATAAATAGTATTAGTATATAATTTTCAAAGAATTTAATATAGGTCTTGGTACTGTACTATGTCACATACATTATCTTGTTAATTTAAAAACAAAAAAAAAAAGCCCTGTAAAATGCACACAAAAACATTAAACCCAAACTAAGGACTCAGAGCAATGAAGTGTCCTGCCCAAGAACAATCAATTAATTAATAATTGGCAGATTTGGGGTCTGCTCCCCAGCAGGATGACACTAGTGCCACTGCACACCCATTTGCCTTATGCTGGTGTCAAGAACAGAAACCATCACTTGAAGATTTTGTAATCTGAGAAGCAGAGACATGAATAGTGGGAAAGATTCACCTTTAAAAATGAATATTGGAGCATAGGGAAGAGAGAAAAAAATTAATAAAAAAAAAGAAACAGAGGGCTTAGACTCTAGTCTTAAATAATCATGACATAGCTTGTGAAGTTGAGTTTATTATGTGACCATTATAGCCGTCATATTCCATTATGTAAAAGGAGGCAAATAACAAGACTTTTAACTTACTGAAAAGACATTCCAATCATGGTGATAACTCATTCCTGTCTAAGGGAATGCCCCTTCAAGTCCCTCCTATGGTTAACTGTCTCTGTTCACATCCCCTGCTGAAAGAACAGCACAATAGCCTTGATTTCCAGCATGGAACAGGCTAACATTTCCTACCCCTATGCTTGTCCACCACAACTGCTCTAGATAGAGCAACCAACTTATATGCAAACTGGAAGAGTATGAGTTAGCTTGGTAGGAAAATTTCTACTCAGAGTCACACCCTTACTCTTGGAAATGTGTACTGCAAAATCAGATTAAATGAGGCAGTTGATACCTTGATTTTTCTCTATCAGCGCACAGTCTGTGCACCACCAAAGGCTGGCAGATCTTACTTAAAAAGAGACTGAATCTGCCCACTTCCTACCACCTCTTCTTCTACTGCCCCCTTTGTAGCCATCAGCATCTCTCCTGTGAATTATTCCATTATCTTCTGCCCTTGCCTCAACTAGATTTATTTTTAGCATAGCAGCCAGAATGTAATTCCTTTGTTCAATAGCTTCCCATTCCTCTCAAAGTAAACCAGAGCATTTAAGATAGTTTGCAAGGCTCTCCACAACCTGGATCCCTGCCTTACCTATTTAACCTCACTTCCAACAACTGCTGCCCTCCCTGCTCATTTCACTCCAGCCACTCTGGCCTCTGTTTTTCTCCTTAATGTTCCGACCACTTGCTCCCATGCAAGGACCTTCACATTCATTTTTAATTTCCTTTACAATGTTCTTCTCTGACATATCTGCATGACTCACTCTCTTGCCTCATAAAGGTCTTTGTCAAATTTCACCTTCTCAGGAAGACCTCTGACCACTCTGTTAAAAACTGTAAACACTTATCCCCACCCAGGTCACTTCTCATCCTCTGTCCCTGCTTGACTTGTCTCTATTGTGTGGATTATCCTCTAATCTAGTAGGTTATTTACTGTCTATATCTCCTACCTAGAATGCAAAGTGTCTGTAAGCAGGGGTTATTGTCTGTTCATGACATTAATGTATCACTAGCATGGCAGACATTGCTGTTACACAATAAATATGTGTTAGATGTTGGTTGAATAAGTGAATAAATAAGTGAATGAAAGGTGCAACGAGAAGCCAAAAGACCAGCCATAAAAGGCTATTACTGAGTGATAGAGTTCAGCAAATAGAATCTACCAGACAGAATCTATGGCTATAGAGAGTAGATGTAAAGTATAGAATAAAGAAGTAGGTGAAAAAAACTAGAACAATGACGTCTTGGAGGGAGGAAGCACAGATTCGTGTTTTAAAGTCCAAGGAACCACCTTACACTCCAATTTTCCTGTGACCCAGCTTGCTATATGGAAACACCACTAAGATTTCAGATCAATCATAGTTACTCTTAAACTCCATCCTCTGCCTCAAGAGTCTACCTTAGATTCAGTCTTTGTTTTTAATACTTAAGCCCAAATAAACCTTTGCCAACAATTCTGAATTGTTTTGGCATGCGAAATGTTTTACCTGGCACCTGTAGGTATACCAACTCATTGAGTAACTCATTGACTCTTCCTAGAAATGTTTCATCATAAACATTGTTATGACCATTTTACAAGAATCAGAATCTCCAAGAAGGTAAGTCATTTACCAGAGTCCCACATGGTGTTGCAGCAGGCCTGAGATTACAGTGCAAACTTTCTGACCTCAAGATCGTGGTCTTGGCTGTTTTTCTACACTGCAGTGCCTCTTCAGGGTTTTATGGGTAGCCTTTTTCTTCAAAGGTGCAACCACGTAATTGTCTATATGCATCCTTCTTATGATTCTGAAACTCTTTCAATTCTTGTGTCCTCACCTAGCATTACCTTTCAGAAACATTTAATTTGCTACCTTAATTTTTGATGGACCCATAGAGCTAGGGAAACGTAAATATCTTTGTTCCTTCTTTTATCTTCTGAAGATGCCATTTTGCTTTTCTGCCCCCAACCCATATCTTCCAGTAAGTAACAAGCAGGATCATGGCCAGCGATGTATCAGGACATTCAGGAGCCAATTACACAGGGATGGAACAGACACTTGACAAGCAAGAGCACCCTTCTGGCCTTGATGGACAGCTGATCAGCAATTAAAGGGATGGCTTATGGCTTAAAGGAAAGAGTGCTACTTATCTCATGAGCACATACACATATATACATATAAAATACATCTTTCCAAAGTCTCTGAATCACACAAATATTGTCTTGGACCTCCTTCTTCATACATACGTTAGCTAATATAAATAGCTTGCCCAACGGCACACAGATCATCAGGATTCTGTTTCCTAATCTGCTCAATTGTTCTTTTCTGGTCGGTATGTTGTCTCTTGACTTTTGGAGATAAAACTCAGTTTTTGGCCTTATTTCCAAGACTCACCATGGTGTGAACATTCTCAGAGCTATCCTTCCTCTGTATCCCAGCCTAGAAGCCACTTCTTCCATGAAGGCTTTCACTCTCATCATCCCTTTTATTTGATGCCTTCCTTTTATTAGTTCATGTTGCATTGTAATACCTCATTGCAACAACTATCATAGTCTGGAGGGTTGTAATTGTGATAGTGTTTCTATGATTTTCTGATTCCTACTGGAAAGATGCAAAGCTTTTCAACAAGAACATTGACTAAGAGGGGCCAGAAGCTATGACTTTCCCCCTCTGATCAGTATTCTTTCTATTTTTAACATTTTCCTGGATTCCTGATGCTTTCTGAATACATGAAATGGTGGACAAAACTAATAAGATTCCTGCTAATAATAATTTACCTTAGCTTACCTAATGACTTTGAACCAAAGGTAATCAGTAGAATTAAATAGAAACATAATCTCCCCTCATGAACTTTTAAGTATTCAATCAACCAGGCCCCAGGAGGTATTTCTACCAGATTTGTCAACTGGGAGAGATTAAACAAAGAAATAACGACCACCACAAGAAAACCCAGCAATTATAATTCAGGCTTGAGAGCAGCTTTTCCAGTTGAGTTTAGTGCCAGTCCTCATTGTGTTCTCCTTGGTGGGGCCACCCAACTCTCACCTCTGTTTGCCCATGTCTTCACCAGCCACACTCAGGTATAAGGAATAGATGAGCTTTCAACCAGTGATTTTGCCCTGCAGGAGCTAGGGAGAACAGCATCACTCCTAAACTAGCAAAGCTACAGAGTATGGACTTCCATATTTGCCCCTGGTAAGCGAACTTAAACATGATGATATTTCTCAAACATGCTTACTTTCTTTTTCTTGAACCTACTACATATTCAACACTTTGCATATTCCAATCACACCATGAAGCTTTATTTTCATTATTTCATTTATACTTATGCCAGTGAGACAGGCATTGACCAGGAAATGTTAAGCCTGACCAATGAACTTGGCTGTCTGCCCCTGGGGTCCATGCTCTTGGTCCCCAGAATTGCATGGCAGCCATGAACTCCAGCTGGCTTGGCTGAATCCATGGCCTTTGTTTTTAATGAGCCTGGTTTTCCTTTGCCTAGCTCTGATCCTAATGCAAAGAGTCACAATGGTAGTCTCTATTCCACAGGGAACAGATGGCTCAGAATTTGGATTCTTCTGTCCTCTTTTGCCAAGACTTCTGATAATGTATCTCTTTAGAGACACATTCCTGCTCCAACAGATGCCTAAATTGCAGTGTTCCTGTAGGCACTGTGATTTAGACTGTCACCCTTCATCTTCCCACCATGCTTATCTTATTCCATAGCACACATCATGGTCCAGACAATATCTTAGTTCCCTTTTCTGGTCTCTGCATTATTATACTATTATATTCCATCATGGATATGCCCAGAAAATGGGTTTGAAAATCTGGGATGGATCAGCTTTCAATGTTGTCTTTACTTTTTTGGCTGATATTTTCTGAACCTTCTCTTCCTTCCATGAGTATCTAGACCTGTCAGTGGGCTGGTGGATAGCATTGCTCTCTCTGAAAATGGCATAGACCCATCAAAGCCAAAGGGGAGGTGATTAGTTTATAATGCTAATCAGACAGAGGCATTTACCAAAGTGGTTATAAACATGAACTCTGGGCTCATATTACCTGTGTTCAAAACCAGGTACTACCATTTACCACCTGAATATAGGAGGCAGGCTATCTTATTTCTGTGAGCCCTAGAACCTATACCTGCAAAGTCCAGATTATAATGTCTCCTGGAGTTGCTAGTGGAATCTTGTAAAATGCTTCATATATTGTTTGGCTTATGCAGGCCCTTCAGCATCATTACTGTACATGTTATAGAAGCAAATGTGAAAAGCCAGGTCCCAGGACCAGGGATTAGAGGGCTGAAGATCTGGGTGCTGGGAGCGTGGAAGCATGTAAGTGAGACAAGGGAGAACTTGTTTAGACCCCATGATTTCACAGTGGTATTCTCTGTGAAATTCCCACAAGATGTGTGAAAGAGTTGACTTCATTTAAAGGGCCAGAGGCAGTATGGTAGTCATCATAAATAACACCCATTTCCAAATTACTTTCACCAAATAATAAAAAAGCAGAAATATTTCTCCTGAATAATTTAGAATATTGAGACAAGAATAGGTCAGAGGACAGAAGGGTAATTTGCTCAATCATTCACTTGTTTTTGCTTGGAAAAATTGATCTCCTAAAATTAATATTTGAGGAAAATTTTTAGTTAATGTAATATTTGCTAAACACAAAAGGACATATGAAATGTATATATACATTCAGAAGCATAATAATAAAAGAAACACTTCAATCTACTGCCCAACTTAAGGTCTAAACAGCAATGGCAGTTTCTATTTGAAATACCTGAGTATGTCCCATTCTGATCTTTTCTTCCTCCCTCCTCCTTAAAAATAAATTCTGTCCTGAAATTTTTGCTTGATTTTCTTGCACTTATAAAATGTAGTTTATCACAATATACATGCCTCTAAGCATATTATTTAGCTTTGCTAATTTGTTAGCTTTTTAAAAATGCTATTGCATTGTAAGTAGTCTTAACAGTTGGTTTTATTTTGATTCAACATGTTATGTTTAAAATGCATCTATATCATTTATACCTACAATATATTCATTTTCACTGCTATAGAACCTTCCACTGTGTGGAGTCATTTAAAAGAATATTCATGATCACAAGATTTTTAAGAGCACAGATTCAATTTATTAATCTCACCCAAATTTTTACAATGACTTACATGTTGTTCTTCATTTCTTCCAGATTCTTTCACCTCTAAACCAACTTTCATAATAGGGGCCAGAGTTCTCTTTCTGAATATGAGAATTCTATTAACATTTCCCCCACTTAAAAGTCTCAGTGGTTTCTAACTGCCCCCAATATAAAATCTAAGCCACTGGGCCTACCTTCTTGACTCATCACAGTCCCACTCCAATATTCCTTTCAGGTTCATCTTCAATTATAAATTCTGTCCATCCCATCTTCTTCTGACACACTCATTGTTTGCCTAGACCATCAGAAATACCACCACTTCCTAAAATCACCTGCATTCCTTCTGTGCATTCAGTTTCCTTTGCAAAAAAGAGTTTCTCTTATCTTTGTTGAAAAAATAAAGTGCTAGATATCATTTAAGACCTGGTTTTAAAATTACCTGGATCCCAGAAAAAAAAAAAGGACAAATTATTCCCTGCACTTTGCACACATAACATTTAATTAATTTGTTATTTATTATTTCTGTCTTTTTATATTAATAAAGAGATACATAATATCTTGAAGACAGAAAGCTTCATTGAGTCAATGACCACATCCCTTTTATGGTTGTTTTCTCCCACCACCCCATTCTCACCCTACACAGGGCTGTACTCCAGTAGAAAATTTAGGCCTGATACCTAGAACAGTACAGGTCTGACAACAGTTGCTAAACTGACTAGGGACAAGAGACTTGAAACTCCATCTTGAGGTCCATGTTTAGAAATCACTAGGATCTTTTCTGATGACTGCATAGCAAATTGGATTTAACTTTTCAATTTTGCATTATTCTTATGTTATTGGGATTATGATGAATAATGAGATAATAACAGCAATTAGCCTCTGAATGACTAATAGTCCATCTAATTGATTTTGAACAATTTGAACATCTTCCCTCAGCCAAAGTAGAATAGGGTGGGGCAGAGAGTATTCCATGAATATTCCTGAGAATGAAAACGGGAAAATTATGTCCAATGACCACTGAACATAGTATGGAAACTTCCTAGGGTTGGGGATGGGGGAAGGTGCAATTTAACAATTGAAGCTTGCTTTCTGACAAAAACTTGAAGTGTCAACAGAGTATGTTTCCAAAGTTTGCTATGTTAATTACTTAAAGCTTAGTGGACTTTTCAACATGAAACCAGCATTGCATATTGTATTTTCAGTTCCTCCCAATGCACCAAAACTTATTGAATCTGTAGTGGGCCTAAAGTTCAATGTTTGATCATGGCCACAGATTATTAGAGTCATTGAGCAGAAATGTCTTCAAGGGCCAACTTAGGTCCACATTGAGACTGCTTGCCCACTGCAGTGGCACCTGTGACCCCACTCTGACTACTACTTCATCACCATAGAAGTGGATCTCACCTAACTGCAGGCTACTGGGAATGGAGCCTTTAGTTTTTGTCTAGAGTTTAAATAGAATAGGGTAGGAGGAAGAAAACGGTAGAAAATGGAAGAGTAAGATGCAATCATTTGAATGCAGAGATGTAATGCAGAGATTTTCTTCCTGTTAGTAAAATCTCTGCATTCATCTATGAGGTTCACATTTTTTGGTTAGTCTTTTACTTTATTCTGCAGATTTTGGATATTTCTTCACATGCTTTCACAGTTTCTTCCATTCCTTGCTGCTTCTGACTGGATTTATTATTATTGTTTCTAGTCTTAAGCCAATGCACAGGATGCAGCCTTTTATTAAGAAGCAAGGAGAAAGGTAGTATCATAGAAACATTTAATTCATTGCACAAAACATAGGAATGAGTTCTGAAAAATACTAACAAATAGGTATAGCACTGAGGATCAGTTAGGGAGACAGGCACAAACATAAAAATCTATAACAAGTTATATACACAAAGTTATATAAGAGCTTCAAAAAGTAATTAATTTTTATCAAGTAGTATTTGAAGAAGACTCCTTAGAGGACAAGGCATTTGATCTTGGTTACAGGAATTGTTCAGACCCGGATGTTCAATGAGCTTTCCTGATGCTTGAGATCTTCATAAGATTGTTTCAGGTCCCAAATTTTGCCACCTTTGGAATTCTAAATCTCATGAGATATCATCAAGTTTCTGAGGAGGTTTATGGCTTAAATACATAGCTTAGACATGTATGAGTCATCTCTGTGTCCCATGCATTATTCGCATACCCAGAGACTGCTCTGAGCTGAGTCAAATTAACATTTGTCTTTGAATTTTTTTCCCTTATATATACATACACATGTATTCACATACACTACACGTATTTCATGTATACTCTTTTTTTATTATTATTATACTTCAAGTTATGGGACACATGTGCAGAACATGCAGGTTTGTTACATAGGTATACATGTGCCATGGTGGTTTGCTGCACCCATCAAGCTGTCATCTAGGTTTTAGGCCCCGCATGCATTAGATATTTATCCTAATGCTCTCCTTCCCCTTGCCCCCTAACCCCTGACAAACCCCAGTATGTGATGTTCCCCTCCTTGTGTCCATGTGTTCTCATTGTTCAACTTCCACTTATGAGTGAGAACATGCAGTGTTTGGTTTTCTGTTCCCGTGTTAGTTTGCTGAGAATGATGGTTTCCAGCTTCATCCATGTCCCTGCAGAGGACACGAACTCATTCTTTTTTATAGCTGCATAGTGTTCCATGGAGTGTATCTGCCACATTTTCTTTATCCAGTCTATCATTGATGGACATTTGAGTTGGTTCCAAGTCTTTGCTATTGTGAATAGTGCTGCAATAAACATAAGTGTGCTTGTGTCTTTATAGTAGAATAATTTATAATCCTCTGGGTAGATACACAGTAAAGGGATTGCTGGATCAAATGGTACTTCTGGTTCTAGATCCTTGAGGAATCGCCACACTGTCTTCCACAATGGTTGAGCTAATTTGCACCCCCACCAGCAGTGTAAAAGTGTTTCTATTTCTCCACATCCTTTCCATTATCTGTTGTTTCCTGACTTTTTAATGATCACCTTTTTAACTGCCATGAGATGGTAACTCATTGTGGTTTTGATTTGCATTTCTCTAACGACCAGTGATGATGAGGTTTTTTTCATGTTTTTTGGCCACATATACGTCTTCTTTTGAGAAGTGTCTCTTCATACCCTTCACCCACATTTTGATGGGGTTGTTTGTTTTTTTCTTGTAAATTTATTTAAGTTCCCTGTAGATTCTGGATATTAGACCTTTGTCAGATGGATAGAGTGTAAAAATTTTCTCCCATTCTGTAGGTTGCTTGTTCACTCTGATGATAGTTTCTTTTGCTGTGCAGAAACTCTTTAGTTTAATTAGATCCCACTTGTCGATTTTGGGTTTTGTTGCAATTGCTTTTGGTGTTTTAGTCATGAAATCTTTGCCCGTGTCTATGTCCTAAATGGTATTGTCTAGGTTTTCTTCTAGGGTTTTTATGGTTTTAGGTTTTATGTTTAAGTCTTTAATCTATCTTGAGTCAATTTTTGTAAAACGTGTAAGGAAGGGGTCCAGTTTCAGTTTTCTGCATATGGCTAGTCAATTTTCCCAGCACCATTTATTAAACAGGGAATCCTTTCCCTATTGCTTGTTTTTGTCAGGTTTGTTGAAGATCAGATGGTTGTAGACATGTGGCATTATTTCTGAGGCCTCTGCTCTATTTCATTGGTCTGTATATCTGTTTTGGTACCATTACCATGCTGTTTTGGTTATGTAGCCTTGCAGTGTAGTTTGAAGTCAAGTAACGTGATGCCTCCAGTTTTGTTCTTTTTGCTTGGGATTGTCTTGGCTATACGGGCTCTTTTTTGGTTCCATATGAAATTTAAAGTTTTTTTTCTAGTTCTGTGAAGAAAGTCAATGGTAGCTTGATGGGAATAGCATTGAAACTGTAAATTACTTTGGGCAGTATGGCCATTTTCACGATAATGATTCTTCCTATACATGAGCATGGAATTTTTTCCCATATGTTTGTGTCCTCTCTTATTTCCTTGAGCAGTGATAGATGCAGAAAAGGCCTTCAATAAAATTCAACACCCCTTCATGCTAAAACACTCAATAAACTAGGCATTGATGGAACATATCTCCAAATAATAAGAGCTATTTATGACAAACCCATAGCCAATATCATACTGGATGGGCAAAACCTGGAAGCATTCCCTTTGAAAGCCCACACAGGACAAGGATGCCCTCTTTCACCTTTCCCATTCAACATAGTATTGGAAATTCTGCCCAGGGCAATCAGACAAGAGAAAGAAAGAAAGGGTATTCAGACAGGAAGAAAGGAAATCAAATTGTCTCTGTTTGCAGATGACATGATTGTATATTTAGTAAACCCCATTGTCATCAGCCCCAAAACTCCTTAAGCTGATAAGCAACTTCAGCAAAATATCAGAAAGCAAAATCAATGTGAAAAACTCACAAGCATTCCTATATGCCAGTATTAGACAAACAGAGAGCCAAAAAAATGAGTGAATTCCGTTCAGAATTGCTACAAAGAAAATAAAATATCTAGGAATACAACTTACAAGGAATGTATATTCTTTATACGCAGAATATTTAGTGCAAAATTTGGGGAGCTAAGAAGAATTTTAGATCACAATAATTCAAACTACTTGTATTAGTCTGTTCTCACACTGCTAATAAAGATATACCCTAGACTGGGTAATTTATAGAGTACAGAGGTTTAAGGGACTCACAGTTCCACATGGCTGGGAAGGCTTCACAATCATGGCAGAGGGCAAAGCAGAATCAAAGGCACGTCTTAGATGGTGGCAGGCAAGAGAGAGCTTGTGCAGGTGAACTCCCATTTATAAAACCATCAGATCTCTTGAGACTTATTCACTACCACAAGAACAGTATGGGGAAACCACTCCCATAATTCAATTATCTCCACCTGGCCCTGCCTTTGACACATGGGGGTTGTTACAACTCAAGGTGAGATTCGGATGGGGGCACAGCCAAACCATTTCACCACTCAAAACTGTTTATTACATATTCTTGGTTATAAGAGTTCCTTTGTTGCTTGATTGAGGATTTTTCATGGCTGCTTCATCCTACAAGGTATCCAGGCCTCATATTATCTTATTACCCCTCTCGTTTCTTTCTATTCCATGATTCTTCCAGACACCATCCCTCCCAGATTCCTTCACAAACTTCAAAATCAAATTTATTCAAATTTTCAAGATAATTTAGCTTTTCCCAGCTGCTGCTCCTGACTCAGCTCCATGCCACCACTGGCTATACAAATTTGTTAAATAACATCTGCCCTGCTTGGAACATATTTATGATTTATAGGCTAATTATTATTTCATTGGATATACTAAAGATGTCCAAGTAAAAGTAATGTGACTGGAAAATCTTTACAAATATTAATTTTTTACTTAATTAGGAACTCATCAAATTTCTTCTCTGGACCCAGAACCAGTGCCCCCCCAGCATACACTCCTGGACATAAGCCCTGTCCTGTTTTAAACAACACTACATTTACAGCAGAGAAAGTCATAAAGTGATTCTGAACTAGAAAAAAAATATATAAAATGTACACATGCATAATCAGTACCTCACCCCACAACCCCCGGCGCAACACATACACACAGCCTGAGACTAGATAACATCCTATAGATTGGGGCAAAATGAGAAAGGAGGAACAGTGAGATGTGTCATCAAAAGGAGATTGCCCTGTTTTGCCTGAGATGGAGCACCTGCAACCAGCACAGGGACAGGTGTGGACTAAAGACCATCCCATCTCTATTTCAGTAGCATGCAGCACATTTCATCTGGATTGAGGAGCTCTGGAGGAGTACTTGTAATTGCTAGCAATAAGTCTATGATCAACTGTCAAGGGAAACTTCTACTTGCACCTTAATCTTTTAACACCCCTCTCTCACACACACACAAACACACCAATAACTATGCTGTATGGACAACTATCTTTCTTCCTTTTTTTTCAGTCTGTTGCCTAGGCTGGAGTGCAGTGGCACCATCATAGCTCACTGCAGCCTTGAACTCCTGGGCTCAAGCAATTTTCCTGCCTCAGCCTTCCAGGTACCTAGGATTACAGTCACATGCCACACCAGGCTATTTTATTTTTATTCTTTTGTAGAGACGGGGGTCTCATTATTTTGCCCAGGCTGGGTTTGAACTCCTGGCCTCAAGCAGTCCTCTCAACCCAGCCTCCCAAACTACTGAGATTACAGGTGTGAGCCACCATGACTGCCAAACAACTATCTTTCAACAGAAACATAATTACAAACTTTGGGAAGAGACACTAAGGGCCTAGACATCTAGGGTGGTGATGATGATGTGGAAGGAAAGCAGCCCCTAGCACCACATCCTGACCTCAAGCTATCTTTTCTCAAGATACACACAAATATAGATGAACCAAGCAAAGATACCCACTGAGTTAAGATACTGGTGAAACTTCTATCCCATTGAGTATCAAGATAGGAGATTAGGGGAGGGGAAAAGGCAAGGAGGGAACTGACAGATGCTGGCAGTTCCTAGACAGGCCATGCGGAAGTGGGTTTGTGAGCCAGATATCTAGAACTGAAGGAGGAAGACATAGCCTCTTAATTGGTTTGGGGCATTGAAATATGTGTGGGCCACTGATAATAACTCCAGGTCCAGAACTGTAGGACCCATCAGCAGCAGTGGTGGAAAAAGGGAAGAGCTGAAATTTTACAGAAGGACTTACCCTCCCTATCTCCTCCACTTTCCTGTTAGCTTCCAGCATCCGTATCAACTTCATCACGTGTGCATTTGTCACACCAGGTGTCATCTTCAAAATAAATTTTGTTAAATTTGTTTTCATTGATACATAATAGAGGTACACATTTTCAGGGTACATGTGATCAGTGATACATGTATATTTTTGTAAATATCAAGTCAGTGTAACTGGGATATCCATCAACTTAAATTTTAATGGGTGATCAAATGTCTACAGTGTGCCAGGTTATGCTGTGCATTTTGGTGCATTCGCCTATATATCATTTGGTCATCACATTGATCATAAGGCATTGATATTTTATTCCCATTTTTCAGATTACAAAAATAAAGTGGACCAAAGGTATGAATTGATTTACTTAAGGTCACAGAAGTAATAAATATCAGAACCAGAATTTAAACCTGGTCTTCTGATCTCAAGTTCATGATTCTTTCCACAGCAGCAATATATTCTTAAAATATTAGATTTACAATGGATGTTAATAATTATTTAGTCCAGGAATGACAGATATATTCTAAATGATGGCCCAGCTTGGATTGTTCCAGGCAGCCTGGAGTGTGTGTTGAGAAAAACATGGGGACCCATCGCTAACTCCATGGGAAAAAGTATCATGATTGCTTCTCAGTGTCTGCCTCAGACACCTCTGCCAGGTACTTTCCAAATTTAGCTTAATTCTCTCTTCCCATTTTTACAGATGAGAAAATTAATGCTGGGAGATTTAAAATGAATTGCCCAAGAACACACAGTATGACATTGGCAGAGCTGTGGGTAAGTCTCCACCTTTCCTGATTTCATATCTGTAGCTCTTGGCCTCACCCTGGTCCTTCCCTCAGAGTTCTCATGGGAGACCTGCCAAATCACTCAAGTTTTCTGAATCTCTTTCTGACCTCGTTTCTCTCTTTCATATCTCATATATGATATGCATATCATCTGAGTAAAGTGTTTTGAGGAGGAGTCCATTGTGAAACACTAGCTTGCTATCGTCAATAAGATTCCACAGTCAAGGTTTTTGTTGAGGAATTGCTGAGAGGGATATATCACAAGGGATTAATGTGCACCAAGTGCCAATGCTGGGACTGGATGAGCAAATACAGAGCAGTTAAGAAATAGACAGACCCAGCTCAGCATTTAGCAACTGGCTGGTGCTAAATTTTCCTCAGTGAGTTTTACCTGATCAGTTCAAGGCACCATAGGGTGGTTCATTGGTGCAAGGAAAATGGCTGAAGCTCTGTGTTTAAATTTAGGAGAAACAGTGAAAAACATAGCCATTCACTGAAATGTCATCCATTTAATGGGGGAGAAAAAGTACGTATATATAAAATGAAGCGGACATTTAAAGAATCTAGATCGTTCAGACTGAAAATTATTCTATAGTAGTATTTAACCCATAAGTTATAAAATTAAACGAGACCATGCTTATCAATTATTTAACCAGTTTCTAGAAAACAATAATTGCTTAAAGGTCAATAAATAATAATACTTTTAAAGGAGAAAGTGTTGTAGGGCTGTGTGCATGTATAGGGGCGTAAATGCATGTATTGATGTATGTGTGTTCAGTTAATCATCTGCTTAACTAAATTGTCCTTGTGCTGTAGACACTCTAGTTTTCTTCATATTTGTAAGTGGAGAACAACCACACTTTAAACTGGACTGTCCAGGTATTGCTTTTTCTTTTTCACTGAACACAGGCATCTTATTAAATCTTCTGGTGTTCATGAGATGTGGACAAATAAGCATTATTAGATTGGAGTTGCTAGTGCTGAAACTGAGTCACAGAGACATTATGTGATTAGCCCTGAGTCACACAGCTGTTGAATGCCAGGGCAATCATGAGGAATGGGTTCCCTCACTCCCAATTCAGAGTTGTGGTCTCTCTCCCCTTTGCATTAGGATCAAAAATCCCTCTCCTCTCCCACCCCTTTTTTCCCGCTTCTCTATTCCTTGTATTTGCTTTTTCTGTTGCTTACTCTAACTCAAATCAACAACTATTTATAAAATGTATTTCATGTGTCCACTGTTGATGACTAGACCATGAATAAACCTTGGTTTGTATTAATGACAAATGCTGGTGGTTGCCTAACCTCCATTTTTCTTTTTGACAGTTCTTGTTAAAATCATTACTGCTCCTTTGCTCTACATAGTGTGTTAGTCCGTTCTCATGCTGCTAATAAAGACACACTCAAGACTTGGCAATTTATAAAGGGAAGAGGTTTAATTGACTCACAGTTCAGCATGGCTGGGGAGGCCTCAGGAAACTTACAATCTTGGTAGAAGGGGAAGCAAACATGTGCTTCTTCACATGGGGGTAGCAAGGAGAAGTGCAGAGCGAAGGCAGGAAAAGCCCTTTACAAAACCATCAGATCTCATGAGAACTCACTATCACGAGAACAGCATGGAAGTGACTCCCCCATGATTCAATTACCTCTCACCAAGTCTCTTCCTTGACATGAGGGAATTATGGGAACTATAATTCAATATGAGATTTGGGTGGGGACACAGCCAAACCATATTATATAGGGGAGGAAAACTCTATTCCAGACTCCAGCAATAAATCCAGAATACCTAGGGAACACTGATCATGTCTTTGCTAGGGATGTGCTTAGCAGCATCCTGTGACCATACTCGGGACAGTGCAAGGAGATTTACTCAGGACTTCTGGGAAAGGTTTTTGTTGTTGTTTCCCAAGATGATTCCAAAAGAAATGTTCACTTTCTTGTAATGGATGTTGGCATATCTGGATAGAAAGCTAAAATTGCACCTGCTTTGTTCCCAGAGGGAAGCCAGATTTCTGGCATTCCAGGGCTGGACATTCTGGGTCTCTTGGTATGTGAAATAAGCTCCCATTTGAGATATGGTTTCCCTGTCGGTGGCCACTAGAGGCATCTTAACAAATAAAGTACCCTAAAGAAACTTCGCTGCTTTGATTATTACTATAGTGTATGGTTACACACTGTGGAGTAAGACTCAGAATATTGTTTCTAGCCCTTGCTAGATGTGCAACGCTCTGCTGTTTGCTTCTGGATCACAGAGCCTGGTACTTTGTAGAAGGTTAATAAGTAGTTGCTTAATAAATTAATTGATTTATAAATGAATTAATAAAACAGACTTACAATTAGGTCATAGGATAGTTGTGATGATAAATTTAGATAACATGCATAAATATGTGGAAACTGCCTGGCATATGATTATTAAAATGAATAAAGACAACCACTTTTCTAAGTATTGGCCAGATACCAATCTTGCCCAGATTAATTAATACCCATTGGTATTAATTAATACCAATCTTGCCCAGATTAATTAATACCCAGATTAATCTGTCTTTTTAATACCCAGATTTGCTCATGAGGCTCAACACAATAAGACTGTAGGGAGAAATGAATGAACTTTGGAAACTGTAAGTCATGACACAAGAGTGAAGCATTCATTCATGTACTCATAAATCTGCTTTATATACTTTCTATGTGCTAGATACTATTGTAAGCATTGGCGACACTATGCTTAGACATTGCCTGCCTTAGTTGAAGTTATAATCTGTTGGAGAAGAGATGGACTATAAAAAAACAAATAAGTAAAATGAATAGCATAGCATTAGAAAGTGGTTCACTCTATACCACCTCCAACACAATAATGGCCAAGACAACAAAAGCAGGAGAGGAATATAGAGGATGTGGTGGAGAGGATGATGCAATCTTAAGTAGGGTAATGAGGGAATGTCTGAATAAGAAGATAACAGTTGATCACAGAGCTGAAGAAGATGATGGAACAAGTGTTTCAGATATATGGGGCAATTATATTTCAGGTTTGAAAAACAAATAAAAGAGAATAGTACATTCAAATGTATCAAAGTGAGAGTATGTCTAATGTGATCTAGAATAGTAAGGAGGCCAGTGTGACTGAGTTAGAGTGAACTGAAGGAGACTATTTGGAAGTAATGCCAGAGTTGGTCAAAAAGACAGAGTAAGACTCTGTAAGTCACTATAAAACTTTGGCTTTCACTCTGAGTAAGATGGACACTCATTGAAGGAATGATGCCATCTTTTGAAAGGAATTCTCTGGATACTGTGTCAAAAGATGATGCTGTCCTGGGGTCGGGTGATAGTTGTTGATAAATGAGCAATGGTCAGGTTCTGGGCATAGTTTGAAGATAAAGTGAACAAGATTCATTGACAGATAACATGTGAAATATACAAAAGAAGGTATACATGGATACAAGGATACCACAGTCATCTGGCCTGAGAAACTGAAAGGGTGAAGTTTCTATTGAAAAGTATGAGTAACACTGTGGACGCAAGTCTTGGGGGGCAAGATTGGGACATCGGTAATAGTTGATATGCCTGTTAGACATGCAGTGGAGATGCTTGGAAGAGTTGGATATAGAGACCTGGAGCTCCAGAGAGACATCATAACCAAAGATGTAAATTTAAAAGTCCTTAGTGTAAAGAGGCATTTAAAACAATGTACTCAATGGGGTAACCAAGAAGGGACTGTAGATAGAGAAAAAATGGAGCCCTAAGACACCCAGTGTTTAGAAGTGAGAAGATAAAAGGGACCCAAAAAAAAGACTCTTTAACTGTTCACTGAGGTAAGAAGAAAAATTGCCGAGACCAGCTCGATCAGGGAGACCCTAACACAGTGGTTCTAGAGGAATTAAAGACACATACACAGAAATATAGAGGTGTAAAGTGGGAAATCAGGGTTCTCACAGCCTTCAGAGCTGAGAGCCCTGAACAGAGATTTACCCATGTATTTATTAACAGCAAGCCAATCATTAGCATTTTTCTATAGATATTTGATTAACTAAAAGTATCCCTTATGGGAAATGAATGGATGGGCTGAAATAAAGGGGTGGGTCTGGCTAGTTATTTGCAGCAGGAACATGCCCTTAAGGCACAGATCACTCATGCTGTTGTTTGTGGTTTAAGAACGCCTTTAAGTGATTTTCCGCCCTGGGCTGGCCAGGTGTTCCTTGCCCTCATCCCAGTAAACCCACAAACTTCCAGCGTGGGTGTTATGGCCATCATGAACATGTCACAGTGCTGCAGAGATTTTGTTTATGGCCAGTTTTGGGGCCAGTTTATGGCCAGATTTTGGGGTGCCTGTTCCCAACAAAAATAAAGAATATGTATCTTGAAACCAAGTGAACTAAACTTGTTTCAGAAATGAGAAAGTACAGTCGACCATTAAAAAATGTGAGGACTAAGATCTCTGACGATCTGCAGTCAAAAAATTGTGTATAATTTTTTACTCCCCCAAAATTTAACTACTAATAGCCCACTCTTGACCAGAAGTCTCATCAATAACATAAAGTCAATTTACACATATTTTTATGTTATGTATATCCTATGCTATGTTCTTACAGTAAAAATAAGCTAGAGAAATAAGTAGATCTTATTAACAAAATTAAAAGAAAGAGAAAACACTTTTTATTTATTAAACAGAAGTGGATCATCACAGCGGTGTTCATCCTCATCTTCACATTGAGTAGGCTGAGGAAGAGGAGGGGGAACAAGTATTGGTCTTGCTGTCTCAGGGGTGGCAGGGACAAAAGAGGTGGAGAAGGTTGAAAGGAAGACAAGAAAGGCAGGCACATTTGGTGTAAGTTTTATTGAAAAAAATCCATATCTAAATTCATCCACACAGTTCATATCCATGTTGTTTAAGGGTCAACTGTAATCATGAAGTAAATGTTTCTGTTGAGTCAATTAAGATGAAGATTACAAAGGGAATATTGGCTTTAGCAACAGGGAGGTTGAGGAGATCTTCAAAAGATTAGGTAGTGTTATCATTAGTATTGAACTTAGGGAGTAGAAAGAATGCTGAATTTGGAGTCAGGAAACTTAAGTTCAACTATAACAAATAAATAAATAAAGGAGATAAATTCCTCAAAGGGTGATTATGATGACCAAATGATATAACGAAGCTAAACATACTCTGTGGGACATCAAAAATATGTAAATATCAACTCAAAAACATCATGGCTATGAGGCATATGTGATTATTAAGTATTTGTAACTACTTGTGTGCTTTAAAACACTGCTCAGGCATACACCAGGCTCCCACCCCCACAACACACACACACACACAGGCACACACACGGTATACACAAATTCTTTCAATAACAGAGGAAACTGAATATGTATCATGAAGCTTTAGCAGGTTTAGGAGTTAAGCCAGTCTGTTGCAGTTCTGGTGCTGCTGACATTACCAGACGGCATTAATTTAATTCTGCTCAGTTATGCTTTTAAATTTGATTTGAGTAATGTGTCATAAAATGCTATTGAGAAGTGCAGTGCTGCATTCCTAAGCAGGCTAGGAGGCTGTGTCTGCTCTGGGAATCCTTAAGAGAAATGGATTGAGATCATGTTGTGCCTGTAGACTTTAGGAAGTTTACTCTTTGCTGGGATCTGGCGACAGAGGTTTGCTGATCCAGGATTTCTCACTGTTGAGAAGAGATCAGAAGAAAAGCATACATCTCTAGGGAATAAGGAGGAGATTTCAAAGAATATAGGAAAGCATGTGAAAAACTACAATTTTAACAAATAACAGGGATAGCTTAAAAGACTGTGCATATAAATAAAGAGGAGTTTATTTTAAAGTCCTTTAGCTCACTTGTTATACTGGGTCATCCTTATTAGTTTCACATCTCTTTTGTCTGGCCTCAGTTTTTCTATGCTTAAATTGAAAGTAATAGACTAAATCAGTTGTGTCCAAAGAAAGACAAAGCCTTTGCAAAGTGCATCATAATGATCTATTGGGGTGTGGAAAACAATTCTGGGACCTCCTTTATTTTCATTGATTTCTAGTGCATCTGTTAAAATACATGTTCCACCGAGGCATAGTGGCTCACACCTATAATCTCAGTACTTTGGGAAGCTGAGGTAGGATGACTGCTTGAGCCCAGGAGTTCAAGACTAGCCTGGGAAACATGGCAAAACCCTGTATCTACAAAAAAATACAAAAATTAGCCAAGCGTGATAGCACATGTCTGTAGTCCCAGATACTCTGGAGGCAGAGGTGGGAGATCCCATGAGCTCCAGAAGTCAAGGCTGCTGCAGTGAGCCATGATTGCACCTCTGCACTCCAGCCTGGGCAACAAAACCTGTCTCAAAAAATAAATACATAAAATAAAATGTATGCTTCTTGTATATGTTTTTGTAATACACTTAATATAAATAGCAAATCAATCAATCAATAAGTTTATATTGACTGTGTGTCCTCCCTGTCTATATTTTGGTCTCTTTTATCAGTTGACTGACTAATCAGTGGTCCCCAAACTTTTTGGCATGAGGACCGGTTTCATAGACAACAATTTTTCCACAAACTGCGGTGTAGGTAGGGGCTGGTGGCTTCAGGATGAAACTGTTAGATTCTCATAAGGAACATACAACCTAGATCCCTTGCATGTGCATTTCATAATAGAGCTTGCACTTCTATGAGAATCTAATGCCACCACTGATCTGACAAGAGTTGGCATTAGGTACCAGTCCTAGCCCCTGGACTAATTGACTGATTTATGTATTCTGATAGAAACATGTAATCAAAATAATCTAGGGAAGACTTGCCTAATTGATCCCTTACAGACTTCATAGCTCTATTTTATAAACGATTTTATGGCCCTGAAACTGGTTATACTGACCATTGTGATTATCTTTAAAAAGTGAAATGGCAGCTTGACCATTGAATTGATTGCTCGGCTTTTCTTTGGCTTTTTGATGATTAAAAAATAACAATAATAACGCTTTTTACCAGGAACTTCCTAGAGGCAGTAAGAGCTGTCTCAGTTTCTATATTTTAAAAATATCTAAAGTAATACCTTATGTGAAATCCCTGAGTGGTAGCAAAAAATTTTAATTTGGTTCTAGATATTTCAGCCATAGTCCCAGCTCTGTCAGTGGTTTGCCAGGGTTGGGGGTTTGGTGTGGCAGGTTTAGATTAGCCATGCCAGTGCTCTGGGCCTCATGGTTCAGTCTGCTGATGTAAAAGCTTGGAATTCTGCAGACACAGAGCTCAGCTTAATGTTGGTTTCCTCTGCTAAGTCTTCCCCAACCCCTCCATCAAAGGGACTGCTTCTTTCCCTTCCTACAGTAACTCTTTGTCGTATGTACTACTTTGTTTTCTTCATAGCTATCTAAAATGGTCTATTTATTATTTTGTTGATGTGCTTATTGTCTGTCTTCTCTAACTAGAATGTGAGCTCCATAGAAACTGCAAAGAATGCAGGCAGGCAGATAAACCAGCAGGCAAATGAAATTTAAGTTTCAAGACCCCAGGAGGTTATGATAGCAATGTAATCATGTGGTTATGGGTTTGGGGGCTATTTTCCAGAATTTTTAAAAAGTATGTGTTTCATTATATTAAAAAGACCACTGTTTATTTTTACCCTGACACTCCATTCATTATATTTTGCTTTGTGTCCAGTGGTGTGGGCATTTTGGGATCTAGCTAAAGGAAATTTTAAGTGGGTATATAATTTGCAGGGTTTGATGGGGTACATTTTTGTGTAGTTTGTCATCACTTCTGTGTCTTAAGCTATTGTTAGATTCCACAGATTATTAAGGGGTAGAGCAGAGACTCAAAGGGATATTTGTCTGCCTCTAATGCTAATGATCTTAGTATTAAACCATGACTTTTTGTAAGTTTAGTGATAACAGGTGTCCGTTTCTAAAATTTGGAAATACGATTATGTTTTCAGCCACTTGCCAACCAGCCTTCCTACATTGCATGACATGTTTCCAGTCTCATAAACCATTTTTGCCCTGCTTGTTCACTGCACTCTCTCCTAATTATTGTTCCTGATTCCTTTCATTTGAAACTATGTAATTCTGCAACTCTTTCTTTTGATTCAAGGGGTTCATGTGCAGATTTGCTACCTGGGTATATTGCCTGATGCTGAGGTTTGGGTTACACATGATCCCATCACCTAGGTAATGAGCACAGTACTCAAAAGGTAGATTTCAACTCTTGACTCCCCTTCCTCCCTCTCTCCTCTAATAGTACCACGTTTCTATTATTGCCATCTTTATGTCTATGAGTACCCAATATTTAGCTTGCACTTATTGATGAGAACATGCAGTATTTGACTTACTGTTCCTGCATTTATTTGCTTACGATAATGGCCTCTAGCTGCATCCATGTTGCTGCAAAGGATATGATTTCATTATTTAGTATGGCTGAATAGTATCCCATGATGTATATATACCATATTTTCTTTATCCATTTCACCATTCATGGGCACCTAGGTTAATTCTGTGTCTTTGTTACTGTGAATAGTGCCGTGACGAACATATGAGTGCATCTGTCTTTTTAGTAGAATGTTTTGTTTTATTTTGGATATTTATCAAGTAATGGGATTTTGGGGGCCAAATGCTCATTCTGTTTTATTATCTGATTTATCTTGCTTTGAGAAATCTCCAAACTGCTTTACATAGTGGTTCAGCTAATTTATGTTCCCACCAATGGTGTATAAGCATTTCTTTTTCTCTGCAGCCTCATTGGCATTTGTTGTTTCTTGACTTTTTAACAGTAACCATTCTGACTGGTGTGAGATGATATCTCATTGTGGTTTTGATTTGCATTTCTCTGATGATTAGTGATGTGGAGTATTGTTTCATATGTGTGTTTTTCTTTTTTTGTTGTTTCATATGCATGTGTATCTTCTTTTGAAAAGTACCTGTTCATGTCTTTTGCCCATTTTTAAGGGGGTTGTGTTTTTTTTGCTTGTTTCATTGTTTAAGTTCCTGACAGATTCTGGATACTGGATCTTTGTCAGGTGTGTAGTAGGCAAATATTATTTTCCCATTCTGTAGGTGGTCTGTTCACTCTATTGACAGTTTCTTTTGTTGTACAGAGGCTCTTTAGTTTAATTAGACCCCAGATGTCAATTTTTCTTTTCGTTGAAATGCTTTTGAGGACTTAGTCATAAATTCTAAAATTGCCTCACCCAGTCAAATCTTTGTATCTTTCTTTCTTTCTTTTTGAGACAGAGTCTTGCTCTGTTGCCCCAGCTGGAGTGCAGTGGTGTGATCTTGGCTCACTGCAAGCTCTGCCTCCCGGGTTCACACCATTCTCCTGCCTCAGCCTCACAAGTAGCTGGGACTACAGGCACCTGCCATCATGCTCAGCTAATTTTTTTTTGTATTTTTAGAAAAGACAGGGTTTCACTGTGTTAGCCAGGATGGTCTCGATCTCCTGACCTCGTGATCCGCCAACCTCAGCCTCCCTCTTTGTGTGTTTCTATTCAGTTCTTGCTGATTTTTTATGAACTACAGACAACAACAAAATTAGCATAAAAAGTCATAATACAATACACTATGGACATTGATTACAAACTGGCAATGAATGGTGAACGCATTATCAATGCAAAGAATAGATACATCATTGCACCAAAATCTTTGAAATCCCCTGAAATATTAACCTTATCTATCAAGAAAATTTGAACCAGTTTTTTCAAAATAATATCAATGTTAAATAATTATTTACTAATTTTCAATCATGAATTGTGAAGCTGAATGGAACTTTTTCAAATTGTCAGAAAAGATCTAGCTAGAGGAAAAAAATTAATTAACTTTCTAATCATTCTATAGAAAATAACTTTAAAACACCATATGAAGATATCAAAAGTATGCATATAAAATGTAAACAATATTATAGAAATGTGGTATTGCAGGCTATAAACACAAATTATATTGTTTTTCTGAATTTTGTAAAATATTTGTCAGCATTTCATTATTGTCAGCAGATAAACATTGTAATTTAATATAATGTTCTTTCTAAATTTACATAAGAATTATTTTTATGTCTAAATTTTTGTCATTTTGGTATTCTTTACTTAAAGAACCCCCCAAATTATATGAGTTATATTCCTCACCAAACATGGGCCCACCCTGGCAGAAAACATGCATTTTTCCCTAAAACTTATATTCCCAGCTTTTAGAATAAGGAAAGAGTCAACAAATCGTTGGAAGAATCATAAGATGTTCTCTAAGAATTTCTTTTCAACTCGATTTGCTGTTTCTTTTAGAGCCCTATTAATGGAATAGGGTTCTATAATTAATAGAAACTTTAACCCTTACTTCTTTGAGGTCATTAAGAATTGTTCCAGGGAGAAGTTCTCCTGGTGAGAATTATAGAATCCACTTTTAACATGCACCCACAATTTTAAGGGTCTCCCTGAGGGCCCGAGTTGGTGAGCACATTTTACCTTTCCCAGAAATGGATGGGAAGTGCATATGGGCTGCTATACTCTGGGGTGGGGGAGTAGGGGTAGGAGGGTAGGTAGTGGGCGGGAGTTTTCTGTGTCGGTCCTGGATTCTCCTACTGCCTTTGAATTCCTGCAACAATTCTGCCCATGCGGTTGAGGGTGGAGAGACACAGTGGAATTTGGAATAAAGGAAAGTGTTGAGTCTAAGAAATAGGTTTGCCTCTCTGTAGCACCTTAATATGCAAAAATAAGACTGAGCTAGGTAACTTCAGTGACCCAAGACCAGTCAGGAAGTCGATAATTTTACTGAAGGTGTTCACCATACCCAGCTAGTCATTAGCACTTTGGGTACTACAAAATAAAGTGTAAAACAGACTTTTTTTTTTTTTCTGGCTGACATCTCAGTCTAGTTGGAGAGACAAGGCCAACTTGGGGAGAGCTGGATTCACAGAATGACTCATCTTTAGTATGGGCTGAACTCCCTTGTCCAGGCATCCACCAAGAATCTCATTGATACCATCCTTCTCCTCTGCCAAGTCCAGTATCAGTGCTTCCAGGAAAACAACTCTGAAATCAGACACCCACTGCTCCAAAACTGAAACCCTGATTACAGTGTCCCTATTCAGCAGGAAGCAGCCAGATAACCAACAACGCCCCTCTTCTTTTTATACTAAAGTAGAAGGCAAGAATGTTAGTCCAAATTGCACCATTTTGTAAGCCCCCTGCAACTCTGCAGACCGTGGTTCAAAGTAAAACATTCCACGGAGGTTCCCGCCATCAGAAACATCCTGCCTAACCACCTAACTGTGAAGCGGACAAAGGTCCAACTAAAGAAACATTCTTACAGCCTACTGGGCAAAGGCCCAACTAAAAAACATCTCTATCATATTCTGCTGGGAGAAAGTGCAAGGAACACCACATTCCGCTGGAACAAGGGCCAGAACCATTTCATCATGGGAAAATCTGATCAATCTAATGGGCAGCAAGCCATATGGCCCAGACCCCTTCCATCCATACCTGTAAGTACCCACCAGCCTGTAAGAGGTGGTGGTCTCTTGCATTAAGCTGGTCCCCCACTTCTGCAGGTGTCTGCAATATGCCTGCCTTTGCTGTTGAGTCACAAAAACAAAAACAGAAACATGCACCTCTGTGTATTCATAGGCCATAGTTTAAGACCCTCTGAAGTAGGACCCCATGTATACAGAGACTTCTCTTGCTTGTCTGATCTTATTGGCCAATGCACAGTTCAGGTGTCCTGTGTGTAGCACCCTTCTGGGGTCCTGGCTCCCAACAGTACAGCAGGTCACAGAGTGCCTCCCTGTAGTTGTAGTGCTATCCCCACCACTATTGCTGTCTATCCGCAGAGTCTGGCTTGTAACTTTTGCCCCATAAAACATAGATCACAGATTTCTTGTCCTGGGTTGATGGTCATGATATATTGTACATGTATATTCTGTTCCAATATTGAACACTTCAATATTGGGAGATACATGAGGGAAAATTATGCTACTTATTTGTAAGAACAACAACAACAAAAAGAAAAGCAAACAAATTATTTTTTTCTTTTTCCCTTTATTCCTTGTAAATAAGGTTTATACTCCTAGCTTGAAAATCAAGGTTCTTTCTTATCTGGCTTCAGCTACCTGTTCTGCTGGACTTTAATTTATGATGAGATAATACTGAAGACGGTACAGCCAGCATGCCACCACCATAATAGTGTTTGGAACTGTGGGGCCAAATAAATGTCTTCACATACATGTTAAGAACTACTGTCTGGTCTGATCATTCTCTGAATTCCAGGTACTAAAGACTATGTACTTTCTGTTGCTGTTGTTCCTCAGCATATATGGTTACAGAGTGCCTAATTGTAAACACATATTCTCTCCTAAATATGTATCATAGTTTTCTTAAGGTGAAGAGTAAGTACCCTTGATCTTTGTGCTAACCACAGAGACTGGAAAAGAGGACTGTACACAGAATATAGTCACTGAGTGCCTTTTGGATTAAATCTATGGTCATATAGTCACAGGCCAGGCTTAATCTGTCCAGATTCAGCAAAAATAATTTCTATGCCTAATGCAATGCCTGATCTAGCATAGAAGAAATTGGAAAGGAGTGAATGAGTATTCATAATTCATTAAGGAAGGTTAGCGCTATCTTCATCTTTTCAATTCAGGTATTTTTCAACAAATACAACAATAATAGTAATAAATAAATAATAATAAATCCATAGAGTATTTTCTTTGAGTTAGGCACTGTCTTTCAAGGATGTTATCTTAAAGTGGTAGATTATCTTGTTTCTATTTTACAGATGAAACCAATATTTAAAGAAGATAAACATATCACTCAAAGTCATACAATTAATAAGCAGAGGCAGGATTTGAACCCAATCTTGACTGATTTTAGAACTAGCATGCTTTATAATTATGTCATATCTTGCTTTTCATCTAATTAAGAAAAAGCAATGTATTATCTGATTTAGATTTATACTCTTCTTTCTCTTCTCAAAAAATATCCATCTTTGACTTTGTGTGCCCCAGATATTGTCCTCATCATACTCTCTGAGAGCTAGTTAAGACTTCCTTGAAGTTAATTTTTATTTTCTCTCCTGTCCATCATGGGCCTTCTGCCACCAGTGGAGTTACATCTCCCTCAGAATTTCCAATTGCAACTAGCACAGGCTAGCACGCAGGGCTCTGGGCTCTGCAGGCCCACAAACTAACCTTGGCATAATGAATGACCTGCAGCTTTGGAATGCCTCTGGAATGCCAAGTGACCACAGCTCCCTGCTTGTGGAATGTAGAGTGGCCCCAGCATTAGCCAGGTGACCAACAGCTGCATGGCATTGGCATGAAAAATAGATTCCAGCTCCTAGAATACTAAGTGCCTGCTCAAGAACAAGAAAACGAAACATTAATGGATAAGCCTTCCTGCTGAGGAAGAAGAAATGGTGGTGATTGACATTGTTACTATGAGATAACTCTGTTAATGCTAATAACACCTGAGTCTGAGCCAGGGAAACTTCTTTGAACTGCCCACTGAAAAATATCCAACCCTCCCCCAAATCACAGAATCAGATCTCTTCCCATAGGTAGAAATGCACTCCCCTCTTTTCGTGCTTTCTATGCTTTACAGAAAGAAGAAACAGAAAATTTGTTCCCAAAATCCATTCTCCCAATGCATTAGTCTGGACTTACAAAGCTGTGTAATCTCTTTAGACAGTGTCGGCAGCTACCAAGTCCTGTTCTGAGAACCCAATTCCCCAGTGAGGTAGCCTGAACCCATCGTGGAATTTGACTGTAAAGGAAAAAAGGTGTGAGGATATTTGCAACAATCATACTCAGTAACTGGGATTTTAATGATTCTCATTCCCCCTTTTTTCTTCATCTTTTTTTTTTTTTTTACAGTCTCCGTCCCCTGTGAATTATTTCTTTCTTCCTCCCTGTTTTTCATTGCAATTCAATGCATTGGTTTTAAAAGGAGGATTTGCAAACTGAGTATTAAAATTCCAGGATACTACATCTCCAAAATCTATAAGAAGATAAGAAGATAAGAGGCCAAACTCACTGAAAGCTTCACTCCTGGTATCTGTGGAACTTGCAGAGTTGTTTATAAAACTCCTAAGCCAAGGCAATCTTCCCACCTACCCACAATTCTGCCTGCCTAACACAGGCAGATAAACTTAGCATTAAAATTCCCTACACTTTGGCAAATGAGTACCCAGGAGGCTGCTGACTCAATCAGGGATTGTTGTACTTACAGTGTAGTACTGAGAAAGGCCATAAACTCCAGCCTGACAGATCCATAATGCTCATTTCAATATGCTTTCCCTGTGTGCTGGCTTGCTGATGAACTTTCATATTCTGCCAACAAAATATAACAAACATATTAACGACATGTGGTAAATCATCATTGGATATACCGGGTCCTGATGATGGAACTAGTTGTGAGTAAATGAGATTGTCTGGCTGCCTGATACCACTTTGGGGGTCCAGGATGATGCATTGTCCTCAGTGGGAGGAGGACAGTGCATGATGGAGGAGGGAGCAATCAGCTATAGAGGGACACTGATGTCTTCTCAAAGCGGATGGGGTGTTGGAAACCTAGAACAACAGAATTTCAGAGCCAGAAGAGACTACAGATATCATTTAGTTAAACTCATTAATCTGGCATGTATTATGATCAAGGCCCAGAGAGGGGATATGAGAATCCCAAAACTGCATAGCAAGTATGTGATTCCTGAATCACACACAGCTCAGTGGTCTTCTGGTTGGTGGATTTGATTTGTACCTGAAGCTGTCTTAATAGATTAGTTAGAGAGTATGAAAGAAATGTCCCTATAACTCAAGTCAGCCCTGTAACCCTGCATTCGTCAGTAGGAAAATGCTTTGATGGGGCTGGCTTTTTTCTTCTAGCTATAGTACTTGGCTTTTCTATTGAGTGAATTAAGGGACACTAAGGGGTGATTTATGTGAGTATGTGGTAGTTATTCTCTACTGCACTCCTCAAAACATAAGTATAGTTTTCTTAAAGTTGTCATAGATTACTAATGACCCATTGTCAATATAAAATCTATATATTCTTTATTTTACAGAGTAATTATGGTCAATAAGACTAAACTTGTGCAGATTCTGATTCACTCAATTATGAATAAGCTCTAAGGGCATTGGGTATATATCAGGACTTCTGTTGGTTGCCTTCCTTCCTCCTTCCCCCTCTTTTCTTCCTTCCTCCCTATTTCCTGCCTTCCTTTCTCCCTCCCTTTCTCCCTCTTTCCTCCTTCTGCCCTTCTTCCTTTCTCCTCCTTTCTCCCTCTTCCCCTCCCATCCCTCCATCCTCCCTCCCTCCCTCTTTCTCTCCCCCCCATCTTTTCCTTCTTTCCTTCCTTCCTTCCTCCCTTCCTTCTTCTTTCTTCAACAAACGTCTGCTTACTATTAGGCACTCTGCAAGCCCCAGAATTATACCAAAACTAATCTTTTGTGCATATAGTCAGTTAACTCTAACACAGTGTGAAATACAAAATGATAGGAAACTAACAATTATTATCGGAGCCCCGGAGATGAGCATCTAGTATAACCTGGATGGAGAAGAGATCAGAGTCAGCTTCTTGAAGGTAGTGAACTTCTAAGCTGAAATCTGAAGCACTGGCAAGGGCAAACCAGATTGAGGAGGTTATGTTTGTCCTCATATGAGAGAAAGAGAGAGAGAGAGAGGAAGAGGGAGGGAGAGAGAGAGAGACACAAAAAGAAACTATAAGGGTTCCAAGAGTAAGAAATTAAAGAGAAATAATACCAGGTTAATAGAGGTTATATGTGCCCCCAGAATTTAGTGTGTTAGAAATTTAATCCCCAAATATTGTATGTTGATTCGATGTGGGACATTTGAGAGGTAATTCAGATTACATGAGGTTATCAGAGTGGGGTCCCCATGATGAGACCGGTAGCTTTATAAGAAGGGGAAGAGAGATCTGAGCTGCTTTTGCTTTTGCCCTCTCCCCATATGATGCATCTACTGTGTTTTGAAGCAGCAAGAGGACCCGCCCAAAAAGTAAAGCAGATGTTGGCACCATGCTCTTGGACTTCCTAGCTTCCAGAACTGTAAGAAATAAATTCATTTTCTTTATAAATCACCTGATCTGTGGCATTCTGTTATAGCAGGAGAAGACAAACTAAGACAGAAAATTGGTACCAGGAGTGGGGTTGTTAATAATAATGAATACCTTAAAATATGGAAGCTTTGGTACTGAGTAATGGGCAGAGGCTGCAAGAATATGGAGAAGTCTAGAAAAGGTCTGCATTGCCATTAACAGAGCATTAAGTGTGATTCTGGTGAGTGCTCAGAAGGAGGCAAGAGAATTACAGAGTCTGGAATTTCCTAGAGTTTATTTAAGTGGCCATAATCAGAATGCTAATAAAAATATGGACAGTGAAAGCCATTCCAACCTCTCAGATGGAACTGAGAAACAAGGTATTAGAAACTTGAGTAAAAGCCATCTTTGTTTTGAACTGGCAGAAAACATGGCTGAACTGTGTTCATGCTCAAGGGCTTTACGAAAGATGGAATTTAACATTGACAAGCTGGAATATCTGGCAGAAGAAATACGTAAGCAGCAAAGCATTGAGACTACTGCATGGCTACTTTTAACTACTTATAGTGAAACAATAGAAAAAAGAGATGATTTAAAGATAGAATTTATAATTAAAAGGGAAGCAGAGCAAAAAGATTTGGAGAACTCTTAGCCTGGCCATGTAAAGTATGAAAAAGCATGTTTAGGAGAGAAAACCAAGGGTGTGACCCAGTGACTATTTGCTAAGAAGATTAGTACTGATTGAAGTGATCATCAAGGCAATGGGAACAAAGCATGAAGGCATTTAAAAGATCTTCAAGGCTGCCCCACCCATGACAGGTCCAGAGCTCTCTCAAAGGGCAGAATGGTTTCAGGAAATAGGCTTGGGATGCCCTCTATGAGTTTATTGCCCATGACTGCCTCAACTCTCCACTCCCTACACTGATGGGTGCAGTGCTTCTTGGTCCTCCCAGCTGTGGCTCAAGCAACTCCAAACGTAGCTCAACTAGCTGTGCTGGAAGATGCAAGCAGCAGCAAGTCTTGGCATCATCCATCTGATATTAAGTCTGCAGGATCACAGACTGCAAGAGCTATGGGAGCATGGCTTCCTCCACCTAGCTTTCAAAAAATGTTGTGAACAACCTGGGGGCCCTGGCTGATACTTGATACAGGGTTGAAGCTACTACAGAGAGGCCCTACTAGGACAATGGCAAGTGGAAATGTGGGGAAAGAGCCACAGCCACCACAGAGAGCTCCAACTAGGGCAATGCCTATTGGAATCATGGAAGCAAGGCCACTGAAGAGAATCCCTACTAGAGTGATGTCTAGTGGAACCATGGGGACAGAGCCACCTCTGAGACCAGGACGGTGGAAGCCCTAGTGTGTAGCTCTAGCATGGAAAAACCACAGACATCTGACTCCAACCCACAAGAACTGATGTGTTGGCTGAGCCCAGGAAAGCCATGGGAGTGGCACTTTTCTAGGCTTTGGGGACCCAACCCCCACACCAGTGTGCCCAAAATGTAGGACATGGAGTCAAAGGAGATTATTCTCCAGCTTTAGGACAAAATGTGGTTTTCCCTATTGGGTTTTGGACTGACTGGGGCCTGTTTACTTCTTTCTTCTTACCTATTTCTCTTTTTTGGAATGGGGATATCTATTCTATGCTTGTCCCACCTTTGTATTTTGAAACTAGATAACTTGTTTAATCTCACAGGTTTATAGCTGGAAGGAATTCACCTCAAGATAAATTGTGCTTTGACTCTCACCCATATCCAATCTAGTGAGACTCCAAATTTTGGAATTTTAAGTTATTGCTAGAAAATTAAAATTTTGGGGCTTTAGGGGTGAAATGATTGTATTTTGCATGTAAAAATGACATGAGTTTTGGGGATCAGGGGTTGGATGCTACGATTTGAATGTGTTTCCCAAATTTTATGTGTTGGAAATTTAACCCCCAAATTCATGTGTTGGTTGGTTGTTTTTTAGGAGGAGGAAGAGAGACCTGAGCTGACACTCATACTCTTGCCCTCTCCTCATACAAGGCCCTCCACCATGTTATAAAGCAGCACGAAGCCCCCACTAGAAGGGGAGCAGATGCCAGCATCGTGGTCTTAGCCTTCCTATTTCCCAGAACTACAAGACATATTTTTTTAAACATAAACTACCCAGTCTGTGATATTCTGTTATAGAAGTAGCAAATTGACTAAAACAGTGGAAAAAAGTAGGGATAAGGAAAGTTCTAAGAGGGAAGGTCTAGAAATAAAATAGAAACACAGTGTGGTGAGCACCAACAGTGTGCTGTGAAATAAATGAAGATAAGTAAGACCAGAGCAGTAGAAGGGATAGCTACAAGATGAAGACATATAATAGGTTTGGAATTTATTCCAAGGGCAAAGAAAATTGAGGACCATTGAAGTGAGTGACATGATTGAATTTGTTTTTTGGGGGAGAAATGATCTGGCTGAAAATACAAAGGACACTGATAATCACAATATTTTATTGATCTCCTTTTATTTTTAAAGAAAATATATACATAAATAAATTGAAAAGTGGAAAATAAAATAGCTTTGAGGATATTTTTAAGAAAAAGTCTCAAAACCCAAAATGAATTATCTCGGATGATTATCATACAATATAAAGAGAATTGTATATGTACAGTGTAACAGAAGGAGGCAGATTTTGATGGGAATTCAAAGTTGCACGTAGTAGTTGCACAGTGTATATTTGGGATCATTGACATTCATTTTACACCGATTAAGCATTTTGCAAATGTAGAACTTACTGCTAGTCCTAGCCTCTTACTTCATAAAGTTTTTATCTGTACAAAAGAAATAATTAAAAAGAGCTTCAGAGAAGAAAGTGTATCTGATATATACTTTCTGCACTACCAAAATGGTGTAGAAATCTACAGAGACAAAAAGTACTTTGTTAATATCTAAATTGTGAGTAATGTAAATCTTTGAAATCACTAGAAATGTTTGGTTGGATGTGAAATCTCAGGATAAAATGGAAGAACTGGATCATTAACTGGGCTGGAAAGTATCCACTATACATTCAAGTGCTAAAATTGAGCAATCTATAATGCTATTCATTTAGAAGTAAGCATTTAATAAATGTTACAGTTCTTCCAAAGTTTATCATTAGGCTAGCCTCATTGGCTGGTATTAGTTGAGATTTGAATTTAGCTATAATATGTGGATAGAGCTAATGAAAGAGTTATGGAGTTGATGTTTTACTGTCAGGTGGGTGAAAAAGAACAAACACTACTGTTAAGAGATGGAACTACCATGTCACAATAAGCAAAAGAGGATTTCTAGAAATAACTCATAGATCATTTAGGAGCATATTTTATGTTTACTTTTTAAAAGATAAATGGGTTCAGTGACGATCTGTTAACAATTATTGACTCAGTCATTTAGCAAGTTGAGTATGTTTTACTTTCCACTTGCTAGGCATCTGAAACATGTTTTAGGTATGAAGGTAAATAATGATCCTATGTTCACGGAGTTTTCAACCTCAGAAGGAAGACCAATTGTAAAAGCATAAATAATAAATGAGGTAATTGCAGACAGTTTCAGGTAGAAAATGAAACAGAGAGATAAGATAGAGATAGAAAGTGGAGAGAAGGGTATGTGGCAGCCATGAGAATATAACACTCAGATCTCCAGATGTGTGAAGTTACTACTTCTTATGCTATCACCCCATTTGCAACTGGGCCAGACTTTCTAGGGGCCATTTCCAGCCAGCAACTGAGCTTGAGAAAGATTCTAAGATAATGTCATTCTTGAAAGAGGTTTGAAATCTCTGACATACAAATTTGGGTCAAGGAACCACGTATGAACATGCCAAAGTTTACTTAGAATTGCAAAGCATCTTAAGATACTTTTACCCAACTTTTGTTCACTCTTTGTCTCCTCCATTCACTCTCAGAACTACTCTGCTGTTTGACAGTTCTTCAGCTTATCTGAGCTCCTTCCCCATTTTCTCTGACACGCACTACCCCTGGTAAATTCCTTGCCACGTTTAATTCTGTCTTGGCATCTGCTCCTTATGGTCCTCAGTCTAACAACACAGGGTCTTTGAGCTAAGGTATATGGCAAGATCTCTCTGAAGAGGTGATAGTTAAACAAAAAGTTAAATGATAAGTAAATTGTATAAAGGTTCTGGGGAAAAATACTGCAAGAACAGGGAAGAGTTTGTGCAAAAGCCCCGAGTAAACATGCTCAAGTGACCAAAAGGAGACCTGTGTGGCTGGAGTATAATGGGAATGGGGAAAAGATTAGATCAGATGAAAGTAGTTCTAAGAAGCTAAGAAGCTCCAGCATCTTTATTCCTGGTGAGAGGACATAAAAATCTATCTGAAAACAAACTCCTGTCTGAAGTCAGATGCCTGTTCTTATTTATTTTTAGCTTTAGAATACTAGATGTGAGAAATGACAAATCTAAACCAGAGGAAAGAGCTGTGACTGACAAACCATGAGAATAACTGCAGTAAAGGGGCTGTGGTCAAGTTTGTGATTGGAACTCCTGAAGGCAGCTGTAGGGAGTGGCAGGCCATTTCACATTCATCCTGAGTGTAGCTCATTCAAGAAATTCAAGACCTGAGTATAGCTGTCCCTCACCATCTACCACAGCCTGTCATTTATCCAGCCTTTGATTAATACCAGGAATTAGAGGCTGGCACAATCATAAGATGAAGCTATAATTTCAGGGCTATGTACATCACAACTTAGGTAAATAAGCAGAGAATCTGTTTCCTTCACTACATGTTTTGGATCTTAATTAACTGAGCATCAAATGCATGTGCTGAAGGATGTCAGGGAAATGAAGTGTGGTGGAGTATGCGTCTACCATTCTATATTTGTGTATACTCAGGTCTTTATATTTTTGCAGTAGAAGCACATAATCCAAATAGTATATTCGACGCATGGTTTCTTTTCTGTAAAATACTTATGCCAGACACACTTGTCTCACAAGAAGTTGTTGGGATATCTGATGGAGCTTAAGTGGGAGATTAAATTGCAAATGCTTACCATCCCTTTTATTTTAACTTCAAAAGAAAAAATCTGTCTTTCGTCATTCATTTTCTTACATGGTTTCATCCCATAAAGTGAAGTTGGTCTTTTTCAGCCCCTTTCCTGGTATTAACTCTGGTATTATTTCCTGGCATTATGATGAATTTGGATCAGAGTGGGCTATATTTACCCAGGATGGGGGTAAAATAGTAAAATGAAAATAAACAAGAATATCTATGCAGGCTGGAAGGATGACTACTTTCTTTGATCTTCTTTGAGGTCCTCCCAGAAATGTTTTAAATTTCATAATTATCCATTATTGTTGCACTACATTTCTTTGAATAAAATACTATGTCAAAATTATATTATGTAAATTCAAGTTTATGAGTTACAAATAAAACTATAAAGCAGGTGGAAATTATTTTGATATTATAAGAATGACAGCCATTGCTATGCTGGGGAATTAGTATGTCTGGTAGTAAATTTTAGACTTTGGATCAGATAACTTAAGTTCAAATCTTAGCCTTGCCGATTAATCACTGTTGGGACTTGATTCATCACTTAATCATCAGTTGCCTTATGAAAGAGCAAACAATATTAAATTTGCCTACTTCCGGATGTGTTATAATTATGGAATGATATTTAGTATGTGAGTTGCTTTGATGTGAGTTATTCATTCAAACATACACACAAAGCCTTTGAAATATTCTTGCTATTGGCACTTTTCTTAAAGAGTCAAAGAAGGCTTGGGGTTTTCTGTAGTATTCCTATGTATTTTGTATTTCATTCTCTTTGTTATATATTCAAAACATATAAGGTTGATGCAAGTGGTCAGCATTTATACAAACACACACACAAATCTGTAGCTAATTCACATGTATTTTGTTTTGTGGATAGGAGAGGTCTTAATTTTATAAGTAGGAGAGGAGAAGAGCAATTCAATAAAGAAAGGGGCTGAGAAGATTCAAGAAAAAAATATCATGGAAAGTGATTGAAAGATGGATGTTACCAGGACTTGAGCTACCCTGAGCACAAGCATTAATGCTTTGAATACCAGGAGCTAAGATTGGATACAGAGCTTGGAAAGAAAAGCTCTGTCCTCTTGTCTGTGTCTTTCACTTTCTACTCTGCACTCATTCCTATACAGGTCCAATATTCTGTCAGCATCACAAGGATTGGTAGGATTGGCAGAATGTGGAGATTCTTGACAGGAACATTAGCACCTCTATGGTGGAAAATGGTAGCAGAAAGCAAATCTTCCTTTAGTGCAGGTAGGGGCAAAGACAATTCAAGAGGCTGAGCAGGAAAGAAAGAACACACAAGGTGAGCGTATTGCCTCAGCTAGTCTGTGTTTACATGTGAGTCACCTTTTTGAAGACTTATTTTGAGAATGAGGTTTTAATACTAATACCACTTCGGTGATATTTATAAATTCCATGACTTCAAGGCTACACTACAAACTAATGTATATGAGAAGTGAGAAATAAATAGAGGGAGAAAAAGAGAGAGAGAGAAGGAAGAAGAAGGGAGGGAAGGAGGGAGACAGAGAGGGAGGGAGGGGGAGAGAGAGAGACAGAGAGACAGAGAGAACAACACAAAAACTATAAGGATTTCAACAGTAAGAAATTAAAGAGCGATAATAGCAAACACCCAGCATTTATTAAGATTTAGTAAATGTCAGGCACTATTTTAAGTTTGTATGTGTATATGGGTGTGTACATATATACAGAAATAAACATATGTAAATGCACATATAGACACACACACATAATCATTTATTCCTGATCACATCCATGAGGAAGGTAAATTAGTATGCACATAATAATAGATACAGAAATAAACATGTGTAAATGCACATATAGACATACACACATAATCATTTATTCCCGATCACATCCATGAGGAAGGTAAATTCGTATGCACATAATAGTCTACTTCCAGAAAACTGAGGCTGAGAGGCTAACTTGCCTAAGGTCATATTGCTAGTGAGTAAGGGAGCTGGAATTTTAATCCCAGAAGCCTGCCTCTTATGTTCACACTGGCAATCATTACATTCTGCTACCTGGATTCATAGAGAATAAGTTTTAAAAAAATAGGCCTTAAGAGATGAGAAATGTAGTGATGTGGGGCTTATGAAACAGAAGAAAAACCATGAGCAGAAGCATGGAGGTGGCAGTGCAGTGCAGGTAATGAAATGGTGGAAGATAATGACAAATGGTTACTTGTAGGCCACGCAGGCTGAGTGGTCTAAAACCAAGGGATCTTTCTTTCTCAGCCCGTCATCAAGGCTCAAGGGGTGCCATGTCATTTGGTCATAGGGTAGCAGAAATTGCAATGATGGAAAATGTCAAACACCCCTACTTTAATTACAAATGATGAGTCTGGGAGCCACGGGTAATTGTGGCAGAAATAGCCACCTATGACAAATGTTGCTCTGAACTTGTGTCTTCTAACATTTGAATTTCCCATGTCAGTGGCTCTAGAGAGCCCAGACAACGAGGATAGCTTCCAATGCCTGAGATTCCCTGGGAGATTGAACTTCTGTCTAGCATCAACTTTCCTGTTTGCTGCTCTGAGGATTCCTTGCCGTCATTTGTCCTTGATCAGAGGTTGGATCATCCTTTTTCCTTACTCCCTAAACACAGGGCGCAGGACTCTGAAGCAATATGACAACATGTGAGTTGCCAAGGTTCCAAATAGTCTCTCTCTCTCTAGATTTCTTTTCCTCACACTTTCTGGGTGGGAAATGTTTCTCCTTTGCAAGGGCAGATGCCAAGGACTCAATTTCTCACTAACTCAGTTAACAAGCACGTATTGATCACTTACTGAGTACGGAATGCCAAATGAATTGTGTTGGAAGATGTAAAATAAATAAAGGACATGGTACCTGTGAAAGTATAGACACTAATGGGAGTTGAAATCATTAATGGAACAGAAGTAGAATGGTTATAGTTTAACCAGATGCAAATGTAAAAGTATTTTTATTATATTTTATTATAATTCTGCATCATGTCTAACAATAAGACCAAAGAGAAATGTGATAAATGGTTACTGAATTCTGCTCTTGAGTTAGTGAACATCAAACCCAGAGCAATCAAAGCCAAGAACCTAATATGATTGGTTATAAAACCAATATAGGCTTTATTAGAGCAAGTACATGTATACTTCCCTGAACTGTGGGGAGAGACAATCATTCCTACATCATCCCTGACCCAGACTGTAAGCTTAATGATTCCTGAGCCTGATGTAAGTCTTCTAAAAAGGAAATAATTTGTTCTACTCTCAATTGATAGATAAATTGGATAGGTAGGTAGATAGATAGATAGATAGATAGATAGATAGATAGATAGATAGATAGAGTGATTGATTTTAAAACTGTGGATATGGGGAGAATTTTAGAAGAAGTAGAAAATGTTTAGTGAGGTTTTTGTATAGAATAAAAATGTTTGGAGCAACACAGTATATAAATATGTAAGTATATCAAGGGCAGCTTCTTGGAAACCGTGTGTTTTGAGCTTCTTCTTGTTAGTAATGACAGATGCACAAGAACACAAAAATAGAAAGACATTCCAGGAAACATTCTAGGACATCTTAGATTCTCCACAGGCTGATTTGGCTTCAGGGCAGGGTTAGCAGGTTTAAATATGGACGTAATGAAAATTACTATAAAAGATGTATAATTGGCTTGGGAAGGAAGATCTTGAATGTTTGGATATTTCCCAGTTAGTCATTTTTACAAAACTAGATAGTTATTTATAAATTAACACTGATTCTGAAGTAAGTTAGAATGACAAAGCGAGACTTGTTAATTAATAGATATGCCATCTTTCAGATCTCTTCTGAGAGAATGGGAGGGGGTCGGGAGAGGGTCAGAGAGTGTGTGTATTAAAAACACAAAATGGTTTTAAAATAATCACTAAAATTGGTATTTTTAATGTTGAAACAAAGGAATAAGAATCCAGTTAAAGGAGACATGAGTGAGACAAAAAGGTGAGAGAGCAAAAATAAAAAGAGAGAGAAAGAGAAATTTAAAAGAAAATGTAAATAGAAGACAATAGGAAAAGAATAACGGTACAATTGACTATATAAAAATAAGCTTTGAAAAGGACCCTTTTCCAGAGAGTTGTGAACTCATCTGAACTACCTCATCTAGAGAAGTCAATGTGGTATTTTGGAGATGTTGAAAATGTTAGCAATTAACACATACATACTCTATTTCTCCTTTCGAATTCACCAATCGAATAATTCATTCCAACTTCTGTTGGGAGAATGAGTCAGAGAAAGAGGTCATGAGGTGGTACTAGTGAAGGTCCCACAAAGAAAAGATCCAAGATCAGGAAAACAGAAACTCTCTGCAATAACTGTCTTGCTAAACCATCCTGACTAAAGGTTGATTGCCTTCACTCACCATTTGCTCTATTGATTTGAGTTGGAAGGAAACAGGAACCAGAAGCAAACTCTTAGAAGTTCAAACATCACGGACTCAGGTTCAATAAGAAGTTAAAATGAAAGCTGAGCACAAAAAAATTAATTTGATTACCTTTCCTGTCCTAGAAATGTGCTGTGCTTTGTACTTTTAGGAGTTAGCTGAAGTGCCTTTCAGAAAGCTCATCACAGAGACCACGAACATAGAATCTACATTCTATGGCGTGTGAGGGGATTAATATTGAGCACTAGGCATGGTCCTTAACTCTCCCCACCTTTATCCAATCAGTCCCTAGGTTTATCTTACTATGTTACTCAGTTAGTTCTATCCCATCTGTTCTTGTCCACATCATTATCACTCCCCTGCATCACTGCAATAAACATTTAAGTGGTCCTCTTACCTCTAGTATCAACTCCTATCCCCATTCCCACTTTTAATCTTATTTTTTTCTGTGGCCAAGAGAATCTTCCAAAACACGAATCTGAACATGTCATTTTCTTGCTTTGCTAACCATCGAATAGGTCTCCACTGTCCTCAGACATAGATTAAAATCACTTTATAATCAGCCAGTGTGACCTGGACCCTGCTGAGCTGTCCAGTCTTAACTGTAAGAGTTTCCCCTTCGCTTTACAATCTGCGCTCCAGCCTTGTTCAACTTCTTTTACTTCCTTGCATACACAAGGCTTTTTTTCCCCTCTGGACTTTTGCACACTCCATTCTCTTTTCTTAGAATACACTTTTTCTTCTTCCTCCACCTTTGTCTTCTTCCACCTTTGTCTCCTCTCCTATTAATCTCCATCATTTACTTCCAAAAGTCTCCCTTGCTCCAGGGCTGGGTTAAGTGTCCCTGTAATGTTTTCACATTTTGCCCTATCACTTCTTCTCTGTTAGTTTTGTCTCTACCTTTTCTGCATGCTCATATCCTTTGGTGAGTTCTGAAGTAACAGACTATGTTTGCCCTATTCATCATCATTTGTCAGAATTTAGCAGTGTCCAGCACAAAGTAAGAAATTAACATATATACATGGATTTGATATACTTCAACCAGACATTTAAAAAATCCTCTAGCTTAGGGTTCTATAGATAAGCAAGGATTTTATGTCCAGATTAACAGCTAGTTGTGTTGATATCCCTAAAGAAGAAACTCTCCAGAAAAAAAAAAAAATGTGTTCCTAAATGCCAAGGATTATTGCGAGTGGTGGTGACTTTAAACACGTCCTGAATGTGGGATATTGTTATTTCATAGAGTTCAGGAGTTGTGGTTTATGGCACAGAGAAAATCTCATCTTACTTGTAGGGGAGAGAGAGAGTACTTATATAAAAATATAAAAACAAATTCTACTTGATTCATTTATCTTATTACCATGAGAATCCATCAACATAAACAGAAAAATGAGGGGGATGGCTTTGGCTTTCTAGTCACTCAGATCTGCATTCAAACCCCGTGCTTGAACCACCTCAGCTGTGATGTTAAAACTGAGGCTTAGCCTCAGTTTCCTCATATGTAGAAGAGAATAGAAACTTACTCAAAGATTTAGAAAAAAATGCATCTGTATCATCTAAAACAACATTTGGCATATAGCAGTTTTAAAGTGAATACATGTTCTAGATGGGGCTGAGCTAAAGTGAAGAAATATAGCTTACTCTTTCATTTAACGCATTCTATTAAGTCCACATTTTGTGACAGGCACTGGACTAGACTTTTTGTATTTGGAATACAAAAATAACAGTGTAACCCCACCCTTAGGAGGCACAGCATACAGCAATGACAGAGATGGTGACCAGATAACATGAAGTACTGTGCACCATAATGTGCCATAATGTGGAAAGTGCATTGAAAAAGTAATTAGAAAGCTCAATCATGGAAAATGTTGTCAGAGATATGAGGATAGGAAGCCACCATGCACCACTGGTTGTAGAATAGATGTATAGGCATTCTGGAGAGCATTGCAACTATGCCTAGTCAGATTAAGTGTAGAAATAGTCCCATTCCACAAATCTTCCCTGAGGTCAGGAATTCGAGACCAGCCTGGCCAACATGGTGAAACCCGGTCTCTACTAAAAATACAAAAATTAGCTGGACACAGTGGCATGTGCCTGTATTCCCAGCTACTTGGGAGGATGAGGCTGGAGAATTGCTTGAACCCAAGAGGTAGAGGTTGCAGTGAGCTGAGATTGTGCCACTGCACTCCAGCCTGGGTGACAGAGTGAGACTCTGTCTCAAAAAAAAAAAAAAAAAAAAAAAAAGAAAGAAAGAATTTTCATGGACCTACACAAAGGGATGAGTAAAAGGTGTTCATTGTAGGATTTGTTGCAAGGAGTGTGGGAGCACCTCCTTGGAGAATGAGGCAGGTTAAGATATGTCAGCTGTCCAATGGAGAACCAGAAGGTCAGGAGACACTACATACTAGATGTGCACATAGTAACATGGATGGGTCCAGAAAACAGGACAAATAGAATGAGAATCATACTGTTTTCATTTATACATATTAAAAATATGTTAACTACAAAATAATAACATACATACAAAAATTCATATAAACAAAAGCTGATATGGTTTAGCTGTGTCCCCACCCAAAATTTATCTTGAATTTTAGCTCCCATAATTCCCATGTGTCATGGGAAGGACCCAGTGGGAGGTAATTGAATCATGGGGATGGGTCTTTCCCATGTTGTTCTTGTGATAGTGAATAAGTCTCACAAGAGCTGATGGTTTTATAAAGGGGAGTTACCCCACACAAGCTCTCTTGCCTGCCACCATGTAAGATGTGACTTTACTCCTCATTCCCCTTCCACCATGATTGTGAGGCCTCCCCAGCCATGTGGAACTGTGAGTCAATTAAACCTCTTTCCTTTAAAAATTACCCAGTCTCAGGTATGTCTTTATTAGCAGTGTGAGAACAGACTAATACAAAAGGGTACTCATTAAACCCTGTGATGTGGAGAGGGAAATGGGGGCACATGGGAATAAAATAAATAATATAGAAACATATCTTTGTAAGGATGGATCATAAACATTTGTCATGAACTGAGGGGTATGAATTAGCCAACACTATCCATTGAGGAGAAGCAAAGTGATAAAGAACACATAATTTGTCTTAGAGTAAAGGGAAAAATTCCATGGACCAGCATTCATTCAACAATTCTTTTTTTTTGTTGTTTGTTTGTTTGTTTGTTTGTTTTTATTATACTTTAAGTTTTAGGGTACATGTGCACATTGTGCAGGTTAGTTACATATGTATACATGTGCCATGCTGGTGCACTTAGGATGCACCCAGTATCATTTGCTAAGAAAACACAAAGAATAAAATAGGCCAAATCCTTAAATCTAATAAAGCTTAGAACTTATGAGTGTGAAGGCAGTCTAGAAAGAAATATACAAATTAGTATACACTATGATTTCAAGTGGCAGAAATGTTATGAAGAAAGATAAACCAGTATGGAATTAGTGAATATATGGAAGAACAGGGAACATTCAAAATACGGAGACCAGAGAAGTCCTATCTTGAAAGCATAATATTTGAGCATGGATGTGAATAACGTCAAGGAGAGATCTAACCAAAAGTCCAGGTTGGAGAATAAGTAGAAGACTGTTGAAGCAACAATGGATGAGCAATGAGTGAGCTCGTGGTCTCAAAATAACAGGAATAACCACATAGTTGACAAGAATGAACAAGAAGCACAGAGAAGAGGAGGCGAAAGGGAAGGCATGAGGCAAACCACGTAGGGTCTTAGAGGGCAAAGTAAGGAGTATGGATATTATTCCGATTATATGAGAAGCCAGTCATAGATCTGAGCTGGGCAGTGACATGATTTGAATTTTTTTGTTCCTCTACTCTTATTTTAGGGTCTAGAGGAACATGTGTAGGCTTGTTACATAGGTAAATTGTGTTTGACTTACTTTTCAAAAAATGTTCTCTTAGGCTACAGTTGAGGACCTTTCTGGGAGGGCAGGGTCAAGTGTAGAAGTAGAAAAATCAGGCCGAAGACTATTTCAGCATTCCAGGTAGGACATGATGTTCAGTTGGCCTATGTATAATCAGGCTTCAGTGGAATATTTGCTTTGTTTCAGCACACAAGTTCAGGAAAGGATGTTATGAGATGAAGAACATCATTAAACTTAGCTTAGAGATCTGAGCTCTCCAGAGGTGATTTAGGGCACAGGGCAAATGAAGGAGGGTGGAAACACACATGCAAGACAGGCTGAGGTCAGATTAAGAAGCGCTGAATGGACAGACTAAGGAGCTTGGACTCTTTCTTGCAGAAAATGGGACCATCAGGGGAATGGCCTGATGTAACCTTGGCTTTTATGAGATAATTCTGGAAGCCTTGTAAATGATGGTTTGGAAGAGACAGAAGGCAAGAGGTGAGCAAAACTTTAGAGTAAAATTATAGCAGTTTGCAAGGATAAGAAAAGAAATGTTCACGTAATTGAGTATCTAAGGTACTTAAATGTTCTGCATAATGGATATAATTATACCTACTGCATTGGTTTCTTATACTGTTAAATGAATTAGTGCGTGAAAAGTGCTTAGAATAGAATCTGACATATGCTAACCTCTTGATAAACATTAGCAGTTATTCATATATTATAAATATTAATGATATTATTTCTATGTGCTAGTCTATGGACAAGTATTATTTCTAAGGACTAGGCCTGAATAATATATATATTTTTAATTATTTTATTTGATCTTTGAGAAGGAGTCACTCTGTCGCCCAGGCTGGAGTGCAGTGGCATGATCTCGCCTCACTGCAACCTCTGCTCCCGGGGGTTCAAGTGATTTTCCTGCCTCAGCCTCCCAGGCAGCTGGGACTACAGGTGTGTGCCACCAAGCCTAGCTAATTTTTTTGTATTTTTAGTAGAGATGGATGTTTCGTCAGGCTGTTCTCAAACTCCCGACCTCAGGTGATCTACCCATCTCAGCCTCCCAAAGTCCTGAGATTACAGGCGTGAGCCACTGCGCCCGACCTAGGCCTGAAGAACATAAAAATGACCATCATTTGGTTGAGGCATTCATTATTAAAGGAGTTTGTGTTCCAACTAACTGTAAGTCACAGGAGACCTAAATGCTATGATGGTGGTATGTACACTTGCATGGTTCTTTAGACAAGGGGGGATATGAAGGGGAGAAAGTCATTTAAAATAAGAATATTATAGAATTTTGAGGGGGAGGCCAGGCAAGATGGTTCACACCTGTAATTCCAGCACTTTGGGAGGCCAAGATGGGTGGATCACCTGAGGTCAGGAGTTCAAGACCAGCCTGGCCAACATGGCGAAACCCTGTCTCTACTAAAAATAGAAGAAAAAAAAATTAGCTGGGCATGGTGGTGGGCGCCTGTCATCCCAGCTACTTGGGAGGCTGAGGCAGGAGAATCACTGGAAACTTGGTGGGGCAGAGGCTGCGTTGAGCCGAGATTGTGCCACTGCACTCCAGCCTGGGTGACAGAGCAAGACTCCGAGAAAGAAAGGAAGGAAGGAAGGAGGGAAGGGAGGGCAGGAGGAAGGAAGGAAGGAAAGAAGGAAGGAAGGAAGGAAAAGAGAAAGAAAGGAAGGAAGGAAAAGAGAGAGAAAGAAAGGAAGGAAGGAAAAGAGTGAGAAAGAAAGGAAGGAAGAAAGAAAGAAAAAGAAAAGAAAGAAAGAAAAAAAGAAAGAAGGAAAGAAAGAAAGAAAAAGAAAGAAAGAAAGAAAAGAAAAGAAAAGAAAAGAAAAGAAAAGAAAAGAAAAGAAAAGAAAAGAAAGAAAAAGAAAGAAAGAAAGGTAACTGATATTGAATCCTGGTTGGACTCCATCTGGGCTTTGTGATTTTCAGCAACTTCCCTTCTCCAAACTTCAGTTTCCTCATCTTTAAAATAATATTGAAAATCCTGACACTTGCATGATGAAAACTTGAGACAATGTAGGTGAAGTTCATAGCATAGTGCCTGTTGTACCTTAAGAAGAAAACCGATATTGCTATTATATTTTACTTATCATGATTCAATCAACTCTTATGAGGAGTATTACCAGCTTCCATGAGGAGTATTTCCAGCTTCCACGCGTTTATTTTACATGTTTTGAATCTTTAAATGTTTTAAATCTTCCTTTAAATGTTGTCTTTTACCCTGCGTGAAGGGAAAATCCTGCCCTGACATTTGCATTTTGTTTCCTTGCTTTTTCCTGCTTTCACCTCAACATCAAGGAAATCTCCCTTTCAAATTAAAAAGAGATTTAACATTTTTAAGCATCGTTGCCCCCTGTCACCTTAGAAGTGTGGCATTTTGATGTTATTTGCACAGACTTCCAGAATGGAAGATACTCTATAGAGTTAGCACAACATGCAGTACTAATGTGGCAATGAATCCGTGTCAGTATCCCAACCCGCTAATGAGTAAGAGCATCCCAGGCATGTGTTGGGATGTTCAGAAATGTATGCAGGTGTTTATGAGCAATAGGTGGTGAAATGGAAATTTGCTTTAAGGAAAGAAAATCAATTTCCCTGGTCTTTCCTATTCACCTGTCTCTCTTTCCATGTTAAGATCAACTGAGTCAGAGCACTTAGGAACAAAGGGACATTAACGTATGACTATTAATGGGATGTTCAGAACTATAGATACAGAGTGTTGGGAGGAACTTTCGAATATGTAGTTTAACTCCTACACATTGTTGTGCAGTGTAATCATAAGCAATTTCTGTAGTAAAAACTTAATATCTTCTAAGGCTTCCTATCCTGTTTAGGGGTAGCTATGACTACTTGAAATTGTTAATTATTAATTTTTATTTTCTTAATGAACTAACCTTGAGATGTGCCTCTCTGTAGCTTATACCTATTTGGTGAGACCTCAAGTTGTAGCCCACTTTTCTCTTTGCCCCTCCAGTGTTTTAAAATACTGGGGACATTGTTCTTTGTCTTGTCTTAGATTTCTTGCTTGGCTTCTTTTTTTCAATCATCTTCTCATTTCCCTTTGAGATTCTCACTTGCTGTTGGGTTTCGGCACTTATTATGGACACAGAACTAAGCGATTCTCAGGTGCCTCCCATTTACTTCTTTCAGTTAACCCGAATAAAGAATGAAGTAAGGGCAGAAGTAGGTTCAGCAACCTAAGTTCACTAGTAAGCAGCATGCAAGGGATTTCAATCCAAGTCTCCTTAACACCAGAGTATGTACAGCTGACAAATATACTATACTGCCTTCTAATGCCCCCTTTAACTGAGTCCTCTTGTGCAAACTCAAAACAGAATTCCTGCATCAGTGATAGTACTAATCTTACTATTATGACTAATAAGAATAGCTGAGATTAGCTTCTTGACTCTGTTAACTATTTGAATCTTCATAACGACTTTGAGGTAGGTTCTCATTTTACAGATGAGGAAACCTAGATCCAGTAATATTAAGTAATTACCTCAAAGTCGTGTAGCTAGGAAGCAGGAGATACAAAATTCAAATCTTGAAAGTCCACCTCAAGAGTCTACACTCTGAAGCATTATGCTGTAATTCTAAGTTCCCAAATCTTGATGTTTTACTTCTTAATATAGTCTGAGTTAACATACATTTGTGTTAGTAATAGCTCACTCTTGATGGATATTGAGCTATCAGTGACAGTTTGTTTCTCTGTGTGTGTCAGTATGTGTGTGTGTTTTGTTTTAGAAGAAAATATCTTATGCCATAACGCCTTGTTTTCCTCATACTGGAATTCTTCCATGGGGTTTTGTTTTTGCAGGCCAACCATCTATCCTTATTAAAGGCTGCATTTAGGGATCCAGCCCATTGACCCAGCCTGAGGAGACTTGCTTTGCTCCCTCGTTCATCATTCCCTACCCACTTTCCAAACTTTGTGTTAATTACAAAAAAAAAAAAAAATTGATAAACACGTCTTCTAGCCTTGATTTAAGTCATTAACATATTCTGCCCAAGATAGAACTTAGACATTGAGAGGGAAGTATCCTTAAATTTCTAGGAGATGCTTCATTCTTTAAGCATTTGATGAATATTTATTAAGCAAATTGTATGCTGGACAGCCATCATATTAGCCATGGTAAATACAACTTTTGGCCAAAATAAACTCTATTTTGTCATGGCATTTTCAGCTTACAACTAGGAGAAATTTATTAATCAGATAATGATACAAATTAATTTTAAGTGTCCTGAAAGGGCTACACAGAGTAAAAATGTTCCTCTGAGGAAGTATTGATTACACTGAGATCTGAACAATGAGCTAGACTAACTAGGTAAAAAAAGGTAAGAAAGGCTGATATTCCACTTAAATTTACTATGGCTATAGGTAACTTTATATTGGTTGAACTATTATCTTAATAGAATGTGAAACTGGTGAAGACAAAGTATTAATGTTAAAATAAACTTTAATGATATTCTAGTTCATAGTTAGCATAACTTGATGCTTTGTGAGATGCAAGAATATGTTGTAAGTTAATAGTCCCCTGATTTTAACAAGTTCTCTGAAACTCGACAATTTGGAAAATCTGAAGCTAATCGATTTAAACTAGTTTCTTTCTTTCTTTCTTTCTTTCTTTCTTTCTTTCTTTCTTTCTTTCTTTCTTTCTTTCTCTTTCCTTTCTTTCTTTCTTTTCTTTCTTTCTTTCTTTTTTTTTTTTTTTTCTGACAGAGTTTCACTCTTTCGCCCATGCTGGAGTGCAGTGGCATGATCTCGGCTCACTGCAACCTCTGCCTTCTGGTTTCAAGCTATTCTCCTGCCTCAGCCTCCTGAGTACCTGGGATTACAGGTGCCAGCCACCACTGCCCGGCTAATTTTTGTATTTTTGTATTTTTTTTTTTTTTTTTTAGTAGAGACAGGGTTTTTACCATGTTGGACAGGCTGGTCTTGAACTCCTGACCTCATGATCCACCTGCCTCATCCTCCCAAAGTGCTGGGATTACAGGCATGAGCCGCGGTGCCCGGCCAATTTAAACTAGTTTCTTAAGAACTTTTCAGATCCTTTATTACATCTAAACATATTGTGAAACTCTCAGACAGAGTTCTAGATAAAATACAGTGTTTCCCAAACTTATTTGAATAGTATTCCTTTCTTCTGTGCCACATCTCTTAAATTTTTCCAGTTTCCAGAATATAGCCTGGGAAACACTGATTAAGTTTAACCCATCCCCTCCACCCCCAATGCTTAAAAAACTTTTCTGTCAAATTATTATCAAGTCCTGTCTTGAACAGCCTCAATAAATGAGAAATACACCCAATTTTTTTCAAATAAATGAAATACTTAAGACTTTGCCTAATTATCTTAGTCTTGTGAATTTAACTCAGTTGCCTTTGCTGGTGCTCAGAAGCATCAAAACAGTAATTGTATTTTGTGATTCTCAGGAGAAGAGCTGTATATTACAAAGGTGAACACTAGATTGGAAAAGACTGTTGGAGCCTGTATTAGTCCTATTTTATTTTTATAAGAAAGCCACTTGATGCTGTACAAGAAACATTTTCTAAACTTCATTAATAAATAAAAATAAAGAGCCTGCATATTAATAAATGATGAAAGTGCCTCTCTTGGTAATTTTTTAAGTATCTAAAAATAGTTTCAGTCTTTATCTACAAGTGTAATACAGTTGGAAGAGCCACTGAGAATGTCATTACATTGCATGTTTGTCAGTAGAAGTGGGGAGACCGAAGGGAACCCCATTGCTTGAGACGTAAGACATCTTTGTGCAGATCACTTACTCAATGCCGGCTATTTACAGTATTTTTCTTGATTACTGTAGATTGTGCAATGTCACAATGGGGCCAAATTTATAGACCAAAGTGCAAAAGAATCAGATGGCCTTCTGGAGTGGAGCTGATCATTTTAATATGCTAATATATCATCACCATTTTGAGGCCATGCTTCTCTTATTACTCATATATCACATTAAATTGTTTACATGTCCTTCTCACTACTAGCCTGCAAGATTTTTTTTTTTCAGGTTACAGCTATATCTGGTTTAACTCACTTTCCCTAGTGCTTAGCATATCTCCTGATATAAATTATGAAATAAAGATTCAAGCATTATTTATTAATTTTTCATTGTAACAAATGTCAAATTCCAAGAATTGCCTCTCTGAGACCCAACAGAATTGCATTCATGAAAATCCAATCATGAAAGTTTATACAAAATCACCCTTCTTGGTGTTACAAGCTTGATGGTAGATGGAAATCAGCCCTTGCGGGAGTATTTACACCAAGGAGATTGGTAAGCACTACAAATCACTACCCTCTCCACTCTGGCTGTTAAACATTTATTAGTACAACATGTACTGTGCCTCATACAGTTTATCTCCAGCTCTCTTTCCTTTTCTCTTTCGGCCTCCAGTGCAGTCAGAGGATGTGGGGGGCTTAGAGTTTTCCTTTTCAACCTTGGCTGATTCTGTGCTCGACCTTGAAAAAATTCTCCCTGACCTTGCTTTTATTCTACAATATTCACCTCTCTCTCTCTCTCTCTGTTTCCTTCCCTTTCTCTCTCTCTCTCTCTCTCTTTCTCTGCCTCTCTCTCACTCTCTCAAACTCAATGACAGCAAAGCTCATTCAGACATTGGTTTTAATGGAAGAAAATCCATTTTGGTTAGCATTTTATAATTAAGGAGCATAGCTTAAGAAAAAGCATGCATTTCAGAATTGGAGTTGAAATCCTTGCTCCACCTTTTATCTGTGTCCTTGAAGGAGTTACTTAACCTTACTAATCCTCTGTTCTGTAATCTGTAAAGGAGACAATAAAACCAATCACATAAGTTTGCTGTGAGGATTATATGAGAACATGTATCTAAAATGTCTAACAGAGTGCCTGGTACAGAATAGGTAGACAATAAGCGTAGCTCTCTTATTATGCCATGTTTTTCTTTTAGGATTAGAAATGGACCTTTACTCTGACAGCAGCACATCTGTGTTTAAAAAATAATTGGAGAAGAAGGACCTGAAATAGATGCCTGGCTTTGTCACTTAAGTGTTGCATGATCTGGGCAGAACGCTTGTAATCTCAGTGTTCCCACTTGTGAGAAAGGATAATGATACCTCACTTGCCTCCCTCACAGTACAATTGAGAAAATTAAATGAGATAATACATGCAGAAAAATCTTTGAAAACAAATACAGGTATGTGTATTAAGAGGCGACTTAAAAATCCATGTATCCTGAACAAAAATTTCCACTTTTTTCAAACTGGAAAAAAATTATTAGAAAAAGAATATGTACAGAATTTGCATAAAACAAATCATTGCAATGGTGTTACTGATAAGAAAATTGAAAATAAGCTAGATATTCAATGAGAAAAAATTATTAAGTAGATTCAAATACATCCATATAGTGGAGTGGTCTGCAGACATTAAAATCATTTTATAGTAAATCTAAAAGAATGTATACCACATTGTTAAAAGAAGTCAACACTGGGTGATAGAATTGTTGGTGTTTTATTGATTTTGCTCCTCTAAATATTCCAATTAATTTATGACTAATATACATAACAATGTATTATTATTAATGTATAATAATAAAAATACATGTTTTAGAACAGTATGTATCATTGTATTTTTTTTTTCCTTGAGATAGGTCTTACTCTGTTGCACACACTGGAGTGCAGTGGCGTGATCTCGGCTCACTACAACCTCCACCTCCCAGGTTCAAGTGATCCTCCTGCCTCAGCCTCCCAAGTAGCTGGGACTACAGGCGTGAGCCACCACGTCCAGCTAATTTTTTGTATTTTTAGTAGAGACGGGGTTTCGCCATGTTGGCCAGGCTGATCTTGAACTCCTGACCTCAGGTGACCCACCCACCCCCACCCCATCAGCCTCCCAAAGTGCTGGGATTACATGAGTAATTACATAGCCCAGCCTATGTTACATTTATAATTAGAGGAGAAGCACTAAAATACATCAATGAAACATGAGGAAGCAATATTTACATATTAGAAACATTTTTATTCAATTCACAATATTTACTATTCAAGTGAAGATACTTTTCTGATTACTTGCAGGACAGCTGATTTTTCTTTTTTTTTTTTTGAGACGGAGTCTCGCTCTGTCGCCCAGGCTGGAGTGCAGTGGCGGGATCTCGGCTCACTGCAAGCTCCGCCTCCCGGGTTCACGCCATTCTCCTGCCTCAGCCTCCCAAGTAGCTGGGACTACAGGCGCCCGCCACTACGCCCGGCTAATTTTTTGTATTTTTAGTAGAGACGGGGTTTCACCGTTTTAGCCGGGATGGTCTCGATCTCCTGACCTCGTGATCCGCCCGCCTCGGCCTCCCAAAGTGCTGGGATTACAGGCGTGAGCCACCGCGCCCGGCCAGGACAGCTGATTTTTCTAAAAGGATACTCTGAAAGGAATATCAGTTGATTTTCAGAGTTTCATAGATGTAAGACCTTATCCAATACCTTGACAATTACCTCATACATGTTAGTGTTTATTTCTTTCTTTCTTTCTTTCTTTCTTTCTTTCTTTCTTTTTTCTTTTTTTTTTTGAGACGGAGTTTTGCTCTTGTTGCCCAGGCTGGAGTGCAGTGGCGCAATCTCGGCTCACCGAAACCTCCGCCTCCCAGGTTCAAGCGATTCTCCTGCCTCAGCCTTCCCAAGTAGCTGGGATTATAGGCATGCGCCACCAAGCCTGGCTAATTTTGTATTTTTAGTACAGATGGTGTTTCTCCATGTGGGTCAGGCTGGTCTCGAACTCCTGACCTCAGGTGATCCGCCCACCTCAGCCTCCCAAAGTGCTGGGATTACAGGTGTGAGCCACCGCACCAGGCCTATCTTTCTATTTATATTAATTGGGGGAGGAGGAATAACAAAGTAAGAAATAGGATTTTCCATGTCCAATTAGTTCTTGTTTCCCAATTTGAGTAAGAAAGTTTCTTCATTTGGGCACTGCTATTTTTATACATTAAATGCAATGGTTAAGAAATTGGATCCATGATGGTGGAGAGGGATGTGTGTGTTAGCTGAAGTGTGGAACTTCCAAGGCTACTGAAAGGAAAGATTTGGTTTATGCTTCTCAAATAGGTGCATTCAGTATACTGCTCTTTTCTCTGTCAAAGTCCCCAATTCAAATTGAATAGGCCTCAAAATCTTTGTCTCCACTGAGCGATGCTCTCTTTCCTTGGCCACATTTTATTTTATTTTTTTAGGCAGAATTTCGCTCCTGTTGCTTAGACTGGAGTGCAATGGTGCAATCTCTGCTCACTGCAACCTCCGCCTCCAGAGTTCAGGTGATTCTCCTGCCTCAGCCTCCCAAGTATTTGGGATTACAGGCACCCACCACCACACCCGGCAAATTTTTTTGTATTTTTAATAGAGACAGAGTTTCACCATGTTGGCCAGGCTGGTCTTGAAATCCTGACCTCAAGTGATCCTCCCACAGTGCTGGGATTATAGGCATGAGCCACCGTGCCCGGCCCTTTGCTAAATTTTACTGATCAAGTTATAGATACATATTCTGAGGTTGGCAGGTGAAATTCTGAAGACACGCTTTCTACGCGTCTCAGAAATGTAGTCACAGTATTGGCAGAGCTCTAAAAGAAGATCCAAGAGCTAAAGTTGCTGAGGTTCTGGGATCTGCCCTGACTCCTAAGATTGAAGATTGTTCCATCCAGTTTTCCATGCTCTGAACTACCCCATTTTCCTTCTAATAAATTAGTTTCCTTTTAATCTAATAGACTAGGCAATAGGTTTCTGTTGCTTACAACAAAAAGAATGTTAATTAATAAAGCATGTTCCTATTTTTAAAAAAGAACCATTAGTTGGATAAAGAGTGTGTGATTACTCAATATTAACTATGTCATTGATAATGGTCGTGGACACACTTATCCCAAATCTGCTTCTAAGGACCAATATGGCAAAAGAGAATGAACTTATACCAAAGCTGAAGGCAAATTACCCAAAGCTGCTGAGAGAGAATTGCTGGAATGGGATTTATGTCATAAAATAGGGACCAACCTGCATTAAGTGTAAAGTATGAACTGAAAATAGGAATGGAAGACAACGGGCAAATTTGGTGGCTAGTGAGAGACATAGATCGGTGCCTGAAGTTTTGTGATTCTAGCTGGGCAGGTAAGAAAAATGATGTTCCATGGGGTGGGCAGTATTTATACAAGGGAGAACAAATCTTTTTAAAGAAGCCCTGCAGCATGAAACATTGTTTCTTTAGTGTAAAAGAAATATTGGTGAACATTGTTATAATGTTTCCATGTCCTGCACAGATGTTATTACTATGCTTAATCTAATGTCTATACCAGTGATCTTCACCTCTGATTTTTGAATAGGCCGTGACATCTTCAATTATCTCAAGATACACTGAAAATTTCTCAAAGATTCTTGAAACAGAATTAAATGTCATACCTGCTAATTATAAAAATAAATGCAAGTAAGACATACTTTATGTCATTGAATTAAACTGAAGGCTTTTAAATGCTGCTTGTTCATGGAGGTTTGGAACTGCTGATTTGGGAACTGCAGGATTAGGCAAATGTATCAAAAGATGCAGGCAGAGAAAGCTGTGCTTGTGATGGGGAGAGATTGAGAGCTGGTGAGAAAAGCTGTTGAGTGGAGAACACCTTGTCACTTATTATAGTTAAGATAGCTTGCTTTGCCTTAGGCTCTTTATTTTAATGTAGATGTCTGAGAGTGAGTGGGTGATTGAGGGAAATGGAGAGAGGTTATGTGTCTTCACAGGGCAAGATAGCAATTGAATGACTACCAAACCCATCCCCTGTGATGTTAATATATGCACTCATTGTTCCACCCTGTTTTCCAGTAACGGTAAACAACATTTGTCACTTGCAATAGACTACTTTTCACTTCCAAACTGATGGTGAGCTGGCATTTGTATTTCAAGTACCAAAGCTTAGGCTGCAGAAGCAGAAAGCCCAGAAAAGATGTATGCGGTGGGTGGAGAGAGAGGATAGGACAAGGCTTGCATGTGCAATACAGCGAATCGTTCGTAAGTCTGGCCTCCATGACAGGAGATGGCCTAATGCCTCATTAATTCCCGCAGAGATGACGATGATGTATCACCCCCTTTCAATCTGAAACTAAGTAATGCATTCAGAAAAAAAAACTAATTTGTACACATTTAATGCATTCATTAAGCTATTAGTCTTTCAACAAGAGATTTAATAACAAATTAACATTTCTTTTAAATAAAAAAAAATACCCTCAACAGCCCCCAGTTAATACAATTATTTTGTGTTTTGAGTGCAGTGGATTACAAGAGAAAACACTTGGTACTAGAGTGCGTGTGAAAAAGACCATGTTGGGTCATTCTCATTTATTACATAATTAGTCACCGTAGGACATTGTTTTCCATGAATAACAAGTGTTTCGGTGGAACAAAAGGACTCGTGGAAGTAGATGTGAGAAAGTCAAAGACAAAAACCAAAAGTCCAAAATGGGTAATTTTGTGATTTGGATCATGATAAACTGGAAAAAAAAAAAAAGGTTTATTTCAATCATAACGTTTGTGAAACAAGCAAAATTGATTTTGGTCAAATATCAATATTTACCTAACAGTCATTTAGTTCCTTTTATATGTTGGGCACTGGGCTAGATGATGTCAGAGATTAAACATACAGACAAACAAAAAGATGTATTCTTTATCTCAACAAGGTTTCCTTGAATATCTACTATGTGACATGTGACATGCTGAGCAAGATGAATAAATCATAGCCTGTTTTCTTGAGGAAGTTACAGATGACTGTGGAAGATGTGAGCAAAAAACCCAAATACAATTTATAAAATCTTAAAATATAAGAATAGACAAAGTGCTTTGAAAACAAAGATAAAGGAGGCTGTAACTCAAATAAGTGATTTGGAGCAAGCTTTCTGTGGAGTGAAGTTTAAGCTGGGAATGCAGCTTAAATTTAAAATTGGAATACATTAGACAGGCAGATATGGGTGGAAAGTACACTCTACATTTAGTGACAGCATGAGAAAATATACAAAGGAAACCTGTAATGCATAATAAAAACAAACAAACAAATAAATACTTGGATTTGGCTTCTGTCTTATCAGTTCAGGCTGCTATAACAGAATACCATAGACGGGGTGGCTTCAACAACAAGCATTTATTTCTCAAAGTTATAGAGCGTAGGAATTTCAAGATGCAGGTGCTGGCAGATTTGGTGCCTGGTGAGAGTCCTCTTTTTGATTTCCAGACAGCCCTCTTCTCCTTGTGCCCTCACATAGCAGAAAGAGAGCAAGAGAGCTCTGTGGGGTCTTTATTAGAAGGGCCCTATTACCTTTAATGGGGGTTTCACCCTCATGATCTCACAGAAGCCCTGCCTCCTAATACTATCACAATGGGGGTTAAGACTGTGAACTCTGGAGGGACACACTTTATCTATAATAGCCATTCTATTGGACATTAACCACTTTCTTTTTTCCATGGATTCCAAAGCATTTTATTATGTGAGTTTGAATTTAGTTCTTTTCTATAGAAGCAGAGAAGACTTAGAGATTACACATATTGATTAGGGTCCACAAATAAATTCATATGGTATCTTCAAAATGGGCTTTACCAAGCAATATAGCTAAAGTATTATGTTCCTTTTGAGAATACAATCTTTTTTCACTTTCTGTAGTTAACTATCTCAAGGTGATACAAATTCCAATATACTCTATTAAATAAATGCAGGAATTTTATAGCACTCTAAATAGGTATAGCTCAAGGACATAGCCTCCTATTCTTCTACACTTACCCTCATCAAATTTCCTATTTGTTTATATCATCCATAGCACATTATGTACGTTTTTAGTCATAGGCAATCATATTGCATGCATTCCCTCCCTTAAGTATGTGCCTTCAAAATAAACCTGATACTATATATATACATATATGTGTGTGTGTGTGTGTATATATATATATACGTGTGTACATATATATATATATATGAGATATATGATGCATATATATATTAGAAATGGGATCTTGCTCTGTCACCCATGCTGGAGTTAGCTGAAGCAATCACGTTTCACTGTAGCCTGGAACTCCTAGGCCACAAGGAAACTCAAGGGATCCTCCTGCCTCAGCCTACCAAGTGGCTGGGACTACAGGTGCACGTCACCATGCCTAGCTAATTTTTTTTTTTTTTTTTTTTTGAGATGGAGTGTCACTCTTTTGCCAGGCTGGAGTGCAGTGGCACAATCTTGGCTCACTGCAACCTCCACTTCCTGGGTTCAAGCAATTCTCCTGCCTCAGCCTCCCAAGTAGCTGGGATTACAGGTGCCTGCCACCACCCCCAGCTAATTTTTGTATTTTTTCTTTTTTAGTAGAGACGGGGTTTCACCATGTTAGCCAGGATGATTTTGATCTCCTGATCTCGTGATCCACCCGCCTCGGCCTCCCAAAGTGCTGGGATTACAGGCGTGAGCCACCACTCCCGGCCTTTTTTATTTTAATTTTTGTATAGACAGGGGCTTGCCTTGTTGCCCATGCGGATCTGGAACTCCTGGCATCAAGGGATCTTCCTGCCTTGGCCACCCAAGTGCTGGGATTACAGGTATGAGCCACCACACCTGCCATTAATTATAATTAAAAGTAAACTCTAGAGTAAAATTTGTTATATTAGTCAATCTATTAATGGAAGTATGCACTGTGTTTTCTTTACCATATACATACTGCTTTGGTTTGAAGAAGATCTTTAAATTATTCCTGAGAAAAGACTCTATGCTGATTGACATCTGCACAATGTTAGTTATTAATATTATTCCACGTCTGACGGATTTCTCCCACCATGATATACTTTGAAAGTTCCTGGGGTGAACTTTGATTTGTCACCTTGGGAACCAAAGAAAGAAGAAATAAATCTTGAGAAAGCTCAACATCCATCTTTTTGGAACAGTAAAGAAGCAAATGAGTAAATAACATCTACATAAATATTCGATGTCTATATGCACACCCGAACTTTGAAGAACATCTGTCTTCCTGCCACTAATGATTTTGTTCCAGATGTAATCCAAATATGTTTGCAAATGGGGAGTAGAGAGGTTAGCACAATCTACTTTGCAAGCAGTTGTTGGTTATCATAGCTATTTTTGTTTCTTTTTAAAAACATATACATTTCAAAAGTGATATGGCACCCCACAATGATTATGTTTGAAATGATAGTAAAATAAATCTAATATTGCCCTTGGCTTTGCTCTGATGTTCCTCAACTTAAAAAGAGAGACAATATGGTGTAAGGGCAAGAATGTGGATTTTGGAGTCAGAAAGCTTTTGAAGGCTTGCCGGTCAACAGCTTTTCGTATAATGATATGAGCAAACTCCCCATTTATGCCTTTGATTTCCCATATGACCTTGAAAAAAGCCATTCTTAATAATAGACTGAATAATAGAGTATTATTTATTATGTATCAGTTATCTTAAGTGCATTACATGAAATAACATTTTTATAGTCTTCCTATCTGCCCTATAAATTTTGTGCTGTTAATATTCCAATTTTAGACATGAGAAAACCAAGACATAGTGAGGTGATGTAATCTGCACAGAGACCTGGAGCTAGGGTAGAAAATTCATGTTGTCCAAAACAAATTCAAAACCTCAACTCAAAGCAGCCACATTCTAATGTCTGTTGTTTAGCAACACGTCCTCAGATAATTGCAGAGTGCAGCAGCTACTAAACAGCAACAGTATCAGTAAACATAAAAACAGCTAACACTTGTTTAGGTACTTACTACATGACTGCTATCGCCCTGACAACTTACTGCTTTTAATCTCATAAAGTCTTCCCCATAACCCAATGAGGTAAGTCCTCTTATAGGCAAGGAATGGGAGGCAGAACAAATAAAGCCCTAGGTCATAAAGTTATTAAAGGCTAGGGCAAAAACTTGTATTCTGGTATGACTGGGTTGGCTCTAGATGCTATATGTTTACTTTTCTTTCTTTTCTTTTCTTTATTCTCTTTTCTTTCTTTTTTCCCTCCTCTCCCTCCCTTTCTCCCTCCCTCCCTCCCTCCCTCCTTTTTTTCTTTCCTTCCTTCCTTCCTTCCTTCCTTCCTTTGTTATGGCACACCTTTAATATTTCTTGAATGAATGGGTAAATTTTCCCTTTCTTAGTCCTAATTCTTCACTGCAAACTGGTTATGATTAATAATAGCTCTCAATAATGAAATATTATCACAATTTTGTGAAAGAGGCATTATTATCATTCCTCTTTTATGATGACACTGAGGCTGGAGAAAGGTTCAGCCATTTCATCAAATGTACTCATTTAGGAAAAGATAGAACCGAGCCTCAGAACTGGCCTTCACAGTCCAAGTGCTCTGTGCCTCACCTTCTCCATGTTTCCTCCTCTAAAGTGTGAACTGTCTAGATGAAATGTTCTTATGTATTGGATGTTTTGTGATTGTAGACTCATGCTCTTCCCTAGACTACGTATTTCTTTATTTATTATAGCAACTTGGAAATAAATATATCCAATTTAGTACTAGGCAGAGGTAAAAGGCAGAGAGCTGAGTCACTGCAATGTTCAAGATTTTAAAAGCCATTTGCAGCTTGCAACATAGAAAGTACAGGAAGAAAGACTTGACACATTGAAATTCAAACGTATCTTTCTGGCAGCAAACTATCTCTGGGTCCTGGGAAGCCTGAGTCTGGGTGAGCTGAGAAGTAATGAAGCCCTGCGTCTCATGTCATTGACTCTGGCATTTCAAGTACCACATTCATAACAGTAGACGCAAACCGCTGGGTCCCTTTCTACTCCACTAAATTGAAGTGGTTCCGCAGGGGAATATGGCAACAGGGATGAAAGCAAAATAACATTTCTTTTTCCACTGTAAAAAGAGAAGGTGCTGATGATGTTTATTCAAAAGAGCAACATCTAGAAATTGTGCTGGGACATGGTGACATTATGCCCAGCCATGCTTCAGTGAAACGTTCAACATCTTAGAGGGTGCGGACACATGCTATCACGGGGTTGCTTTCTTTCTTTTTCCTTCCTTCCTTCCTTCCCTCTCTTTCTCTCCTCTTTCTCTCTTCCTCTCTCTCTTCCTCTCTTTCTCTCTTTCTTTCTCTCTCTCTCTCCTTTCTTTCTCTTTCTTTCTCTCTCTCTTTCTCTCTCTTCTTTCTTTCTTTCCCTTCCTTTCTTCCTTTCTCTTTTCTTTTCCTTTCTTCCTTCTTAAAATAATGATATTCAGGACTAAAGATGTTTCTCATTCCACCCCAATCATTCCCTCTGTGTAACAGCTTGGTGTTTTGGTTTCCATTAACAGAAACCCAGATGCAAATTAGCTTAACATAGGTTAAAAATGTTTAATGGATCCCATGTTTGAAAAATCAAGGTTACTAGTTTCTGACAATGCTGGATATAGGGGCACAAATGATATGATGAGAATTCATCATTTCCTTCCCAATCATGTATTTTTCTCCATTTTGCCTCTATTTTCTTAGAATTTTGTTTTCCCATGGTTCTAATATTGCTTCTAGTATCTTCTGGGGTTACCTCTTTTTTAAATCCTATCTAACAGAAAAAAAAAAAGAGTGAGTCTGCTTTTCTGATAGCTTAAAATATATCCCAGAATTTAGTCCTTTGTCTCTGATTAGCTTGACGTAGCAACATATCTATCCCTGAAACAATCTTATTAGCAGTATGCAGCATTTTATTTCCTTAAGCTCCCCTTAGAGCTACAGATGGACTCAACTCCAACAGAATATATAGATTGAGAGTGGAGGAAAGATGCCACTCTTCAAATAAAATCTGAGATTTTTGCAAAAGAAGAGTAAATGAATGCTGGGTAACAAAAACAAACTGTATTCAATGAACATGTCCTTCTATTAGACCTCAAAGACATAATAACTAATTAAATTCTAATCAACCACAGAACTGAAAGATCCATTACATCTCATGTAGCTCTGAGATTGCATATTCATGGCTCAAGGAGTGGATTTATTTTTAAAAATGTATATTTCTAAGACGTATACAGTTTGTTTCTTTATTGTAATGGGACTTGATACATTTTTTCTGGAGATAAATAGTTGCTTTATTCTTTAGCCAAATATACATGCTTCAGTTCACCATATCTCAACTATTCTATATTGTCTCCTCAACACAGGAGACCAATTTAAGGAATCAGAATTCAATATATTTGTCCTGCTGACATTTTTGAAGCAGAAAAAAAAAATGTGGCTCTAATAAAATCTTGGTGGTGGTAGAATGAGTGTTTTATGTGCATCAAGAAAATGGAAGCAGATACGTTCTTTGGGGAAGTAAAGAATAGCCTTAGAAGTTTAATAAGCCAACACTTAAGATATGTAATTTACATTTTAAAAAGTAGGCTTTTGCATTGGAACCTGTCAGTTTTTTCATCGTTTTACGGAAGGTGAGATTAAGACTAAAGATGTTAGCATCTTGACGAGATCCCATACAGAAGTAATGGAGCTGAGATTATTGGGTCCACATGTTTTTCTCTCATCCCACACTTCTCAGCCCCCACCACACACACCATGAACACATTGTAGAAAATTGGGAAAATAGAGGAAAAAAATTTTATTTAAACTGTAAAATTAATGTAAATACTTGCAGAGAAAAAATCTCACCTATAATTTTACCACACTAAAAGCAAAGTTATTTTTTTCTTCTCTGTTACTCTTAATACCTATTATTTTATATTGTAATTACAGTATGTATGCAACACTGTGCCTGTTTTGTTAAAATGTTTTATATGCAGTTATTTTTGTCGTGATATACTGTTCATCACTATGAAATGTGCACATAATTATCCAAGAACAAATGTGCTACAATTTTGTGACCCTTCCTTTTCTTTTTTTCTTTGCACATTCTGCAAACTTTTCTTTTTTTTTTTTTCTTAGCTGTTACTTTTCTTTTTTTTTTTTTTTTTTTTTTTAGTATTTATTGATCATTCTTGGGTGTTTCTCGGAGAGAGGGATTTGGCAGGGTCATACGACAATAGTGGAGGGAAGGTCAGCAGATAAACATGTGAACAAGGGTCTCTGGTTTTCCTAGGCAGAGGACCCTGCGGCCTTCCGCAGTGTTTGTGTCCCTGGGTACTTGAGATTAGGGAGTGGTGATGACTCTTAACCAGCATGCTGCCTTCAAGCATCTGTTTAACAAAGCACATCTTGCACCGCCCTTAATCCATTTAACCCTGAGTGGACACAGCACATGTTTCAGAGAGCACGGGGTTGGGGGTAAGGTTATAGATTAACAGCATCCCAAGGCAGAAGAATTTTTCTTAGAACAGAACAAAATGGAGTCTCCTATGTCTACTTCTTTCTACACAGACACCGCAACAATCTGATTTCTCTTTCTTTTCCCCACATTTCCCCCCTTTCTATTCGACAAAACCGCCATCATCATCATGGCCCGTTCTCAATGAGCTGTTGGGCACACCTCCCAGATGGAGTGGCGGCCGGGCAGAGGGGCTCCTCACTTCCCAGACGGGGCAGCCGGGCAGAGGCGCCCCCCACCTCCCGGACGGGGCAGCTGCCGGGCGGGGGCTGCCCCCAACCTCCCTCCCGGACTGGGCGGCAGGCTGGGCGGGGGCTGACCCCCCACCTCCCTCCTGGATGGGGCAGCTGGCCGGGCGTGGGCTGCCCCCCACCTTCCTCCCGGACGGGGCAGCTGGCCGGGCGGGGGATGCCCCCCACCTCCCTCCCGGATGGGGTGGCTGGCCGGGCGGGGGATGCCCCCCACCTCCTGGACAGGGCGGCTGCCGGTCGGAGGGGCTCCTCACTTCCCAGATGGGGCGGCTGCCGGGCGGAGGGGCTCCTCACTTCTCAGACAGGGTGGCCAGGCAGAGATGCTCCTCACCTCCCAGACGGGGTGGCGGTTGGGCAGAGACACTCCTCAGTTCCCAGACGGGGTTGCGGCCGGGCAGAGGCGCTCCCCACATCTCAGACGATGGGCGGCCGGGCAGAGACGCTCCTCACTTCCCAGACGGGATGGCAGCCGGGAAGAGGCGCTCCTCACTTCCCAGACTGGGCAGCTGGGCAGAGGGGCTCCTCACATCCCAGACGATGGGCGGCCAGGCAGAGACACTCCTCAGTTCCCAGACGGGGTCACGGCCGGGCAGAGGTGCTCTTCATATCTCAGACTGGGCGGCCTGGCAGAGGGGCTCCTCACATCCCAGACGATGGGCGGCCAGGCAGAGACGCTCCTCACTTCCCAGACGGGGTGGCGGCCGGGCAGAGGCTGCAATCTCGGCACTTTGGGAGGCCAAGGCAGGCGGCTGGGAGGTGGAGGTTGTAGCCAGCCGAGATCACGCCACTGCACTCCAGCCTGGGCAACATTGAGCACTGAGTGAGCGAGACTCCGTCTGCAATCCCGGCACCTCGGGAGGCCGAGGCGGGCAGGTCACTCGCGGTCAGGAGCTGGAGACCAGCCTGGCCAACACGGCGAAACCCCTTCTCCACCAAAAAATACAGAAACCAGTCAGGCGTGGCGGCGCGCGCCTGTAATCCCAGGCACTCGGCAGGCTGAGGCAGGAGAATCAGGCAGGGAGGTTGCAGTGAGCCGAGATGGCGGCAGTACAGTCCAGCCTCGGCTGGGCATCAGAGGGAGACCGTGGAGAGAGAGGGAGAGGGAGACCGTGGAGAGGGAGAGGGAGAGGGAGACCGTGGAGAGGGAGAGGGAGACCGTGGAGAGGGAGAGGGAGAGGGAGATGGAGAGGGAGAGGGAGAGGGAGGCAACTGTTACTTTTCAATAAGACCTTCTCTTACCACCCCAAACTTTTCTTTCTCTTCTATTTTGTCTTCTATTCCAACCACTCCTTCAGTCAAATGAAAAATATTTCACAGGAAATCCCCCAAGCATTTAGACAAGCATTTAGTGGCAGGCTTAAGGAAGGTATTATACTAAGGGTAAGAATCTTAATCTAGGATTCAGAAATTGGTAAATTAAGAAGGAAAATCCAAAGGGAACATTCCAGATTGGCAGGGAAGTTTAAGGGACTAATAGTTTTTATTAGGAATAGTTCCATAATATGTAGAGGAACCCAAAGATATTAAAGTCAGTTCTTGAGATTCTCATATATGGGAGATACAGAAGAAATACAGAGAGCAGGCATGCCCTGATTCAGAGCTCAAATGATTTGTCCATTAGACTCCTCCTCACACCTGTTCTTTCTCTGTCTATATATTGGCTCTTCTATATCTTTAAATGGGTTACATTCATAGTGTTCTGAAGAATGCTACTGCCAGCCCTGTTGACATTTTTGTATTACCATGACTTCCAAGGAAAGGAGCAGTATTTCCAGGTAGAAAAGTCCCAGGGAAGCATGATAAGGCTGATTCATGTATCTATTTCCAAAATAATTATGGTGGTCAGGAAAATAGATTATTCATTCATTCTTCATTTATGCACTTGTTTATTTGTTTTGCATAGACCCACGTTATGTATTCACTCTCAGGAGCTGAGAGTATGCAATCCATTAGCAGATGAAAGGGAACCAGATAGAAGCATGCTAGTATCTAATAGCTAGCACAATAGCTCAAAACTGGAGTGACAAGAAGAATTAGCATTTGAGGGCTTATGGTAAAGGCAAAATATTAGAAATGGATAAACCATTCTACCAATACTTATTGATTCCTTGAGATTTTCTAAATCCATTGTATGATTTGAAATAATATTCAAATGAACTGAATTTTATTCTGGACCAGAAGGAATTATTTGCTTTTGAAGGCAACAAGAGAAGGAAATGCAAGGTGTCACAAAATTGGATTCTAAAGGTGTCAGCTATGAGAGGCACTGATGGGGGAAGAGCTTGAACTGGAGACAGAAAAGCTTTATGGGGCAGATGAGCTTTTGAAGGATAAATAAGTAATTATCCAATAGTTATGATGAGCACAGTGTATGAGAAAGATGGGAAGGAATGTTTAAGCTGGAATAGTGAGGAAAAGCAGGGAGTAAGTTTGGATAAGTGAGTAAAACTTACACTGGGCATGAATTTTTTTCATTATGAGGTCTGTTCAAAAGACTTAACCTCAACACTTTTAAATTGTTTGGAAAAACTTTATGTTGAAAGTTAAAATGCATCAGAATAAGAAAACCTAAAGGCATTACATAGTTATCAAAAGTAAACTATAAATAACCAGAAAAATATGAAAAGATGCCTACCAATACTAATTAAAGAAGGAAAGAAAGAAAAACATATTTCAAAAGATTCCTAAGTCTAGTTTTAGCAAGAATATGGTTAAACAAGCATCCTTATGCACTTTTGTTCTGACTGTAATTTCCTAAAAAAAAAATGTCCACATGACTTAAATTAAGAATTTTAATTTTAAGAATTTACATTAAGTAAACAATTAGTAGGTGGGGTGAATATGTTCAATACAATATTGAAATAGAAAATAAAAGCAGCTAATATATCTAAAATCGAGGTGTCAATTTCATAAATGATTTGAAAATAATCCTATAGGCTATGACACAAATTCAGGAAATAATGTGGAATGTGGTTCTATATGTGCTTTCTTAACAGATGAATATAATTTATCAAATTTTAAACTAAAATTTGAAAAGTTGAAAGAAATATATGCCAAACTATGAACAGTGGTCATCTTAGAGGCTTGAAGTGTAAGAGAGTGAAATCATTTATATCTTACGTTATAAATGGTGGTGCTATTTAAATTCTTTTGTAGCAAGAATGAATTTATTTACAGTCAACAAAACATGCACACATACATTTAGCTAAAAGAAAAGAAATTATTGAAGAATAAGTGAGTCAGACAGAAACTGATAACATGACTGACTAGAAAGAAGCAGTGAAAAGCAGTAGAAAATGGACTGGCTGTCAAAGTCAAACTGATATGGTGGCAATTATCTGATGAATTTGAGCAGTGGAAACATTGACTTGGACAGCTGAGATAAAATTCCACTTGAAAAATATGTCTGGCTGATCAGTTTGGAAGATATCAGCCTGCGTATCAATTCGTTCTATAGAGGAAATATCATAGAAGTATTTGACTATGCAATATGGGTAGACTGAGTATTAAGAACACTGTACATACCCAAATTATAATTTGCAAAACATTAATTAAGCCATTAGGATTCATATTACAAAGGCACTTTATGTATGTGTGTGTGTGTATATTTACATATGTATGTGTATATGTATATATAGAAACACATATATATGTGAGTCACCATGGAGTTTTTTTAAATAACAGTTTTTCTAGTGTAATTAAGAAGCAACTAAATTTATAAAACTTTCACTTACCAAAAGCTTGCCACAACCACAGCAGCTGCATGAAGAAAAGCTTATCTGTAGTTCCCCCTTTGATGATGTTTACCAGGAATTTCCATTTGGCTGTGGCCTTGTGGATATGGTCAGAATGTACTCATAACCTTGGTTAGGTCCATCAGTGCAAATAAAATGAAATGGTTGACATTTATATGGGCAAACTGATCAATGTAGACAGGCACTGTGAATAAATCAACCTTTAAAAGTCATAAAATCCTGTTTTGTGTAATTTTATATACTTCGCAAAAGCATTTTTATAGAGTCACAATCTTTTAGAATTAGAAGAGCCTCCAATACTCATATAACCCAGGTTTCTCATCTTATAACTTTAAGAAACAACCTCCAAAGACTTAGAAAACTTGCCTCAGGTACCCATTTCCATCAGCTGAAAATGGAGAACCAGAAACATGTCTGCTAAGTTCAACTGCAGTCTTTTCCCAATAAGCAATGTGTTATCTCATTTCTTTCTTAAGGTTACAACTTCAGTTTGAAATAGGTGAGGCAGAGAGTGTGTTTACTACCAGTTACTACTAGTAACTTACTCTAGTCGAGGGTCTATGAAATCTTTCCCTGGCCAGACAGACACGCATACACACTCATACATACATTATAATATAAAAGTTTTCATCCTGAAAATCAAGACTTCCCTGTGATCTAAATGTCTTTTCTCCTTACTTGGGCTGTTATCTTTTTTAAAGACCTCATTCATTTCACATCTGCAAAAAATGGTCAGTCTCTATGTAGATGATCCTTGGACAGTCATCTTCATCTCTGGTATCTCTCTTCAGGCTTCTGCTATGTATTTATAATTGTTTTATGTTTCTTCCCAGTTCTAGAGAAATTCTGAAGCCAACATACACAAGTAAATGTAGGTAGAAAAGAAACTTAGGTAAGAAAAGACAGTGTTCCAAGGTATCTGATTGCCTGACTCAGTTATGATTAAAATGAGCAAGATCTCTCCCTGCCTCTTCTTCACTTTGGATGTTGAGTCAATGCATACTATCTTTATCTTTAATTAAAATTGGGATTCTGCTACATATACAACTGACTGGGATGAAGTATTATCTAATAAATACACATACAAACTCACCTATAGATGGATACAGCTACCTATATCTATATTACTCTATCTAGCTATCAAGTTTTGTATCTGATTCCAACTAGATATAGATATAAATATAGAGATAGAGATAAAGATACAGTGTAACTACAGATAGTGAAATATTGTACAAAGGTGGCCACAATGACACCTCTCATTCCACACGCTCTTCTGCAATGGAAACTGCCATTACTCCATCAAAAGGTGAAGCCTCTCTCTTGAACCCCTTGAATATGGGTTGGTCTTGTGATTGTTTTGACTAATAGAATATGTTGGAAATGATGTTGTGCCAGTTCTAAACAAATCTTTTAACTCTTTAGGCAACTTCTGCTATCCCTGTCTTGGAATCCAGTCACCATGTAAAAAATGCCACTGCCCTGAGACCACCCACCATGCTGTTAAGAAGCCCAAGCAAGTGAAGTCACCGTATACTAGAATGGTAAGAAGTCATATGAAGGGAGAGAAAGAGAGAGAGGGAGACAAAGAAGGATGAGGAGGAGGAAGAAGAACAAGAGGAGAAAAAGGTTAAAAGCAGAGGGAACAGGAGAGAAACGAAGGGGAGGGGAGGGCAGGGAAGGGGAGGGAGGACAAGAAGCACTGAGGTGCCAACCTGTGAGTTCAAAAGCCCTCGGACGGGCACGGTGGCTCACGCCTGTAATCCCAGCACTTTGGGAGGCCGAGGTGGGCAGATCACGAAGTTAGGAGATCAAGACGATCCCGGCTAACACAGTGAAACCCCGTCTCTACCAAAAAAATACAAAAAAATTAGCTGGGCATGGTGGCTGGCACCTGTAGTTCCAGCTAGTTGGGAGGCTGAGGCAGGAGAATGGCGTGAACCCGGGAGGAGAAGCTTGCAGTGAGCGGAGTTGCACTCCAGCCTGGGCGACAGAGTGAGACCCCATCTCAAAAAATAAAGAAAATGATAGTAAAAAAAAAAAAAAAGAAGAAGAAGAAGAAGCCCTCATCTTGGAAGTGCATCCTCCACCCTAAGCTGTCCCCAGTGGGTATCACATGCATCAGGGAAAAGCTGCCTATCCAAGCCCTTCAAAATTTCTGACACACAAAATTGTGAGAAAAGCCAGTTGGCAGTTTTGCAGTACTAAAAGTTACAGGATAGCTTTTACATAGAAACAGTTAATCAGGAAAAATAATGTGGAGAACATCACTTAAGCAAGAAACTTCAGAAAATGTTAAAAATATAGGTGGGAGGTCTTTTTCCTGGAGTAAGGAACATGGAAGAATATTATAGAAACAAAGCCTGTATGGGGCTGATTTAAGTACCCTCGTGGAAAACTAAGTAGTATGAACATTGCTGTGCCCATAACCTGGATCCCTGAATATGGTGAGTATGGCAGTGGTTAACATGATCTGACCTATGAGAGTTAACAGTCCAGACTGGAGAGCCAGACTGCCCCTGTTCTAACCCCGTTCTGCCTCATATGAACTGTTAGCTTTAAGAAAATTGCTTTGCCTCTATGTTTCAGTATATACATCTATAAAATTGGTATGATAATATTACCTACAGCATAAGGTGTTATGAAGATTAAATGAATTAATATTTGCATAGTGCTGAGGACAGTGACCAGCATATAGATGCATTAAGTTTCAGTTAATTATTCAAAAATGATTGATTCAGACATTTCAGGATACATAGAAAGGACTCATTCACTTATTTTCTGGGGGAGGTGCTTGGGGTAGCTTTTATTTTTTGTTGTGATAATATATATAACATAAAACTTACCATTGTAACCATTTTAAATTTATAGGCCAGTGGCATTAAGTATAATATATTTTTGTCATTGTGCAAACATCACCACCATTTATCTCTACAACTTTTTTAATTTTCCCAAACTGACACTCTATACCCATTAAACAATAACCTCCCATTTCCTCCTCCCCTCCACCCCTATGAACCCCTATTCTACTTTCTGTCTTTATGAATTTGACTATTCTAAGTACTACATTCAAATGCAAACAGACAGTATTCGCCCCTTTGTGCCTGGATTATTTCACTTAGCATAACATTTTCAAGGTTCGTCATGATGTAGCATGTGTCAGAATTTCTTTCCTTTTTAAGAATGAATAATATTCCCTTGTATGTATATATCATATTTTGTTTATTCATTCATCTTCATCCATCTATGGACACTGGGTTGCTTTCATCTTTTGACTGTTGTAAATGATGCTGCTATGAGCATAAGTGTAGAAATATTTGTTTCAGGTGCCTGCCTGCAATGTTTTTGGGTATATACTCACAAGTAAAATTACTTCTTTCGTGGTAATTCAAGTGGTAATTCTACCTTTATTATTTTTTTGAGGAAACACCACACTGTTTTCCACAGTGCCTTCACCATTTTGCGATCTCACCAGCAATGTGAGATTGTAACAAGGGTTATAATTTCTCCACATCCTCACCAACATTTGTTATTTAATGTTTTAAGTTAATAGTCATCATAATAGATGGCTATTCATTCATTTAACAATAATTGGAAATCTACTATGTAAGAGACAATGCATTAGGAGCTAGCCATACAAAAGGCAGACATAGCCAGCCTGGTTGGTGAGACAGAAAAGTAATTAAGTGTTAGAAAGCCACGTAATAAGTGCCATTAGGCAGTAACCCCTCAAAAGCCATAGAGGAATGACAGAAGGATACCTAACACTACCCAGAGGGTTTAGTTCAGGCTTCTTATAATACATGGTATGACCAAGTTGAGATTTTAAGAACAAGTAAACCTTAGGTGGAAAATCAACCAAGGGAGGGCATTGGCTATGTGATAGCCACAGTACACAGCCTATGAAAAGGCTCTGAGGAAACAGAGAGGGCATGGAATCATCAACTCACTAAAAATACTCTTATAGCCAGAGAGAAGAGTGTGGAGGGAGTGGCGAGGAACAGGGCCTGAGAGGTAAACCGAGGTGGGTTCTGAAGAGCCATGTTTTAGATTGTCCCCTTCCTGCCTAAATACATCTAGAAGTCCAAACTACCAGTACCTCAAAATGAGACCTTATTTGGAAATAGGATTATTGCAGATGTGATTAGTGAAGATGAGATCATACTGGAGGAGAGTGGGCCTCAACACACCTGGTGTTCTTATAAGAAGATGGCCCTGTGAAGACAGAGACATATAAGGAGAATTCCCTGAGATGGTAGGACTGGAATGATGCATCTACAAGCCAACCATTGCCGACTACTGCTGGCAAACTCCCGGGAGGTAGGAAGGGGCAAGGAAGTATTTCCCTAAAAGTTTCAGAGGGTCCATGGCCCTGTCACTACCTTAATTTCAAACTTACAGCCTCTAGAACTGTGTAAAAACTAAACGTCTGTTGTTTAAGTCACTAGGTTTGTGGCACTTTGTTGTGGAAGCTCTAGGAAACTAACACATGATGTTACAAAGAGTAGAAGTTATCCTAGAAAAAGATGATGGGCCAGTGAAGAAAGATTAGGAGCAAGACAGAGAAACTGGTGAGGCTAGTTGGAAAGCCAGAAAGGTGACTTATATAGTGAGTACAGGGACGGTGGACTCAGATAGACAAACGGAAGACCTGTGAGATGTTTAGTCCAACAAACACCAGGATTCAGCCAGGATAATAATAACAATAATAATAAAATGATGGTGATGATAGTTAAGAACAAATATTTACTAACTGCTTGCTCTTTGCCAAATACTGAGATGAACATTTAATTCTGAATTATTTATTTTGTAAAACACACCTATAATGTAGCACTATTTTTTATATCTGCCATTATAAGGAAAGCAAGTTTATTTTTTCCTTTTTATTTCTTTTATTTTTTGAGACAGGATCTTGTCCTGTCACCCAGGCTGGAGAGCAGTTGCTCAGTCATGGCTCACTGCAGACTTGAACCCCTGAGCTCAAGCGATCCTCCTGCCTCAGCCTCCCAAGTACCTGGGATTACAGGCTCACATCACCATCTCCACTAATGAAAAGCAAGTTTTGAAGAAGGCTTGTCCAAAAACAAATGGAGATGGATTCTGACTGAATCAGATTTTCTCCAGAGCCTGTATTCAGAGCCACTATTTTAATCAGAATGAATAATATAGGGGTGAGAAAAAAGAATTAAGAAGATATTTATATGGATAAATTAAGAATTGCTAAAGCTTAGACAATTAGGTGAAGGAGAAATGGATGGTGTCATTCAAACAAAAAAGTGTTGAAGTTTGGAGCAGGTGCAGACCCATGAAGAAGGAAACTGAGTCTTTCTCTTTCAGGGACAACAAATTGCATCATGTCCCCACCCCTGAATGAGCCTGGTCATTTCCTCTGAATGTTGTCCCCATCCTGCTTCAGCCACTCCATGAATGACGTGCAGCTGCACTCCTTTCCCTGTGTTCCAGGAAAGCATCTGGAAATAAACAGCACTTAGCCCTGCTGCTGAGACAAAGGCATTGTTTCTTTAATAACACGTCTCTTTGGAAACCATCTCCAGACCTAATTCATAAGCCCGGCTGTGCTGACCCCGACGTGATGTAGCTTGCTCAGTTCTTCTGGGAAAAGGAGCATGTGTGAGATATAGTGGGCCCTAAAGAGAAAGCAAGTTGAGATTTGGAGGGGACTTTGGTCCCCTTAGAATGCAACAGGCAGGTACTTATTTAAGAATGCAGATGGTGAAACCCACAGTTTATTTAACTGTGTGTGTGTGTGTGTGTGTGTGTGTGTGTGTGTGTGTGTGTGTGTTTGCAAGCATGCTGTTACCTGGAAACCCAGGAGAAGTGAAACATCACCCCAATCAGTGTAATAATGACAGCATACTCTGAAATGACACCTGCTGATATTTATATCATACAGGTGACAGTGTTGGGAAGGTAGGAGGTACCGTTTATTGAGTACATGCTAGGCACATTGTTTATCCCATTTCCTGTATGCTTCAGTTAACTGCTGCAAAAAATATATATATATATATGAAAACATCAACCATGAAACCTCAGAGGCAAATAAAAAAACACTTGGATTTATTCATGAGGTTAGAGTCATCTGGTCAGTTCTACTGTTCTCAGCTGATCTTGGTGGGGCTTACTCAAGAGTGGTCAACAGTATTTGGGCCAGGCAGCTCTGCAGATCAGAGGAGGGTGCTTACATGTCTGGAGGCTTGACTGGGATGACCAGGCTGATTCAGCGCTGTTCCATTTGCCGCCTTCTTCAGCAGTCTGTCTTAGGCATGTTCTCATGGGGAAGGCTGAGAAGTAAAAGAGGAAGCATTAACACATGAGGACATTTTGGAGTCTCTCCTTGTATGACATTTTCTATGTCTTCATTGACCAAAGAAAGTTAAAGGGCCAAGGTAGAAGTCAGCATGGGAGGTGTGATGGTTAATACTGAGTGTCAACTTCATTGGATTGAAGGATGCAAAGTATTGTTCCTGGGTGTGTCTGTGAGGGTGTTGCCAAAAGAGATTAACATTTGAGTCAGTGGACTGGGAGAGGCAGACCCACCCTCATTCTGGGTGGGCACCATCTAATCAGCTGCCAGCACAGCCAGAATAAAAAGCAGGCAGAAGAATGTGGAGAGATTAGACTGGCTTAGCCTCCCAGCTTCCATCTTTCTCCCATGCTGGATGCTTCCTTGCTGGATGCATCCTCCCACGCTGCCCTTGAACATTGGACTCCAAGTGCTTCAGCTTTGGCGCTCGGACTGGCTTCCTTGCTCCTCAGCTTACTGATGGCCTATTGTGAGACCTTGTGTTCGTGTGAGTTAATACTCCTTAATAAGCTTGCCTTTATATATACATCTATCCTATTAGTTCTGTCCTTCTAGAGAACTCTGATTAATACAGGAGGGAACAAAAGGTTACAGAGTGGGTCCAGACACCAGGGGCTGTGGATACAAAGATGTCTTTAGTGGGATCATTGATGCAATCAAGCTACTGCTGTATAGTTTTCCAATCAATCCTTATAGAAATTATGACCATTTTAGAAATAAGAAGCTCAGAAGCCATTTAATGTCGTTATTTAACACCACACAGCTAGGATGTTGGAGAGCTGGCACTTGAGGTCATGATAATGCTTGTCTGTCTCTCTGTTTGAATATTTGTTTGTCTGGTTCCATTAAATGATAGGAAACTATGATCTGACAGAATGAGGGTAGAGACACTTGAAAGCAGGGGATACCAAGCCAGTGTGATGACCTGTAACTCAAGTGTTAGTTACGTCGGATTTGGTTAAATGTCATCTCCATACCCTAAGGTACTTCCAGAGCACCCTATGCTTCTTCGTAATACTCTTCATATCTGTACATATTTGTTTCATTGTCTGTTTTCCCTCTAGAGTGAGGATTAGCCAACTTTTTCTAGATATGGCTGGATAATACATATCATAGGCTTTGTGGGCCATGCAGTGTGTGTTGTTATTACTCCACTCTACCCCTTTACCATAGAAGCAGCATTGAAAATAAATGAATGAATTTTTTTTTATAACACATGCCTGTATTATAGAAAACTATAAAAACAGGTGGTGGACTGAATTTGATTCATGGGCCATCAATTGCTGACCCTTGTTCTAAGGTATAAACTCCACATGTTGTTTTCTCCTGGATTCCTGGCATCAGCATAACAATGGCACATAGTGGGTATAAAATAGATATTTGTTCCACAAATCAAGAAGTGTAGTCTTACAGGCTAGGCCATTCTTGGACAATGGATGTGGAATGTCTATGATTTGCCGATGTCAGCACTTAAACTTAGGACTGTTATCACAACCTTACCATTCATGGAATCAAGGCTGCAGCATCATTACCCAGACAAGTTTTGTTTAGAAACTGTAGTAGACCTAAACCTCACCTTAGGGGCCATAAAAAAAGTAAAGATAAGGACATCTAGAGAGAGCCTGAGTTGGGAAATCTAGCATAGATTTCAGCTTGTCTGGATGTCTAAGTAGTCAACTTTATTGTATTTCCATAACTGTCATAAAACATACTATAAGCTCAGTGACTTAAATTAACACAAACATGTTATTCTACAGTTTATAGGTCAGAAGTGTGATATGATTTTCACTGGGTTAAAATCAAGAAGTCAGGAAGGCTGTATTCCTATCTGGATCTAGCAGAACATCTGTCTCCTTGCTTTTTCCAGCTTCTAGAGACCACTTAACTTCTTAGTTTATGGCTCCCTTCTTCTATCTTCAAAGCCAATGATACTGCATCTTTCTGACCATTCTTCCATAGTCACAACTCTTTCTTATCACAGTCAGCAAATATTCTCTACTTTTAAGAACCCATGTAATTAGATTCGACCTACCCAGATAAGAATCTGACATTCAATCAAAGGATATGATTTAAACATTTTCTACAAATATGTAGTTACTAAAAAAATCTTACTTTCTGAAGATGCAGTGGTATTGGAATTATCATTATTGATTGTTTGCTTTTTGTTAAATATTATCCTTCCCTTGCAGAATCTAGGGTTATAAATCCCTACATTCTCTCTCAAGAGAGCTCCCTGACCCTTCCCTTTCCTAACAAAATAAACCAGATGTAGCACAACAGTACTGAAAATGTTGACTAGAAGAAGGAAGAGTAACTGGAATCCACCGCTTTCAAAATACAGACCTCAGTGAGTTGAATGCAGTGGTGCTGGCAGGCTGAGCCTAGATAATTCCTGAGTCTCGAGATTTCTTAGCTGCAGACTGTGAGCTGCAAATAAGCCCAGTGCTTATACTGATGATTCCCTAGAGGTAGAAGAGGCTGCATAGACATGAACTAGGATAGACAGAAATCAGAACTTATTTGATTGTATAAAATTTCCTAGAATTAACAAGAAATATTGAATGAAGACATTCAATATTTGCCTTGATGTTCTTGATGCATTACCTACGGTTTTGAATTTAATGTAGAAAGCCATGGTATTATAGGAATAAGAGAGGAGATACCATTTGGAATTTAATTCCTAAGAAAGCTGGAATATTTTTTAAATCAAGAAAAACTGGGTTACTCTGCTTAAGTCTCAGTTTCTGCCTTTATTATGACTGGTTTTTTATTATCTCTACTGGCCTCCGTGGGTCTTAGTTCCTTCAATTATCAAATAAGAATGATACCAATACTTACCTCATAGATTTGCTATAAAAATTAAATTATGTCTGTTAAGTATTTAGCATCAAATCGTTTTTCATTAAATATTGGTAATTCCAATTACATATTAATTAAAAGAACACAGGGTACCAGGTTAGCATAAGAGTGCATCAAATTCAGACATTCAGGTTTCCCAGGGGTAGCTTGAAGGTATTTGCATTATGAAAGTAAGCCACAGAAGAAAAGAGCTGAGAAAGTGGAGTGAGCACATTGATAAACAGTTCTACATGGAAGCAATTTCAGCTTGAGAACCCTTAGGCTGTCTTCTCTCTCTTTGGTTGACTATCAAATACCAGAGATATGGCTTCTTACAGCAACAGACAGAGACAAATTATGCTCTGGATGAGGTAGGGTTTTCTTTAACTACAGTTGAAGTCAAGGTGGGTCAACTTACTGTCAGAATAAAGCCCAAGAAGGCTTGATATATTTAAAGTAAAAGACAAATTGCAGCATGTGTGTGCACACGTGTGTGTGCATGCATGTGTGCAAAAATACATGCATGCATGTGTGTATACAGTCCAAGTAAATCAGATTTATTCGTCGAAGATAAATCCTGCCCTATCTTTCCTTTCTAGTATTTATTAAGTCAAACAGGCACTTTTCCAACTCACTTCATTCTCCATTGCCCATTTATCCCACTTATTGTATCTTTAGGGGATCTCCAGAGAGCACCCACCAATTGTGTCGATCATGCCTAGGGCTGCACAACTGTCTGTTAAGAACGTGATACCATAAACTCCATTCAGATCCATTACAAAGTACTTCTTTCTTCTAAATGAGTTCTGGTGGTAACTGGTTTGAACAAGCAGCTTAGAGAGGTATTTAGCCAATTTTTGAGATTTAAACTTGAAACAATAAAATAAAGCATAAAAAAACTTCCTGAATTAAAATAGTATACTTTTGGCACACACTCTAAAAATTTATCAAATCAATTAACACATTTTTATTTGTAATAGTTCTTAGAATTTTATAGTGTTTTTCTCATAAACATAAACCTAACTGAAGAGAAAAATAATCCCAACTCTAGGTAAGACAGATGCAATTATACACATTTAACAAATGAAAAAAATTATAACCATACCTATCTAAATATTCAGAGGCTACTTTGTACTGACTTTATTTTTTTCTAAACTCACCTCCTCTATATATTACTCTCATGAGACCAAGACAACTTAAGAATTGAATTCAGGACACTGGAGCTGTAATTACAACCCTTGTAGTTATTTCATAAGTTAGTTTCACTGTAAGAAGGGGTTATCAATGGCTGTCAATTTAGGTGGTAAATCTCTCCCAAATGCATCTGGAAATGCATAAGGGTGCCTTCTCCATAGTTATGCTACTACTATTCAATAGGAAATTAATATTGGGGAACCAAAAATTCTAAATTCTCTGCAATGAATGACTTGTACAGTACAAGCTAGAATCACCCTGCTAAATTTGCCAAAGTCTCACTCAGTGAGAATCTTTGGGGTAGGTCATGCATATGGTGATTTGGAGTGCTGATATGCAACTCTGTGACTTGAGCACTCGCTTTTAACAACAGGGAAAAGGATTACTTCATAAACTGCACCGATAAGATACAAGAAAAAGGTCAGGGTGTGAAGTCCAAAGAAAATGCATACTCAGAATAGACTCTTGAGAAAGGTGTTAATTGTAAGGTTCACAGAGGTCAATCCCACATGTTAACACTGGTAGATGTTAATTAGCACATTCAAATTTCATGAGAATTTTACTGCCAATGCTACTCTGAGTTTTGTTAGTTTGGTGGAGTGTATGTGTCCAGAAAGTAACAGTTAGTAGAATAGCTGGGAGGGGAGGGCTTGTTGAAATCCTACAATGCACCTACTGAAACATTTCATGGGAGCCCTCTGTAACTATGGCATCGTGGAAGAACCAAGCACTACAGTCTCCATAGTAAGAGGCAGTGAATTGAAAAGAGTGATTTAGGGCCTGTTCACACAAATGAGAGAAGACAGCCTGCCCTATGTGCGACAGCCTCTCTACAAAGTTTAGACAAGGCAAACATGTTTCTTTTCTCTCTGTCATCCTCTCTCTGCAGCCAGCAGACGAGTATTTCATAGTGGAATAATTCAAAGTGAAAGAACCCATGGGTAATGCACCAACAGTCATCGAACGTTCCTTAAACCACTTGATCTCACTGGAGCATCCACATGCCATATCTGCCCTTTTGTAGACAAATTTCAGGCATTCAATTGCATTTAAATCTTTCTCTCCATCCTATCTTTCTCTGTCCCTAGATCCTGATAGGATTATCTAGCAATGGGCAAGCCACTAGCATAAGTTTTAAAAAAGTCTCTTTCACATTCTGCTTCAGTGCTGAAGTCAGAATCTGACCAGTCTAACACTTAGAATTTCATATCCCTTTATTCATCAAGGCCTAAGAAGTTGTACATATAGTTAAAGATGTTGCAGCCAAATGCCTTCGCCACAAAAGTAAACTTTTAAAATAAATGATATTGACATGTATTATAACACTTAAATATGTATTGCGAAAACATATGGCATACAAGACATTGTGCATATTAGGTCTTCAACAAATGCCTTGGCAATAAATAAAATTTATTTTAATTTATGCTTTATTTGACCAGTAAGTAATGAGCTAAGAAAGAAATATCATAGGTTAAGTAATACAGGAAAATTTGAACACCCAAAACTTATGAAGAAACATCTTTCTAAATGATGGGAATCAAGCATTATATCTGTTTGTATTACTTAAAACATTTCCAATTATGGAGGGAAAACAATGAATAAAATTGTCATATTTTAATGCTATGACATGTACTCTACTTTTAATCTATATGCATTCAGTTTTCTATTACACATTCCATACTGGCTCATGTGGTTGGTAAAAATCAAATTCTATTTGGATTCTTGGACAAGCCATTAATGCCTTGCCATACCCACAGAAAATCACATTCAGCACCATGGACAACACAGAATTGCTCTTTTCTGAACCACAGCTGTTTGCTGAATGATTTTTTTTCTCCTACTAAAACATCCAGACACACGTCTGTCTCTTAATTGCAGGAAGGGTTGTTACAAGACATCTTGAATTTTAACAACCGATTTTAAAATGAAGAAAATGCACTAAAAAGAGGACTAGGGAAAATCTTAATTACTTTTGCAGAATTCAAAAATTGACACCCCAGAAAGTATAAAAAGACCTTCTGAAGCAGACATTGATATTATACAGATGAAAAAAATGAGGGGTGGGGGCAGGTAATTATCAATGACTAACAAATAGAAGATATTAGAGGAGGTACTCAGACAATTATGAAAGAATGGGAAAATGAGACTGACAGTGTTGTCATTGTAAATGCATCAAGGCACATTGGAGGAAGTAAAATTTACATATGGGGTAGCAAAAATAGTTTTGAGAATTTGGTCTCATAAGGGAAGAAGGAGCCCCCTTTTGTCTTCTAATACAAAAATCATAAACAGTAGCAAAATTGTGGTCAGTTCTTCAGTTTTTATTAAAGAGACAGGAGGTAAAGGACAACTAAATAGTAGAATTTCTTCGTGAATAATGCCTTAGACATAGTAATTACAAAATATTTCAGATTAGTATGTGACAAACATACAATCTTGATTTAAAAATGTGTGATGTTCACTTTCTCTATCCATTCCCTGAGGATAAGGTAGTCACTTGTTTTTAGATTTCTGTTGATTTCTTTATGAACACATACATTTGTCAAATATTTATTAAATGCCTCCTATATTTTAGGAAATTTGATAGGTAAGTCCACAAGAGTGTCCAAGGCATAGTGCATATCCTATAGAAACTCAGCTGTTGGGAAAATGCAGACAATCATGTTGGTCAAGAGCAACACATTCTCATGGCAGAAGGTAAATAAATACTGGTTTTCTTCTGATTTTTGTTTGCATGCATTATGTACAAAATATATACTGTGCTTAGTTTCATTGAATTCTATAACCTCCTTCTGTACACCTGAGTAGCTTTTTAATGTCTGTAAAGTTAAAAGTCCCTCTCCCTGTTACAACAGAATTGATTTCTCTTTCCTGCTTTCTGCTAAGAATAATATGGCACCCTGCTTTCTGCTAAGAATAATATGTTTGTTATTGTTTATTTTATATTTAATATGTTTAGATATGCTTTTTTATCATATAAATATACGATGAGGAATTGTTAAGAGAAAAGATGATCAACTGAGGAAGAAGCTTTAATTTTTATTAAAATATAAAATACTGCAAAATATTTTTAAAGTTTATTAATTAAGCAATTCCTTCCAGATAATTTGTGCTTTTTATGAAGTCTAAAAACCTTAAATTCAAAATAATTGCTGTGATTTTATAAATAGTTGCTATTATAGTGGTACTGTATGAGGACGTTCTTGCATTGCTATTAAAGAAATACCTGAGGCCGGGTGCAGTGGCTCACGCCTGTGATCCCAGCACTTTCGGAGGCCGAGACGGGCGGATCACAAGGTCAGGAGATCAAGACTATCCTGGCTAACACAGTGAAACCCCGTCTGTACTAAAAAATACAAAAAAATTAGCCGGGCGTGCGGGCGCCTGTAGTCCCAGCTACTTGGAAGGCTGAGGCAGGAGAATGGCGTGAACCCGGGAGACGGAGCTTTCGGCGAGCCGAGATCACGCCACTGCACTCTAGCCTGGGCGACAGAGCGAAACATCGTCTCAAACAAACAAACAAACAAACAAAAACACCTGAGACGGGGTAATTTATAAAGAAAAGAGGTTTAATTGGCTGTTAAACCTACAGAAAACCTACAGAACCTACAGAAAAGAGGTTCTGTAGGCTTTATAGAAAGCATGATGCTGGCATCTGCTTGGCTTCCGGTGAAGCCCTGGGGAGCTTTCAATCATGGCAGAAGGTGAGGGCAACAGGCACATCACTTGTTGAAAGAAGCAGCAAGAGACAGTGAGGGCGAGAGATGTCATACACTTTTAAACAACCAGATTTCCTGTGAACTCAGAGCAAGAGCTTGCTTATCACCAAGAGGATGGCCCAAGCCATTCATGAGGGATCCACCCCCATGATCCAAACACCTCTCACTATGCCCCACTTCCAGCATTGGAGATTGTATTTCAAAATGAGATTTGAGTGAGGACAAATATCCAAACTATATCAGGTTGTAACAGGTAATAAAAAATACCCTGTGACCACTATGTGCAATGTATTATATTATGTGCTTTACTTGCTCTATCTTATTTAATTTTTATTTAATCATCACACTTTGTGAGGCACATATTTTTCTATTTTTATGTCATAAATATGAGAACTGGGTCTTATAGAAGTTATATAATTTACCCAAAGTCAAACAGTTGGTAAATGTCTCAGTCCATCAGGGCAATGAGAAAAATATACTTTAGGCTAGATAATTCATAAACAATAGAAATTTTTCTCATTGGTCTATTGGCTGTAGAGTTCAAGGTCAAGGTTTTGGTAGATTTGGTGTCTGGAAAGAACTTGCTTTCTGCTTCAACATGGAACTGTCTTGCTGAGTCCTCTGGAGGAGAAGAGATAAACACTGTGTCCTCAAATGGCAGAGGGGCAAAAAGAAACAAACTCACTTCCTCAAGCCCTTTTAAAGGGGGCTAGTCCCATCCATGAGGGCTTTGCCATCATGGCTTCATCATCTCTCAAAGGCTCACTTCTGAATACCAACACCTTTGGGTTTAAGTTCTAACACAGGAATTTTAAAAAGACGCATCCATTCAAACCATAGTGGTATGGATTTTTTTAAAATTATTATTAAAGACTTTATTTATTCGATCAATTTTAGATTCCCAGCAAAATTGAGATGAAGGTGTACAGATTTCCCACATATCCCTTGACCCCACACGTGTATGGCCTCCCTCATTATCAACACTTGCTGCCAGAGTGGTACATTGATGACAATTAAACTGTCGTTGACACCATGAACATTCAAAGTTCATAGTGTATATTAGGGTTTAATATTAGTGTTGTACATTATATGGGTTTGAACAAATGTATAATGACATGTATTTACAATTCTAATATCATACAGATCATTTATGTTATCTGCCCTAAAAATCACCTGTGCTCTGCCTATTTTTCCTTTCCACTGTCCAACCACCACAACCACTTATCTTTTTACTGTTTCCATGGTTTTACATTCTCCAGAATGTCATATTGTTGGAATCATATAGTATGCAGCCTTTTCATCTTGGTTTCTTTCACTTAGTAATATGCATTTAAGATTTGTATTAGGATTCTCTAAAGAGACAGGACTAATAGGATAAATGTATACACAAAGGAGAGTTTATTAAGGAGTATTGACTCATATGATCACAAGCTCAAGTCCCACAATAGGCCATCTGCAAACTGAGGAGCAAGGAAGCTAGTCTGAGTCCCAAAACCTCAAAGGTAGGAAAGCCAACAGTGCAGCCTTCAGTGAGTGGCTGAAGGCTGGAGAGCCCCTGGCAAACCACTGGTGTAGGTCCAAGTGTCCAAAAGCTGAACAACTTGGAGTCCGATGTTTGAGGACAGGAAGCATCCAGCACGGGAGAAAGATGGAGGCCAGAAGACTTAGCCAGTATAGTCCTTCCACATTTCTCTGCCTGTTTTTATCCTAGCTGCACTGGCAGCTAATTAGATGGTTCCCACCCAGATTGAGGATGGGTCTGGCTGTCCTAGTTCACTGACTCAAATGTTAATCTCCTTTGGCAACACCCTCACAGACACACCCAGGAACAATGTGTGTCAAGTTGACACACAATACTAACCATCACAAGGGTCTTCCATGTCTTTTCATAGCTTGATAGCTCATTTATTTTTTAGCATTGAATAATATTCCATTATCTAAGTGTACCACAGATATAACCCCCAAAATGAAATACTTAGGTGTAAATCTAATAAATATGTATGTGATCTATATGAGGAAAACTACAAAAATTGGAGAAAAGAAATCAGAGAACTAAATAAATGGAGAAATATTTTATGTTCATGGATAGGACAATTCAATATGGTCAAGATGTCAGTTCTTCCAAATTTGATCTATAGATTCAACGCAATTCCACTTAAAATTCCAGTAAGTTATTTTGTAGATATTGACCAACTGATTCTCAAGCTTAGATGGAGAGGGAAAACACACAGAATAGCTGATCCAATATTGAGTGAGAACAAACTTGGAGGACTGATACTACCTAACTTCAAGTCTTACCATGAAGTGACTTTAGTCAAGGCTGTGCAGTATTTATGAAATAGATAAATAGACCAGTGGAACAGAAAAGAGAGCTCTTAGTCAACTGGTTCTTGAACAGAGGAGCAAAGGCAATACGATGGAACAGAACAAAAATAATGTTCTCAACAAATGGTGCTGGAACAACTGGACATCCACATGCCAAAAGAAAAAAAAAAGGAGACAAACTCTCCCCCTCAAGCCCTTTTATGAGATCACTAATCCCATCCATGAGGGCTTTGCTGTCATGGCTTAATCATCTCTCAAAGACTCACTTCTGAATACCTATACCTTTGGGTTTAAGGTTAAGACCTAACCATTTTCACAAAAATTGACTCAAAATGGATCATATACCTAAGTGTAAAGTCAAAACTTGAAAACTACTAGAAGATATCATAGAAGAAAATTTAGATGTCCTTGGATATGAGGGTAGCTTTTGAAATACAACACACAAAGCACAATTCATGAAAGAAATAATAGACAATCTGAATTTTATTAAAATTAAGAACTTTTGCTCTGCAAAAGATGTAAAGAAAATGAGAAGACAAGCCACAGACTAGAAGAAAATATTTGCAAAAGACACATCTGATAAAAGATTCTTATCCAAAATATACAAAGAACTCTTAAAACTCAAAAGTAAAATAAAAAAAAAATTAAAAATGGGCTGAAGACCTTAACAGATACCTCACCAAAGAGGATATAGAGATAGCAAGTAAACATATGAAAAGATATTCCACATCATATGCAAATTAAAACAACAATGAGTTACCACAACACATCTATTAGAATGACCAATAGCCAGAACACAGATAATACCAAATGCTGTTGGGGATGTGGAGTAACAGGAACTGTCATTCATTCCTACTGGAAATGCAAAATGGTACAGACACTTTGAAAGAGAGTTTGGGAGTGTCTTACAAAACTAAACATACTCTCACCATATGATTCAGCAATTGTGTTTTTATATATTTACCCAAAGGAGATGAAAACATCCCCACAAAAATCTGCACATGAATGCATAAACTTTATTCAGAATTGAAGTGGGGAGCAATCAAGATGTCCTTCAGTAGAGGAATGAATAAATAAATTGTGGCATTTGTGTGTTTTAACAAATACTCTTGTAAATTATATTTACTATTTGTCAAGAATTGTTTTAAATAATTTATAAGTATAAAATTTCTTATTTTGTTAGTATTGTTGTTATAGTCATTTTTTTTTTTTTTAAGACGGAGTGTCGCTCTGTCACCAGGCTGCAGTGCAGTGGAGCGATCTCAGCTCGCCGCAACCTCTGACTTCCTGGTTCTTGCCATTCTCCTGCCTCACCCTCCCAAGTAGCTGGGATTACAGGCATGCGCCACAATGCCTAGCTAATTTTCTGTATTTTTAGTAGAGATGGGGTTTCACCATGTTGGCCAGGATGGTCTTGATCTCCTGACCTCATGATCCGCAAACCTTGGCCTCCCTATAGGCATCTTATAGATGTGTTACAGTCATCTTATTGAAGTATAAGAGTTATACTTCTATACATCTATACAGCTATACTTCTACACATCTTATAGAAGTGTAAGTCTTACACTTCAATAAGATGACTATTGTTGTTATAGTCATCTTATAGAAGCAACATAAGGTTTAGTTAACTTCCCTAAGACACCATATTTGTGAAAAGATGAAACTGAAACTCAAATCCAGGCAGCCTCTCTTCAAAGCTCATTCATAGTCTTAACCAACATCCTAAGCCTTCTGGAAAGGTTGTTTTAAATAATCTCTTAAACTATATCTGTTAACTAATTATTTATTGTTTATATCCATCCTATATATCTATTTAATTTTGAGGACTTTGAACCGTTACTTTACCATTATGTATAATACATTTTCTGTCACATCAAATTCTCATTTTTTTTTAGAAATTTGCAAATTCACTTCATTGCTTTCAAAAGGATTTGGATTCTCAGGCCGAATTGTCCTGAAATCAAAAGTGCAGTTGACACAGTTTTGCCTCTCATCCTGAGCATCCTTGTCCACCATTAAAATGTAAGTCTTTTCACCCATCTCTACTCTTCCAACACAGACACACATATAGTTACACATCCTACCTTAATCTTTCATTTAAAATCTATGCTTCCTAGTTTCTGAAAATTTCCTTGACCTTTATTTCTGTGCCAGTTATAACCTAATCACCATTATAAATGCCTCCTTTATATCAGGAACCTTGTCACCAAATGTTCCTTCTCCTCTTGTCTTTATAAAGCTAAGTCTCCTCTGACAACTCTTTCTTGAAGCTTGCTTATTCTTTCCCACCTCATGGTCTCTGAGGTTATGTCATAATTCTCTAGTTTGTCTTTGCTTCTATTACAAATATTTTTCATGCACTCATGTAAAAAAAAAAGCTCCTCTTTGTGTTTCATAATCTCCAACTGTACATTTTGTTGAATTATGGACCACTTTTACTATCTTAGGTGAGAAGTTGTCCCATTTCTTTTATCTTTTTTTTTTTAACATAGGGTCTCAGCTCTGTCACCCAGGATGGAGTGCAGTGCTGTGATAATGGCTCACTGCAGCCTCAACCTCCAGGGCTCAGGCACTTCTTCCACATTAGCTCCCTGACTAGCTGGGAGTACAGGTGCACAGCACCATACCTGGCTATTTTTTATTTTTTATAGAGATGGGTTCTCATTATGTTACCTATCTGGAGTTATGTTACACAACTCCAAGGCTCAAGGGATCCTCTCATCTCAGCCTCCCAAAACGTTGGGATTACAGGTGTGAGCCACCATGCCTGGCCCAGAAATAATGGTTTTTAAACAATATTTGAGTTTCTAGTTATAAATTCCAAAGTCTCACAATATTTCCGTGGACCTTTGAATAGAACACTTGAGCACTAAGCACCCCTTGTCACTCATTAATGTCATATATTGAACACTGTTTCATTGCACACACTTTTTTAGGACCTGAATTCCTGTTTTCCTTTGAACTTGCCTCCCACCTTCAACACAAGTACACTAAAACAACCAATACAATTTCAGTACAGCCACACTACATTAAGCATGTCTTGATCTGCTTCACATAGCCTTCAAAAACACTTCCTTAAGCAACCCACATTAGACCATCACAATATCCAACAATACCGACATCAAATACTTATTGATCTCCAATTATATATGGGAGATATGTCAATAATAACATTTATTGATGCAAAATAAGACAAGCAGCTTAAATTTATTAATTCTTAATCCTCATCATGATTTCTATTACATTTTCTAGTTTTGAATGAAGAAGTTAAGCCCAGATTGGTTAAATTATCTGTCAAAGTTTATACACCTATTTATAGAATGAAAGTTGGAACTTAAACCCAGAAAACATGGCTGTTGGGCCCATGTTCTCAAATGTCAGTGTTATACAAGCTTTGATTCTTAGCCCAAGGAAACATGTGGTTTAATGGTAAATTCAGATAAGTAGAGAAGTCAATTATGCGAGATAAATAAACAATCTAATCACCATTCAGGGTACTTGTAGGGCAATATGCCTAATACAGCCTAAAAGATAGAAGGCAATCAGAAATATTATTTACTTTTCTCTCCACATTCTTCAGAGCACTCCACAGGATAATTAACTGAGAAAAAAAAAGGAACTATCAGTAACTACTTGGACACTGAAGTATGGATTTTGGGTGTTGAAGATTTTTGATGTGCATATTTTAGATCTTCAACGCTATGTGCAGAGATTTATACACACTATATAATATCTCTGCCAGATTGAAATTTCTCATCCAACCCCATTTGTTGAGAATCTGAAACACTGAGAATGTTTTCTTTGACAAAATCCCAACAGCTCTTAAATTACCTATCCTCAAGGAAAGTGAAATAGAAGGGACACATTGGAGGCATGAAGGAGAAATATCACTTTGAGAGACAGAATCCCCAGGGACATTGGGCTGCTCTCCTAAAATGAATGCATCAGCCCCTTGCAATGCTCCTTTTGCTAACATCATGTATTGTTTACTCTGCTCTTTTATTCCTTGTCCCTGGGAGGAAATTTGGTATTGTGCTTACCTTTTAAATGATTTCAAAACTTCTATTCACTAGTACTCTTAACTGTTCCACCTACTACTGCCTGATGTGTCATCTGTAAGTACCACTCTATGCTGCCACTTTTTTTCTCACAGGCTCTCTAAGACTTCAGAATACATACAGAAAATAAAACTACTTAGCCTGGCATTCAAAGCCCAGAAAATCTGAAGCCTTCCTATATTTTCCAAATGTTCCAACATAACAGAATATAAATTTACCACAGAAGCTAGACTTGCCTACTCATTTGTTTCCATCTTTCTTTACATTGTTTGACCAATCGAATTAACAAAGCTTAAAGCCTTTTCTTTTTTTTTTTTTTTTTTTTTTTTGAGACGGAGTCTCGCTCTGTCACCCAGGCTGGAGTGCAGTGGCGCAATCTCAGCTCACTGCAACCTTTGCCTCCCAGCTTCAAGCAATTCTCCTGCCTCAGTCTCCCGAGTAGCTGGAACTACAGGTGCATGCCACCATGCCTGGCTAATTTTTTTAATTTTTTACTTTTAGTACGGTCGGAGTTTCACCGTGTTAACCAGGATGGTCTCCATCTCCTGACTTCATGATCTGCCCTCCTTGGCCTCCCAAAGTAGTGGGATTACAGGCATGAGCCACCATACCTGGCCTGTTTCCATCTTTTCTTTACATTGTTTGACCAATCATATTACCAAAGCTTAAAGGCTATTTTTGTTGTTGTTGGTAATACTATCTTTCTACATAGACATCAAATCTCAACCATTCCTTAAATATCGCAAATTAAGATTCCCAGAGCTACAGTCTGAATTACAGATTCCTCTACATAACTGCCTTGTTCATATTTCCACTTCCATGATACTTGCTATTTGCTCTAAGCTTTGTTACTTTAACTCTCTTTACTTTGGTTTCCTCTTTTTTCAAATGGAGAGACTAGTCATATCTCACATATGAAGTTGTTTTGAAGATTAAGACAGCCAGTGTCTGTAAAATGCAGAGAATGTTTGACATATAGTACTATGTAAGCGTTGCCACTATTGCTATTTTCATGTTTAATGTTGCAGTTATACTATGTCCAGCTGCAGTATGTGACCATCACCAACAAAACATACAAGCATCGTTTCTAATCCAATCTTCTCTTGAAATAATACTCTCCGCGGTAAATCACTGTGCCCTAAATTTAGGTATTGTTTTGATTTTTTAATTTTTTCTCTTGCATTTATTTTATCACCAATTTCTATCTATGATAACTTAGAAAACCATATCACATTCATTTACTTCTTCCATTCTCCACTTCTACCACCATATGAAAGTAATGGTCACCTGGCCAGGTGCAGTGGCTCACACCTGCAATCCCAGCACTTTGGGAGGCCGAGCTGGGTGGATCACAAGGTCAAGAGTTTGAGACCAGCCTGGCCAACATGGTGAAACCTCATCTCTACTAAAAATACAAAAAATTAGCTGGGCATGGTGGTGTGTGCCTGTAGTCCCAGCTAATCAAGAAGCTGAGGCAGAAGAATTGCTTGAACCCAGGAAGTGGAGGTTGCAGTGAGCTGAGATCCCTCCACTGCACTCCAGCCCGGGTGACAAAGCAAGACTCCGTCTCAAAAAAAAAAGTCATCCTCACCTGTCATATGGACCACTGCAATACCTCACTAGTAGTTTTATCTGCCTTCATTCTTTCCACTTTTGTTCATGAGACAGCCAGAGGGATCATTTAAAATATAAATTTAAATGTTAAAAAGTCCATGTGTGTTATCATTCTTTTTAGAATAAAAACTCATGCATTTTACTATGACCTAGGTAATTGTCATAGGTCTTTTAAAAAATCTATCTCTGACTTCATTTGATGTCATTTTTCCCTGAATCTCATAGAATTCTAGATTCATCAACCTCCTTCATCTCCCTGCATTATTCAAAGGTCTTTTTTACATATGTTACATATGTTGTTTAATTTGTTTGGAAAGTGAGTTTATATATCTTTTTGTACATCTGCCCAATTTGTAGTATTCAAACCTCATGCAAAATACGATGTCCTCAGAGGTAATTTCTCTAATTATTCTATTTAAAGTGTACTCTCTCTGCTATACTTTAACTCATCATCTTACCTATTGTTTTCAGAGCACATAGTTCACCTGTAATGATCTTGTTGATTTACACTGTTCCTTTTACTATATGTCTTTTCCTTTAGAATATAAATTCCATTAGGACAAGGGTCTTACTTGTCTTGTTCATTGATACCTTCCAACATTTGCCTTCAATGAATATTTGTTAAGTGAATGAAGGATGTTACTTTTTCTTTTAAACATCCTTTGTGCTACTTCAATAAGTAAACTAATTTTTTATACTATGCGGTGCATTACAATTTTTCCCAATTTCAATCAATTGCTCACTTTTTCATTCCTCTTTCATAATTTAAGGCTGCTGATAATATGGACTCTTGTATTATTATAGTATCAATGACAAATACATGGCCTGATATACCATTGACGCTCAGTAAATGATAAATCAGTAAATGATTAGCCTGTATTTGTGATAAGGAATATGTGTTCATCCAATCAACATCTATTAAGCACAATATATATCAAGTAAAGTCTAGGCCCTGGGGAAATGGGAATGTTTAAGGAAGGCGTGGCTTCCCCCTAGATCATGGTGCTTACAGTCTAGGCCATGGTTTCTCAAATATTGACACTGTTGCCATTTTGGTTTGGGTAATGCTGTATTGTGAGAAAGTGTCTTGTGCATGATAGGATGCTTATAAGCATCCCTGGCCTCTACCAACTAGATGCCAGTAATATTCCCTGGCACACAATTTTAACAGCAAAACATAACCTCAAACACTGGCAAATCTCCCCTGGAGGGAAAAATCAACTCTGGCTGATTCACTGGTCTAGTGAAAGAGATAAATATTTATATATCTGTAGATATACATATAAGTACAAATTATGATCAATATTATGCAGAAAGGTAAAAGCTGAAATGTCAGAGTATAACTGGGAGACTGATTTGTATTGGTGGGTACGGGTTGTCAATAGAATGAAATGTTGCTGACAAAAAAAGTGAAATCTAGGCTTTAGTTGATAGGATAAGCCAGATTTCAGGTAAAGGTGGGAGGAAGAAGGTTTCAGGCAGAAGGAGTAACCTGTATGGAGGGCCTGAAGCACGACAAAGTTTGTTTTATGCTGAAAACTAGTGCAAAGTAGAACAGAAGGGGGCTAGAAAGTTAAACAGGGGCAAGGCCATGCAGGGTACCATAGACTATTATGCCTTAGAATTTTATCTTAAAATTAATGGGAAAAAGAGTTTAACCAACAGGGATGTTAAGTGGAAATACAAAGTGGAATTCCATTTCTACAAACCAGTTGTGATGGCTGCATTCTGGAGAAGGAGGCTGTTAAAGCAATTAAACCGAGAGACCATGGTGATTTAATCTAGAGACATGGTTCTAGACATGGAGAAAAGTGGACGGCTGATAAAGTCACTTTCTTGTACACATGGATAGTTGGGTGGATTTATATATTTCCCAGTGGAAAATATCCTCTAATGGGAAGATAATCTGTGTTGAGAATGCTATGGTGATGTTTTCTTGGGAAGCTTTGTAGTATATTTATTGGCTTTCCTACTTGGTCTCTTTCACATTCAGTTCAACTCCTGAGTCAGCCTAAGGGGTTCTCTCTGGTAAAAATCCCAGATGATTCCTACCTTTTCTCCATTCTGAAGAGGCCATTCCTTCATGCCTCCTCTTCCTCTTCTGCCAGGTGTAAACGTGTGTATGTGATCAATGGGCAGAGCAGGGATCAAGTCGAGCAGAATGAGTCCCAAAGTCCAGGGACCTGAAGGGGGAATGAACACAGGAAGGAAAAATTGAGGGCTCTTTCCTTTAGCTGTTCACCTGCTTTGAGTGGTGAGTTAATTAGCAATAGGAGTGCAAGTTGACAGCCCTGGAAAGGAGCAGTCATGCAGTGGGAGGTGAGGTAAAGCAGTCTTGCTGGGAAAGTTGTTTCTGATTTATAAATACGCCTGATTATTATGATGGTGCCCATTTGTGATTTCATAGTGAAGGATCTGTCAGTTGTCCTCATCTAAACCCCTTGTTTTCACAGGTTTCTAACAATGAAAGGAACTCACCAGAGCCCCAGACTCAGCCTACAAATCAAGCTTTATTTTTAAATATTAAAAAGAAAAAAATCTGTTAGATTGACTTTTACAAGGAAATAAAGCCAGGTTACTGAATGAATTCATCTGAAGGTTATTTATAGTTTTGTTGCTTGTTTGTTTTTAACCACAGACAACATGTCTTAATTGGAATGGACAATAAAGATAAACTGCTTCAGCCCTCTTGTAAAATGGTGCGTAGTGTGATGCTCATAGCTGAGATTTGAAGAAATACTTTCATTCATTTTCATATCCATCCAGCAATCATTTGTCAAACAGTTATTCAGCACTGAACCATGGACCAGAAAAGGGACAGACAGAAGAATAAGGCAACGTTGTCCTCTTGAAGTAGTTTGAAGTTTGGAGGGACACACATTTAATCATTAAATCTTCAGTAAGAAAAAACATAACATGTCTTGGCCGGGAGCGGTGGCTCACGCCTGTAATCCCAGCACTTTGGGAGGCCAAGGCGGGCAGATCACAAGGTCAGGAGTTCAAGAACAACCTGGTCAACATAGTGAAACCCCATCTCTACTAAAAATAAAAAAAATTAGTGGGGCTTGGTGGCGGGCGCCTGTAATCCCAGCTACTCAAGAGGCTGAGGCAGGAGAACAGCTTGAACCCGGGAGGCGGAGCTTGCAGTGAGCCGAGATTGCGCCACTGCACACCAGCTGGGTGACAGAGCGAGACTCCATCTTAAAAAAAAAAAAGAAAAAAAAGAAAAAAGAAAGAAAAAGAAAAAAAAATGTAACGTCTTGTAGCACAAATTAAATTCTACAAAAGTTGCAGTAAATTTTATTTGGCTGTTTTAGCTTGTTAAATGTGAATATTTTTTTCTGTACCAAATCAAACTTTAAATAAAACAAAAATACAACCTAAGCAAAAGGGAACTGTGTGTAAAATATTGTTGAGGGTACCAGAGAGAAAAGCAACTGACATCAATAGGGTTTCCATGAAGAAAGAGAGGAAAATGCAAGACAGATGTGAAGGAAGAAAAGAAAAAGGAAGGCAAGAGGGAAAGAAAGGTGAAAGTAATCCATATATTCTTTCTTTCCTTCCTTCCTTCCTTTCTTTCTTTCTTTCTTTCTTTTCTTTTTCTTTCTTTCTTTCTCTTTCTTTCTTTGTTTCTTTCTCTCTTTCTTTCTTCTTTCCTTCCTTCCTTCCTTCCTTCCTTTCTCTCTCTCTCTTTCTTTCTTTCTTTCTTTCTTTCTTTTGTGGTAAGAACATTTAAGGTCTACATTTAAGATCTAAGAGTAAACCAATTTTGCTTCTGTATTATTGCACCCAGCATAACAATAGTGAGTTGAGATTCAAATTTTTATCCCGATATGGAAACTTAACTGTTTCCTTATTGCCCTAGAGTAGAAATCATGGAGAAATAGAAATGGGCAGAAAACTGACTTAGAACAGATTTCAGAACCCCATCACTCCCCCCAAGAAACAGAGATCAGACTGTTTTTGGTTTTGTTTCTTATTTCTTCTTAAGAGTAATTCCGCCAGTCCCTGAAAGAAGGGGAAAAACACTTCAGCTATTATTAATTATCTTAACTTGGTTTACGTCCAGGCTCTGTTTGATTACTTGCCAAAGGTAATATTGAGAAATAAATAGAAAAAATATACATAACATTTTTGAATTTATAAAATTTCTTGGCCAAGAGGCTTGGTGAAGACAGGGAGGGATATTTAGGAAGTCTGAATATCAGGCAAATGTTCGGAACTGACACAATAGATTCCAAGTGGAATGACTGTCCAGGAAGAAGTGAGCATGGAGGTTGGGCAAAGATTTCCTAGAAGCCCAATATTTAAGATCAGTAGCCGTATTGGCACAATGACGTTGTTAGCTGGTGGCTCCTTCCTCATGTGATTTAGGATGCTTACAACTCAAAATCCTGATTCTTGTACCAGTTAGATGTTTAGACTAATCATAGGAGCATCTCCTTCCATTTATATCAAGTATGCTTACTATCCAACAGCCAAGAAGATAACTGATGCCCAATCCATGAGCTTTAATCTACCACCCTTGGTGTACCTGGTAAAAATATCTCACTATAATGCTTCCAAATATGACAGTAGATTAAAAGGAAGCCCAGGACTTAAACTGAGGAGGAGCTCCTACACTTGTACCTAGGAACATGAGGCTAAACTGAGCATGCCAGAATACCTGAGACTGTGGGGAAGGTTAGAATTTTTGCAACTTTTAATATTAATCAAGTTCTCACTACTTACCAGACACTGTTCATCATTACAAGCATTATCTTATCTAGTGCTCTTAAATCCCTTTGTTATCCCAATCATATACTTAAGAAAACTGAGACACACAGAGATCAAGTTTTCTAAAGGTCATATACCCATTTAGGAATAGATAATTCAAATTAACTATTCTACTACAATATCAATATTTTTCCCATTTTCTTTGCAGTAAGTTAACTTTCTGTATCATTCTGTCTTCTTTTTAAAGTGAGAAAATTAAGTATACTTAGCCTTTCTTTGAACAGCTTCCCTTTTCTTAGACTAATGTTTTCCAACAGTATATTCCTTAGAACATTTATGCAAAGGAATATTAATAACCATTCTGTTGGATGTTGGAATAGGTAACAGGTATCTATAATCCCAGAATCTTAAAACATGGTGGGTTAGAGAAGGCAAGGAATCATATTTTTGTAACTGCAGAACTCCTCACCACATTTAAGTTTAGTGTTTGTTTGTTTGTTTGTTTTTGAGACAGAGTCTCACTCCGTCACCCAGGCTGGAGTGCAGTGGTGTGATCAGCCTCCCGGGTTCAAACCATTCTCTCTCCTCAGCCTCTGGAGTAGCTGAGACTACAGGTGTGAGCCACCATACCCGGCTAATTTTTGTACGTTTAGTAGAGAACAGGTTTCACCATGTTGGCCAGGCTGGTCTTGAACTCCTAGCCTCAAGTGATCTGCCTGCCTCTGTCTCCCAAACTGTTGGGATTACAGGCATGAGCCACTGCGCCTGGCCACAACCTTTAAGTTTCTAATGTGAGTTAAACATGTTAGAAGTGGCAGATGCTAAGAATTTAAAACAGCATTAACAAACATATTTGACCACAGAATCCTCATTTTTTATTGTTTTCTTGTGTATTTATGATATTTGTTTGCTGTGGAATACATTTGGGGGTAGACTTGTGGAAAGGATGAAGTTCACATTTATAATTAACAAAGTTTATAAATTATACACTCTTCCCTCAAACTTCAGCCCCTGTCATCTTACCTTTTCTTATCATTTACTGCAAACACAAATACACACATCTGTACAGCCCTCCTTCTTTTATTCCCCTCTCTCCAACACAGATGCACACAGGCTGTCTGAGCTCCTCGAAGGCATTGGTTTGTTTATCATGCCCACATGTTTTCATAGAACACCCTCTTCCTAGACTCTGCCTTTTCAATCTCCTATTACCATCTCTGTGACAAGTATGTATTCAACTTGCCGTGACCCTGCTCAAATGTTATCTCCTCTTGAACCCACTTTTGAGAAATATTGACATAATCTCATGCTTTCTATTTTCCCAGTATGCATTTTTTATATTTTGGTAACATGCCAGTGAAAACCAGACTCTGCTAGGAATTAGTGGCTTGGCTTGACACCTGAACTCTTAGTAAGATCTTGACCAAGATCTCACATATATTTTGGAGGGTAATTTCTACGTATAAAGGCACCAGAGTATTAGAAGTGCCACAGATGCACAGGAAGTCTAATTAGATACTTGTTTTCTCACTGCCATTAAACAAAGGACACTTTTTCAAACAACCCCATAACCCATCTAATATGGTCATAACTGACCTATTCCCCAAATCTAATTCTATCCATATAACCTTGCCTCCAGTCTAATGTTATCCCAGACATTATATTACTAAACCAATCCCATCCTTATAACCCTTTGGCCCATTAATATACTTCTAATCATCCATTTATAAAATATAACCCACCCAAACAGCCCTATAACCTTTCTAATGGATTCAGAACCAGCCAATTACCAAACTTGATCTAATCTGCATAGTTCCCATCACCTTTTAATAAGCTCTAACTGGCCCTGCAAGTTTCACCATTAACAAAAAACTATTTTATTCAATTTGTGGCCTTTTATTTGATTTTTTTAAAACATCAAATACTGTACCATTTATTAGAAGTCCATTCTTTCCAACTTATTCAATTCTCTTATTTCTTGCTTGAGAAAATTGTAGCATTTCCCAATATTTTAGTTCATTATCTTTCCCAAAAGAATTTGAGATGGATTTTACAAAATGTATATGCTTTCAGGTTCCACAACCAAATTTACATTCCCCATTGGGTTTCATAGAGGCTTTCTATGTGTGACCAAGGCAAGTCTCTGATTAATTTACTTCAGTGAATGCTTATAAGAAACCTACATTAAGGTTGCACACAGACCTACAGACCTTTCCATACAAAGCTAAATGGATCTGAGCTCAGAGCACTGCATGAGAAATATTCCTTCCATTGCTATTATAACAAACCAGATAGAACTAGGAAGAAGGAGGAGGAGGAAGAAAAAGGAGTAGGAGGAGGAGGAAGAAAAGAAAAACCTGCATACATAGAAGGCAGATGGCATGTTAGCATATCTTTATTAAAAAATTTATTTTTTTACAATTTTAGTTAACACTATGGACTTTCATTTATGGATGTGAGGGTTGGGATGTGGTACTTTTATTCATGTGTTTATTTGACAAACATTTACTGAGTATTTGTTGTTTTAGTCAGCTCATGCTGCAATAATAAAGTACCATAAACTGAATGGCTTAAACAATAGACATTTATTTCTCACAATTCTAGAGGCTTGGAAGTCTAAAATCAATATGCCAGCTGAATCAATTCCTTGTGAGATCCTTCTTCCTGGCTTGCAGATGGTTGCCTTCATATTGTGACTTTACATGACAAAAAGAGAGAGAACTCTGGCTTCTTCTTCTTCTTATAAGGATACAAATAACATGTTGGCCCCAACCTCATGATTTTATCAAAACCTAATTACCTCCCAGGCCCCACCTCCAAATCCTATCACATAGGTGGTTAAGGCTTTAACATATGAGTTTTAAGGAGAGACAAACATTTAGTGCATAACACCTGCCTTATGGTGATAAGGCTATGTGAATCTGGGGCAGTGAATTCTATTCATCCTGTGGCACATCTTTATTGCTTGGCCATGTTTCCCATCACCTCCTGGACTTTTGTAGGGGTAAAAGTGCACAAATGTAAATATTTGATTACTTAATCATATACATATTGGTGTGTATTAAGCTACATATATAAAAGTTCAGCTATGCAGCAAATATGTACTGAGGACTGTGTCCCAACTAGCACACCCAGTGCCCTGTAAAGAATGTGTTATTATTCTCACTTGTTTTTAGTTGAAAGCAATGCTCAACGAGCTCAGGAAACTTGCTCGAGATTGCACAAATGGCTGAGCAGGACTTGAATCCTTGGCTCTCTTAATTAAAAGCCTAAATTATTTCTCTCAATCCACAATACATGTCAAGCAGAGTCATTTCAGTGACATTAGACTATTCCAAATTCTTTACATTATAAGTGAAGAAACTAAGGCCAGAGAAAGGAAATGACTTTCTTCAGGCTTCATATGTACATCTGTACACAGAAAGATGGTTGATCTGGAGAAGAAGATGGTTTCCTTTGTAAGCACAGCATCCTGCCATTTCAGACAGGCTCTGTCCATTAGCACAGCAAGAAGAGAGAGTGAATACCCCATCCTTCAATCCCCGCAAATGGCCCTTCAGTAAGTGATTTGCTGAGGCCTAGGCCCCCTGGGGGAAGAATGCATTGTACATCATATGGACCCAGCCAAGCTATGTTTACAGTTATGAAGTGCCACATATCAAAATTAGCATTTGTGCAAATGATCACACAATTCCATCAGGCCTGCTGTGTCCCTTTAATAGGCCCATCTTTCAATTATGAAGTAAAGATCAGTCAATGTTCTTCTAAAATCTCATTCCGTTTGTTATTTTGACAGTAAAGAAGGAGGTTTTCTTTTCTTTTTTTTTTCTTCCACTTGAAGTCAGGCCCATCAACATGAGATGGTTATCAAATCTATAGCAGAGAAAATGGATATTTTGAGTTTGTACTTATATCTTAGAAGTGGAACACCTTTGAAATGCTCATGAATAGGAATACAAACATTCATATTTAAGATTCTATCTCCTTGAGTACATCTGATTAGTCTAATTCTACCTTCCATTGCTCAGGGAATCATAAAATGTTAAGTATTTCAGTTCGAGGAGAATTTAGAAATCAGGCTTTCCTTCATTTCTGCTTCCTCTATCTGTTCTCCCACATCTTTAACAAGTTATCCCACAGACTAGCTTGAGCAGATCTTACTATAGGGAACTCACTATCTTACAAAGCAGTATTTCTCTTAGGCAACTATCTCTTTTTGAATCAAAATTGGTATCCTTAATCTTCAATCGATTGGTTTACCATCTGCACCTAGAGAAATAAATACAATCACTTTTTCATCAAAAAGAGCTGCAACTATTTGAAAATGTAACTATTATCTGATTTCTAACCCACATTAGGCAATCTTAATGGTATTTTGGTAGTTTTTTTTCCTGTTTATTAAATGACCTGTGCATTCAACACATGGCTCAGTACTCTTATGGTATAGCTCACTAATATTTCTGTATCTAAAATCAAACAAATTACCAAAGCACCCTGGGCATATGAATTAGCTCATGCATATGAAGAGTCGAGAAGAGCTGATCAATTGTCTACTGCCATCATTCTGTAAGAGATACCATCAGGCAATGCACCAGTTGAGTCGGAAAAATGTGTAATTGATATTACCAGAGAAAGTAATTTTTAACTTTTACTTTTTTTCTCTACTCTTTTTTAAAAATTTGAAGTAATTTTAAACTTATAAAAAAATCTTAACAGTAGTATAAAGGCATCTTTATTTTCCTTGAAGCATTTGAGAGTGAGTTGTGGATATGATGTCCCATCACTCTTAAACACTTTAGTGTGTAAAGCCTATGAACATTAACATTTTCCAACATAACCACAACACCATCTCCAAAATTAGGAAATTAACATGGATGCGTTACTAATACCCAATTCTGCAATTCCTCTCAAGGGTCTTCACTTTCCCAAAAATGTTCTTTATAGAAAGATGGCCCAATTCCAAATTATGTGTTGAAGTTAATTTTCGTATCCTTTTAGTATTGTTCAATCAGGAATGGTTCCTTGGCCTTTGCTTGTCTTTAATGACTCTGACACTTTTGACTATCATAGACCAATTATTTGGTAGAATGTCACTCAATTTGAATCTGTTTGATATTTACTTATGTTCAGTTTTAAATTATGGATCCTTGGCAAAAATATAAAGCAAGAGGTCTTGTGTTCTCATTGTAACCTATCAGGTGGTACACAATTTCACTTGTCTCACTGCTGACTTTGATTGCCTAATTTAGGTTATTTCTGTCAGGTTTCTCTACTGTAAAGTTACTTTTGTAATTAATTAATATTATATGGGAGATATTTTGAGACTGGGCAAACGTTCTATTCCTTATCAAATTTCCACTCACTAATTTCAGCATCCATTGATATTAGCTGGATAAATGAATTATTACAATGGTTGCCAAATGTTGATTTCCTGTGGCCAACCTTCTTTCTCCATTTATTAGTTGGTATTTACTTATCCCTATTTATTTACTAACATATCAGAATGTACTCTCAGGTACCTATTTTACTCAATGGTTATAATGCATTACCATAATTATTTAATTTGACATCAGGCTTATTTCACTGGGAGGTCCTTGAGGCTGGTTACTACGCTTTTTTATACCACACCACTATTCTTTGCACTTGTGTATTTTCTGGTATACTGAGATGTATCAGGCTTATTTGATACTTTTGCTTCCACAACATTGAAATCAGCAATCTTTTTAGGGATCATTAGTTTTCTTTCTTTTGTGCAAATGATCACACATTTCTTTCTTTTCTTTCTTTCTTTTTTCTTTTTCTTTCTGTCCTTCTTTTTTTATTTTTTCTTTCTTTCTTCTTTCTTTGTTCTTTCTTTCTTCTCTTTCTTCTTTCTTTCTTTTTTTCTCTTTCTCTCTCTTTATCTCCTTCCTTCCTTCCTTCTTTTGCTTTTCTTTTCCTTTTCTCCTCTCCTCTCTTTTCTTTTCTTTTTCCCTTCCTTTCCCTTTCCTTTGACAGTGTTTTGCACTGTTACCCAGGCTGAAGTGCAGTAGTGTGATCTCGACTCACTGCAACCTTGACTTCCTGGGCTCAAGTGATCCTCCCACCTCAGCCTCTTGAATAGCTGTGACCACAAGCACACACCCCCACAACTGGCTATTTATTTTATTTTATTTTTTGTAGACACAGGGTTTCACTATGTTGCCTGGGCTGTTCTCAACCTCCTGGGCTCAAGTGATCCACCCGCCTCAGCCTCCCAAAGTGCTGGGATTAAAGGCATGAGCCACTGTCCCTGGCCCTGTAGGGGAAAATGTTATTTAAAGACAAAGATGTACATCTTAGATGTGTTCATTGCTATAAGGTTTCTCTGTTTCTAAGACCTCTCAATGAAGTTATATAGAATATGTGTGTATATACATACAGAAATTACATACACATGCATTCTGGCACCAGCCATCTCCCCTAAACATTCTTCTCACCCGTTCAGGATCCAATACACCCCTCAGGCATTGACCTTCTTCCTTGGAGAATGTAAACCTTGATCCGCCTACCTAATGGCTTTTTTACTAGATAATTTAGGAGGGAATAGATGCAGGAAAAAAAAAAAAGAAAAGGAGGGAGAAAATGAAGAAAGTTAACACTGAAGGGAAGGAAGAAAGGAAGGAAGAAAGGAAGAAAACTGGAAGGAAAGCATGCTCTCTATTCCAGTTGAATGTTATTAAAATTTTTTCATGAAACTAAGGCACCTTAAAGCATTTCTTATACAAGTAGTACTGAATCATTCAATATTCACATGCTGAATGTGGGAATTTTAAAGTAGCTATTAATAAAGTTATATCAATCTTTTGGCTGCCATTACATTGGCTTCATACTATTAGGCCTAATATTGGAGGAGTAAATTAGATGCCTCCATGATCTCAGCTCTTCCTGAAACCTCCTGTCAGAGAAATATTCAGGTCACCAATCCTCTCCTAAAATATATCATCACAAGCTGCCCATATATCTATACTTTTCTTTTCTTTTCCCTTCTCTTCCTTTCCCTTCCCTTCCCTTTCCTTTCCTTTTCTTTTTCCTTCCTTCCTTCCTTCCTCCCTCCCTTCCTCTCTTCCTCCCTGCCCCCCCCTCTCTTTCTCTCTCTCCTCTTTCTTCCTCTTTCCCTTGCTTGACTTCCTGGCCTCAAGTAATCCTCCCATCTCAGCCTGCCTAGTAGCTGGGGCTATAGGCACATGGTACCATGCCCAGCTAGTTTTTTAAACAATTTGTTTTTCTTTTGTGGGGGTAATATGGGGCCTTATTATGTTACCCAGGCTGGTCTTGCACTCCTGGGCTCAAGAGATCCTCTAGCCTCAGCCTCCTAAAGTGCTGGGATTACACTCATGAGCCACTGTGCTCGGCCTGTTTTTCTTATAGATGAAGAATATGATACAATTATAGCAATTTGAACTTGACCGTGAATCTTTTACTTTTTAACAATATGGCTAGATATTATATTATCAGTTTGATATATGTAATAGAATGTTAAAATGCAAATTTTGACTGAGGTATATTCCCAAATAAGGTTCTAAACCAAGAAGCACACATTTCAAAATAGTGGATTAGAATCTATCTGACAATACTTCAACCCTGATCTCTCATTAAGGCTATAAAGTACTCATTAATTGAAGATTAAAGAAGTAATTTTGGAGACAGCTCTGTATATGCTGTAAGTCTCATGCCCCTGTCAGGAAACAAGTAAAGGAATCTGCCCTGTTTATCTCATATCAATACATGTGACTTTAGGAAAACCATTTGAAGAGCTTATTTAATGTTTTTTGTAATCTAACCCCTGAGTCATATCTCAGAAATATAAAAGTGAAGACCCTGGATAAAGTGACCTATGTTCTCAGAATAAAGAGCTGTGGTTTGAGAAATAACCATCCCCACCAAGTTTATTAGAACAAAGGATATTTGGCCTTCCCTACAAACTAGCTCTGGGCCATGAGATAAAGAACACAGATTTGGAATTGCCTAGCAGTGTCTAAGAGGGTTACATGGAGAAGCATGAGGAACAGAGTATAGGTGAAGGCTGTGGGCTGAGTCAGAGGGGGTAATCTAGAATAGAAATGCATCATGAAAACGTTAACTGAGAGACACTCAGAGTTAGGGTTGTTAGAATCAGAAAAACCTAAGAGAGACATGGACAGCATTAAACAGCTTTCACGCACAAAGAGCACTGAAGCTAAATACCCAGCCAGTGCAATGAGAACTTTTATGCTTGCTTCCTGACATAGCCTCCTGAATGCTTGCTCCAATAATGGAATGTTTAGAAGCCAAAACAAAGAGAAAGGAGTGCAGCTATCCATATGCTCTGTTTCCCCTACAGGCTACTAGACTGAAGAGGGCCTATATGAGAGGAGGAGAGAAGCTTTCACTTTATATCTAGTTCCAAGTTGTGAGATTGCATTGGACAGAACATAGTAATTATTAAATTAGAGTTTTATGACTTAGTTACCTTCGAATATTTTATATGATGACCAGGGTAGAAAAGGTACCTGTTTAAGGGCAGAGAAGCAGCTAATCTCTTAGAATAGTTTCGAAGTTGCTTTGTTATTACATGTCAAAAGATATGCATGTTTAATGTAAGACTATCTATATATTATATCATTTAATCTAAACAGAAACATCTTAATTTAATAAAATTAAATTGTATTAATTTAATAATAAATTTTATAAATTATAGTACATTTAGGTAAATATACAAATACATTAATAATTTACTAATTTATTATTTTATTTATTAATGAGGCAAGTAACTCTCAGAAAGGCAAATAATTTTTATTGTGTTGCAAAGTATTTTAGTGGCAGAATAAGAATTTGAATTTAGGTTTAACTGATACTTCAGCCCAGTTCTGGGCTTAAGTAACTGATACTTCAAATTCAAATTCTTGGGCCCAAACCCAAGCCCAAATTACGTTTAACTGATACTTAAGCCCAACTACTCTGAACAACTCCTTATGAATTTGTGTCATCTGAACACAGATAAATATGACTTGATCATTTCATCAAATTTTTGAATTAATACTTGAGACAGACATTACTGAAACCCAAACCTTTAGGAATTGAGAAAATCCTCTCTTTCTGTGGACATAAAATAAAAAACAAAAACCTTTTAGGAACTCCATTTAATAATAAAGTGTTCAATTGCTTAGGAAATCTATGCCCTTTCCAAAAATCCTGAACATTTACTGGACTAACTATATATAAGGGTACTAACTATACTATACTACCTAAATATAACTATACTAACATTCAGTTCAGTTACAATTGTTTTTGAAATATTGAGGTCCTTTTTAAAAAATTCTTCATTGGAATCCATATGCATCCCCTCCTGTCACCCCTCCTGTCAGTTAGTAAAATTCAATTATATAAAAAACCACAACCATAAAATATAAATGAGAATTCATCCTGTACTCAAACTAGATTGGAGTTTTTAGTATCTTGTACTTTATTTTCTTTTAGTATCCTATACTTTATTTTCTATCTCCACAGCATGTCCTTCCTCGCTCCTTTCTCTTTTCTTCATTTTTTTCCCCCAAATCTTTTCTTATGCTATGGAAATCAAAGAATTCTTGAGGTCAGAGAAACCTATATAATTCTACCTTGGGGAATGATGCAATAATTATCACCCAATCATATCATGCTTGTAAAGTAACCTAAGTGCCTAGCCTAAAACTTTTCCCTACAATCACAACAAAAGTCTTTACAGATATTAAATGTTGTAATATATGAAAATAACTGGTATAAAGTGGGTGTTCCAAAATTGCAGCCCCCGCAAATACATATTCATGTGTCCTACTGTCTTATCCATCTTTCAATGTCAAGTTTGAATCTTATGTTCTCTATGAGGCCTAGTCTGGTAAGTCCTGTCTTGATGAAGTGGTCTCCCTCCTGTTGTTCCCTTTCACACTTGTATCAGCCTTTGTTTGTTATCTTTCAAAATAAACTTTATTCTGCATTATGTTATTTTAAAAATTCACAAGACCTTATAGAACCATTTTTTTTCAAGTTCCTCAACGATTTAGGATCTCAGGCCAAAGGAATTAAGAAACTTTCCCTTAGTCACACTAAGTTAAAGGCAAACATTTGTTCTAGTTCATCATTAGTGCTTAATTATCGTATTGAAAGCTCCACAAGGACTAAAATTGTGCTGTATCCTTTTATTATCTTTGCTCCCTGAATCTAACAGTAGTGGTAGAATCACCAAGTAGGCACTCAGTGCACTCTTGATACATTAAATTATACTGATTTTACATCCAGGAGGGATTTCTGAATGTGGCCAAGCACAAGATTCACCTGAGGGCTTGATAAAATACATAGAATCTTGTCTCTGCTCCCAGATTCTGACTGTAGCTCTGCAGTGGGCCCCAGGAATCTGTATTTTTAACAGATTCCCCAAGCGACTTGATCTTAATGGTTCAAGAAGTAGTGCTTAGGAATTACTGACTAGGACACATACCCTATTCTGGAGTGTTTCCAGAGGAAAAAGTCCACAGTTTTGCTTAGTAACATGACTGGTGTCGAATAGACCTTATAGCTAAAGAAAAACAATTCTTTATAATGCTGTAACTAAATTCTCATGACTGCAATTTATTCCCTACTACCCCGGGTGGAAATGGGTAACAGCTGGTCTTTTAATAACCCTTGAAGATTATTATTAAGTTCCTCATCCACCTTCTCTTCTCTTAGCTAAATAGTTCCAATCTTTCTCAGGTATCCAACAGGCCCTATTTCCCAAGCCCTCTTTTCTCTCAGGGTTGTCTAAGTTTTGAATTAAGACTAATAACCTATGATTGTGCTGTATTAGATAAGATGTAATGAAAAGCATTTTAAAAATTTGGAGAAGTACCATACAAGTAGTAGGATTTGGTTTGAGAGTAATATTCTTATATGTCTTGTCTGCACACATCTCTATAGTTTTTTAAAAAAATATTTCTAAGCAGATACAGAGGCAGTACAGTGCCAGGGACTTCATATAGCCAGGGCAGGGCACCAGGCCTTCCACTAACTGGATGTGTATCTTGGAACAAGTTATTTTCCCTTTTATATTTTTTATTTCCTTACAAGGAAGACAATCTATGCTCTACCTAAACTCTAGCAGTTATCGTGAAGCTCCAATCAGGGCAGCAGAAGGAACTTCGAAACATAGAGTCCAGTCTGTATCTAGACTTTAGGGTTAGACACAAAGGAGGCTGGTTTAATGGAAAGTAATAGAGAATTGATCCATTCTTGTTCACATGAATGTTAGAAAGTTAGTAGCATGGGGATAAACATTGCAGGATTACTCAACAACGTCAACTGTCTGAGATACAACTAGGACAAGTCAGCAGGCAAATTCATGGCTAGTTGAGCCAAACTTCAAATGGGAGTGTTCCTCCTCCAACAAACTAACCAGTGATTTTCTTGAAAGGGAGACACTTTTCTGAGCTCTGATAATTGCATCTGCCCACCCTGGACCTAATTTCTCAGCAGGATCTTCCTCATGATGTACCAGCTGTGGTATCACTCCTGCTGTGGTATCTCTATCGCAATTCAGCCAAAGCCATTCTATTGTAAACTGTGATGGTTATACATGGGTTCATAGCTGAGCAATACCCATTGTCAAAGAAGAAATTGGATGTAGAGTGCCAGCTGTAGGAGAAAGACTGATTCAGCATCATCATCACCTACCACCCAGGTCCGTCATTATTCAATAATAGCTATCTTTTACCAAGCATTATTAAATAGCTCATTGACCTAGGTGATGATGATACCAGTCTCTATTGTAAATAATGCAGCATATTATCTCATGTAATCACCATATAGTACTGTGAGTTAGTAATTATCCCATCTTACTAATTAAGAAACTGAGGTAGAAAGAGATGAAATCATTTGACTGAGATGCCATAGTCACCTGATCCTCAAAATCAGACTACGGGACATCTGAACCAATGCTCTTGAATATTAGTCTTCATCAGTTTGGCCTGCTATATAGCAAAGTACCATAGACTGGGTGGCTTATAAATAATATAAATTTATTTCTCTCAATTCTAGAAGCTGGAAGGCTGAGATCATAGTGCCAACATGGTCAGGTTCTGGTGAGGGCCCTATTCTGGGTTACACACTGCCATCTTCTCATTGTATCCTTGCATGGAGAAAACAGGATGTGGTCAGTCCATTGCAAGCATGCTACACAAATTTAAGATTGGACATGGAACTAGGGCCTGATAAAAATAAATGATGACGGCCGGGCGCGGTGGCTCACGCCTGTAATCCCAGCACTTTGGGAGGCCGAGGCGGGTGGATCATGAGGTCAGGAGATCGAGACCATCCTGGCTAACAAGGTGAAACCCCGTCTCTACTAAAAATACAAAAAATTAGCCGGGCGCGGTGGCGGGCGCCTGTAGTCCCAGCTACTCGGGAGGCTGAGGCAGGAGAATGGCGTGAACCCGGGAAGCGGAGCTTGCAGTGAGCCGAGATTGCGCCACTGCAGTCCGCAGTCCGGCCTGGGCGACAGAGCGAGACTCCGTCTCAAAAAAAAAATAAAAATAAAAATAAATGATGACATTTCATCCTGCTCAAGGAAACCTTCTGGTAACTTTATTACTAGAGATTGAAGTCCTAATTTATTGGCCAAGCATCTAAGACTTCAATATCTAGATCCAAATTTTTCTCACAGTCATATTCCCCGACAGTACCCATCATCACACCCCATATTCAAAGACAAACAAAAAAGTCTCCTGCTTGCTGCTCTGCTTCAAGCTCCCCAACCTCACAACCTTTGTTTTTGCTGCTCTCCCTGAATCTAATAGTCTTTACAAAATTATCATGGCCAAATACTAACCTTTCCTCAACAAACAATTTCAGCATCCCTGCTTCATTTCCTTATTTCTAATCTAAACAAGCAGATGTTATTTTTGAACTCCTATCTTTTTTATTCCTAGAATTTTCTGTTTTATAATGTTATGCGATAATATCTTATCACTCTTAAAAATCAGTAATTTTGAGCGCATGTACTGGGGGCTAAAGATAATGTCACATGCTTTCCTAACCTTCACGTCAATCCTATGGTGCTGGCATTATCATTTTCATTTTATGAGAAGGAATTAAGATTTGCATAAGGAACACAAGGTCATACCACCTGGGTTTACATCCAGATATTTCTCAATGTGAAACCTGTGTTCAATCCATAACCACACTATACTATCTCCTTATTGTTAGTAAAGTTATAAAAACAAAAACTGCATCTTGCTTATATTTGATTCCCTACACATTGCACGTGACAGGCACCATGCTTTTTTTTATTCCTTTGCAAATTGATTTAAATTAAATTCCGCGTTAGAGCATAAGCTTTCATGAAGCTGTACACTCACTCCAAACACAAAACAACCTGAGACCTTCTTGGCCTTTGTTCATCATTGATGAGTGTTTGCTTGTTCTTTTAGTTACATTAAACTCTTTTATTCATTTTTACTTTATACTGGCTCCCCATGTTCTTGTTGCTGAACTGACAATCCTTCATTTTAGCTGTTTGACAGCTTATACGCCCTGCCTGCCAGCATCAATATTTACTAATGGACACTTTATCTTACAAAAGCTGTTTTCAATCAAGAAAGATAATGAAGAAATTACATGACCCTAGACATGTAGCTACCAGTCACCACGGCCTGTGTCATTTGGCTTCTTTGCCATCTGTGCCCAAGCAACAGGGCAGGGCAAGGAAAGGATAGAGGAGCAGAGATAGCAGAGGAGAACTCCAAGGAGAGAGAAGATTGATGATTCAGAATCAGGAAGGGAACAAGTTTTTGTAAGCCTGTTTCTATGGCCCAGACATTTTACATGCATGCTCCTATTTAATTCTCAAAACAATGCTAAGAGATTATGCCTAGTCCTTTTGATTTTTTCTTAAATGAAGAAAAACTGAGGATCAGAGACAAATGATTGGCTCAAAGGAACAGAAACAGAAGTGAGAGAAACTGGTTATTATGCTAAGTCCCTGAAATTTGGAACTGTCCAGAAAAGATTTGAATCCAGGCATTATCCATAGAATTAGGTAACCTTGAACAAGTTGTGTGTGTGTGCATGTGTGTGTGTGTGTGTGTGTGTGTGTGCATGTACATTTAGCAAATTCCTTTTTTTCCCCCCAAGGCTTATAGTTTTGTGTTTTTTAATTTTTCTACTTTATCTTAGGTTCAGGGGGTAATGTGCAGGCTTATTACATGGGTAAATTGCATGATGCTGACACTTCGTGTATATGAATAATCTCACCACCACACCTGCCTCCTACCCCCTACTTTGTTTATTGTTCCCATGTTTATGTCCACGTGTATTTAACCTTTAGTTCCCATTCATAAGTGAGAGCATGCAGTATTTCATTTTCTGATCCTGCGTTAGTTCGTTAGTTCATTTAGGATAATGGCCTCCAGCTGCATCCATGTTGCTGTAAAGGACATGATTTCATTATTTTTTATGGCTATGTAGTATTCCACAGTATATATATATATATCATTTTTTGTAATCCAGTTCACTGTTAATGGGAATCTTAGATGATTCCATGCTTTTGCTGTAATGAACATATGAGTGCATGTGTCTTTTTGGTAGAATGATTTGTTTTCCTTTGAGTATATACCCAATAGTGGGATCACTGGGTCAAATGGTAGCTCTGTTTTAATTCTCTTAGAAATCCCCACACTGCTTTTCATAGTGGTGGAACTAATTTACATTCCAACCAGCAGTGTGTGTTTCCCTTTCTCTGCAACCTCACCAGTATTTGTTGAATTTTGACTTTCATAACAGCCATTCTGATGGGTGAGAGATGGTATCGTATTGTGGTTTTGATTTGCATTTCTCTAATGATTAGTGACTATGAACAGTTTCTCATGTATTTTTTGGCCACACGTATGTCTTCTTCTGAGAAGTGTCTGTTCATGTCTTTTGCTCATTTATTAATGGGGCTATTTGTTTTTGCTTGCTGATTTGTTTTAGTTCCTTATTCTGACTATTAGACCTTTGTCAGATGCATAGTTTGCAAACACTTTCACCCCTCTGTAGGTTGCCTCTTTACTCTGTTGATAGTTTCTTTTGCTGTGCAGAAGCTCTTTAGTTTAGTTTGGTACCACTTGTCAATTTTTGTTTTTGTTGCAATTGCTATTGAGGACTTAGTCATAAATTCTTTGTCGAGGCTGATGTCCAGAATGGTATTTTCTAGGTTTTTTTCTAGAGTTTGTATTGTTTTAGGCTTTACATTTAAATATTTAATCTATCCTGAGTTAATTTTTGTATATAGTGAAAAGAAGGGGTCTAGTTTCAGTCTTCTGTATATGGCTAGCCAGTTATTCCAGTAGCGTTTATTGAATAGGGAGTCATTTCCTCATTGTTTGTTATTGTTGACCTTGTCAAAGATCGGGTGGTTGTAGATGTGTGACTTTATTTCTGGGTTCTCTATCCTGTTCCATTTGTTGACGTGTTTGTTTTTGTACCAGTACTATGCTGTTTCAGTTACTGTAGCCTTGTAGAATAGTTTGAAGTCAAGTAGTGTGATACCCTCTGTTTTGTTCTTTTTGCTTAGGATTTCTTTGGTGAATAAGGGTTTTTCGGTTCTGCATGAATTTTAGAATAGTATTTCTAATTCTCTGTGAAATATCACTGGTAGTTTGATAGGAATAGCATTGAATTTATAAATAGCTTTGGGCAGTATGTCCATTTTAGCAATACTGACTCTTCCCATAAGTGAGCATGAAATGGTTTTTCTTTTGTTTGTCTCATGTCTGATTTCTTTCAGCAGTTTTTTCTAATTCTTGTTGTAGAAATCTTTTACCTCTATTGTTCACTGTATTCTGAGGTATTTTATTCTCTTTTGTGGCCATTATAAATGGGATTGTGTTCTTGACTGAGCTTGGATAATACTAGTGTATAGAAATGCTACTGATTTTGTACATAAATTTTGTATCATGAAACTGCTGAAGTCATTTATTAGTTCTAGAAGCCTTCTGGTGGAGTCTATGGGGTTTTCTTGGTATAGAATCATACTGTCTACAAAGAGATATTTTGACTTCCTCTCTTCCTGTTTGGATGCCTTGTATTCTTTCTCTTGCCTTATTGCTCCGGCTAGCACTTCCAGTACTATGTTGAATAAGAGTGGTAAGAGTGAATATCTTTCTCTCATTCTGATTCTCAAGGGGAATGCTTCCAGCTTTTGTCCATTTGGTGTGACGTTGGCCACTGGTTTGTCATAGATGACTCTTATTATTTGAGATATGTTTATTCAATTCCTAATTTGTTGATGGCTTTCAAGATGAAGCAGTATTGAATTTCATTGAAGGATTTTTCTGTATCTATTGTGATGATCACATGATTTTGGTTGTTAATTCTATTTACGAAGTGAATCACATAACCAATCCTGCATCCCAGAAATAAAAACTACTTGATTGTGGTGAATTAGCTTTTTTGATGTGTTGCTGGATTTGATTTGCTAGTATTTTGTTGAAAATTTTTGCTACTATGTTCACCAGAGATATCAGCATAAAGTTTTCTTTTTTTGCTGTTTCTTTGTCAGGATTTGGTATCAGAATAATGATGGCTACATAGAGTGAGTTAGGGAGGATTCCCATCATCTTGATTTTTTGGAATAATTTCAGTAGGATTTGTACTGGGCTTTCCTTATATTTCTGGTTGAATTCAGCTGTGAAGCCATCTGATCCAGGACTTTGTTTGTTTGGTAGGCTTTTTGTTACTGATTCAATTTTGGAATTTGTTATTTGTCTGTGCAGGATTTTAATTTCTTCCTGGCTTTATCTTGGGAGGTTGAGTGTTTCTAGGAATTCTTCCATTTCTTCTATGTTTTCTAGTTTTTGTGCATAGAGTGTTTGTAATAGTGTCTGAGAATTTTTGTTGTTGTTGCATTTTTGTGTGGTTGGTGGTAATGTCCCCTTTATCATTTCTGACTGTGTGTATTTGTATCTTTTCTCTTAATATTTTTATTAATCTAGCTAGTCTATCAATCTTGTTTAGTCTTTCAAATAACCTACTTTTAATTTCACTAATGTTTTGTATAGATTTTCACATTTCAATTTTGTTCAGTTAAGCTCTGATTTTGTTTATTTCTTTTCTTATGCTAGCTTTGGGATTGGTTTGCTCCTGTTTTTCTAGCTCCTGTACGTGGCACAGTAAGTTGTTAATTTGAGATTTGTCTAACTTCTTGATGTTGGGGTTTAGTGCTATGAATATTCCTCTTAATATTGCTTTAACTATGTTCCAAAGATTCAGGTATGTTGTGACTCTGTTTTCATTAGTTTCAAAGAATTTTTTAATTTTTGCTTTAATTTCATTCTTTATCCAAGAGTAATTGAGAAGCAAGTTGTTTAATTTCCATAAATTATTGTACGGTATTAATAGATCTTTTTGGTATTGATTTATATTTTTGTTGCTCTGTGATCTTAGAGTGTGGTTGGTATGATTTTGATATTTTTGAATTCATTGAGACTTGCTTTATAGCTGAGCTGTGATCAGTTTTAGAGTCTTATATGTGTCGTGTGCAGATGAGAATATATATTCTGTTGTTGTCAAGTGGAGTATTCTGTAGCTGTCTATTAGATAAAATTGGTCAAGTGTTTAGTTTAAGTCCAGAATATCCTTGTTAGTTTTCTGCCTTGATTATCTGTCTAATGCTGTCAGTGGGATGTTGAAGTCCCCCAGGATTGTGTGATTGTCTATATTTCTTCATAGATGTCTAAGAATTTGTTTTATGAATCTTGGTGCATTAATGTTGGTTGCATATATATTTAGTATAGTTCAGTCTTCTTGTTGGGTTGAGCCCTTTATCATTATGTAATGCCTTTGTCCTTTTTGATCATTATTGTTTTAAAGTCTGTTTTATCTGGTATAAAAATAGCAACTCCTGATCTATTTTGTTTTCCATTTACCTGATCTTTCTCCATCCCTTTACTTTGAGCCTATGGGTGTCATTGCTTGTGAGATGAATCTCTCAAAGACAGTAGAGAGTTGGGTCTTGCTTCTTTGTTCAATGTGCCACTATATGCCTTTTAAGTGGGGGCATTTAGCCCATTTACATTCAGGGTCAAAATTGATATGTAAAGATTTGATCCTGTCATTGTGCTGTTAGCTGGTTATTATGTAGACTTGATTGTATAGCTCTTTTATTATGTCAATGGGCTTTGTGCTTAAGTGTGTTTTTATGATGGCAAGTATCATTCTTTCATTACCATGTTTAGCACTCCCTTTATGACTTCTTGTAAGGTAGGTCTAGTGGTAAATTATCCCCTAAGCATTTGCTTGTTTGAAATTAACTTCATTTCTTCTTCACTTATGAGGATTAATTTGATGGCATATGAAATTTTGGCTGGAATTTCTTTTCCATAAGGATGTTAAAAATAGGCCCCCAATTTCTTCTGGCTTATAAGGCTGCTGCTGTAAGGTCTACTGTTAGCCTAATGGGGTTCCCTTTATAAGTGACCTACCTCTTCTCTCTAGCTGCCTTTAAGATTTTTTCCTTTGCTTTGACCTTGGGGGATCTGATGATTATGCGTCTTGGAGATGGTCATCTTGCATAGTATCTTGCAAGGGTGTTCTGAATTTACTAAATTTGTTTGTTGACCTCTAGTGGGATTGGGAAAATTTTCATGGACTATATCTTCAAATATGTTTTATAAGTTGCTTGCTCTTTGTCCTTTTCTTTTAGGAATGTCAATGAGTCATTTGTTGGTCTCTACATAATCCCAAATTTTTCAGAGGTTTTATTCTTCTTTTAAATTCTTTTTTATTTTATTTTTGTCTGCCTGTATTGCTTTGAAGGAGCAGCCTACCGCTTCTAAGAGTCTTTCCTGAGCTTGGTCTATTTTTTTGATAATGTTTCCAATTGTATTTTGAAATTCCTGTAGTAAATTTTTCATTTCCAGAAATTTAGTTTTGTTCTTTCTTAAAATGGTTATCTCATTATTCAACTTTTGGATCATTTCACTGATCCTTTGGATTAGGTTTCAATCTTTTCTTATATCTATCTTAATGAGCTTCATTGCCATCTAGATTCTAAAATCTATGTCTGTCATTTCAATCATTTCAATCTTCTTGAGAGCCATTGCTAGGGAGCTAGTGTGATCATTTGCACATAAGAAGACACTAGCATTTAGAGTTGTCAAAGTTCTTGTGCTGGTTCTTTTTCTTCTATGAGGGCTGATGTTCCTTTATCCTTTGAAGTTGCTGTTCTTCCAATGGGACTTTTTGGTTTTATGTTTTTATGATCTTTATTTCCCTTGAATTTTCTTTTTGAGACAGGGTCTTACTCTGACACCCATGCTGTAGTACAGTGGCATGATCATGGCTCACCGAAGCCTTGACTTCCTGGGCTCAACTGATCCTCCCACCTCAGCCTCCCAAGTAGCTGGGACTATAGTCATGTGCCACCATGCCTGGCTGATTTTTAAAACAAAATTTTGTAGAGATGGATTCTCACTATGTTGCCCAGGCTAGTCTCAAACTCCTGAGCTCAAGTGATTTTCCCACCTCTACTTCCCAAAGTGCTAGTATTACACGTGTGAGCCATCATGCCCAGTCTTGAGAGTTTGACTGTGGTGCAAGCTTGGTGTAATTGAATGACTTTATTTCTGGATGTTTTCAGGGGGCTCAGGCTCAGCTCTGCACTCCTGGGTTGCCTGCTCTAACCCTGGGTGGCTGGGACCAGGTCTGCAGCTTTGTCCTTTAGCCCATCAAGATTGAGTGTTGCCTGAGCTTGATGGGCTAGGATGCTCCCAGACTGCTGGCAACAGCACTCTGTAGGGGCGAGTGGGGGGTCATGGGTGTAAGTGCTCCAGCAGGGGTGGGAGGGGCACCGTAGATGCGAAGCATGGCAGCAGTGGCAGGTGCACTGGGGGCAGGAAGCACTCCAGCAGGGACAGAAGGGGTACTACAGGCAGGAAGTGCTTAACGTGAGCATCAGGGGTGCCATAGGCAAATGTGCTCCAAGCGGGTAGTGATAGGGTTGCAGGAGAACACATTCAGATGGGAGGCTGTCAGCAAAAGTGCTCTGGTAGGGCAGCAGGGGTGCTTGGACAAAACCACTATGGTGGTGGACATTGGCAAAAGTGCTCTGGTGGGGTAGTTAAGGCTGTGCTCCATGCAGACATGGCTAGGCAGGGACTCCGAAAGGGACTGGTGGACAGTGGGGTTCACAGATGAGATTCATCCTGGACCTGCAGGAAAGACAGCCCTGCTCTCTCCAGGTCTAGTGACTTACGTAACTCAGAGCCATTCAGGGCCTGGAACATGTCCCATATTCAGCAACCCCAAGAAGGATTCCCAGCTTCCTCTCCCTTTCATCCTGGTGTCTGGGTTGTCTTTCTAATCTCTTTTAGTTCATTCCTTCAGATGATCTGTTCTGAGTATGCTGATTTACTGGATATTTTGGTCTGTTTTTGTGGGAGATGTTCTTCCTGGTGGCATCTAGTTAGGTGTCTTGCCTTGGATACCCAGTCCAAATTTTCAGTATTAATTTCCAAGCATATAAAATGAGAATAATAGAAGATCAACTCTGATGGTTTACTATGAGGATTAAATAAGATAATGGATACAAAGTTTTTAGCCCAGTTTCAGATACAAAACAACTGCTGCAAATGTAACAAGCTTTTACAGTTTTATTCTTATTACTACCAAAATGAAATGATGGCTCCAACATTTAAATGTGAGCCTATTCCCCTTTGAATTCTATGTTATTTCCACGCTATCATGAAGCCTGGACAAGTCAGTAAATAAAAGGAGTAAGAAAGAAAGGGCAAGAATAATATATTAAAAAGCTCTCTCCATCCTTAAAACAGGCTTCATTATGTTGATTAGACTACAGGAAGAGCCCTCTGTAGCCCAGATTAGTACTTCCAAAATTTCAGAATTTACCAAGTTTAGTCATACTCCAGCTTTCTGGGTAGCATAATGGTACTTTATTGCCATGCTTAAGTTGATTCCTTTATATTCATATCATAGTTTTATAGTAAAATTTGCTCTTTATCAACACATATAGCATACTTATTGTGTTGATAAAGTGGCAGAATACAATGTATTTGAAGCAGAATACAACCTATTTAAGTGAGAGAAATATGTTCATACTTTATTCATGCTACTCTAAAATCATAGAATCCTCAATTTTTATAGTTCCCATAGGTAAAATTGTTTATAACTTTAATCCTTTGAAGATGAAAGAATGTTAAAAACTTAAAAAAATATAATCCTGAAAGCCTGGACATCTGTATACTACTTTAAACTCAACCTTGTACTGTGCGACCTTGGCCAATCTGTCTGTTGGTATTTCCAAAGTTTTGGAAATAAGGAAAATAAAGCTTTTATTTTTTATATTCACCTATGATAATATGTTTTGCACAGCACTAATTCATATATTGATGAACAGGTGTTCTCTTTCATTTCTGCTTTTTTATAAACATGACCTGGTCTATTAGTCAATCAATGGTCTTAGTCTGTAAAAGGTGGATGCATAATCAGTATTTAATTACTAGGCATGTTATTGTCATTGATTCCTGGAAAATGTGAGAATAGCTAAAAATCCTCACTTTTTATAAAAATGCACATGAACACATGCTCACACAATAAGTCCTGAATTTCAGCAGAAGCACGTACTCCCTACAACCCAGCCATGAATGGGTCCACACCACTAAGATTCAGTTTCACTCTACTTTTCTAGTCCAGACACCCACCACAAGCCTAATATGGCAGTTGTTCAACAGTAAGTATGCTAGCCGCATTATCTGACATCAGCTTTATAAAGAGCTAGATAGAACACTGTCTTTGAAAAAGAGAGGGTATGATTTGGCTGAGAAGCCAGAAGAAAGAAATGAAGTAGGAGAGCCTGATTGCTGTAGGCATGAGAGGTGACAGCACAGTGTAAAGCTCTCTGCACCACTCTGTCTAATGGCAGAGTTCTACCACCTCTCTAGGGACAAACTTGGACAGGTTCTCCCTACAGCAGCCAAGCGTGCTATTCTCTCTCCTTTTATTAGCAAGGCGTCTTCCACTGAAACCCTCCTCTGCCCAGTGCCATGTACTATCCTAGAAGAGAAAGACTCTGAGCCTGGACTCCAGCCCTTTCTCTATGTTGAATTTTAGAATCTTCATGACTTACCAGATGAGATGGTTTTACAAATGAGATGGCATCTGTGAATTGTCAGAGTGGCTGGCACAGAGTTGATAAAAACAACACAAAACAGCAACAAAAACCACTAGTTTTCTTCTGAGTCTTTTTTTTTTCTGATGATCTCCTTATTTTCCCACCTTCTTGTATATGACCTCATAACTCTTCATCAGATTTCATGACCCTTATTTCTTTACACAGCTGCCTTTCTGTATTCTAACAGTATACTCCAAGCATGATGCAAATGGTCTGGGGTATAGTTGCTAGAAAATGAAGGATGAGTGTATAAAGCAATAAATGAAAAACTAAATGTATAAATAGAATTGTAATAACGTATGCGCATATGCCTGATACTTAGGTTATAGAAAACTCTTGGTGAATGTCCCTTCCTCAGGAAAGCCTGCTTTGACCACATAATGTAGCCTTTACAGAAAGTTATGATTATATTTTTGTGGTTAGTTTTTGTCTTTCTTATAAAGACAAAAGACAGTAATCTTGTGTTTTTGTTTTTTGATTTTGTTCAGTTAGGAAGAAGGTTTACTCCTGGAACAAACATTGTACCTGGGTCAAATATTGGTCCTCAGTGTATGTGAGTAGAACAAATGAGTCACTCACTTCTGCCTCCTACCTCCCATTTCTCCTTATTCTCCCCTTCATCTTTCCTTGTATCCTTTTTATTCGCTTTCCCTGGTTCTCACATTTATTCACCTCTTCTCTCTTTTTCACTCATTTAAAAAAATTTATATATGACCTTCCATCTTTTCTGCAAAATATAAAAACATTGTAATTGACGAAAATGAACATAAAAAATGTGATGTTGATATTAATAGTAATAACTTATTTAAGGTGTGCAATATGCCAGACATTATTCTAAGCATTTTACCTAAATTAACTCACTTAACCTTCCCAGAAATCCTATGAATCAGGTACTACTCTAGTCTCCAGTTCACAGAAGGGAAAACTGAGGCTTGGAGAAGTTAACGAGCTACTCCAGGTTATGGAGCTAATAACTGTCAGAGATGGCTACAAACCAGAGGGTTTAACTTCAGAGTGTTAGGTCTTTAACCATTTAGATACACTACCTCCCTAAAGCCTCAATGGCCTCAAGTAACACATTTTCCGAATCTTTGGAGAGCTTTGGATTTTATGATAAAATAAGATAGCTTTTAAATTTTCTTTGTTACTCTTTCACCAGTTTCTAAGAAAATTCACTTCACATTATCATTCTGAAAATAGATCTGACTGGATTGAAACTCTGAACCACTCTGGCCTCCCCTGCTGTCAACAGCAGCCAGTTCTTGATCTGGGGAATTATGGGTGAATCTTGAACCTGTCAGGCTGCCTGACCAGGTCCTTGTCCAGTGGGTGAATGACAGCAGCAACATTTCTGTGTCTACTTGATGTGCCGTCTGGGAGCAGCCAAATCTCAGAGCTCTGTGCAGGATATCTGCAACTAAAGCCCCTAGTAAAATGCTGTGTTATGAATGAAAGTGGGCATGAGGTCAGAATGAAGGCACTGGCTGGGAGTCAGCATACCTGAGCTATAATCTTTCTTCAAGATCCCCAGCTGTGTGATATGGGGCAAGCCACTTAACATTTTCAAACCTCCATTTCTCTAGCTATTATATAAAGGGGTTTGGCTAGTACATCTTTCAAGGTCCCATTTATCTATAAAATTCTCCGAAACTCATTTAAAACAACACACAAAAGAAGAAAAGCAAAATAATGAATTGTCAGTTCAGTCAATTTGACCCCGAGGCTGCAACTCTGAAATTTAAATCAGAGCCTATATGAAACTATCTTCTTCCCCTCTCCAAAGGATGTCACTACTGAGTATTAGAATACCAAAAAAAAAAAAAAAAAAAAAAAAAAGAGGGAGAGTAATAAGTGATGGCTTATGAAGAGCAGTAAAACAAATGAAAATCAGCTGTGAAGGTGAGTCAGGTGCTGGGAGGTGGTAGAGATCTGTAAGAAGGGACCATTAAAGTAAGAACAATGAAGAAGAAAAATGGGCCTAATGTGATCTGAGAGATGGAGCTGGAGACTATGTAGGGAAAAAGTGGTGGCTGAAGCAGAACTTACCTGAGTCTGAGGCTGGATGTGTTGTTAAATTTGGCTTTTAGGAATAGTCCTCTCAAAGTGACTCAAACAACAAAGAGGACTTATTTATGACCTCATAAAGTGGAAGGTCTTCAGTATGTTTCATTCAGTAGCTCAGTGGTCTCTCTAAGCAAGTAGCTTTCTTCTGTCTCTCTACTCTGCCTTCCTTTGTGCCAATTTCAACATCATTATAAGGCTGGCTTCACTCCTGGGGTCAAGATTGTTAAGCTACTTCTTGTACTACAATTTCCCAGTAACTACTAGTGGGTTGGTTTTTGATAGCTTACCCGGAAGGGCAAGTAACTATTTCTATAAAGCCCTTAGAAAATCTTCTCCCATGACTCATTGATTCAACTTTAATCACATACACATTTTTATATCAATGCCACTGACCATGGGCATGTTGTCCTCTGACTGGCTTAAGCCTCTGTTACCTGAATTAATCACTATAACAATGGGGTGGGGTTCCCTATGGGATTAGATAAATTTTAAATAGTACAAGAAGAGCTGGGACACTTAATCTCCTCTAAACCCATGGCTGCTTCCCAATGAAAAAGGAGAAACATGGGTATTGGCAGACAGCAACCATGGCTATATCATGAAAAGACAAAACAAAGCAAGAACAAATACTTAAAAGAAATGACAATGCAGTTTATCCTGAGAACTAGCTTCGATTGATTGGAGTACAATAGGCACTGAAAAAGGCAGCCTGAATGTCATGTGTTTGCAACTCTTGACTTAGCAGGAAAGCATATTAAAAAGAAGAAACATATGTTGCCTGATTTTCGAAATCCAGTTATTTAGAATCCAGAAAAGACAAGGCATGGCTAGGTAGCCTTCAGACTACATTTGGCCCTGTATCTGTACCATATTACCCTGTACTACTAAAAGTTGGGTTTACTTAATAGGCTTCTCAAATTCTGCAATTTTTGCCTATAGACTTGGCAGAGTAAATGAAAAAATTAAGACAAAATTAACACGACAAATGAAATGAGATGGAACTGAATTTGATGCATAAAGTCTTTATTACATCTAGGAGGGAATAAAAGGAGCAAACTGCATAGAACACAGTCTACAACCCATGATCATCCTGAACCTGTCTCCTGGTCATTAGTACATGGGCATCAGAGAATAGACGGAGATATTGCTCATTCAGTTTTCCAGGCTTAGACCTAACCTCACAAGTGGCGTGATACAATTGACAAAAGAGACAGGCAAAAGTTGGTAAATCACTGTGTACAAATATTGAATTCAATAAATATGTGTTTAGCATTACTCACGTACATATTTTTCTATAAGAAAATCTAGTAAATGTAGATATATGTTCTATTTAAAATAAATTTCCAGTCTACCTGGAATGTGGGTAGGGGTGGCCAGTGTTGATGAAGGTTCAACCAGGAAAATAAAAACTATTCTGAGGGGAAACCTAGTACAAGGAATTTATTACACAAGTGATGGAAGAGAAGAGAAGACAATGAGGGTCAGGGAGGCACCCCAAGACTATCAACAGCTGAACTACACAACCATCCCTAATTTTTAAAAGGAAAGGAGACAAATCGTGATATTGCTAGATTCTGAGACAAGGTCTCATAGAACCACAGGAAATTTGTCCAATGGACTAAACAGAGAAACAAAGGAGAACCAGCCACGAGTATAGACATCACCTAAGGTGGAAGTGGAGGTGGGTGTTGAGGGACAAATACTCTGAATTCTCCCATCCTCTCACCCTCCAATACCATTTCAGTGCTCCTGTTGTTTGAATATCTATGTATCTCTTCATATGAGATTCTGGACCATGCAGTATACAGGGCTATATTCCACAGAACAGAGATATGGAAGAAGAAAGTATTAAGCTTATGAAAACCAGGCAGGACTGACAGAAACTGTCATAATAGCTATAATTTCTTACTTACTATGTGCTAAAGGAGGATGCTAAATATTTTGCATACCATTTTATCTCGTCCTCCCAACAGACTCATGAGATAAGTTCTATTATCAGTCTTATTTTTTCAATGAGGAAACTTCCTTGGAACAGTTAAAGAAAACGAAAGAACTTCCTCAAATTATATGGCTTATTAGAGGCTGAGCCAAGATTCAAATCCGTGTCTGCTAGTCTGTCAAGCCCAAGTTTTCCACCCTAAGTTGATGACACAGACTACCATAGCAGGCAGGCTGTAAGATGTGTCATAACATGCCCAAGTTCTTCATGAAAATGGTAAGAGTTTGCACTGGGTGTATCTAAGAAGCAATTATAAAGGCTAGGACATTGGAGTTATTTCTTCAAAAATAAGAGCACAGAAATGAAATGGGCAAAAAAAGATATGGTGATAATTAGGGAAGCAGTGCTGGAGACACTAGTGCAAAAGGGAGAGAGAGCATAGGTATGAACAATGACAGGAAACTGCAGGACATTTTAAAGAAGGGCATGTGTGTGTGTGTGAGAGAGAGAGAGAGAGAGAAAGAGAGAGATCTAGTTTAAATATTGTACAGAATAACATTCAAAATATAGTTTAGAACCTGAGGTTAGAAGGCCTCTGATTTAGGCTAAGAGTGCATTTTAAAAGAAAACAAAAACACATATAATTTATAATAATTTTTTAATGTTTGCATAATTCATAAAACTCTTCTAAATCCATTATTCTCCAACCAGCCTTGATATAACTCAGACTATTTTTGCTGATTGTACATGATGGCACTGAGGCTCAAGAAAGGTAATCAACTTTCCAACTATTGCATACTGACAGAGTTTGCATAATTGTCCCTACCCAAATCTCATGTTGAAATGTAATCCCTAATGTTGGAGGTGGGGCCTGGTGGGAGGTGTTTGGGTCATGGGTGTGGATCCCTTATGGCTTGGTGCTGTCCTTGTGATAGTGCATGAGTTCTTGAAAGATCTGCTTGTTGTAAAGTGTGGCACCTCCCCACCCACTTTCTCTCTTACTCCTGCTTTTGCCATGTGACATGCTTACCCCTGCCTTACCTTTCACTATGAGCAAAAGCTCTCTGAGGCCTCTTCAGAAACCAAGCAGATGCCTGTGCCATGCTAGTACAGCTTGCAGAACCATGAAACAATGACATCTCTTTTCTTTATAAATTACCCAGTCTCAGGCATTTCTCTGTAGTAATGCAAGAATGGCCTAACACAGAAAATTAGTATTGAGGAGTGGGGCATTGCTATAAAGATACCTGAAAATATGGAAACAATTTTGGAACTGGAAAATGGGAAACTGGAAGAGTTTGGAAGGTTCAGAAGAAGATAGGAAGATGAGGGGAAGCTTGGAACTTCTTACAGACTGGTTAAATGGTTGTGACCAAAATACTGATAATAATATGGACAGTGAAGGCCAGGCTGATGAAATCTCGGACAGAAAATAAGAAAGTTACTGGGAACTGGAGTAAAAGTCACCCTTGTTATGGCTTAGCAAAGAGCTTGGCTAGCAAAGAGCTTGGCTGCATTCTGCTTATGCCCTAGGGTTTCTGTGAAAATTTGAACTTGAAAGTGATGATTTACGGTATCTGATGGAAGAAATTTCTAAGGAGCAAAGTGTTTAAGAAGTGGCAAGGCTGCTTCTAACAACATATACTCAGATATGGAAGCAAATAAATGACTTAAAGTTGGAAGGTATATTTAAGGGAAAAGAAGAGTGTACAAGTTTGGAAAATTTGCAGCCTGGCCATATGGCAGAGAAAGGGAAAACTTCTTCAGGAGAGGAATTCTGGCAGGTTGTGGAGCAACCACTTGCTATAAGATTTATGTAATAAAAAAGCTAGGTGCTGATAGCCACAAACATGGCAAAAAGGCCTTGAAGGCATTTCAAAGTGTGATGGAGGCACTCCCTTCCATCACAAGCCTGGAGGCCTAGGAGGACTAAATGGTTTTGTGGGCCAGGGCCAGGATGGTGCTGTCCCACACAGCCTTGAGACACTGCTCCCTGCATCCAGGCAGCTTCAGCTTCAGCTGTGGCTCAAAGGGCTCCAGTACAGCTAGGGCTGCTGCTTTGGAAAAGGCAAGCCACCATAAGCCTTGGCAGCTTCCATGTGATATTAAGTCTGCCAGCCCACAAAGTGCAAGAGTGAAGGGGGTTTGGCAACCTCTGTTTAGATATCAGAGGATGTATGAGAAACCCTGGGTGCCCAAACAGAAGCCTGCTGCAAATGCAGGCTCTCACTGAGAACCTCTATTAGGGCAGTATGGAGGAGAAATGTGAGCTTGGAACCCCAACACAGAGTCATCACTGGGGCACTGCCTAGTAGAGCTGTGAGAAGGGGGCCACTGTCCTCCAGACCCCAAAATGGTAGATCCACTGGCAGTTTGCACCCTGTGCTTGGAAAAAGCTTTAGGCACCTGCAAGAGCAGCTGCAAGGGCTGAACCCTGCAAAACCACAGGGATGGAGCTGCCCAAGGCCTTGAGAGCTCATCCTTTGCACCAGTGTACCCTGGATGTGGGACATTAAGTCAAAAGAGATTATTTTGGAGCTTTAAGATGTAATGACTACCCTGGGTTTCAAACTTGCATGGGAACTATAGCCCCTTTCTTGTGGCCAATTTCTCCCTTTTGGCACAGGAATGTTTACCTAATGCATATACCACCAATGCATCATGGAAGTAACTAACTTGTTGTTGATTTTACAAGCTCATAAGTGGAAGGAATTTACCTTGTCTTGGATGAGACTTTGGACTTTCAAATGAATTCTGGAATTATTTAAGACTTGGAGGAAGGTATGATTATATTTTATAATGTGAGAAGGATGAGATTTTGGGGTCCAGGGGGTGTAATGATATAGTTTGGATATATCTCTTGCCCAAATCTCATGTTAAATTGTGATCCCCAGTGTTGGACATGGGGTCTGGTGGGAGGAGTTTGGGTCATAGGGAAGGATCTCTTATAGTTTGGTGCAGTCCTCACCAAAGTGAGAGAGTTTTCACAAGGTCCAGTTATTTAAAAGTGTGTGGCACCTCCCTGCAAACCCCTGCTCCTGCTCTGCCATGTGAGATGCCTGCTCTTGCTTCATCTTCTGCCATAAGTCAAAGCTCCCTGAAGCCTCCCAAGAACCAAAGCAGATACCTGTGCCATGCTTGCACAACTTGCAAAACCATAACCCAATTAAACTTCTGTTCTTTGTAAATTACACAGTCTCAGGTATTTGTTTATAGCAATACAAGAACAGCCTAACACACATAGTAAATATTACATGAGAGTCAAGACTGGAACTCTTGCTGCTTAGCTCCTAATATCAGATCTCTTTGCATATAATCAATATGAATTTGTGAATAAATTATATATTTGGCTTCAAGACACAGCAACTAATTCTAGATAACTTAAAGGAAAAGAAGCCTCATTATAAGCATAAAAGAGAGAGTCATGTTTCCTTGAGGTAAAGATACAACTAAGACAGCCTGATACTGGGACTCAGGTGAAAAAAACCATGTTAATTTTATCTTGATCTGTTTAATCTTCTCCCAGACCAATAACTTTCCTCACTTTTTCAGTCCACTTAGAAAGAATAAGAAAGAGGGAGATACCCATGTCATCATAGAATCTGGATTTAAGTTCTAATAACCCAAAATTATCTCTCCCTCTCTCTCTCCACCCCAAACTCTCAGGAAGAAACTGTAACTAGACTAGTTTTGATCAGGCATCTCTGTTTAATCCAATCAGCATGAGAAATATGTGTATATAGTCACATAATTAAAAATGGTTGGCAGGAACTCCCAGTAAAGTGAGGTTACTGGAGAACATTACTTCAAATGGTATTTATCACACTATGACTGTATTATAAGAATTTTTCTACTGTCAGATGGGAGAAAAGGCCATGTTTCTGTTTATCAATAAAGGCTCTAGACCAGCACAGAAAGAAGCAGGATGATCAATTGCTCAGATTGCCTGAAGAGCAAACCCATGCCTCCTCCTGAGCAATGCCCATCAAGCAGAGAAAACAGAGGGAGTGCCTTAGGTCTCTCCATTAGTTCACATCCAACCTGGCGACTTCTAGTCCTCCAGAGTCTTTTGCTCAGGCAAAAGGAAGTCTGCCACATGAAGAAGATTAAGAAGACTCATTCACAAGTTGTTATTTCATTTTAAACCTGAGAACCTGACTCTCTGGGATGCACCACTCTTAATAAGCTTAGAATGAATTCGACATTTTATAATAAAAATGTCCCTTAGGTGGGTACAGTTAACAAAGCACCTTTATTGCTGTGATGTCATTTGATTCTCACAGCAACTTTTTATCATGGGAAAGATAGGAAAAGCTTTTTGTTTCCCTATTTCACACATGAGTCTACTGAGGTTCATAGAGGCTCACAGCATCATGAGGTAGTTTGTGCCATTTCGATTAGATGCCAGGTCTCTTTATTCCCAATCCAATGTTCTTTTCTATTATACAACAATTTTTACCTTGTAAGATCCCTCTCCTATTTCTTTCTTTTCTTAAATTTTATTAACCACCCCTCTTTGGCATCTCTTTATCACCTTAAATGTATTTTTCCTTCTAGAACATAAAATTGTTTGCTATAATTGAGTCTCTTTGTTTACAACCATGTTTTCCCTTTCATTGCCTATTGTTTCATTTGGAGATATGCAGCCAGCATTACAACAGGTATCTACTTTTCAACATGTGAGATGCTCATCTGATGAAATTACAATTCCTAGCTAAAAGAAGCACTCAAAATAAAGTATACACTGAAGAGAGACCCATGCCTGCACTGGATTACCTTGGTTGCTTGTCAGAACGTTATTACCCAAACTCCTTTTTCCCTTTCTTATCTCTTCATCTATCTTAGACTGTTCTTGCATTGCTATAAAGAAATACCTGAGAAGCGGTAAGTTTGAAAGAAAAGAGGTTTAATTGGCTCACAGTTTTGCAGGCCATACAAGCATTGTGCTGATGTCACTTGGCTTCTGGGGAGGCCTCAGGGAGCTTTTACTCAAGGTGGAAAGCGAAGTGGGAGCATGCATGTCACACAGTGAATGCAGGAGCAAGTGAGAAGGCGCAGAGGGAGAGGTGCCATACACTTTTAAACAACCAGATCTTATGAGAATGCAGAGTGAGATCCCACTTACCACCAAGGGGGCAGCTCAAGTGATTCATGAGGGATCAACCCCCATGATCCAAACACCTCCCACCAGGCCCCAAGTGCAACACTGGGGGTTATATTTAAACATGAGATTTGGACAGGGACAAATAACCAAACTACAGATCATCCCTAATTTTTTCTCTGAAAAATCATTTTTCAGAATTTGTTTTACAGTTGAAATCTGAAGAAATGGTGCCCCTAACATCTTTTTTGTATTTTTAAAAGGAGTCTCACTCTGTGGCCCAGGCTGGAGTACAGTGACACAATCTCAGCTCACTGCAACCTCTGCCTCCTGAGTTCAAGTTATTCTCGTGCCTCAGCCTCCCAAGGTAGCTGGGATTATAGGAGTCTACCACCTTGCCCGGCTAATTTTTGTAGAGACAGGATTTCACCATGTCGGCCAGGCTGGTCTTGAACTCCTGGTCTCAAGTGATCATCCTGCCTTGACCCCTCAATGTGCTGGGATTACAGGCATGAGCCACTGTGCCAGACCCCAACATCTTTATTTTTCAAATTCAATGGTTTGGCATTGGAGAGAGCCAGTTGTAACTCACCGTCACACAATGCTGCTACCATTTCCCAGGAAGGTGGTTCTTCTCTATAACCCTCTTTGGACATGCATGCTTTTGGAATTTGTATGTCCTGAAGTTGGGAAACAGGACAGAAATTGGTGAAGTTTTTAGGTATACTAGTATCCAGGTAATGGACACAGGAAGTAAAAACAAAGTCTCTTTGGATATCTGCATTCACCAGAATACAGCTTGGAATTCTGAACGTGTGATGCTGGAGCCAGGACCAACTGCAAAGATCCTTTGGCATTGTGCCGTCGAGGAAACTGAGGTAAAGTATAACAGAGGGACTTGCTGAGAGTCACCTGCAACATCCCAGGTCAGCGAGGTGTGCAGTAAACTTTGCTGTGTCCCTTTGGTTTACAGGCTGCTGCCCCTTTGTATTGAAATGAAGCATGCAGGAGGACTCAGTGAAATTACCTTTGGAAATTTCCAGCTGGGTTGTACCCTCTTAATACCAGGTTTAAATGCACGGGGTGGGTGTAAAGAATGTTTCCAAAGGGTGGGCTGTGGGGATGGTGGAGTTGGTGATGGAAAGGAGAGACATGGAAAGAAATGGTTTTTATGATGAGATTCTCACCAGTAGCTAAAATCATCCAATGCTGTGGAAGGGGGGAGTTGTGTGTGATGTGTGTTGAATTCTGGATAGCTATTTAAGCTGGAAGTGGTGAATTCATGGGCTATGCTGGGTCTCTTGGGAGATGGTTCAACCTTTCCTTTGTCCTTCCCCTAGTAGGAACCAAGAAGGGGAGGGCATGGAAATGGCGGGTGGGTGAGGTTTAACACAATTTTGAAGTCTACCAAAACACACATCTTTCTGCTGAGCAAATCATGGTGTCTCCTGGGCACCAACCTAGGAAAGTGAGTCTTAATCATGAGGCGATCTGTGCAGCACCAAAAAGCATTTGATCTGGAGTGGCAGTGGGAGGGTAATCCAGAAAAGCTGGCCTCAACTCATAATAAAGGAGTGGTGGGCCTATTTATTAAAATAGTAATAATGAGCCAGCAAACATTAAAAGAGCTTGACCGTATGCTGGGCACTGTCCCTGGCACTTGCCCTCAATTATTTCATTTATTTATCACCTCAAACCTATCTGTGAAAGTAAGTATTGTTATCACTGTGATAAAAATGCATAGGATTAGAAAAGTTAACTAATTACCAAGATCACAAAACTGTCAGTGGAGAAACAGGATTGTAATTCAAGTTAATCTGTTCCAAGGCCTGTGCTCAGTAATAGATACAAGTAATTTCATAGTATTCTTGCATAACAAAAACAGCCTGATTTTTGAAGCCCAATTCTAAGTCCTGTCTGAATCCTGAATCTGCACTTCTAACCTTTATAAAACTAGATCTTTTTCTAACCTCTTGGTTAGAAATCAAAAGTGCTCAAGAAAATCAGTCAGTAAATGGAAATCAGACAGGGCTGGGTAAATAGCGAAGTATGGTGAGAAGGGAAGGATCAAACAAAATGGTTATCAAAGAACAAAACTGTGTTGAGAAGCCAAGCAGGCAAGCTGAATATAAAAAGCTCATGGTTATGAGAAAGAATTCACTTTAACAAGCTTGTTTTTCCATTCTCTCCCCCCAGCTGATCTGATGACAATCTCATTCCAACTAAATTCTCTTGTGTCGTAAATCTCTGTTTTTCCATTTCATTTTTTCTCACCTATTTTATTTTTGTTCCATTAAACACCACCTCCACTTCCTTCCTGACCACTTCATTTTCTGCCTGGCCTTGAGATGCTCCCCAAGCATCTCAACAGCTTGACTTCTTCCTCTGCTAGGGGACTAATAGCTTTTTGTTGATCTACTGGCCATCTGGAAGCCAGAGCAGCCTCTACCCCACACAGGACCCAGGGAGAGAAACCAGTGTAGGTGGTGTGAGGAGGCAGAAACAAGGAAGAAGAAAAAAGAAAAGCCAGGAGATATAATAAGGAGATGACAGAAATAAAGCAAAATGAGAGGAAAATAGGATGGAAAAAAGGAAAGAATAAAGATAGAAAAGTCTGTATTTCAAAGATAAAGGAAGATTCATAAGACAAAATGAGAGGTAGAAAGTAAAAACACATAGGAGAGAGGGAGAGAAAGGGAGGGTAAATAGAAGCAGGGAGATACAAAAAGTGAAGGGAGAGGAAAAAAAGAAAAGCTGAGAAGTAGTAAAATCTATACATAGTAAAGGAAAGACACCCGAGGTGAGGAGGAAGGAAGTTAGGCTGAAAGGGATGAAAAAGCAAAATGAAGTAATCAAACTAGTTGAGAAAGCAGTGAGAGACATAGCCGGCAGAAAGAAATACGGAGAGAAAAGGAAAACAAACCCAGCGGGAAGAAGATAGATGTAGGCAAAACAAGATTGAGGGAGATTCTTAGATAAAATGAAAAGACTGTGTTTTCAAGTCGATCTTTTCCCTTGCCTCTACAAAGACATCATTTCATTTAACAACAAATGTGTGCGTTAAAATAGCCGAAAAACAAGTAATGCCGTAGAGCTGTGCATGCAGGGGATATTGTTTGGTCAGCAATGTCTCTCAGGAGACCCCAGGATTTCATTTAAGCTTTAGGAACTATGCAAACATCATCATAATAGCTAATATTAACTGGAAATGTACTATGCACTCGCACTGTGCTTAGCACGTTGAACAGTAATTTGCATGTAATTCTCACAACAAGCCTATGAAATAGTTGCTATCAGTATCTTTGTTGGTCAATGAGGATAGGGAGGCTTAGAGAGGTTAAGATAATTTGCCTAAGGTTGCACAGCTTTAGGTGCCAGACCCAGAATCAAATCAGGTAGTGAAACTCCCTAGCCCATGATATTAACCACTTACTTTCCAAAAAGAAAAAAAAAAAAGCCATGGTATCTGGAAGCAGGGCTCAGAACTGGACACATTCAACCATGTTGGCTGAGTCCCACTGTGTACTTGGCACTAAGTTAATGGCCAGGAGACAATGAGAGATAAATAAGACGTGATCTTGGCTTCCAAGAAGGTAATGAGGCAGGGCTGGGGAGAAGATATGTACATGCATGTTTCACAATTAGGGAAAGCATGTTTCTGTAGGTAAGAACTAAATGTTGTGGACACAAAGATCTGGAATGACCCTTCATGGGCAGGCTTGACAAGGAAGAGTAGAACTTCTCAGTGAATGTTTTTCTGTAAAAAGCCAGGTAATAAATACTTTGGGCTTTGTAGGCTGCAGATCTGTGTCACAACTACTCAGCTCTTGCTTTAGAGCAGTGCAGTCCTCAACCTTTTTGCCGCCAGGGACTGGTTTAGTGTAAGCCAATGTTTCCACGGACAGGAAATAGGGCTGGTTTCGGCATGAAACTGTTCCACCTCAGATCATCAGGCATAAATTGGATTCTCATGAGGAGTGAGCAGCCTGGATCCCTTGCATGCCCAGATCACAGTAGGGTTCGTGCCCCTGCTCCTAGGAGAATCTAATGCCCCTCACTGCTCTGACAGGAGGCAGAGCTCAAGTGGTAATGCTGGCTCACCTGCTGCTCACCTCCTGCTGGGCAGCCTGGTTCCTAACAGGCCATGGACCTGTACCTGTCCTTGGCCTGAGCGTTGGAGGCCCCTGCATTAGAGCACCAAAAAAGCCACCGACAATATGTGAACAAATAAGCAAACATGGATGTATTCTGAGAAATTTTGTATTAAGGACAATGAAATTTAAATGTCATATGATTATTTATGTGTCACGAAATATTACCTTTTAAACATTTCTTTCAGTCATTTACAAATATTTTTTAAAAGAACATTCTTAGCTCATGGGTGATGAGCTGAATTTGGCTGGGGGGGTTGTAGTTGGCCAATACCTGCCCTAGGGGAAATAAATAATTAAGGAGAGCATTCCCAGTATTGAGAGGCATGCTCGGAATCAGAGTGGCATGACAAGTCTTGGGGTTTCCTGAGAATTACTACTATCTTCCTCAAGTGCCAGGTGTAGCCTAGGGCATAATGGAGGTGAAGTTAGACATCTGTGTTGGGACTGGATTATGAAGTGTGTAGAATTCCACATAAAGAGCTTGAATGTTGTGACAATGGGGAGCCCTTGAAGTAGGTTTTAAGCAGGGATTTACTGCAGTTCAATTTAATTTTAGATATTAAAAAATGAATACGAGGATTGGGAGCTCTAGCTATAATTCATGGGTGCACTTATGAAGGCCCCAACTAAAGAAGAGTCAACAGATGTGACAGCAGGGGAAGTTCCAATCACTGCTTAAGAGGTGGAATTGATTGGCTTTGGTGATTGAATAGTTGAGGAGGAAAGATGCCCATTGTGGCTCACTTGTTAGTTACACTTTCAACGTGAATCAAAAGAAGTAAATGTCGTAAAAATACTGAGATATTCTGCAAAACCAAACAAGTATATGTATATAAATATGTGTGTGTGTACTTTCTAATTCTAAGAGTAATATGTGCTTATTTTAATTAATGCAAGGCTAGATACTATAATAAACCAATTATACATTTTCAGTGACCACTTGAAATCCTTTGAACTTCACCTCTTATTTCAGCCATGTCAGTCATGAATGGCCTAATTCAGGCATGACATAGCAAGACCTTGCATCAGACAGGCATTAGGCACCTCCGTCTTTCTGCCCTAGGACATCTCTGACTGATTAGCAAGGTACACTTTCATCACATACTCTGTGCAATCATATGCAGCCTGGAAGCCAGAGAATCAGTGCCCCAGGGACCAGCTCTTGACCACTTGAAGATGAGAGCAGATGTATAAATGCTCCCTCCTTCCCTTCCACAGGTATGCTGTTCTGAGGTAAATTTATATGCCTCTTCAGAAGTCCTGGTGGGATTGTGCACCAGCTGTCTGCAGTGAGGGTCAACTCAATAATATGTCTTTACAATCCCTTTTTCTCTGTCTCTAACTTCCTTCAGTGACCCCCTCACTCTGGCTCTCTGAATAAATTCCTAAAAAACTATCTGCCTACAATTTTTTTATAGGCTCTGTTCTTAGGGAAAACCAGGCAAAGGAATTTGATTAACAACAGAAGCTTAATTTTTGCTTGGATAATCAAAAAATGTAGTTGTTCTACTTAGCAGGCAGCTTCCAAGGGGTAACTCAAGGACCCATGTTCCTTCTACCATGCGGCTTTGTCAACTTTTAGGACCTCAGAGTCCCCTCTGAGGAAAAAAGTAGATAGAGAAGGTATAGTTGCTTCTTTAATTACACGTCTCCCATTCTCTCACATTCTATAAGGCAAGCATGGAATCACAGGGCCCCAGATGCAAGGGGGCCTGGGAAACATAGTGCCTGCTTAGTAGCTTTTTCTTAGCAAAACTCTACATGATGGATCAGGAATAATGTATTTTGGTCAACAGCCAGTCATTTCTACTTTAATGTTCAATAAATACATTTTGTCAGTAAAAAAGAGTACATAAAATAAGTTGAAATCACTTATAACTCCACCATCCAGGGTTAGTCACTATTTCATTTTGATGTATTCCTACCTTCACTTTTTCCATATCGTTATTCATATGTTTAGAAATGTGTGTATATATAAATAAATATATATACATATATACTCAGAAGCCTCCAGTAATTACAAATGTACATTTGCTTGCTTCACTTAACATTTTATTGTGAACATTATTGCATGTATTTTATATTCCTTTTTTTTTTTTTTTTGAGATGGAGTTTCGCTCTGTCACCCAGGCTGGAGTGCAGTGGCGCAATCTCGGCTCACTGAAACCTCTGCCTCCCGGGTTCAAGCAATTCTCTGCCTCAGAATCCTGAGTAGCTGGGATTACAGGTCCCCACCACCATGCCCAGGTAATTTTCATATTTTTAGTAGAGATGAGGTTTCACCATCTTGACCAGGCTGGTCTTGAACTCCTGACCTTGTGATCCACCCACCTCAGCCTCCCAAAGTGCTGGGATTACAGACGTGAGCCACCGCCCCCAGCCGTATTTTATATTCTGATTGAGATGTCAGGAAGGTGGAATTTAAGTTGGCTGATTATGTGGAACGTGGAGACAAACCTCAACAGGCCCAGATGCAGCTCACAGTCTATGAGGGAGATAAGACCTAGACCTCTATAAACATATGGTCTATTATCTTAAGAGCTAACTTATGAATTGGTGCATTGCTGAAATGTGACCACCAAAGACTTTATGTGTCCTAACTTTAGTCACTTACTCTAATTTTTTTGTCCTTTCAGAGCTTAGTGAAAGTAATTGAATACTTTTTTGACATTTTTTGTTACAAAAAAAAGACCAACTAATATTTCATGAACATGTCAACGATTATTTCTGCCAGCCCAAAGTATGTAATGTAGCCTCACAGAGAAAAAGGGAAGAGAAATTGAAGGCAATGACAATATCCCCATTTGCACACAATTTAGGCAGTCATGGGGTTGTCCTCAATGCACTAATAATAGGACACAGAGAAGTATATCTATAACTAACAAAAATCTAATTCCTAAAGATGAATAAACTATTTTGCTTGGGGCAAGCATTTCTTCTTTTTTTCATAGTTTTATAACCAATACTATTTAAACATTAAAATTATTGCTGCTGAATCTGTATCAAACTCAAGCAGAGCCAAGCCAACTTGAGGGTGTTTTCTCTCTTCTCTTTTTCTTTATTTTTGAGACAGAGTTTTGCTCTTGTTGCCCAGGCTGGAGTGCAGTGGTGCGATCTCGGCTCACTGCAACCTCCGCCTCCAGGATTCAATCGATTCTCCTGCCTCAGCCTTCCGAGTAGCTAGGATTACAGGCACCCACCACCATGCCCGGCTAATTTTTTTGTATTTTTAGTAGAGTTTGGGTTTCACCATGTTGGCCAGGATGGTCTTGAACTCCTGACCTCAGGTGATCCATCTGCTTTGGCCTCCCAAAGTGCTGGGATTACAGGCGTGAGCCACAGCTCCCAGCCCTGAGGGTGTTTTCTGTTCTCTATTCTATTTACCCCAAAGCTGTTATGAAAGGGGAAATTTCATATCTTTCCTCTGTGAACTGCTGGCCTCAAAGAAATTTTCCGCTATTGTTGCACCAGAGAGCAATGTGGATAAAATGTCATTGGAGTTCCAAGAAAAAAAGCTATAACTTCCATCAGGGACACAGAAAGTGTGAAAATGTTCACAATGAGCTTCCTGAAGGAAGCAGAACCTATTCTACAGGGTTGCAAGGTCCAATTAATGTGTAATTACCTGAAAAAGATATTTGATGGCTAAGAACTTTATGCTGAAATTAAACTGACTAGATTGAATACCAAGTTTGATACTAACTAAAAAGTGACCTTGGCAAAGTACTTTAACTTTCTGCATGTCCTTTAAAATAGAGCTGCTCACATGAAGTTATCATGGAGTTTCTATGAGAAATGCATGTAATAAATTATGTAAATTATCTGGAACGGTGTTTAGCCCATGGCAAGTGTTCCCCACATGTTACTCCAATTTTCTAGGTGCTAAATAAATGTTGAGTGGCATTGCAAAACTGTTTCTTTCAAATCTTGAAACACCTGGGAATTTAACATTTCCTTCAACATTTTTGAAGATTTTGACAAGTTTTCTAAAATGTTACATAGAAAAATAAAATTTTCACAAAGACCTAATTCAATTTGCAAACTAAAAGCAAAGAAGAAAAATTGTTTCTATCAGCCATGAACATATGAAAAAGTCATAGTAATAAAAAGTAATATATTTAAATGACAATGGACAGACTAGAGTGAAAAAATGTAAAGATTCTTGATAAGTGTAAAGATCTTAAAACCTGACCCATTTATAAGTGGCAACTTAGTATATGATGAAGATAGTCCTATAAACTAATGAGGCAAAAAGAGTATAAAGATCTTAAAACCTGACCCATTTATAACTGGCAACTTAGTATATGATGAAGATAGTCCTATAAACTAGTGAGGAAAGGACAAATTATTTACTAGTTGGTGCTGGGAGAACTGAATCACTATATGGGGAAAAATAATGTTAAAACTCTGCCCTACTGAGGATGGATTGGCAGCTCATATATAAATGAAAAAAAAAAATACCACTAAGTCAATAGGTTCCAACATCAGAGAATTATAACCCTGTGGTAAAGAGATTTTCCTAAATATGACCCCAGATTTATAAACTATCAGGTTATGGGGAAAGTATGGATTTTTAAATATCAAAAGAATAGATTTTCATTCAAATGGACACCACACACAAGGCCAGCATGAACCGTATTTTAGCATATGGTATCTGCAATGGTGAAATATAATAATCCAACATCAATCTTACAGGAGGACTGATGTCAGCAAGATGATGTACTAGGCAGTCCCAACACTTATCTCCCTCTAAGACACAAACAAACAAAAAACAACAAGTTAATAAATAAATATCAGTGAAAATAGCTATGGAAGAACTCTGGAGTAATGCAAAAAGTAGTAGAAACTCCGGGCAGCATAGAAACTAAAGATGACCCCATAGAAAGGGATAGAAAACACTTTGCCTGAGTCACCTCATCCCCCAGCAGGAGCAGCATGGATCTAAGAGGGATCTCCTCAGAGGGATATTTCCCCCATGGGACAAAGGTGAGCAGGAGGACCCCAGTCCTCACCACTGACACAATACTTGGAGCCTTCACCACTGGTGACCTCCACAGTCTTTATCAATGCTAAGCCCAACTAAGAAAGCTGCCCAGATGGAGTCCACACTGTCCACTTGTCCCAGAGAAGGAGACAATGCTATGCTTTTGCATTGTACCTTTTCCTGAGTAGCCACTGCACTTCACCATTTCTGGGCCCTTGTTACCACTGCACTCTGTTGCCTGGGGCCTGGGATGCCACAGTACCCCACCATCTTTGTGAGTTGCTGTTGCTCTATGTCCCCATGGTCAAGCTGCTGCCAAAAAGCTGTATTCCTAGGGCTCAATTTATTGCTGCATCCTACATCTTGAGACCTGGGTTTTTGCTGTGGGCCGACATTTCGGGGCCTTGCTGCCAGGGCATTCTGTACCCCAGGAATTAAGCTGATGTGGCACCCCACCTTTCCAGGGACCTTTAGCATTCAAGCCACAGCTGCAGCCTATTTCTCCAGCACAAATTTCTGAGGCAGGCCACAGAGTCATAGACTCTGGCTCTCTGGGTGTTCTGCACAGGTCCACAACTCAGTGAGTAGACCTGCTCCCAAGGATGCAGGTGTCACAGTATTTCCTTAAGTCCCTGAGCCCAGATGCACAGGCACTCTAAAAGTTTGTGTCCTGGAGCTTCCTGGAGACCACACTGCTGCTTCCCACGCTAAACCAGAGTCACTGCATTGCACCCAACCAGTGACCTTGCAATCACCAGCAGCTGAGAGTCTTTTCCCACTGAAGCCAGCTTGTAAGTTCTGAAAAAAGTAACTGCTCCATTAAATGCACAAACATAAACACAAGAGCACAGGAAACATGAAGAAACAAGGGAATATGACATCACCAAAAGAACAATAATTATCAGTAATTATCCAATAAATGAACATAAAGAAATAGAGATCTACGAATTTTATAAAAAGGAATTCAAGGCCGGGAGTGGTGGCTGAGGCTTGTAATCCCAGCACTTTGGGAGGCCGAGGTGGGCAGATCACGAGGTCAGGAGATCGAGATCATCCTGGCTAACACGGCGAAACCCCATCTCTACTAAAAATACAAAAAATTAGCCGGGTGTGGTGGCGGGTGCCTGTAGTCCCAGCTACTTGGGAGGCTGAGGCAGGAGAATGGCGTGGACCCAGGAGGTGGAGCTTGCAGTGAGCTGAGATCATGCCACTGCACTCCAGCCTGGGCGACAGAGCGAGACTCCATCTCAAAAAAAAAAAAAAGGAATTCAAAATAATTATGTTAAGCAAACTCAGCAAGATGCAAGAAAATGCAGATAGACAATTCAACGAAATAAGAAAAGCAATGCATGAAGAAAATTAGAAATTCAGCAAAGAGAAATCATGAAAAAGAACCAAGAAAAAATCCTGGAACTGAAGAATGAATGAATAAAATTAAAAATGCAATAGCGAGCTTCAACAGCAGCCTTGATCAAATGAAAGAATCTGAAAATGTGAATACAAGTCTTTTAGAATTATTCAGTCAGAGGAGGATAAAAAGAACAAAAAGAGTGAAGAAAGGCTGTGGGACTTACGGGACACAAGCAAACCAATAGATAAATTATGAAAATATATGGAAATTAAACACACTCTTGACAGCCAATGGGTCAAAGATGAAATCAAAAGGGAATTAAAAATAGTTTGAGGCAAACAATAATGGAAACACAATGTACAAAAACTTATAAGATGCAACAAAAGCAAGGGAAGCTTATAGTGATAAACATCCATATTAAGATAAATAAAATATTGCAAATAAATAACCTAACTTTATAGTTCAAGAAACTAGATAAAGGAAAACTATGGCTAAAGTTAGCAGAATGAAGGGAATACCAACAATCAGAGCATAAATGAAACAGATGAAGGAACACCACAGAGCAAAAGAGCCAAATAGAATCCTCCAGTGATTGCACCCTCTGCTGGAACACCAAATTGAACAACTATTCATACAAGAAAGCACCTCTGTAAGAACTAAAAATCTAGTGAGTGATCACAGTACCTGATTTTAGCATCCTATCAAGAAAAGAGGCATTAAGGTGGTTAGAAAAGACAGTCTTGAATTGCCAACATCAACACTCCCTCATCCTCTGGCAACAGCCACATGGCATGGAGAGAGAATCTATGTTCTTGAGAGAGGGACAGCACAGTGATTGTGGGGCTTTGCGTTGGAACTAGATGTTACCCGTCACAGTGGAAAGCTGTACTGGGCAGAATTCAACCTGTGCCCACTAAGGTAGCATTAAGCCAGCCCTAGCCAGAGGGGAAATGTCCCTCCCAGCGGTCAGAACCTGAGTTCTGGCTAGCTGCACTACCATGGGCTAAACAATCTGGGGTCCGAAATACACTTGGAAGGCAATCTAGGCCACAAAGACTGAAATTCCTGGGCAAATCCTAGTACTTTGCTGGGCTCAGAGCCAGTAGGCTTGGCGTGTATGAGACCTAGTGAGATATTTTCTGCTGGAGGAGAGGGAAGAATAAAAAAGAATTTTTCTTGCAATGTGGATACCAGCTCAGCCACGTAGAATAGGACATTAGTCAGAGTCCTAAGTCCCACATTCAAGGATCTAGCTCCTAGATGACATTTCTAGACACATCCTAAGCCAGAAGTGAACCCACTTTCTTGAAAGGAAGGACCTAGTTCTGGCAGGATTTATCACCACTGACTAAAAAGCACTTTGGCCTTGAATAAACACCAGCAGTAGCCAGACAATTTTTGCCATGGACTTTGGGTGAGACTATGCCGTGCTGGCTTCAGCATGACCCAGCACATTCCCAGCTGTAGTGGCCATAGTGAGAGACTCCTTATCCTTGAGGAAAGCAAAGGAAAGATTGGGAAGAACTTTGTTTTACAGCTTGGGTGCCAGGTCAGCTGCAGTAAAATAGAGCACCAAGTAGATTCCTGAGGCTCCTCACTCCAGGCCCTGCCTCCCAGACCAGGAGAAGAGCTCACCATCCTAAAGGGAAGGACACAAGTCTGTCTGGATTTACCACCTGTTGAGCAAAGAGCCCTTAGGCCTTGGATGAACATCAGCAGTAGCCAGGCAGTGGTCACAACAGACCTTGGGTGGGACCCAGTACTATACTGGCTTCATGTCTGACGCGGCCCAGTCTCAGTGGTTGTGACCACAAGGGTGCTTGTGTTACCCGTGCTCCAGCTCCAAACAGCTCAGCATGGAGATAGAGCCTTTGTTTGTTTGAGAAAAAGTAATAGAAGAGAATAAGAGTCTCTGCCTGGTAATCCAGGGAACCCTCCCAGATGTTATCTAAGACCACCAAGGGAGTACCTTTACAAGTTGGCAGAAGTTACAGTGTTACTGGGCTTGGGGTGCCTTGTAATGCAGATATGGCTGCAGTGACCAAAGTTTTAGATCACAATACTCAGTTCCCTTTGAATATTTGGAAAACCTTCTTAAGGATGAGTAGCAACAAGCACAGATTGTGAATGCTACAATAAATACCTAATTCTTCAGTGCTCAGACACTGATGAACATCCATCAGCATCAAGACCATTCAGGAAAACATGACCTCACCAAACAAACTAAATAAGTCACCAGTGACCAATGCTGGAATGATAGAGATATGAGACCTTCCAGACCAAGAATTTAAAATAACCATTTTGAGAAAGCTCAACAAAATTCATGACAACACAAATAAGGAATTTCGGATCCTATCAGACAAATTTAACAAAGAAATTGGAATGATTTCAAAAAATCAAGCAGAAATTCTGAAGCTGAAAAATTAACTTGACATACTGAAGAATGCATCAGAGTCTCTCAAAAGCAGACTTGATTAAGAAGAAAGAATTAGTGAGCTTGAAAACAAGCTATTTGAAAATACAGTCAGAAGAGATAAAAGGAAAATCATAAATATGCCATGAAAAAATTGTTAGAACTAGTAAACAAATCCAGTAAAGTTGTAAGATACAAAATCAACATAAAAATCAGTTGTGCTTCTATATGCTAGGAATGATGTATCTGAAAAATAAATTAAGAAAATTACCTTTACAGTAGCATTAAAAACACTTAGAAATAGATTTAATTTAGGAGGTGAGAGATCTATAGACTGAAACTTATAAAATATTGATGAAACAACTTGAAGAAGACACAAATAAATGGAAAGATTTATGAACTGTGTTTATGGATTGAAAGAATTAATATTGTTAAAAAGTCCACACTAACCAAAAGATCTGCAGATTCAATGCAATTTCTATCAAAATTTCAATGCTTTTTATGTAAATAGAAAAAAAATTCCTAAATTTATATGTTGCCACAAAAAAATCCCAATAGCTAAAGCAATCTTTAGAAAGATAAACAAAGCTGGGGGCATCACATTTCCTAATTTCAAAGTATATTAAGGTATAGTAATCAAAACAGTGTAGTGCTAGCATAAAAGCAGACACATGGTACAATGGAACAGAACAGAGAGTCCAGAAATAAACTTAAACTTATAAAGTCAACTAATTCTTTGAAGAGATGCTAAGAATACACAATGGGGAAACCATAGTCTCTTCAATAAGTGATGTTGGGAAAACTGGATATCCACATGCAAAAGAATAAAATTGGACCTTTCTCTTATACCATACACAAAAAATAAACTCAAAAATAATTAAATATTTAAATATAAGACCTAAAATCATAAAACTACTAGAAGAAAACATAGGGATCTCAGCATTAATCTTGGCAATTGTATGAATATGTCTTCAAAAGCAAAGGCAACAGAAGCAAAAATAAACAAATGGGACTACATCAAATTTACAAGTTTCTGCACAGCAAAAGAAATAATAAGATGAAAAGGCAACTTATGGAATGGAAGAAAATATTTGCAAATGTTATATCTGATAGGTGGCTAATATATAAAATATATAAGGAATTCATACAACTCAATAGCAACAAAATCAAGTAACCCAATCATATTAATAACATGGGCAAAGGAAGCAAATAGTATGTTTTTTTAAACGCATACAAATGCCCAGTAAGAATACACAAAGATGTTCAGCTTCACTAATCATTGGAGAACTACAGATCAAAACAATAAGATATCACCTTGCACATGGTAGAAAGGGGATTATTTTAAAATCGTATACTAACAAGTGTTGGAGAGGAAATGGAGAAAAGGGAATATGTGCACACTATTGGTAGAATTTTAAATTAGTCAAAGCATTATAAAAGACAGCCTGGAGGCCCCTCACAAAACTGAAAATAAAACTACTGTATAATCAAGGATTTTCACTTCTGATTAGATATCCAAAGTACCAGTATCTCAAAGAGATATCTCACTACTGTGTTTACAATAGCCAACATATGGAAATAGCCTAAGTGTCTGTCAATGGATGAATGAAGAAAATGTGACTCTCTCTCTCTCTCTCTCTCTCCACATATATATATGTATATATATATATAATTGATATGTGAATGTCACTTATTCCAGCACAATTTGTTGAAAAAAGCATATTTTCTTCATTAAATGTTTCTTGTGTCTTTGTTAAAGGTCAATTGACTTCATTTGCATAAATCAATTTCTGGGCAATATATTCTATTCCATTGACCTATGGAGATATTTTTTTTTCACGAATACCATGCTTTCTTAGTTACCTAAGTCTTATAAATCTTAAAGTTCAGTGTGTGGGTTCTTTAAATTTATTCTTGGTCAATATTGTGTTGGGTATTCTAGGGCACTTGTCTTTCTGTATAATTTTAGAATAAGTTTGTTAATACTTATAAAATGGTTTATTGAGATGTTGATTACAATGACTCTGTAGATCAAACTGAGATGAACTTACATCATAATAATATTGAGCTGTTCTGTTCATGAACACTGAACATTTCTCCATTTATTTACATCTTCTTTAACTTGTTTAATCAGTTTATAGATACTTTGTTAGATTTATAAAGTTTTTTTTGTGTATGCGGTAGTGGTGGTATTTCCAATTTCACTTGTCCATTCCTGGTATATAGGAAAGCAATTGATTTCTATACATTACCCTTTTCCTGCAACCTTACTATATTCACTAATTAGGTCCAGGAGTGTTGTTGTTGCTGTTGTTTTTGTCAATTCTTAGGGAATTTCTATGTAGACAATCACCTTATTTCTAAGCAAGAACAGTTTTATTTGTGCATTCCTAATCTTCATATAATTTTTATCATTTTCTTTAATTATTGCACTAGTTAGGAACTGCAGTATGATATTGAATAGGAGTGCTGAGAAAGAACATCCTTGACTCATTCCTCATCTTGGGAGAGAAGTATTCAGTTTCTAAGCATAAAGCAATAGTGGGTTTTGTTGTTGTTGTTTGTTTGTTTTGTAGACATTATTTTTCAAGTTGAAGAATCTTGCCTCTGTTATTAGTTTGCTGAAAAGTTTTTATCATGATTTTTCTAAAATTGTCAATAAGATCAAGTTGATTTAGCTGTCCAGGTAAACTACATCCTTACTAATTTTCTGCTTGATTTTTCTACCAATTACTAAAAATAAAAACACTGTTGAATTTTTAAATTATAATAGTGGATATGACCCTTACTCCTTACTTCTAACAGTTTCTGCCTCTTGTCTTTCGACTCTTAAATATAACTGACTCTGCTGTTAGGTGCATACATGTTTAGAATTTTTATTTCTTTTTGAGGAATTGACCAAAATTTCCCAAATTTAAGTAATACTCATCCTTAACTATGATAATATTTCTTATTGTGCTTTTAAATCTGCTTTGTATAAAATTAATATAACTACTCTTTCTTTGATTAGTGTTAGTCTGGCATATTGTTCTCCATCCTTTTACTGTGAGCCTGAGTCTTGATTTTTTCAGTGAGTTTCTTGTAGACAACATATAGTTGAATCTTTTTTTTTAATCTACACCAAGAAGCTAATTGGTATAATTAGATTGTTCATACTAAAGCTGATTACTGACATAGTTAAATTCATTTATAGTGTTGGTAAGAGTTTTTGTTGATGTTTTCTTTGCCCTCTCCTTTTTTATTGCCTTCTTGGTTTTTACTGAGAATTTTATATTATTCCATTTTTTTCTGCTCTGTTAATATATGAATTATACTTCTTTAGAAAATAGTAGTTTGTCTGGAATTTGCAAATTAAATTTTCTCTAATCTAAATCTGTATTCAAATAACATCATACCACATCACTTATAGTGTATTTTTTTTTTTTTAAGACGGAGTCTTGCTTTGTCGCCCAGGCTGGAGTGCAGTGGAGCAATCTCAGCTTACTGCAGCTTCCGCCTCCCAGGTTCAAGTGATTCTCTTGCCTCAGCCTCCTAGGTAGCTGGGATTAGAGGTGTGTGCCACCAAATCTGGCTAATTTTTGTATTTTTAGTAGAGACAGGGTTACACCATGTTGGTCAGGCTGGTCTCGAACTCCTGACCTCAGGTGATCCACTTGCCTCGGCATCCCAAAGTGCTGGGATTATAGGCATAAGCCACCGTGCTGGGACTATAGTGTATTTTTTTAACAGAGTATTTCAAATTATTTCCACCTATACGTCATGCCATTGCTGTTATTTATTTCACTTATCTATTTATATATTATAAATACTTAATATGTTATTACTATTATTAATTTAAATAAATAGTTATTGTTTTGGCCAATTAATAATAAAAATACAAGATTTTACTTTACCATCATAAATTTTTTTCCCAATATCCAAACTTTTGTTAATGTAAATCCAAGTTTATGACTTACATGTTTTTCTTTTTCCTGAAGAACTTCTTGTAATATATCTGAAAAATCAGGTTTACTGATGAAAAATTCCCTCAGTTTTTGGCTGAAGAAATTATGATTTCCTCTCTTAACTTTTAAAGGATGATGCCTCTCAGTGTAGAATTCTAGGTTGATGCTCTTTTTTTTTCTTTCAATATTTAAAATATATCATCACATTCTTTTTATTTGCATGTCTTCTGATGATATATAACTATTATTTCATTTATAAGCAAATTCCCCCAGTTCCTCAAATCTGACTTCTTTCAAGATTTTATCTTTGTCTTTTGTTATCTACAATTTGAATATGATATGCCTATGTATAGATGTTGATGACAATGATGGTGATGATGATGATTGGTGTTTATCTTGCTTGATTAGAAAAAAAAAGATTTCTGAATTTATGATTTGCTGTCTCTCATTAATTTAGAAAAATTCTCAGCCATTATTTCTCCAAGTTTCCATTCTGCTTCTTTCTTTCTTCTCCTCTGATATTTCAACTATAACTATGTTACACTTTATGAAATTGTGACATAGTTGAATATTTTATTCTGTTTGTTTGCTGTTGTTTTTCTCTCATTTTCTTTATTTCAGTTACGTAAATTCCTACTGACACATTTTCAAGCTTGCTGTTTTTCTTAGCCACACCCAGTATAATCATGAGTCCAATAAAGGCATTCTTCATTGCTGTTACAGTGTTTTAGATTTCTAGCATTTCCATTGGATTCTTTCTTAGAGTTTCTTTCTTTATCCTCACATTACTGTCCTAGTTCATTTTATGCTGCTATATCAGAATAATTAAGACGGAGTAATTTATAAGTTATAGAAAATTATTCTGTCACAGTTCTGGAGGCTGGGAAGTCCAAGTTCAAGACATTGGCATCTGCTTCCAAGATAGCAGCTTAAGTGCTGATTCCTCCAGAGGGGAGGAGCACTGTTCCTCACATAGCAGAAAAAACAGAAAAGAGAGAAACCATTTCACAAGCCACTTTTATAGTGGCATTAATCTATTCATGAGGGAGAACCCTCATGTCCTAAATGCCTCCCAGAGAGCCACAGCTCTCAATACTGTTGCTCTGGGGATTTAATTTTCAGTACATGAGTTTTGGGAGACACTTTAAAACCATATTCTGTCCATTCCCCTCTCCTCCAATCAAATTCATGTCTTTCTCACATACAGATACATCCATTCCATCCTAATAGCTCCCAAAGTCTTAACCCATTCTAATATTAAATAAAAAGTCCAAGTCCAAAGTCTCTTCTAAATCAGATATGGGTAGGGCTCAAGGAACAATTCATTCTGAGATTTTTTTCTCAAGCTGTAAGCCTGGGAAATCAAATTATGTACTTCCAAAATTCGATGGTGGTACAGGGATAACATTGGCATTCCTGTTCCAAAAGGGAGAAATAGGAAAGAAAGAAGGAGTAACTGTTCCCAAATAAGTCTAAAACCCAATAGTGCAAACAACATTAAATCTTATTCCTGGATAATAATATTCTTTGACCCTATGTCCCAATTATTGAGCACACTGGAGTGGGTGCTGGGTCCACAAGGCTGTGGGCAGCTCTGATTACATGGCTTGGTTAGGCAGAGCTCATACAGCTCTCACAGGTTGCAGTTGAGTCCCTGCAGCTTTCCTAGGCTGGTACTACATGCTGGTAGCTCTGGGGTCTTGGGAACAGCCACATTTCCATGGCTTCTGTAGGCATTGTCTTAGTGAGGACTTTCTTCAGTGGCTCCAACCCCACAGTTTGACTGGGCATTGCCCTACTGGGGTCTCTCTGAATCATTCTTTGGAATCTGGGTGGAGGTAGCCATTTCACATAGCTCTTGCACCCTATGTAGGGTTAGCACCAAGTGGACACTGCCAAGGTTCACTGCTTGTGTCCTCCAAAGTTGTAGCCCGAGCTGGGCACACTTAAGCCATAGTTGGGGAAGCCAAGGAACACTTCAAAATGTGAGGAGTTTAGACTCAGGGTGGTTTTGGGCAGCAAATACCTGAGGTCTCACAGGCATCCTGAACCCATTCCTTGAGACCATTTTGCCCTGAACGTCCTAATACTCTGATGCTGTGATGGGAGGGACATTATTGATTATCTCCAAAATGACTTCAAGGTTATTCTCCCATTGTCTGGATGAATAGCACCTGGCTTCATTCTATTTTTACTAATCTCCTTATCAAATGGTTGCTTGGCCACACCCTCGATTTTCTCTCTTAAACAAAATTTTGTATCTTCACATGGCTAGATTGAGAGTTTTCCAAATCTTTACATCCTGCATCCCTTTTAATTATAAATTCCATCTTTAAATTGTTCTCACATTTTACATTTTACTATAAGTAGTTAAGAGAAGCAACAAAGCACTCTGAATGTTTTCCTGCTTAGAGATTTGTTCTGCCAAATATCTTAGTTCATTGCTCTTAAGTTCTGCCTTCTATGAAGTCTTAAGACATGGACACCTTTCAAACAAGGTTTTCTGCCATCTTATAGTAGTAATGGCCTTTCTTCCAGTTTCCATGAAGATATTCCTCATTTCCACCTGAGACCACATCAGGACACCTTTTACTGTACATATTTCTACCAAGATACTGTTCACAAGCACTTAGATAATCTTCTCTAAGACTTGGGCTCTTTCTACAATTTCTCTTTTTCTGAGTCCTCACCAGAAGTATGCTTAATGCCCCATTCATGGCAATACAGGTTTTTTACAGCATTCACTTCAAAACTCTTCTAGCCTCTACCATTACCCATTTCCAAAGCTGCTTCCACATTTTTAGGTATTTATTATAGCAACATGATACTCCTGTTACTAATTCTGGCATAGCCTGTTTTGTGCTACTATAGCAGAAACTGAGACTGGATAGTTCATTAAAAAGCAGATTTTTTTTTTCTTATAGTTCTGGATACTGGAAAATCCAAGATCAAGGTGCAGGCATCTGGTGTTTAGTAAGAATCTAGTCTCCACTTCAAAGCTTGAATACTGCCTACTCCAGAGGGGAGAAACACTGTTCTTCACATGGTAGAAGAGCAGAAGACAGAGAACTCTCTCCTGACAGCCCTTTTAATAGTTGCACTAATCCATTCATGAGGGAGAATCCCTTATGGCCTGCATGCCCCCTTAAGGTCACACCTCTCATAATTTCTAATTGCATTAGAAATTACATTTCCAATGTGAATTTTGAGGGACATATTTAAATGATAGAAATTACTCATCTGTTTTACCATGTTGTCTACTTTTTCTATTACAACTCCTAAGAACTCCTAGCATGTTAAACATAGTTATTTTAAATTTTTTTTTTTTTTTTTTTTTTTGGAGATGGAGTCTCACTCTGTTGCCCAGGCTGGAGTGCAATGGCGCAGTCTCGGCTCACTGCAACTTCCACCTCCAGGGTTTAAGCGATTCTCCTGCCTTAGCCTCCCAAGTAGCTGGAACTACAGGAGTGTGCCACCATGCCCGGCTAATTTTTTTTTTGTACATTTAGTAGAGACAGAGTTTCACTGTGTTAGCCAGGATGGTCTCAATCCCCTGACCTCGTGATCCATCCGCCCTGGCCTCCCAAAGTGCTGGGATTACAGGTGTGAGCTATCGTTCCTGGCTGTAATCCTTTTTTTTATATTTCAAACTGCTATGTCATATCTGAATCTTCTTTTGATGCTTACTTTTTCTCATCAGACTGTGTGGGGTTTTTTTAGTTTATTTGTTTTGTTTTTAGAAGGTCTTGTAATTTTTTGTTGAAAGACATAATATATTGCATAATAGCGATTGAGATGAATCTGGTTTAATGTTTAGTTTTATTCTACTCTTGTTATGAATTAAACGTGCTTAATGCTTGGTATAGCTTTACGTGACAGAAGCTTCAAACCCTTCTCTTATTTTTCTTTTGTCTCTCTTGTCGACTTTAGACTTCTCTAATTACTCTTCTTCAGAGAGAGTCTGTGTCCTGCATCCCTGTAAGTATTATCCAGTGCCATTTGATGGGGCCTTGTTCATGTGTTATGAAGAACCATTTCACTATCATTACTATTCTCCATTTCTTGCAACAGTCACTAGTGGATCTCTCTCTTTCCTTACCATGAGAACCTGGTGGGGTTCCTACTGGTAAATCTTATGAATGTATGAGGAATCTACTAAGTCTGTGGCCCTAGAAAATTTTCACTTTTATACTAGTCTACATTCTACCTTCACAAAACCATCAAAATTACTATTTAAAGGTTTCTAGTACCTTCCGCTTCAAGTGTGAATATTCTCTGTATTTGCCTATATTTTCAAGTTAAGAGATTGGTTTGCTCTGCAACCTCAGTTCTCTAATGGGTCCAAGAACATGCTTCTTTTCAGTGATTGTGTGTGCACGTGGGGGTGTGTGTGTGTGTTGTAAGGATACATGTGACAACTTGCAATTTCATTCCATGTTAGAAATACAAAGAACCTAAATATTTTTCATACCAAACACATATATCAAGTACATTAGAGCAGATGCCTGGAGCAGGATGTGGTGTCGTGCATGAAGAATGGAAGTGGAGAGAAGGCATGTAGAGGAATAAAACAAAAGCAAATAATCTAGTATAATAAAACTGGAAAGCAGTCTTGCATGAACCAATTCTATGAGAGTATGCTGCAAACTGAGGAAACTGATTAACTGTATATTTGCTCTCAATGACTCAGCTATACAGTGGATTAAATTAGTTACTAGGAATGGAATCCACAAATCTGTACTTTTAAAAAATATGATCATCAGAATATTTTGAAATTACCCTGTAGTTGTCTGGTATTGTGCTCCTTGTATCTCTTCTGTGTTCTTTGTGTCTTATTTTCCCACCCTCCACAGCTGAACTTCAAAATTCTCCCTCTGAGTTTCCACCGAAGGACTTTTTGAATGCCTCTATCTTTCTCCAGTAGCCACAGCCAGCCACTGGCTGCGCTTCATTTCCTGCAGAAGCTCAGTTACTTGGGTACTTCTCAGGAGCAGCTGTTAGGCAATCTGGAGGGCAAGGCAGTGATGCTTTGCCTTGGGGGAGGGCTGCTTATGGAGGGAGAAAGCAGCGGCAGTGGAGGCATTCAGAGGTCTTGGATGGAGGGTCTTCTGAGGAGTATCAGGGAGGAAAGAGGCATGATCAGAAGTCTCCCTCACTGGTGCCTCCACCCCTTGAGGTTTCTAAGGTAAAAGCACTTGTGATCTGCCCAGGTCTAGAGGCCCCAGAGTCAGTGAGGGTCACTGATGAGAAAGTAGAAACACCAGGTCATTGGGATCACCCTTGTGAAAGCTGCCTGCCTCAGGAAGAGATGAGCCACGACCTGACAGCCTGGCCCACATTCGTACTCCTCAAATATATCCCTCTTCTCACACCAAGAATGATTCTTCGTTCCAGAGGTGAGATAAAAGTAAAAGAATTTAAAGCTGTCAAACAATCTGTGTGGAAGTGAAGTATGAGAAACAGTACAGTTGTTTTTAAAAAACTGTGTCCTGGGAGTTGGAAGACCTGCCTTCTGGGCCTGAAACCTTGGTCAAACCTTGGCATAACCTTAGAGAAGTAAAGCAATCTCTCCTGGTCTTTGTTTCTACATCCTGTTGAATTGGTGAAATGTTGTTGGCAATGAAAGTTAAAGAAAAAGAGAGAAGCCCTGGGTTCTCTCTCAATTAGTTGACCGTAAACTCAGTATCGATCTGTGACATGATGTAACTCTGATGAAATTAAGGCGATATTAGACTGCTTAAGGAGGGAGATGTCTGTTCTATTTTGTTCTGTACTGATCAGATTGTCTGAAATACAAAGACTAGTTCTTAATTATGCTTTTAGAGGACATATTAAGGGGAGAGAAACTGAGGCAGTAAATGAGAAAACTCAAAATCAGGGAAATATGCTATTGGAGCAAAAAATAACCAGAGGAAAAAAATTTGCTTCATTTTATTACAATAGTCAAGACATGGCTACAAGGAGTGAATGCTTGTTTTGTGCTAAGTAGTGTCTTAGAAACTTTGAATGTACCATTTCATTTAATTCTCACACTGTATCTGAGGGAATCAATGTGTGTGTTTCTGTGTGTATGTATGTGTATGTGCGTATGTGTGTTACTCTGTAGTAAAACTGATGAAACTGAGTTTTAATGAATGACATTAATATTTCTGACAACACACAGAGAGTGAGGATGCCTGGATTCAAGTCTATGTGATTCTGGCAAAAGACCTAGCCCCTAACTCATAACAGCCACAAAAGAAAGCAAGAGTTTTTAAGTCCTTAAAGAGTGTCACAGGTGCTCTGTCTGTCTCTAGTAGCAGAACCAGGACTTACATCTGGAAGTAAGGCCTGTATGACTTATGTATGAAGTCATACAAGACTTAAGTATGATGATGAAATTCACCTCAATTATGTACTTCTTAACAAATGAAGCTGCAAGACGATTGGATGAGTATCTCACTAGAGTTAGTGATTGGAGGCATTGAAACAGAGGCGAGGCAAATATTCATCTGGGATATCTTTATGGCCATCTGGGCATGATAGAAGGTGAACTAGATGAACTCCAAGGTCATTTCCAACCTTGAGAGTTTATGGCTCTTTGATAACCAAGTTCTAGCATGTTGTAACAGCCAGTGCTCCTAAGAGTTCACAACGCATACAGTATTTATGTGGATGATTAAGACAGGTTGCTATCAACATTCCTCAGAGAAACATAATAGACAAATAAAACAAACGTTAGAATTTATTTATCCCTTACATAGCTTCAGTCACTAAGTGCTTTACACACTTTAAACCCCATAACAACATCTCAGAAAGCCTATTTTTAAATCATTTTACAAAGGGGACATCTGAGATGCACAGTAGCTATCTTGTTTTCTCAAGTTCACAAGGCTAGTAGGTAGCAGAAGAGGAATTGGAACTCAGGCCTGTCTATCTCCCAACGCTTCTTCCTTACCATTCTGTTATACCACTTCCCTCTACATGGTAAAATTTCTCTTTATTAAGAAATCTGAGGCTTAGATTGAAAGAAATTTTCTATGGATTCAATAATTTCCTAGTTGCCCTGTGCTCTCACTATACCTAAATAACCTCACTGAATACTCGCAACAGTTCTCTTAAGTGGGTATTATTACTCTTGTTTTATAAATACAAAAATGAGAAGCAAAGAAACTGAGTACATCATTTCTCTTGGTCACATGCAATAATTGGCAGGACCAAAATACCTTTGCAAACCTGGATATCTTCACAATGAACTCACTTGACCTAGCTTACCAAGCAGATGTTTGATGCCAAGAACATGTTGGCTGCCTGCGATCCCTGCCATGGCTGCTACCTAATGGCAGCTCCCATTGTTGGTGGCTGCATGTCCATGAGGGAGGTGGATGAGCAAACGTATAACATCCAAAACAAGTACAGCAGCTACTTTGCTCATTGGATCCCCCACAATGTGGAAAGAGCTGCTTGTGACATCCCACCCCTTGAGCTAAAAATGTCTGTTACCTTCATCAGTAACAACACGGCCATCCAGGAGCTGTTCAGGTTCAGGTGTATCTTGGAGCAGTTCACAGCCAAGTTCAGGTGCAAGGCCTTCCTAAGCTGGTACTCAGGCAAGGGCATGCATGACGTGGAGTTCGCTGAGGTCGAGAGCAACATGAACAACCTGGTGTCTGAGTATTAACAGTACCAAGACACCATACAGAGGAGGAGAGAGAGTTTGAGGAGTGGGCCAAGGAAAAGGTGGCTTAGACCCTTCTGTTACTAGGTGAAGGATGGAAGTGGCATGTATTTTTTAATCACTCACAGTGTTTTCTGTGATAGCAACACCTCACTGTGTGTGCACTTGCTGTGTATTCACCTCTATTACAACCTTTTCATAGTAAAAAAAATTAAAAAGCCTCTCAGAGAAACATAATAAAATTACATAAATTAAACAATAAAAATAAAAATAAATAAATAAAATAAATAAACGTGGACTGACCAAGTCCACAGTTAAAAAGCTAAATGATTTGCTTAGAGCCTTGGGAAATTACAACCAAGAATCCATTGTTTTAAAAACCTTAGATAATTCTATTTTTCACACACCAGCAATGTTCATCATGGAAAGTCAATAAGTGTGCTTGGCTCTGTTTATGATGACTAGCACTTCAAATCTCATTTTCTGATTCATCCATACTCTACAAACAAATGTAATACGTGTTTTCTATGTATGTTTCACGAGATGATAATACAAAGCAGTTTTGGACCAATCTATCTCAAAGAAAGGAGAACCTGTGCCTGGACTCTGACATAGAAACAAAAAACAAAACAAAACAAAAAACGAGACTCAAGCCCATAGAAGATCCCTTCCCAATAACAAGGGAATAAATTGATAGCAAAAGATGACTTTCTTCTGCTGAGTTCAGATTTGGCTCCTGAACTCTGCAAAAGGAAATGAGGGAATGAATTTATTTCTGAGGCGCATTTGAAAAGGAAGCCAACTTTCCTCTCTGGCTTTTTTTTTCTTTTCTTTTTCTTTTTTTTTTTTTTAAGTATCAAAAGAATCCTTAAACACATAGGGAAGACAGGTCAACCATTCAAACCCCCGTGATTTCCTTCAGCTTTCTGCACATTTCATAAGTGAGGATTTTCTCTCAGAAACCACAACAGCACGCAAAGCAAGCTCAATAGTGCAATGAGTTGTCACTGCCAAAGAGTTGTCACTGCCAAAGAGTTAGCCTCATCCTCATAGACGAGACACCAGGACAATGTTTTCCTACCACAATGTTGTGAGGAAACCTGAGCACCCAGAAATCTAGGTGACTTTCATATTTCTAGCACATTGCTCCCCAAAATGTGGATTTGTAACCTTGGTAGTTCTGAAATGTTTGTATGTAATACTTGTGATGATTGAAAGCATTCTTGAAATTGAAAAGGGCACTCAAAAATTGTAGATGGTACACAATTCCAATGCTAAGGAAAAGTGAATCACATGATGGCAGAATTATTTTTATTTCAATTTTCTTCCAACTCTTTGAATTAAGTCAAGGAAAATAAAACCTTCCAATTTTGAGCTAAAATGGGTCTTCAACGCCTAATTTAACACCCCTTTAAAAGAAAAAAATTGAGACAGTTCTCACTTCATCACTCAGGCTGGAGTGCAGTGGCACAATCCTGGCTCATCACACTTCCAACATCCTATGCTCAAGCGATCCTCCGTCTTCAAACTGCTGAGTAGCTGGGGCTACTCAGGAGGTGCATGCCACCACACCTGGCTGATTTTTATTTTTATTATTTATTTTTTTTTTTTAGATATCGCTCTGTTGCCCAAGTGGTCTCCAACTCCCAGGCTCAAGCGATCCTGTCTGAGCCTCCCAAAGGGCTGGGATTTTTTTTGTTTGTTTGTTTGTTTTTTAACAAAGAGGAAACAGGTCTCATCTCAAGAGCCTTAGGCCACTAAAAATATCTAACTAGGATTCAGTCAAATTTAAAGCTACAGTTGATCCTCATTATCTATGGATCCATATTTGTGAATTCAGCTACTTGCTAAAATCTACTTGCAATCCTGAAATACTCACAAAGTTTCTGCAGTCATTCAGACATGTTCAAAGTAGTGAAAAAGTTTGAGTTCTTGTACATGCTTGCTCTCAGCTTACATTGAGTAATGTGACATTCTGTCTTCTTGTTTCAGATCCCATACCGTAAACAAGCATCCTTTTCATGGTCTATTTAGTGTTACGTTTTTGGATTTTGGTGGGTTTTATTGTTAGTGATTTTGTCGTTGAAAATGGTTTCTAAACACAGTACTGAAGGGCTGTCTAGTGTTCCTAAGCACTGGAATGCTGCAATGTGCCTTACAGGGAAAAAACATATGTTAGATAAGCTTTGTTCAGGCACGAGTTATAGTGCTGTTGGCTGTGAGCTGAATGTTAAAGAATCAACAACATATATTAGATGAGGCATCTTTAAACAGAAACATACATAAAACACGTGTATGTATTGATTGATTGATGACAACATGTGACTACAGGCTAGAAGGAACCTAACCCTATATTTTTTCTTAGGTGTAATAATTCAGTATTCACCCATTCTATGTTTGCAGACACTTTATAGAACCTAACTACCATGAATAATGACGATCTAATTCTCTTTTAGGCAAGTGACTTAAAACTTTCTTTTTATGATGGTACTATTTAAAATGAATTTATTCAAGTTAAAAGCAAGCCAATTTAAATAAAAACACTTAAGTTAAAAAGAATAGTACAGGGTACAGGTTGTTTACTGTCATAGCAAAATTTGAAAGTAGTAAAGGAAAACCTGGAGTCTGTGAGTCACTAATTTAGCCAAAGCCTTTTGAGTCATCTTGCCAGAAGATTTTACCAGTTATTGAGCCTCAGTGTCCTTATCTCCGAAAAGATTATTATACCTTCTCACATACTGAGGTGCATTTGAGGAAACAAACTGAAAAGCACTTTTAAACCTACCTACGGGCAGGGCATGGTGGCTCATGTCTGTAATCCCAGCACTTTGGGAGGCTGAGGCGGGTGGATCACCTGAGATCAGGAGTTTAAGACCAGCCTAGCCAACATGTTGAAACCCAGTCTATACTAAAAATACAACAATTGGCTGGGCATGGTGGTGCATGCCTGCAGTCCCAGCTACTCCGGTGGTTGAGGCACGAGAATCGCTTGAACCCAGGAGGCCGAGGTTACATTGAGCCGAGATCGTGCCGCTGCACTCCAGCCTGGGTGACAGAGCAAGACTGTCTCTCAAAACAAAACAAAACACCTACCTAAGAACCTTATCAATATGAATGAGGCATCACCACAATAACTGTTGTTTCCTCTTGTAGACAAATTGTGAGGATTACCAGCTAATCTGAGTTCCTATGCTACTGCAGTTCCATCTGTCAGAAGAAAAGAAAAGGAAAAAAAAAGCACATTTGACATGCCCCCCACCTCCATTACCCACTAATAATGAAAAAATAATGATCTTTTTTCCCATGTTGGTGAATATTTTCCCTGTCAACTCCGATATGCTCATAATGCTGGCAGACAGATTATTTATGACCAGAGAAATTAAATATTATTTCATTTCTCCTAATACAATCTGTGGCGTCTCCCAGCTCCCAATTCCTTCCCATTAAGGTTATTGTCTTTTCTGCTCCAATTGGCTGCGTGCTGTTGGCTTGTAACAGCACTGGCAGAATGCTCGGAGCATAATGGAGGTGGTAGAAATGGTGTAATTTGCAAGACTGCCTTCCCCGTCTCATCTAAATGAAGACATTTGGTCCCTGCAAGTCAAAGCCCATTTTGATGAGTCTAGATGCATTTGGACTAATGGAAAAGGACAGCCATAGTTGTAATGGACTTCCTGAACTGGGTTTTCTTACTTAGAATCACAGAATTTCGGAACTTGGAGGGTGATTCAAGTCCATCTGTTTCAAGTCTCTCATTTGCTTGGGGGAAACTGAGGAGCAGAGAAGGGCATTCATGCAATGACACCTCTGATGAAAGAGCACTTTTTTCCTTTCCAACCTCTGTTCAATATTCTCATACTTTCAGTATGATTTAGATCCTTATCAGGAGCCCATGCCCTTCTCTAAGCACTGAGAGATATGAGTACCTTTTATAAGGGCCAGAGGCAGGAATCTTTCCCAAACAGGGGTTTGTGCCTTCCTGCCTCTGTGCCTTTGCGATTTCTATTCTTTCAGGTAATATCAGCTAGAGGTGAACTGGAGTATTTTGGGGACCTGCATCGTGGCTCAACTTCTTCCTCTGCCCAAGCCTGTTTTCCTTCCTTCTTTTCATAGGTGTTATTTCTAATAACAAATCCAATCCCAGTCCCTGCTTCAGGAGAACTCAACCTGTGACACTGAGGAGGCGAAATGTAAGATGAGTTTCTTCCTTCCTTATTCTTAGATTTATTTCACACTTGCTATGTGCCAAAACTGATATAGATCTGGTGTGTAAAAATATAGTTCCTCCTAACTGAAAGCAACCAGCTGGATAGCAGAGAGACAATAAGAAGCAATCATGTTAAGCCACTGTTTAATGCAGACCATTGTTACCTCCTGACTACACTACTGCAATATGGCCCTTGCTTGTATTTCACTTTCTATGTTGTTCCCATTTATTCATCAAGTGAAAACCCAAGTCTGGCCGGGCGCAGTGGCTCATGCCTGTAATCCCAGCACTTTGGGAGGCTGAGGCGGGCGGATCACGAGGTCAGGAGATCGAGACCATCCTGGCTAACACGGTGAAACCCCGTCTCTACTAAAAATACAAAAAATTAGCCAGGCATGGTGGCAGGCGCCTGGAGTCCCAGGTACTAGGGAGGCTGAGACAGGAGAATGGCATGAACCCGGGAGGCGGAGCTTGCAGTGAGCCCAGATAGCGCCACTGCACTCCAGCCTGGGTACAGAGCAAAACTCCGTCTCAAAAAAACAAAAACAAAAACAAAAACAAAACAAAACCCAAGTCTGATCATGTTACTTCTTGGCTTAAAATCTCTTAGTGGGCCAAGTGGGCGCTGTGGCTCACGCCTATAATCCCAGCACTTTAGGAGGCTGAGGGAGGTGGATCATCTGAGGTCAGAAGTTTGTGACCAGCCTGGCCAACATGGTGAAACCCCATCTCTACTAAAAAATACAAAAAATTAGCCAGGCATGGTGGCATGCACCTGTAATCCCAGCTACTCAGGAGGCTGAGGCAGGAGAATCACTTGAACCCAGGAGGCGGAGGTTGCAGCGAGCCAAGATCACACCGCTGCACTCCAGCCTGGGCAACATAGCGAGACTCCATTTCAAAAAAAAAAAAAAATCTCTTAGTGAAGCCTGATAACAGTTGAAATAAAGCCCCAGTTCCTTATTTAGCTCTTGCCTATTTCCTCTGTATCATTTCTTTCAATGTATAATGCCTTAGTAACACTGACCTGTTTTCAGTCTCTCAAGCCCATGGGCTCTTCCCTATCTCAAATTCTTAAAACTGTGAACTCCAAAAATCTGAGAAAGGCTTCAGTTAATTTAGAAAGTTTGTTTGGCCAAGGTTGAGGATGCGCACCCATGACACTGCTTCAGGAGGTCCTGACGACATGTGTCTAAGGTGGTCAAAGCACAGTTTGGTTTTATACATTTTAGGGAGACATGAGACATCAATCAACATAGGTAAGATGAACATTGGTTTGGTTTGGAAAGGCAGGATAACTCAAAGCAAAGGCAGGATGACTCCAAGCGGGGAGCGGACTTCTAGGTCATAGGTAGATAAGAGACAAATGATTGCCTGCCTTTGAGTTTCTGATGAGCCTCTCCAAAGGAGGCAATCAGATATGCATTTATCTCAGTGAGCAGAGGGGTGACTTTGAATAGAATGGAAGACAGGTTTGCCACAGTTACCAGCTTGACTTTTCCCTTTAGCTTAGTGATTTGGGGGCCCCAAGATTTATTTTCCTTTCATAATACCTACTAATTCCTCCATCTAGAGGATTCTCCTTCTGCTATCTTTGAGTATCTGACACATTCTCACCCTTGACAATTTGTTTTATTTGTTATCTTCTCAAGGCTGCTGCATAGTTTTGTAGGTTATATACTGAAAATCCAAGGGGGTGCTGTTCACATTGCTAGTCATCTGTGGTTGGTGTATTTATTATGATTTGATGGCAGTTATAAATGAGGAAGCTTAAGCAAGAGATGGCTTTTTCTAATTTGCAGAAAGGTCCTCAGCAGATATAATGAAGGATTGAAAGTTCATTCCTCAGTCCCCTGCTCTGACTACGGGATCCAGTTTATTCCCTTCATATTACATATTGTCATTTTAATCACATATTTATTTGCTTGTTTACTTTATCGCTTGTTTTTTTCATTAGATTATGGTTTTTATATGGTTAGAAATAAATAACTTTTTCTTCACCCACAAGTATACTGTGTGTCTTGCACAGTGCCTGATATATAAAAAAGGGCTCAACAAATGTTGCTCAGTTAAATCAGTGAAGGTGAGTGGGTGACATTTGGGCTGTTCTGTAAAATGAGCGTAGGATTTAAACACCACTCCAAGAAAGAGAGGCATTTTTGTGAGGGAGGGGAGAATTCCTTATATAAGAAATGGGACAAAAAGCACTTATCTTAGTAATGTGCTCAAAGATGTAAAATGCTAGCACAATGTTTGACACAGCTACACTCAAAAACATTTCTACTATCATTATCATCATTCTTTTACTATGGTTAATAAACAGCAGAAACATTACTCTTCCTCATTGATTAGAACATATAGTATTACAAAAAATACAAAATCAGAGTTTATAATTAGCTTGTATGGTTTGCAAAATTCTCTGGAGGAATTTGGATTTCATATATTCAGAGTTTCTTCTAGCCTTGCAATTTACCTTAAGACAGTGAAAAAAATAGATTTCACGAAAAATTAAGTATATTATACAGTCCAAGTTCTGGACCCGTAATTGAAAATAAGCCCCATGTTTCTCTTTCTTATGAAATTTCATTCTCCTCATTATTGCCATGATCCGCTGAACAAATGCCCCTGGGAGGCCAAGGAAGTCAGACAGTGGCACCATTTCCCACTTTAGCAATTCCCTGAAACTGTGCATACCAAAGGAAGGACAGTTGTTATCAAGTTGTCAGCAATTCCCATTGTATCTCCAGAGCTATAAAACCACTGGTGCCTCTTTCCAAAAGGCCTTTTGAAACATCTTCTACTTTAAGAAGAAAAACATAACTGATATAAAAAAAATTCAATTCCATGGTAAGAACTGAAAGTTGAGATCACATGTTATTTTTCTTGCTAGTAGCTATCATCCTTCTATTTCTCACTTTTTTTCTTCTTGGGAACCATTGACTATATCCCACTTCCTGGGACCACTCTGGGTATCAGTCATGGTTTTGGTTGCAAGCAACAGAAAGGGAACAGATACTTTGGTGAGAAACACAATTTATTGGAAAGATATTGGGTAACTTACAAAATCAACAATAGACTAATCAATCAGGCCCTGAAAATAAGCAGGAACCAAGAGAGGCTAGGAAGCAGGAAATTCACTACTTCTCTGTACACACTGACAACTCACAGTGCAGCCAGTAGCGGGACTCTGGATATCACCATTTGCCACTGGGTCCTCACCACCACAGGATTCTTAATGCTGCCACCAAAATGAATAATCTTTTTACCATCTCTGCATCTCTCCATCAATCCTTTAAGAGTCAGTCATGGATAGGACCATCTGATTTTCTCTTTTTTTAAGGCCAAGTGCCTGTACCCATGCACTAACTCACAGCAAAAGTTACCTAGCAGATTTTTTTTCCCTATTCATTCCAAAATAAGAACAACATTTGAATAGGAGGCAATAAAGAAATGGTGGATTTCAGTGGCAGAAAAAGTAAGTGATAAAACTAGGTTTTCAAACTTGTCCATGTGTTTTAATCAAGCTCTCCATCGTAGGGGAAAATTAGAGTTGAATAAAGAGAGAGATTCTTCTAAGAGGTGAAATAGATGAAGATATTAAAGCAACCGTCTTACAAAACTTAACACGTCTCACACCATCACAAACCAAAATTGTATCCAAAGCAGAATTATCAGTCATTCCTTTAAAAAGTACTTATTAGAGATCTACTATCCAAGTAGTGCTGTGTTAGGCAGTGTGAATTAAGTTCCCATGCTCAAGGAATTTATCTTATACAGTCTACCCTCCATATCCACGCACATCTACAGATTCAATCAACCACAAACTGAAAATATTCAGAAAAAAATAACAATGCAACCACAAAAAGTAATTTAAATAAAAAACAGCATAACAACTATTTACATAGCATGTACATTATCTTATGCATTATAAGTAATCTAGAGATGAGTCAAAGTATACTGAAGGATGTGCGTAGGTTATATGCAAACTACTCCATTTTATATAAGAGATTTGAACCTCCACTAAATTCTGGCATCCTTAAGGGTGGGAGGTGGTGTGGGGGGAGTGAATACTAAAACCAGCCTCTCATGGATACTGAGGGGCAACTGTACTTATTGCTTTAATGACTCAACAGAATGATATCGTTGACTGCTTTCAGCTCTTTATGTATGAAATTAAAACATACTATGTCTTTTTCCACTATTGTGCTTGCAAAGGACATTTGTACATTTGCCACACCTATCATCCTATATATTTAAATATTAATAGGAAAGTTTTGAGCAATAAAGACAGGTGGAAAAAAAGTGGTTAGAAGATTGGAGTCAAGTGTGGAGATTTGGGTCTTGGATCTGCTGTTAGACAACTCTGAGTCCTTCAGTAAATTGGCAAATCTCAGCTTCAATCCCCTGGCATGTTAAATGGGATAATACCTAAATCCACCTCTTGTATATCTTTGCAAAATTAAGATGGGGGTGTCTACTTAGATGGGTTTAATTTTTATTCTTTATAATAAACAAGGAAACATACTTTTTAGGGCACCAAATGACAGGTACTGACTGACAAAGTATTTTGTAATTATACTTAATTCTCCACTACAAGCTATCTGAAAACCTCTAGATATCATACAAGCTTTAACTCTTCTGCTCATGTGGTTTCATCTCTTTGCTAACATTTCTTTTTTATTAAAAATCCAAGTGTTACAGTTATCCCCACCATTTATACACACATATTTTTAAGTGTTAAGTCGTCAGGCACAAAGCGTTCTGTTGCACTTGAACAACTACTTGTTAGTTGAGAATTTTTTTCTCTTGTCTTATTATCTCTCCTGTAGGTAACAAATAATGAGCTTTGATAAGAGCTAAGTTTAATTCTCTTTGCTAGAAAAGAAAAAAGATCACCTATTTTTACATTCCCATAGATGAGACAAAATTTTCTCTTTTAGGGAACAAAAGTTGGAAATGTTTCTGATTTCTCCCTCATTATCAAGGAAGAAGTAAATTCTCCAATTGATAGGATTAAGGGAAGGAATTCACCATGATCATCCCAGGACCTTCTTGCAGCTCTTTCAGAGAGTCAATGCATAGACTCTGTTCATTTGTGTCCTAAGCTTATAGGAGATTGAGTGATGGATAAGACCTTGAACCTCTCAGGGGATGGTAAATATTTTAAAGGATAAGCTATCAAAAAACCCAGCTGTGGTTGCCGATGAGGTTATCTATTTTAATACAACTTTATTGCTAATAACACTGACATTTTGTTGTCTGTCTGATGATAACCATACTCAGGAAAATAAGAGCTGAGTGTTAATTGTGGAATCCCTAAAAACTCCAACTTATTCCATCAGTGGCAGCAGTTTTATAATGCAAGTCTCTCTCTGTTCTCTAATAGCCACATTATCAGCAAGTAAGCTGGTATTTTCTAGAAATAGTGTTCTCACAGGAACATGGTAAGCATTGTATGTTCTTTATTTTCTTTTGTTTTTTTAATACATGTGGTTTTTATTTTTAGGACTGAATATACAGATCTTTCTGCCTTCCTCTTAGTTGGTAACTTTGCTCATCTCATCTCCATGTTTACCCTCAAAGAGAGAAAACAGGTTTTAACTGGATAGTAAGTATTAGTGAGCACTTTCAGGGGAAACATAAGAAGATATTTAACAAAAAGCTTTCTAGAACTCTACATTTGGGGTTATTTGAGGAAAAATTAGGCATGGCAAAAACCTAGATTGTGTTAATAATGGTCGTTAAGAGAGTCCCTTTTCTGTAATCTGAATCCTCAAATAAAATAGTACCTTGAGAGGAGGCATCTTCCTGTGGTCACTAAACTGTTTCCCAAATATATTTAACCTGTAGACATTAGATACAATATGATAGGATTGTACTAATGCATAGTAGTTTGAATTTCACTGCATATGCTATGCTTGAATAATGACAGGGAAATTGGGTTTTAGTGAAGATACTTAAGAAGATTGATGAATTATTTGTACATTGGCAGACTAGTCCTTTAATTCAGATTGTTCTTGCTAAGAGCCCAAACCACATCAAATTAACCTTATTTGTTTATTTATTTATTCATTCATTTATCGTTCATTCAATTCCCAAAAGTTTATTGACGGTCAACTTGGTTTTAAGCATTTTTCTAAGTATTGGAGACCCACAAGTCAACAAAACAGCACTCTTAAATGCTAGTAGGAGAGACTAGCAATAACACATTAATAATTGAATTATATATTACTGCAAAGGTAATAAATTACAGAGAAAAAAGTTGAAAAACAGAAAGAAGCATGTAGATTATTGGGGCAGAAAGGAGGGTTTAAACTTTTCAGTAGATTGCTCAGTCAAGGCCACATTAAGAAGAAAACATCTGAACAAAAGTTTGAGAAGAGAACTGTGCATATATGCAGAAATGAGCCTTCCAAGAAGAGGAAACAAAATGTTTAAAGGCTCCAAGCCAGGAGCATGCCTTGAGTGTGAACACTCAGAAGCTGGTGTGATTGGAATTGAATGAATAGAGAGAAGATTAAGAAATAAAGTCAGAGAGATAATTGAAGGCCAGACTATGTGGGATTTTAGGACCATTGTCTTTGGAATTAGAGAGACTGAGATGGAAAATCACTATAAAATTCTGCACATTAACTCTGGTTGATGTGATAGGAGAGACTGAAAGGAATGGGTTAATCAAGGATAGAAAAAGTGAGACCAATTAGGATACTAATGCAACAGTGCAAATGTGGTGGCCTGGACTAGGTCACTATGAGTGTATGTGACAAAATGCAGTCTGGGTATATTTTGAAGATAAAGACAACAAAGTTTGTTGAAAGACTGAAATAAGAACATGTTGGCAATGGAAAATCAAGAATTGTGGTTTAGACCCCATAGATATTACAAATATCAAATATATAGGTAACTATAGGAAGCTTAATTTAAGGAAGAAGGCCAAGACTGTTGAATGGTCAGCATATAGATGGGATCTAAAACCTGAACACTGGATGTGATCAACAAGTGCCTGAGTTTAGATAGAAAAGAGAAGAAATCTATTGATATTGCTGTAGAGATTAAGAGGTCAGGAAGATAAGGAAGAACTCACAAAAGAGACTGATAACAAACAGCCAGTGGTAGAAAAAAAAAAAAAACCCAGAAGGCTGTGCTCACCTAGTATTAACGTACATAAAGGGGTGGGAGAAATAGACCTTTTCAAATAATGCTCATAGGTCAACTGAAATGACTGAACAAACTGGCAGTGGCTACTGCATTTAGCAATTCAGAAGTTGCTGCTGACCTTGACAAGAATGGTTTTGCTGGAGCTGTGTCAGTGAAAGCCTTGTTAGAGTGGGCACAGCAGAATAGTGGTAGACTAACCCGAGACCACGACTATAGAGCTCTCACTTGCCTCTTTTCATTAATAGCATGATGTTTCAGTGATGGCAGACAACAATGTGACTCACCAACAATTCTGAAGAAATGCTCCTTCAAGCATCCAAGAGGATCACCTTTCTTCTCTGTCTTGAAATTAGGTATAGCTCTTTGTTTTGCTTTCTCAAATGAGTTATCGGCAGAAGTGGCATGTATCCATTCCAAGCAGAAGCATGAAAATCTGGTGTGTGATTATCTCTTTCTTCTTTGTGCTGCTGTTGGCAATGTTCTATGTAGTGAGAACTTCATTAGCTGTGGTTCAATATGAAACAGAAATCCTCCACAAATGTGTAATGTTGCTGGCATGTTGGCTCATGCCTGTAATCCCAGCACATTGGGAGGCCAAGGCAGGTAGATTGCTTGAGCCTAGGAGTTTGAGATCAGCCTGGGCGGCATGGCGAAACCTCATCTCTACAAAAAATACAAAAATTAGTAAGGTGTGTTGGTGTGTGCCATTAGTCCCAGCTACTCAGGAGGCTGAGGTGGAAGGATCACTTGAGGCCAAGGGATTGAAGCTGCAGTGAGCTGTGATCCCGCCATTGCACTCCAGCCTGGGTAATAGAGAAAGACCCTGTCTCGAAAACAAAATGTATAATGTTTATATGCTGTGAGTGAAAAAATAAACTTTTTTGTTTCAAAACACTGAACCTTTGGGGTCATTGGTTACTGCAGCCTGATCTGGTCTAATATGAGTAGCACCATGCCTGCTCTCTTTCTGTTGTACGTGCTGGAATTTCTGTAACTATACTAACCAACTGACCACAGCTTGCTCAAAATGTATTGGGAAATCACAAGCTCTCTAGAAGATGGAAAGTATTTGCTTCCTTCATCAGTATCAGCACATTCAGAATGGAATGAATTAGCCCTATTCTCCCCTGGAAAAAGGGTCTTCCCGTTTCTCACCAATGAGGTGGTGGGAGATGACAATAAGGCATGCTTTTGTTTTATCTGGAGGAGGGAAAGGGCCTGTGCGTTCAATGTAAGAGTCCAGTAAATTCTAAAAAAAGACCCTACTCTCAGCTCACATTTGGAATTACAAAATTAGTTTTGTACATAAAAAGGACCCACAAATTTTAAGTTCTTGGTAATTATTACCTATTATTTTGTTGCAATTATTGTTTTATTGTAATGATTATTGTTTATCATTACTATTATTATTATTATTATTATTATGTCTTGATGGTCATAATGACCTAAAGTTTGCTTTGGCACACCTTTCTTTATGTACCAGGGGATATGTGAAAAAAGAAAATCATAATTCATCCAACATTTCTTATATGTCTACTGCATACTGAACTTATACTCAGAAGACTGATGTTGGACAAGCTATGTTCACTTTCATTCTTCCACTTCAGCTTCATGGACCATAAAGTCATTTATATGAGAAAAGAAAGCATTAACTCCATCTATCTTCAGGGGGCAACAGAATAGATGATCATATTTTCCCATGTCAACATACTAATGGCATATTATACACAAGTTTATAGCTCCCTGATCACCAATCTGCAAGTTGGAAAATGGTACTCAATTGGATTGAGTGATTTGTAAAGGTTGAAACATTGATAAAAAGAGAGACAGGGAAAGAGAAAGATTGGAACCTTGTCAAGGAAAAAACAAAGAAGAAAATAAATACCTATGTTTTTAAAAATGAATTTATTTCTCTTCAGGTATTTCTTCAACATCCAAGTGAATATATGGTTCTTATAATACATTGAATTTAAACAATTTCAGTAATACAAGGAAATTGCAGCTGATGGAAATCCTGAACAGCATGCCAAATGACTTTGAGTTCATTCTTGTTCCTCTTTTTCTTCCATAAACCCAGCCAGGCCATTCAATTCCACAAGCCATCGAGGACTGTGAGATATTACATCATTATAAAGGTTATATATAATTCATTCACCATGTCAAAGAAATGGTGATAAATGCAGGAATTACTCACAAGGATCTTTTCACATATTTTTCCTCAAGCCTTTTTAATTTTATTTTTTAATTCTTTTTATAACTTCCATCAGCTGATCAGCCACACCATCATCAAAATATTACACAGCTCCCAAAAGTCATGTGGAATAATGAAATCTGGGCGAGACTTGATACCCAGTCTCTGGCTTCTAAGGCTTGTTAATCTCATGGGAGCAAAAGTAGTACATGGACCAACATTTATTGAGCCTCACCTATGAACTGAGAATAGAAATCTTACTTTATACAGTTTTTAAAGAATATTTTATTTTCAAACTTAGGTCTCACCAGATACATGAGACTAGTGAAGGTTTTATTTTTATTTTTGTTTGTTTTTTTAATTCAACAAGTATACACTGAAGAGCTGTATGCCATAATCCCTGCCCTTGAGAAGTTTTCCATCCAGTCAAAGACACTGCAACTGTTGAGCTCAAAATTGTAACTGAACAACTCAATAAGAGCAATAGAACAGAGATCGGATAATTTGTTGTAAGAGAATCAGGAAGCGAGAACAAAACTTGGTCTGAGGCTCTCCTAGAAGGTTTTTACTAAAAGTGTGGATTACTCGCTGGGTCCTCTAACATGTTTAGAGAAATTTCCACTTCATGCAAAGAAAGCGGCTTGTTTAAAGTCATGAAACAGTGAAAAGGGTGGGCATATCCACTGCATTAGTTTCATGGAGCTGCCATAACAAAGCAGCACAAACTGATGCTTACAGCAAGTGAAATTTATTGTCACAGTTCTGGGGGCTAAAAGTCTAAAGTCAAGATGTTGACAGGGCCTCACTCCCTTGTAAAATTCCTAGGAGAGGATCTTTCCTTGCCTCTTACTCCTTCTGTTTGCCCCTTACAGCTTCTGTTCACCCCAAGCGTTTCTTGGCTCACGTAAGTATCACTCCAATCTTTGCCTCCTTCACTTGGTTGTCTTCTCCCTATTTGTCTCTGTCTTCACATCTCATTCTCTTCTGCAAGTAAAATTGTTATTATAACAATAATAAGGAGAATAAGGCGAAATACAGAAAGCTTATTTTCAGGAAGAAGGCCAAGGCTATTGATGCACACTAGAGAATGGTCAGCATATAGATGGGGTTTAAATCTGAATGCTAGATGTGATCAGCAATATTCCTCCTCTGTATGTGTGTCTATGTCCAAAAATTCCTCTTTTTATAATGACATCAATCCTATTGGATTAGGGCTCAACCTAATACTCTCAACTTAATTACATCTACAAAGACCCTATTGCCAAACAAGGGCATGTTCACAGGTACCAGGGATTAGAACTAGAACATACCTTCCTTTTTTCTTTGGAGAAGGGGCACAATGCAATCCACAACGTTCATGGAAAGTGTAAAAGAAATATAGGGAACATGTTGAGAAGGGAGAGGAGAAGGCTGGAGCCAGATTGTAAAGAACACAGCATGCCATGTGGGAAGCCCTCAGGCATGCTTCAGCAGATGAGTAAATAAAGCGGCTTTCTCTTTATAAAGACCATTCTATGGCAATGAAAAAATGGACCAAATGGAAGTGACAGTTGCATGTGGCACACATAGTAATTGTCTAGATGAATACTAGGGAGCATATGAGAGGCCAGAGCTAAGGGAAGTCTCTCAGACTAGATGACAATTGATCTGATTAGAGAATCAATCAAGAGGAAAGAATAGAGAATGGCTCTGAGGCTTCTAGTCTTGAGTACTGGGTAGCTGGTAAGACTATTAACCAAGAGATGAACCATATGCAGTAAAGTCGACCGGGAATCAGAATAAGGAGGAGGCAAGTGAAAAGCTTAACTTAGTATATGTTAAGTTGATCTGGGGAAAAAAGGGATTTAAGCAAAATCTTGAAGAATGCAAATAATGAGTATATTCTGCATTGGGCTCATTCTCAGACATTGAAAAACTTTTTAAAAGGTTGCATTCTGGACTCTTTTCAATAGTGAGAAATCCAGAGTAACAATTATCCAAAGATTGATGGTTAATATTGAGTGTCAACTTGATTGGATTGAAGGATGCAAAGTATTGTTCCTGGATGTGTCTGTGAGGGTGTTGCCAAAGGAAATTCACATTTGAGTCATTGGATTAGGAGAGGCAGACCCACCCTTAATCTGGGTGGGAACCATCTAATCAACTGCCAGTGCAGCTAAGATAAGAGCAGGCAAAGGAGCGTGGAAGGACTAGCCTGGCTAAGTCTTCTGGTCTCCATTTTTCTCCCATGCTGGATGCTTCCTGTCTTCAAACATCAGACTCCAAATTCTTCAGCTTTTGGACTCTTGGACTTACACCAGTGGTTTGCCAGGGTCTCTCAAGCCTTTGGCCACAGACTGAAGGCTGCTCTGTCAGCTTCCCTACTTTTGAGGTTTTGAGACTTGGACTGGTTTCCTTGCTCCTCAGCTTGCAGATGGCCTATTGTGGTACTTCACCTTGTGATTGTGTGAGTCAATACTCCTAAACAAACTCCCTTTCATATATACATCTATCCTATTAGTCCTGTCTCTCTAGAGAATCCTGAATAATACACAAAGTGTATGAGTATGAGTTTTCTATTGCTATGTAACAAATTACCACCAACTTAGTAGCTTAAAACAACACACTTTTATTATCCCCAGCCAGGAGCCTGGGTGTGGGTTAGCTGTTCCTCTGCTCAGGGTCTAACAAGCTAAAATGCAGTCAGGACTGTGACCTTATCTGAAGCTCTGGGTCCTCTTCAGTGTTTGCTGGTTGTTGGCAGAATTCAGTTGCTTGTGGTTGTAGGACTGAGGACCTCAGCTCCTAGAGCCTGCCCCTGATACCCTGTCATATGACTGTCTCCACATGTGACACTTCACTACTTCAAGGCCAGAAAAAGAGCATCTATGCTACTTTGACTTTCTGATTTCTAGACAACTTTTTTTTCATTTTTTAAAAAAATTTGGGGATAAATTATAGGTGTATATATTCAGGAGGTACATATTTTGATACAGACATACAATGTGTAATAATCATATCATGGTAATGGGGAATCCATGACTCCAAGCATTTATCCTTTCTTTGTGTTACAGACAACCCAATTATACTCTTTTAGTTAGTTTAAAATGTATGATAAATTAGTATTGCTGCAGTAAATTATTACTACAGTCAACAATAACTTATTTTACATTTTAAACTAAAAGAGTATAATTGGATTGTTTATAACACAAAGAAAGGGCCATTTTTTTAAGGGCTCAACTGATTAAGGCAGGCCCACTCAGACTACTTTCTCTTTTGATTAACTTATTCTCAATTCCTTAAGGACATTACTAGCATCTGAAAAATCCCTTTACCTTTGCCGTATAAGGTAACCTAATTACGAAAACATCTCCTCATAGTCAAAAGTCTCACCCACATATAGGGACGGAAGGAATTATACAAGGTGTGCAAACCACAGAATGGAAACCTTGAGGACCATTTCAGAATTCTTACTACCACACAGTGAGTCTTGGTAAAACAAGGAATATGCAAGACATTTTTTTTTTGCTTCCGTTAATGGCACTCATCTGATTATCTTTGGTTGATGAAATGTCTATATAGGGCCACAATTCTGTACTCAGCAACAATAGTCTGCACTCCTGTACAAAAATTGTAAACAGTTTTAATCACAATGCTGAGTTTTTGTGACATACTTAACTAGAACTAAATATTCATTTTAGACGAACCAGAATAAACTCATAAAAAAGAATGTTGGCCCATATTTTAGAAATATTTACTAAATTGAAACTTTCTAGATATTCTACAGTCCTCTCAGTTAAGGTTATTCCCTCAGCAGTAGTAATTAGTAATAATGGTGATGATTACTCATAATCTACACTCATCTAATAATTTTATGCATTTTCTCAAGTCAGCCTCACAATGACCCTACAAATTCTAACTGATAAACACTATCTGATTCTCAAGTATGGGTATTATAGTAGGTTCTTTTTATACAAAAATCAGTAAACTGCAGCCTTTGTCCTTACCTAGTTCGAGGTTTTGTTGGGCGAAATATATAAATGATATTATTTCATTTAAGAAAAGAAGGCACAGAGAAAGGAATTAATGGGCAAAAACCACACAGTTAATTAATAGAAGGGCCCACTTGTCCCAATGTCACTGTCAGCATTCTTTCCACTGCCTTATAGCACTGTATGTGTTAGTGGCATAATCCATATACATCCATTTATGCTTTAGAATAACACTTTAAAGTGAAAATACGTGATGGTAGGAGAGATGGCACTAAATGCAAAAATTCACTGGATTTCTTGATGGATGCTGTTTTCTCTAAGAGCCTGAAACTCAGCAGAATTCACCAAGGTAGCATCTGACACTGGCCAAGGTGTTGTGTGACCATCCTTGTTGTTTCAAACAATCTGGAGCAATACATGAAAATGAGATAAGGATAACCTTCTCTCTGATGCCATGGACTGGATGATTTCCCTAAGGTCAGAAGAAGTTTCCCAAGGAGTCGCAGCTGGAAATAGGACCAGGTTAACTAATTGCCTTGCTGATTATGAGAGGAAAAAAAAAATCTGAAATCAGTGAAAGAAAAGTGGTTTTGAGGCCATGGCAATCAAAGCAGAAATCTAGATTCTTCAGGGGCAGCTCCCAAAGAATGACAATAAGCAGATGCCACACAAATGGCTAAGTCATTTTGAAAATTGCTTACCTAGTATTTAGAGGGAAAAACAATATTCTGAAATGAATTGAACAGCTCTGTGCCACAAACAACTGTGTTGTTCTAGATAAGCTCCTTGGTTTTTCTTTTTCTAGAGCTACTTTAAAAATTCCCATTGTATCCCATTATGTTTTTATATCTCTGATTTCTGATTGGCTTGGACTCCCATCACCTGAGAAGTCCCTTATAGTAAGCTGAAGAGATAAGAAAAATTTTTTAAAAGACTGAAATTTTGTGTTCTGTACACAGTATATGAGAATGTTTCTTCTTTTCCCTTTTCATCAAGTTGTTCAACTTCACCAATGATTAGGCAAAGAGAATAAATTGCCGGCTAATTAAATTTGCAGATGGTATTCAATAGTGAGGGTATGTGAGGATAAGGGATAAATGCAAAAGGCCTCAAAAGCTTTGCATTCTACGCTTGAGAAACTGAAAGGGCATGAGTCGTGTGTGCAACTAACATCTGGCAGATAGAAAAAGGGCAGAAGGGAGGCTTCTGGGTCACAGAGTGGATAGCAGAGAGAGGGCAATTGTAGCAGGAGAAAGAGATGGGCTCAAATAGCTGTGAGATAGCAGTGAACAATTATTTCTGTCTGGGTTAAAGCCTGGATTAGTGTATAGGAGACCTCCCATGTATAGAATTCTAGAGTGAAATCCCCAAAACTGCGTCCTCAAATGAGTTTTTGGTATTTGGCAGACCACCAGCTTCACAGCATATCTCTGGCAACACTGTGGCTTTTGAGTTAGCCACGGGGGTTTCATTCACTCTCAAAGTAGAACAAGCTTATTGGCTATGTGCCAGAAAGTGCAAAACCAGATGATATGCATGGCATAAATTTCTCAATTATTAGTTCTGCTCATAGCAAGTAATTTAAAACCTTATTTTGATATTAAAGCAAACATGGACAGGCTGTGGTATAAAATAGGGAATTTGCATGGATTTTGAGATATAACTCAAGACTTGAAAAAGATTTTTCTTACAGCATGCCATTTTGGCTTACATTTCCAGATGCTCTAAGGGTACATATACATGCTTCCTTAAGGTTAGGGGTATTTAGGTAGGCAAAGCTGAGAAACACTGTATCACACCTATGGGCATAGCATAATATGAAATAACTATTTATTTTAAATTATGACAATTTATGAATTATTAATCGATTACCCCCCCATACCAAACATTTTTCTTAGGGTGAAGGGGGGCACAATGATGTAAGAAACAAGTCCCTACTCTCAGAAACTAACATTCAAGGTTGCACTGTATTTATAAAGTTCCTCACATACAGCAATTTAACATAATTACACTTAAAGCATTATTAGTTGATATTTATTTATTTGTTTATTTTGCAAACATTTATGGGACATTTTTCATGTTTTGCTAAGTACTGTACCAGGCAACAGTGATCCACAGGTGAATATTTCAAACCTGCTTTCTGCCCTAAAACAGCTGGAATTCTAATAAGGATGACTGTCAATTAAGAAATTCATTCCAGTAGGATGTAATGTGTTTTATGCAAGGGAAGTGGAATTTGCTAGGGATGATTTGGCAAGAGAGTTTCATCTGCATTGGGCTACATAAAAGTTCACTCAGAGGAATTATAGTTAAGCTGAACAGATAGGAGTTGGTCAGATAGAAAGAATAGAAAACTGTTTCAGCTGGAGGGATAGTATCAGAGAGGCTGAGAAGTGAGCGGAAGCAGGACTTATTCTAGTGCGTAAAAGAAACTGATAATGGTTAGTATACACCAGAAGGAGCAGAATGTGAAAACATAAGCCTGTGGTCATAGGTCTGATTACAGAGATCCTCACAGGCCATCCTAATGGATCCGTACATTATCCTCAGGATGATAAAAAGATCATGAAAGCAAAACATGAACAAAGTTGTAGTTTTAAATGGCCACTCTGGCTTCAGTCTGGGAATGGATTTGAAAGGGACAGAAGTAGAGTCAGGGAGGCCATTTAGGAGGGCATTGCAAAATCCAGGCAAGAGAAGATGCTTGTCAGGCTGAACTGGGGTTTTGGCAGTGGAGATAGACTCAAGTGATACTTACAAAGTGAGCTTACAGAATTCGTTGATTGATTGGGAATGGGTGAAAGAGGTGAAAGTTAATTCTTTGGTTTGGAGTAGGTAACAATTTGCATGTGATTGCCACGGCAGTTTGTAGAATAGATGGATGAAGTTGTTTTTGGATATCTTGAATGTGTAATAACTTAAAATACCCAAGTGGGGGTAATCAGTGAATAGTAAAACAGAAACCTAGAAAGCAGGAAAAGGCTGAATTTTAATCTTTTCAAATAGGGTTTTGTTGATCTTGGACTGTAACTTTTGTCATTGACCAAGCAATATCCTAACAGAGTCTGCCTATTGGACTAAATTTTCTTGCAGGAACTGAAACTAAGATTCTTTCCATTATACCAGAATGGGGCAAGCCTATCATTATTTTGAGAATAAATCCAACCTTTTCCTGAGATTCCTCTAAAATCACTTGCATAAGCTTGCAGCCCTCTAGTAGAAGAATGGGTACTTCAGCCTAAGTCTCTATACTACCAAACTAGTATGCTTTTATTTATTATATTTTCTCACCCCCATTCCCCAGACTATGAATGCCCACTTTATCCTCAGCATCTGTAGGGAGTCTGGACATCTTACTCTACCTTCAAGTAATAGAAGTATCTGCATTTATTTTCCTAGGTAATGGCATAAGTCCCCATGTGGGGGCTCCTTCTTCCTGCTAAAGGAAGCTAAAGGTCTATTTGAACATGAGCCCAATTTTTCCCCTACCAACCATCACTGTCACAACTGACCACTTTGGCAGTGCTGCCAGCTCAAAGCAGATGGGTTGACTGACAGGAAGCACAGATCTGCCGTTCACACATATCCAGGCAGGCAAGGGATGGAAAATAGGTGTGCTGCACCTGTCTGGCACCGACAGCTTCTGCCACACCAACATTTCAATCAGCACCATGTTAACACAGCCCGTGTGCCACTCAAAATAGCCCTAGGGGTGGGTGGTTTCTAGGGAGCCAAACGAGTCCCTGGGCCGCTACAGAGAGAGGGGTTACCAGGTCTATCAGAGGCAGCTGCCACACCTCTTTCTCTTGCCAGATAATTAGGACACAGTCCAGTTGGGTGACTTTGTTCTGCCCGAGGAAGTGACAGCTAATACTGGGCTGGCAGCGGAGTGCACGCCATGGTTCATCATAACTGTCCAAATCAGCAGGATCTGTCCAGTGCAGCCAAGAAAAGTTGAGCTTTATTTATTCTCTCTTTGGGGAACAGAGGGAATGGCAAGGATAGGTGTGCTTTAGAATGTCAGTCTAACTACTTAATACTTAATAACACGCACACACATATGCCTATGTGTATGGATAAACATACTTGCACAAACACCTAGAAAGAAAACCGCATCTTCATATATAGGCTGATAAAGCCACAAACCACAGACACATAAACTGGCATATATGTATGCAAAACACTCATGTGAATGTACTTGCTTGTAAACACACAGATACAAACTTGCATTTGGATAGACATATACAGGAAGCACACATCCATAAACAAATGCATTTGTACATACGTGGGTAAACACAGACACACAGACATTGGGAAACAAAAGCTCACGTACCATGCATGCAGATTCAAGAACTCATATAAACACAGGCAAATACAGATACAAATACATGTGAAAGGACATTTGACAAATACCCCTCCACACACTCTTTTCTCAGTAGCAATCTTGAAGAGGAAGGGAGAAAGGACAAAGAGCATTTATGCATTGGAGTTTCTATCTGTCATCACTCAAATAACTTTCTAGTGGGTAAAACAAAAGAGGGGAAAAATCAATTTCTGATAGAAGTTCAAGGAGCTGTGAAATCAATTATACTTTATTTTCAAATATCATTCAGAGAAGTTTATACTCTTTCAGAAAAGTCTGGTCTCGCCAGGGGGCAAAGATCCAGCTGGAAATGGAAATAAGAAAGAAACTGCAAAGTTCAAGGCAAAGGTCACTGCTGAGGTCAGAAATGACACTTTCATCTTTGGTGGCAGGAGAAGGGGGTTGGGAAGGTTACAAGTGCCCCTATTCAAATAATGACCATGAGGGCTATCTGATGTGACATTAGTCACCTCATTGATTGCTAAGTTTGACTTGGTCAATTCACATTAAAAAATAAATGTATGTGAGAGCTGAAAGGATCCTTAGAAAGCTCTTTTTAAAAAATCTAAAGAGACAAAAAGACTGAAATAGGAGGTGTGGCTTGCTCAGCATCACCCAGGAAGAAGGTACAGAGCCTGGGACTGAGCCCAGACAGCTGGTTTCTTAGCTCTGACCTTCCTGCTTTTCCCATTAGACTTCTCCCTTCAGAGCACCCTCTGTACCAGGCAGAGCTTTGATTTCTCTATAAACATGCACCTAATTAACTCACACAGTTTGGGGTGTTTAACTGCAGATACCAGGCTGAGGGCTGGTGGCTGGCCAGAAGTATCACCAGGGCCAAACCCAAGGTGATACGTTCTGAAGAGCATCCCAGTTTTCCATCTGAGTGACCTCCCTGCTTGTGGCCGGGCCCTTGAAGGCCAGGGCTGGACTCTAGATAACATAGCAGGATGCTGTGTGCAGGGGAAGCACACTCACAGAAATCTTGATAAGCAAATGAGTGCTTATTATGAAATGAAAGGATCGGGGAGGAGGGCACAGGGAAGGTGACATTGAGAAAGTCAGATGCCACCATTAGAAGCTTCAGTTATCTCACTGAAAATAAAAAGAGGAATACAAAAAGCTAAATGTGGGTTGCAGGGGGTTTAAATTAATGAATGCATTTGAAAACACATTGTAAATTTACTAGACAAACGTAAGGTATATTGCTTTTCTATAGTCCCAGTGAAGGAAGACATTACCCCAGAGGTTTTCTTTATGCTGTTATCTCCCCTGCAAATTCTCTTGGTGTTCATTGAATCAGACCTGAACCATGCTTTAAAAATTGCCTAAGTGAACTGACCTCATCGCCATGGCTAAGGACCATAGAGCTGGAAGAGTTTTCAGACGTGATTTCCAGCATTTTCCACATTGGGTCTGGGAGAGCATTCTAAGGGATGTTACTCAGTGCCACACAATAGTAGCTTTTGTAGTAAAACCATTTTATGAAATGCTACAAAAAAGACTTTGCTCTTATAGATTCACAAAATAAAGAAGCATCTTCAAAGTTCTGAGAGGTCCTTCAGGGAAGAAACCTGCTTAATTTTGTTGAAAGTGGTGTTTCTAAAACATTTTTGTCTTCTCTCCCCACACTGTTTTGTTTTTGTTTCTGTTTTCAATGTTGCACATTTATTAATATCCTAAAGAGGAACTTTCTGTAGGATACAATTTTGAGATGTGCTCAATGCCTTCATTTTACAGATGAAGAAGCAAAGTTATAAAAATGGAAGTGAGTTAATGAAGATCACACAGCAAATTAATGACAGAGCTATAATTCCTGATGCTCTTTTACTTCTCAAAATCCATATTGAACACAAATTTAGTAACTGATTATACTCTGCCTTATTGTGTTAGCTTATTAGCTTGTGTGTATTTTTAAATAAAATGATATGTGTAAAGCCACACAATATAGTTTCTGGAACATCTTGATCACTTAACAAATGTTAAATCTGAATTCTCTATTTGTGTTGTTTCTTCAAGCAGATCATGAGCTCTTAGGGAGGTCCGTGTTTTGTATGTTCCTAGAAATCCCCATGGTTCATACAGCACTTCTTGACACCCCTGAGGTACAAAATACCTGCTTTCTCATCTACTGATTGAAAATCAGGGGCAGCCCCAGTGCTATGCCCATTGGAGGAAAAGAGCCTGACATTAAAGCAATAAAATGAACCATCTCCCCTACAGAGTTAGTCTAACATTAATGAAAGCTTCATGATGCACTATTATCCTCTCCTCTTATTATTCTCATGTATTTCATGCTGGATATAAATGTCAGAATGCTTTATCTGTCTGCATTTTCATGAGATTTATTGATACTGAAGGAACACATGCTAAGACTTCTGGCAAGGGAAACCTAGTCCTCAGTGGCATTTTTTTTTCTCCACTCTGCCCAAGGTTCCTCAGAGACCACAGCGTGAAAGAAAACAGGAAAGGAACACTCTGTCTGTTGCCCTAAGCCAGAGTTCAAAAATTTGGTTCTCCCGTTTTCTTTTCTTTTTTATTTTTTTGAAACGGAATTTCACTCTTGTTGCCCAGGCTGGAGTGCAGTGGCGCGATCTTGGCTCACTGCAACCTCTACCTCCCGGGTTCAAGTGATTCTCCTGCCTCAGCCTCCCAAATAGCTGAAACTACAGGCACATGCAAACATGCCCGGCTAATTTTTGTATTTTTAGTAGAGACAGGGTTTCACTATGTTGGCCAGGCTGGTCTCGATTTCTTGACCTCATGATCTGCCCACCTCGACCTCCCAAAGTTCTGGGATTACAGGCATGAGCCACTGCGCCCGGCCTCCCATTTTCTAATTCTGAGGCTTTGTGCAACTTCTACTCCCTTGTTAAAACACAGATTTCTGGGCTTTAGCCCCAGAGATTCTGATCCTGTTGGCTTGTGGAAGAACCCTAGAATTTGCATTTCTAACTAGTTGCTAGGCGATGCTGTATTGCTGTTCCATGGTCCACACTTTTTGAACCATCCCTCTAAGCGAATTGGGGTACGCACATTTCCATTCCCCTGTTGGTTTGATTGTTATACTTTAACTCTTTCCCCCACAAGCAGAAACTAAAATGAAGATATAAGTGCAAGTAGTTTATGGAGACATGATCCTAGGAATCTCTGTGAAGGAGTCATGTGAGATGAGGAATCAAAGAAAGTCACCAAAGTTGAATTAATAGGCCAGTGTGCCACTGGGGGATTTTACTACTGAAGACCATCTGTAGAACTCAGAATTTATCTGTTAAGAAATGAGGGGCCTTGAATTTTAGCTCCCACCCCTCACTTATTGACAGTTGCTCCTTAAGACTTCAACTCTGGGCATTTCCAGCCTGATCTATGCACAGGCTCAGCACACTCCAAGTGACCCTGAGGCTCATAAACATGGTCCAAGGTTTGGAAGCGTCACTCAAGAGCTTGCTAGAAGTGCAAAATGTCAGGCTCTATCCAGACCTACTGAATCAACATCTTCATTCAACCAAGTCCTAAGATGACCTATGTGCACATTAAAGTGTGAGGAACCCTGTCATACTGTGATGATTGAAACAGCTGATGAATGGGAATCATGCTATTCACGCTGAATTTTATTATTATTTTATTATTGAGTCGTTGGTAGCTCCTTGTGGTCCTTGTAGTCCTCTTATTCTTCACTCCATATTTAAAAATAAGATTTCATCAGCCTATGGAAATGTACCAGAATCTGTAATTCATTGCTTGCTAATTAGTCTGAAAGGTAATTTTTATGTAGGAGTTAGTGTTCCTAAATATTAATGAGCAATTAGAATTCTATTCTGAAAACAGACGATATTTTGTGTTGAGGGTGAGCAGAGGGAGGTGAGGAATAAAAGGATACACAAGTAAACATGGTTATATATTGGGGTTACTATGTGGGCTTGTATTTCTTTAAGCCTGACACCTGGCAATTTGAACAAAAGTAAGCCAACCAGCACTAGGGTGACCGTCATAAACAAATGAATCACCTACCAGAAAAAGAAAACAAACTAATAAAACTCTCCAAAGCAGAAATCAAGCAAATGGCAGGCTCTGTTGTCACTGGAGAAAAGCCTAGAATGGTATTTTAGCCTGAGAGATCCCAAAGCAGCATTGATTAGTATGCATTCTTCAGAATTTAGTGGAGTAAAATAGATATTACTTAACAGTTTTGTGGCCAAGTGAACTGAGAAAAGGCTGGGAGAAAATCAAGAGGTTAGTGATTTGCGCAATTTTAATTTTTTACAATAGGTCATTATTTTTGAGGCCATCTTCTCTCTCCAAATCTGCCAACATTTCCTAACAGGTCCCCCTGCTTGCACTCTTACCTCCAACTACACTGTCTCTACAGAGCAGCAAGTATAATATTTTTAAAATGCTAATGAGTTTAGCACACTCTTCTGCTGAAAGTACATCAATCTTGTATTTATATTTATGTATTATTTTTCTAACATTCCCAACAAAACCCTCTTTACCTGTTATGTGTTCTTCTCAAAACCATGGCTGACAACTGTTTCACATTCTTTCATGTTGTTGAATATGCCAAGATATTTCCTCTCTGTGTTTTCTTACATACTTAAATTTTATATTCTCAGGTAGGCCTTTTTTCTCACTCCTCTCATCTCTTAGAAAACCTGACAGATTCCCTTCATAGCAAGTCACAATTTATAGCAATATTTCCATTTGGGTAGTTAGAGATTTAATGTGTGTTTCTCTCCCTGTAAAAGAAAATCTAAAAGAGATAAAAAACTCTTGTTTATTTATCATCATTCCCCCATGCCTAGCATGTGTCTGATGCATAGGAGACAATTAGTAAATATTTATTAAATGATTATATAGTCACTAACATGACAATGTATTGGGTTTTTCAAATGCATTTGAACAGGGAAACTTTTTTTTTTTAAAGCCTGGGAGTAATATTTCATGGAATAAATTTTGAGAAATGCTTTTCTAATGTCAATTCCACTCTTCCTAAGTGTGAAAAGAGGAATATAAGTTATAACTACTATTTCAAGCTCTGACTAGCTGTGCGACCATGAGCAAAGTTATTTCAAAATTGAGACTCACTTGTGGAATGATGAGGCTGGACAAGATAATCTCTAAAATCCTTTACAACTCCCCAATTCTGAAGTTCTAATCATACAAAAAGAGTACCACTTTCACTTTGAGCTCTTGAAGAGTAAGTCAAATCAGTCTGACCTCATTTCACTCTAGGAGAGCTATAGTCTAGGATGGTAAATTAGGGAAAGGAAGTCAATACAGCATATTTAGCTTTCCATGAGCCATTTCACGAAGTCTTCCCTGATGTCTTTGTAGAAAAGAGTGAGCAATGGGGGCTTGATGGAGGTATGACAGACTGGTTTTGTAACCAGTTGAAAGATGGTCCCCAGGAGTGCTAATTAATGGATCAATGCCAACCTTGAGGACAGGGGCTGGATATAGCCTGTAGGCTCTATTGTTTGTCCTGCCCTGTTCAACATTTCTATCAATGTCTTGAATGAAGAGTGAGAGCTCATGATCATCAAATATGTAGGTGACATGACGGTAGGAATATTTTGAATGACAGAAGCAGAATTCAAAGTCATTTGAACAGCCTGGAGAAATGAACTTTGTCTAAAGTGGGAAAATGTAGTAATATAAAAGGAAATCCCTGGAAATAGAAGCTACAATCAATTACAAAGAATATATATGATTACAAATATGTTTATGCACGTAGGTGTTTTTGTGTGTGTGTGCTGTGTGTGTGTGCCTAGGTAATAACATTTTGGAGTTTTAGTTGATAGTAAGAATGAAATATTAGAATAAGGTAAGATGGCCACTTAACATGAATGTTTGCTACAAATTGAAAGTTCATATATAGAAACTTAGCATGTAAAAGGAGGCAGTTGAAAAATGCTGCCTATTCAGTTGGGACTCGCAGCACCATTTCCAAATTTTAGGAAGAGAAGACAGATTAGAGAATGTGATCAGGGAAGAGGGAACAAGATGGTGAAGAAAAGTATTGAAGAAATTTGAGATACAGTCCAAAGAAGAGACAGTATAATTATGGAGACCATGATGATGTCACCTTCCCCAAATTAGGATTACATGCCTCTGTGATGTAACTCCTCAGTGCCTGAGACTTCCCTCACCATTCACCAATCACTATGAGTTGTCATTTTTTCTGTACCCCCTACATGTTGTATGAGAGCAGAGTTTGAAGCTGTTTTATCGCCATCACCCTTCCAGTGATTAGGTCAGAACCTGGGACATAAAATCAATGAGTTGATAATGAATAAGTACATTTTATTTTCCTTAAATATCTTTAGCGTTGTAAGAAAAGACAATTTGTGTTTGTTTTGTGTAACCCAGTGGATTAGAAAAAGTATCAACTGGAAGTGAAAGTTTTTTCCAAGTAATAATCACAGATTTTCAAACACGTCTTGAACTATTGAATCAGGTAATTTCCCATCACTAGAGGCGATCAAGCTAAATTTGGAAATAGGAGGACCCTTTTGGCTGGAGCCACTGGAGACAGGACTTAAGCCACACATTCTATCTCTTGGGTGACTTTTATATCACTTAAAACTTGATTTTAATTCAGAAATTTCTTTCAAAAAGTTTGTTCTGAATCAACAGAAAAATATTATTTCCTAAATATTTTCCATTATGTGTTGCCTCTGGATCTTTAGTCTGGTTATTCTACCAATCCATTGCCCACCCAGATTGTGTACATAAAATTTCTACCCATTCTATATAAAACCTCTCACACTTGTCTTTTGCTTAAAACATTTAATTTAAAAACCCCATTAAAACCAATCCCTTCTTTCTCTGCATTTCTGTATAATATTTGTCCCTCTCTTCTATCCTCACCTCTTTCTGCCTTGTATTATAGAGGTAATTGTCAATCCGACTCACCACCAACTCAAAATAGGGGAATTTTACATGTGCAGGTGATTGTATATATCCATCAATCAAAGGACTTCCCTCTTGTGCCACATTTCTGCTAAAAGTTCCTAATGAAAACAGCAAGATAAGATCTGTTATTTGAATCTTTGAAATACGCAATTATCTGCCTATGAATACCAGAACTCCGCCTGGTATTCTTCCTACAAAACGTACAGAAACAAACTTGAGAATCATTTTCCTTTACTGCAAAATTGCAGAGCACAGTCTACCTACCCTCAATGTGTTGTTGAAATAAAAAAGAAAAAAAAAAGTACAGACTAAAGAAAGGAAAAAGAAAAATGGAGTGAAAATGTTTGAAATACACATTAAGACTCTAGGGTAGTGGAAATAAATTAAAATGGCAATATCCATCACTTCATTTTGGTTGACATGTTTGTTTACCAACTTGTGGTTTCTTGTCTGGCAGAAAAGAGCTTTTTAAGAAATCATGTTGTGAATCTCTCATATTTCTTTTTAGACATCACATAGTTTTATCCAATAATATTTGGATGATTAAAGAGTAAATGACTAAATGAGAAGCGTATGGATTAAATTCCACTTGGAATATACTTCAGTTTCAGAAGAAAGGACATGTTTCTAGAGAATGCTGTACCAGAGGTGTGTTTGATTTCAGGAACACTGACATCATCTAAAATTAGTCTCCCAGTGGGCCACCTTCCCCAGACTCTCAGCACTGATCCTTTAAAAAAAAAATTAGCAGTGCTTGTTCACAACTGCTTTGCTCGTAACACTAGGCTCCATGCTTGGAGAACCAGAAGAGTTCTCTATCCTCAGAAAACTATTATTTATTAAATTGCAATAATAAAAGTCAGTGCCAGTCGGGGTTTCAAGCTGATTGTAGGAATCATTGTATTTAACATTCATAATGATGTAGTCAATAAAGTACTGTGATATTCTCATTTTGTACATAGTATTTACATTAGTACCATGATATTCTCATTTTCCAGATGAGAAAACTAAAGCAGAGAGAGGTTAAATAATTCACTTCAAACTGAAAGTTAGGAAACATTTCAACCAGGATCTGAACCCCAGCAGCCTGTCTCCAGCATTCCTCCACTTCTGCACCTCTCTGTTTCTCTGCTCCCATGACTATAAATCACTTTCTCTTGATGAGGAGAGTTTTGTTTTCAAGGCTATACTATGAGGCAGATATTTTTCCCAATTGTTTTACAAATGATACCACTGGGTCTCAGAGGCAGTTTGAAGGAATGTATTATGTTCACAGAAATAGTGAATGGCAGGACCCAGGAATTAAACTCAAGTTTCATCTAACACCTGCCTCAGGCTCTTCTGTGTTCCAGGAATGGTCTCTGAATTAATGGTGTCAGAATTGCCTATGATGGGGTGGAGAGGTGCTTTTTTTTTTTAAGTCCAGATATGGGACCATCTACTAACCACTGAATCAGAATCTCTGAGGTAAGGGGCCTTGGCATCTTCTTTTTAATTTTAATTTAGTTTTATTTTAATGGAGTCTCACACTGTCACCCAGGCTACAGTGCAGTGGCACAATCTCACTGCAAACTCCGCCTCTTGGGTTCAAGCGAATCTCCTGCCTCAGCCACCTAAGTAGCTGGGACTACAGGTGTGCACCACCATACCTGGCTAATTTTTATATTTTTAGTATAGATGAGGTTTCAATATGTTGGGCAGGCTGATCTTGATCTGACCTAAAGTGATCTGCTTGCTTCGGCCTCCCAAAATGCTGGGATTAAAGGCATGAGCCACCATGCCCAGCCAGGATCTTCCTTTCTAAAAAGTGGTAAAGTAGTTCTTTTTTTTTTTAAGTTTGTGAAAATGAATATTAATAATGATGATTTTTTTTTACTTTTATTTTAAATTCGGGGACACATGTGAAGGTTTGTTACATAGGTAAACTCATGTCATGGGGGTTTGTTGTACAGATTATTTCATCACCCAGGTATTAAGCTTAGTATCCATTGGTTATTTTTCTGCTTCTCTTCCTCTCCCACCCTCCACTCTCAGGTAGATCCCAGTGTCTGTTGTTCCCTTCTTTGTGTCCATGAGTTTTCACCATTTAGCTCCCACTTACAAGTGAGAACATGCAGTATTTGGTTTCCTGTTCCTGCATTAGTTGGCTAAGGATAAAGGCCTCCACTTCCATCCATGTTTCTGCAAAAGACATGATCTTCTTTTTTATGGCTGCATAGTAAGGAGATTCTTGACTCACAAAATAAATTCCCCCTGCTGCCTCAGAAAACCTTGTGAGAGGCACCTGTTAACTAATGTTATTAGGGAGTTTAAAGTGAGATAGGAGATGAAAGGTGTTGAGTGTGGATTTGCAAAGAAATGAGGCAGCTTTGAAAACACAAATTGGAAAAATCATGTGATTCCATCAATAGTCTGTTTCTAGATTCATTTTTAGGGCTGTCAAATCATTCATCATCTGTTCTGGAATTCTTGGGCCAGGGAGCAGGGAAAGGAGAGAAGTCAGCATGGTAGAATGCAAGGAACATGTCTCTGAAGTCAATTCCTGCCTCTGCCTTTTAATTCTCATTTTGATTTGGGATGAGTTATGTATTTTCTCTGCATTTGATTTTTTCTGTCTGTAAGATATTTTTCTCTTTTATTTTTATGCACGTTAAGTGAGCAACACATCTAAAGTGAACACACAGTAGTTATTCAATAGTCTTTTGTTTTTTTTTCTGCTTATGATGCTTTGCAACCAGTCACATTTTTCAGGTGGATTCCATTGCCAATGCCAATTCTCTCCCTGCCCAGGCTTGTATTATACCAGCTGTTATGAACTTCCAGTTTGTCAATTATTTCTTTTCTTTTTTTTTTTTTTTTTTTTTGAGACAGAGTCTTGCTCTATCACCCAGGCTGGAGTGTAGTGGCATGATCTCGGCTTACTGTAACCCCTGCCTCCTGGGTTCAAGCAATTGTCCTGCCTCAGCCTCCTGAGTAGCTGGGATTACAGGCGCCTGCCACCGTGCCCGGCTAATTTTTGTATTTTTAGTAGAGACGGGGTTTCAGTATATTGGCCAGGCTGGTCTCGAACTCCTGACCTCGTGATCTGCCCACCTCGGCCTCCCAAAGTGCTGGATTACAGACATAAGCCACCGTGCCCAGCCAATTATTTTATTTTCTTACATACAACTATCTCCTAAGGAAAGCACTTACCAGCTAATGTGGTGTTCATGGTTAGTAGCAGGAGATGACTTTATCATCCAGTGGCACTTTCATTAGAGAAAGATGAAGGCATGAAGGAACACATAAAAAAATGAATGCCTAATAGGAAAAAATCAAAGATTATTACATATCGGCAGTAGGGATATTTGGAGGCAAAAGTCCTTCAAGAATGTCATTTAAACTCGCAGTTCCATTACCTATTTGAAACATCAGTTCAGAAAATATATTTTTTTAGTGGGAACATAAAATTATGAAGTTGCAAAGGACTTTGAGGTCATTTATAACAACTCTTAAGCAATGCCTCCCTTTGGAGGAAAGACAGCAACTTGTTTGTGTTATGTAGTGCGATCAAGTTCACATTTATTACTTACTAAACTAAGCGAGAGAGAAAGTTAGGCACCATTTCACAGATGAGAAGCCTAAGGCTTAGAGAGATGAAGATGCTTGCCAAGGTCACTCGTGTTACCCAAGACCAGTCCTTGAACCCAGATGCCAGACTCCATGTCCTTCACTCCCCTCCCTAAGCCACAGTTCTTTCTGATTCCAGGCAGGCAAAATATTATGGATGAATTCCTTTATCTATTTCAATCTCTCTTTTTAGAAACTTTTAATTAGTACTCAATTCTCTGCTATTATTAGTATTTTTTATAAAGCAGTAAGAGCCATTCCTGTTCCTTTCTCCTCCCCTGCTCACCTCCCCAAGCTTTCCGCTCCAAGGCTTCTGGTTTTAATTGTTATATTTTTTCACCAGTGATCATTCGAACTTCCCTAATGATCTCAACTCATTTGGAGGGTTTATAGCTCCAGCACAGAACTCCATTAAAAGGAAAAGAGAAGCTTTGTGGGGGAATTCCCTGGGGGCTTTTCTTCTGCCAAGAACAAAACTCATTTGCTGCACACTGTCCTGCCCTCATCACAAGGTACCTTCTTTAGTGGAAAGAAGGCCATCTCCTATTTCGGGAAATTGTCTTCTTCTTCACTTCTCCCATTTGACTCCCTTCTTCTCACTTTACCAAGTTACCATCTGAAATTTCTGCACGCAGTAGGTAGGTAGGCACTTGATTACTATGTGTTGAAAGCTGCAATAAATAAGTGTATTTACAAAGGAAGAGGAGAGGACAAAAGGAAGGGTTATGGACCACTTATCTCTTCCAGGGAATATATTAAGTTCTTGAAAGAGTCAAGTGCTCATGACCATGTGTAAATAGTTCTGTATATGAGGAGACAGGCACAGAGTTCTATTAAAATACTCTCCACAGCCAGACATAGAGTGGTACTCATAACAGCTAGTGTTACTGAACATTTACTACATGCTAGGTTTAGTTCCAAGTGTTTACATGTATTTACTCTTTTAATCCTGACTACAACCTTATCATGTACTTGCTCTTATTATCCTCATTTTGCAGGTGAGGGAATAGGTAGGTGATCCAGTATTCTAACTGGGGTGGTCTGGCTTCAGAATGTGTGTCCTTAATATTCACACCATGGTAGTACTATGATTCCAAGATGCATCTCCAAGGTATGAGCTTTATTATTATGCATTTAAACATTTCAAAGAGTTTGTCCATCTATTATTTAGTTTAATGATTGTAATCCTAGCTACTCAGGAGGCTGAGGCAGGAGAATCATTTGAACCCAAGTGGTGGAGGTTGCAGTGAGCCGAGATCGTGCCATTGCACTCCAGCCTGGGTGACAAGAGTGAAATTCCATAACAACAACAACAACAAAATTAATATTGGGAAAAATAACACCCTCATACATCTTTGATTTTTGAGAGAACTGAGGACAGGAAAGATGTATGGTCCTCCCTGACACTCAGTACCACTCAATGATAGATGCAGGACCAGAACTCAAGTCCATATGCAGTGAAAAGTGATAGACACAAAATGACTATCAGTGACACATTATTCCCACCCTGACAGTGCTATGTGCTAGCCATTTCATTAAGTTCAGAGTGATTATCTTTTCTGAGCCTTGTTTTTTCTCATCTGCAAAACAGTAGAAAGAATGCCTATCTCAAATGGTTTGGGCAAGAATGTCATTAGATGTTTTATCTGCTAGAATATGAGAGATACATTATATATTTTATTTTCTTTCCCAGGCTCACGAGACATATGTTGTGACAAGATGAGTTTTTACAATCTGGGGCTTGGAAGTCCTCAACAAATGTATAAGAGGTTGGAACTTCTTTCTTCACTGTTCTATGTTTTTCATTCACCAAGGAGATAATCCAAGAAAATCATCATATATTTCATGAATTGGATGACTTCCCTTTGCTGACTCATGGCTGTCCTAACTTCTTGCTCCTAGATTAAAACAAAATTAGGTGTCAATCAGGACAGCAAGCACATCTTAAAGAAAAGGAGACATACTCATAGAGGGAAGAATCATTTGTGGTCACATGGCTTAAAAGGGCAGAACTGGGACTAAAATTCAAATATGGCTAAAATGACACCTTTTAATCTTATGTCACTATAGAGAGACAGTACTTGGGGAGGACAGCTTGGCATGGTTTCTAACGCAAGGAGACCAAGGCAAGAAAGTTCCCAGGGGTATTTCCCCTGTGAAATTGCTCACACCAGGAGCAAAGGCTGTCCAGGGAGCCCCATAAGCTGATAGTGATGGAGCCCATCAGTTCAGTGTCTGATTGAGGAAGAGCATTTAATAAACATGAGGAGAAAGACCAAGGATTCCAATGTTTAATTATCTGCCCAATGATTGAAAATCTAATTTAGTTTTTTTTATGTTTATTTGTGAAGGCTTCTGTGTTTCCAAGCAAGAAAAAGCTTTAGAGTTCAGGGATTCAATGTAGGTAAATTCATTAAAGTGCTTATTAATCTACACATCTTAGTAGCTTACTATTCAATCAGTTGTCAATGCCTCTCAATTCCAGAAATGAAACAAAAAACTGGGAAAACAATATTATAAATTTGTCACGTTACACGAAAGGTAGTAATATATTAATTGATCATCAGTTATAATCCAAACAATTTATTTTATTTTGTTTAATCCTATTTTATTTTATTTTAGAATTAGGTACAATGATAATGTATTTCACATGGAATATAAAAGGCCAAGGACATACATCTTTGGCAGTGTCACAGACTAAGTGGCCACAGATGCCTCAGTCAGTACACAAAACCTCCTACACTGATTTTTTTAAAATGTACCTACAAAAGATCAGAAAAAGATTCAGAGGCCTGAGATATGCAAAAGTAAAAATTAAAAGGGTAAATGAGAGCATTATAGACAATTTTTTACTAAAACCATCTGCCATTTACTGGAGACTTAAACCCTGAGTTTTAAGGGAACTTTTGAGCTAAAGAAAAGAAAAAAGCCTAAAGTTTAGTCCTGTGAGGATAAATACATCATCTGAATTAAGACAAGAACTTAAAAAGAAACAACAATCACTGGATGAACCAGAAGGAAAATTATCCACAGAGATCTTTGAGAGGTTCAAAACCACATCTATATTGATGTCTACATCTTGTCCATCAAAATATAATAAATCAGAAGGGTTGTGATCAGAATTAAAGTTCATTAATATGCTTCAGGGATCATTTTTTTCCTCAGAGAAGTGAATATATTGATTATACTTTGTTAACTTAAATATGAATGTTGTAATTTCTTAGATAACCACTAAAAGAACAGAAGACTGTATAACTTTTAACTTAGTAAAGTAGAAAAATGACCTCATTCTAAAAGAAAGAAGAAAAAAAGAAATAAAAGTATAGAAAATTGGGATAAATGGAAAACAATAAAATAGGTATGACTTTAACTGCTTCAGTAATCATAATCAATGTAAATAGATTTCTCTTTGCATTTAATAATTTAAAATGTATAAAATGTATTTTTAAAAACTCCACCTGTACACTGTTTACAAGAAAAAACCTACAAAACAAATGTATCCACAGATTGAAAGGCCATAATGGAAAAATATAACAGGAAAATATTAATAGCCTTATAGCTTAACATTGCTGTTAAAATTTCAGACAATTTTGGAAATAAGGTTAAAAAGAGAGGTCTTTTCTCTACTGAGAAAACAGATTCAATTTACTAAGAAAATATTAAAATTTTATGTATATAAGCACCCAATCATACAGTTTATAATTATGTAAAATAAAAGAATAAATGGTACTGCAAAAAAATGACAAATCCACATCATGGTGAGAAATTTTAATACATTTCTCAGGAATTAATAGAGAATGTAGAGGACTTAACATAAGTAGCAAGCTTGATTAGTGAAATACTGCTGCAACACTTCTTTTCTCTTATCAATAATTGACCATTTACTATTTCAAAAACATTTATCAATAAATTTAACAGAATGAATATTACTTTGCTAAATTTATTAACCAAAATAAAATTAAGTTAGATGTCAATATAAAAAATATGAAAAGTAAACATAAATATGTATGCATGTACATACTCTGACAAACAAGCATATATTCAGAAAAATCCCATATCTTCAGAAATTTAAATAAAATAACATTCTAAATTACTCATGCAGAGAGGAGAAATCATAATGGACATTAGAAAATATTTAAACAACTAGGGAAATCTTATCTATTAAAACCTTTGTCCTGCCGTAAAGTTATACTTGATGGCCAGTTATAGTTTCAAAATCTTTATATTCAAAATGAAAATGGTAAAATTAACTAACTTAAAAAATAGTAAAAGAATAGAAGAAAAAAACTAACAAAGTGGGGATTTAATAATGGAGACAAAAGTATGTTTGTGTGCGTGTGTATGTGTGTGTGTGTAAGAGAAAGAGAGAGAAGAGAGGAAAAGAGAGAGAAGGCATAGAGAGCAAGGTTAAGAAAAGAAGGGGGCATACCTACAATTTTAATAATAATTAATAGAAATAAAAGGCAATGTGTATAATAAAAAGTTTCTGATACATTGAAAAAGCACTTATAGGAATCTCGTCCTCAAAAAGATAGTTTACTAGTCCTGACTCAAAAAGAGGTACAAAATCTGAATGATCCTTATAAACATTAATGATATTGAAACAATATTTTAATATATTCTCACAAACAAAACAACAGACCAGATAAGTTTACAAGAAAGTTACATAAAATATCTAAGAAACAAATAATTCCAATCTTACAATATCTTTCAAAGAGTAAAATAAATGGGGAAGTCACTTCTCAACTTGTTTATTTTTAAAGATTACATAACCTCAAAACCAACACTAGGCAATAAGAATATGTGAGAAAAAAAAACTCATGAACATGTAAAACTTCAAAATGAAATGTTAATAAATGTCATTCAATAATGAATTTTAAAAAAATACATTATGACAAATGTGAGGTTGTTCTAGGAATGATTAATATTAGAAAATCTATACATTTATTCAATCATATTATTTCACCAAATAGAAAAAAATTACAATGAAATTATGAAAAACATTCAATGAACTTGGTAATTATTTATAATAAAAACTTTTAGTGAACTATGAAAAAAAAGAGAACTTTCTTCACTGGAGAAAAGATAGTTTTAAAAAGTCTACCAGAGAAACATAATAGAAAGAAACCTATACGAAGGCTGCTACATAACACTACTGGCAAAGCAAATTAGGAACAAAATTATACTCTGTTTACTCAACAGTGCTGCTGAGAAAACCAGTTCTCCAAATGGGGAAAAAAAATGCAAGGAATACTCATCCTGCATCATAAGCTAAAATCATATCCAGATAATTTAAAGACAAAAATATCATAGCTAAATAAATAAAACTTTCCCCTTCGCTCCCCTCCACTGAATTGGATACTATCTTTATGTCTTCAGATAAAGGAATAATTTCTTAAACAAAAAGCAAAAGAATAAAACATAAATAAAAATATAATTTTGACTTCATTAGTATTAGAAAATTTATTCATTATAAGATTCTATAAAGATGTGGAAAAGACAAGTCACAAACTGGCAAAAGACATTTGCAATCACATAAATGACAAAGGTTTATCGTGCAGAACATAAAAATATTTCTCAAAAATCAATAACAAAAAGACAAACCTCAAATTTAAAAGGGGGTAACATGAGCAAAATATGTGATTCTGAATTCTACTACAAAGGAAATGTGGCTGGCCTACAACATTTGACAAGATAGTCACTGCATCAGAAATACGAGGATCACGCTTGCTCTCCAGCAATGTTCCCTAACCAAAATGGAAACTCAGAAGTGACAGGTAAAGAATTCAAAGCATGGATTTCAAGGAAGTACAATGAGATCCAAGACAATGTAGAAAGTTAACGTAAAGAAACTTTTAAAGCAACCCAGGAAATGAAGGAAGAGGTAAACATCTTAAAAAGACATCAATTGGAGCTTCTGCAATTGGAAAAAAAAAAAAAAACCCTGCACTTAAGGAATTTCAAAACAAAATTCAAAGCTTTATCAATAAACTGGAAACTGGACCAAGCAACATAAAAAGAAAAACAAAGACTTCCAGAGCTTGAAGACTGGTCTAATCCAGTCAGACACAAATAAAGAAAAAAGAATTTTAAAAAATGAACAAAGTCTTCAAGAAATATGGGATTAATGTGAAGAAACCTAAGAATTACTGTCATTCCTGGGAGAGAAGGAGAAAGAGTAAACAACCAGGAAAACATATTTGAGGAGATAATTTGAAAAAATGTCCCTAATCTTCCTAGAGAGGCATACAGACAGATATAAGAGATCTAGAGAACCCTTGTACAATACTATATAAAATGAACATCACCAATACATATAGTCACCAGACTGTACAAGATCAATGCTAAAGCAAAAATTTTAAAAGAAGCTAGAAAAAAATGTCAGATTACAAACAAAAGAAATTCCATTAGGCTACCAGTGGACTTCTCAGCAGGCATTTTACAAGCCAGAGAGATTGGTTGCCTATTCTAAGTATTTTATTTTTTGAGACAGCGTCTTGCTCTGTCACCGAGGCTGGAGTGCAGTGGCGTGATCTCGACTCACTGCAACATCTGCCTCCCAGTTTAAGAGATTCTCCTGCCTCAGCTTCCCTAGTAGCTGGGATTACAGGTGTGTGCCACTACACCAGGCTGATTTTTGTAGAGACAGGGTTTCACTATGTTGGCCAGGCCGGTCTTGAACTCCTGACCTCAGGGGATCCACCCACCTCGGCTTCCCAAAGTGCTGGGATTACAGGTGTGAGCCACCGTGCCCAGACTATTTTAAGTATTCTTAAAGAAAATAAATTCCAACCAAGAATTTCAGATCCCATCAAACTAAGCTTCATAAGCATAGCAGAAATAAAATCTCCAGGCAGGTGAAGCACAAAGAGAATTTGTTACCACTAGGCCAGCCTTACAAGAGATCACTAAGAGAGTTCTAAACATGCAACCAAAAGAGTAATACCTGCTACCACAAAAACACACTTAAAAACATAGCTCGCAAAGCCTATAAAGTAACCACATAATATAAACTACAAGCAACTAGCTAACAACTTTATGATAGGATCAAAACTTCACATACCAATATTTACCTTGAATGTTTAAAAGCCCCACTTAAAATTTACAGAGTGGCAAGTTGGATTAAAAAAAGAAAAAGACCTATCCATTTGCTGTCTTCAAGAGACCCATCTCACAAGTAATGACATCCATAGGCTTAAAGTAAAGGGTTGGAAAAAGATCTATCATGCAAATGGAAAACAAAAAAGAGCAGGATCACTATTCTTATATCAAATAAACAGATGTTAAACCAAAATCAATAAAAAAGTACAAAGGAGTGCACTACATAATGAAAAAGGGCTCAGTCCAGCAAGAAGACTTAACTATTATAAACATATACACACCCAACATTGGAGCAACCAGATTCATAAGACAAGTCCTTCTAGACTTATGAATACATTAGACAGCTACACAATAATAATGAGAAATTTCAACACCCCACTGACAGCAGAAATAAAAAAAAATTGAAATAAATGAAAATAGACAAAACATACCAAAATCTCTGGGATGCAACAAACACAGTGTTGAGGAAAGTTTGTAGTGCTAAACACCTACCTCTAAAAGCTAAAAAAATCTTAAATTAATAGCCTTATATCAAATCCAGAGGAACCAGAAAAACAAGAACAAACTAACCCCAAAGATAGCAGAAGAAAAGGAATAATTAAAATTAAAGTGGAATATGAAATTGGGACCCAAAATTCCATACAAAAAAATCAACAAAATCAAAACTTTATTATTTGAAGTGACAAACAATATTAACAAACCACTAGCTATTAATAAATTAACAAAGAAAAAACAGAGAATATCCAAATAAGCACAATGAGAAACAACAAAGGTGACATTACAACCAATTCTGTAGAAATACAAACTACTAGCTAACCAAACACAATAACATATCAATAAGTTAATCCACCATGATGAAATTGGCTTTATTCCTGTGGTGTAAGATTGCTTCAACATAAGCAAATCAATAAATATGATTCGCCACATAAACAGAATTAAATACAAAAACCATATGACCATTTTACTAGACATAGACACAGAAAAATCTTTCTATAAAATCCAACATTCCTTCATGATAAAAACTCTCAAGAAACTAGGAATTGAACGAACATACCTCAAAATCATAATAGCCACTTATGACAACAGCCAACATCATACTAAATGGGCAAAGGCTGGAGCCACTCCTTTGAGAATCAGAATAAGACAAGGATGCCCACTCTCACCACTCCCTTTCAAGATAGTAGTAAAATGATAGCCAGAGAAACCCGGCAAAAGAGAGAAATAAAGGGCATCAAAATAGGAAAAGAAAAAGTCAAATGATCACTCTTCATGGGCAATCTGATTCTATACCAAGAAAACCCTGAAGACTCCACCAAAATGCTCCTGGAAATGATAAAGAACTTCGGTAAAGTTTCAAGATACAAAATCAATGTACAAAAATTAGTAGCATGTCTATACAACAGTAATGATTAAGCTGACAGCCTAATTAAGAATGCAATTTCATTTACAACAGCCATACATACACACACATGCATACAAATACCTAGTAATACATCTAACCAAAGAAGTGAAAAATCTCTACAAGGAGAATTACAAAATATTGCTTAAATGAATTATAGATAACACAAACAAATGAAAAGAAACATTCCATATTAATGAATTGGAAGAACCAATATTGTCAAAATGTCCGTACTGCCCAAAGCAATCTACAGATTCAAGGCTATTCCTATCAAACTACCAACATTATTTTTCATAGAACTAGAAAACACTATTCTAAAATTCATATGGAACCAAAAAAAAGAGCCTGAATAGCCAAAGCCATCCTAAGCAAAAAGAACAAAGATGAAAGTACCCATTATCATACCTCAAATTACACTATGAGGCTACAGTAGCCAAGACAACATGGCACTGGTATAAAAACAGACCAGTGGAACAGAATATAGAACTCAGAAATAAAGCCGCACACCTATAACTCCCTGATCTTTGACAAAGTCAACAATAACAAACAATGGAGAAAGGACTTCCTACTTAATAAATCATGCTGGAATAGCTGGCTAGCCATATGCAAAAGAATGAAAATAGACCCCTACCTTTCACCATATATGAAAGATTAACTCAAGATGGATTAAATATTTAAATGTAAGACCTAAAACTATAAGATTCCTACAAGAAAACCTAGGAAACTCCAATCTAGACATAGGCCTTCAGAAAGCATTTATGACTAAGTCCTCGAAAGCAATTGCAATACAAACAAAATTTGACAAATGGGACCTAAATTAAGATCTGCACAGCAAAAGAAACTATCAACAGAGTAAATAGACAATCTACAGAAGGCGAGAAAATGTTCACAAAGCATGCATCCAAAAAGGTATAATATCCAGAATCTATAATGAATTTAAACAATTGAACAAGAAACAAAAAAACCTCACTTAAAAATAGAAAAAGACATGAACCATTAGTTCTCAAAAGATGCACGCAGCCAACAAATGTGAAAAAATGCTTCACATCACTAATCATCAGAGAAATGTAAATTAAAACCACAGTGAGATATCATTTTAAACCAGTCAGAATGGCTATTACTAAAAAGTCAATAAACAACAGATGCTCATGAGGTTGTTGAGGAAAGGGAATTCTTACACACTGTTGGTCGGAATGTAAATTAGTTCAGCCACTGTGGAAAGCAATGTGGAGATTTCTCGAAGAACATCTAAATGAACTACCATTTGATGCAGCAATCCCATTACTTGATATGGTATCTAAAAGAAAACAAATCTTTCTATCAAAAAGACAAATGCACTTGCATGTTCATCACAGCACAGTAATAAAGACATAGAATCACCCTAGGTGCCCATCAATGGTGACTGGATTTTAAAAATGTAGTACATATACATCATGGAATACTATACAGCTATAAAAAAGAAGGAAATAATGTCCTTTGCAGGAATATAGATGCAGCTGGAGGCCATTATGTTCAGCAAATTAATGTAGGAACAGGAAACCAAACACTGCATGTTCTCACTTGTAATTGGGAGATAAATATTGGGTACCCAAGGAAATAAAGATGGCAATGATAGAAACTGGGACTACTAGACGGTGAAGAGAGGGCAGGAACAACGGTTGAAAAGCTAACTATTGGGTACTATGCTCAGTACCTAGATCAAAAGATCATTTGTATCCCAAACCTCAGGATTATGCAATATCCCTACGTAATAAACCTGCACATGTACCTGCTGCATCTAAAATAAAAGTAAAAAAAAAAAAAAAACAACACTGTATGAGTACAATGAACTGCTTTTTCATGCCCACAACAGTAAGAAAATCTAAGCGGTCTAGCAATACCAAATACTAGTAAGGACGTAAAACAGAAAAAGATTCTCATTCATCACAAGGGAGTGTGTAAATTGGTCCTTTTGTTTTGGAAAACAATTTGTCCTCTTCTAATAAAGTTAATCATAGTGGCTTCTTGTGCAGGGAATAGGACAGAAATTTCCACCAGCCGAGGGTACACCAAAAACTTTAAAATGAATGGTACTATTTCTTTAACTCTTGTAGGTATGAGCTGGTAATTTATTATTTATGTTATACTGCAGATTTAATACTTTTTATATGAAATACACTTCACAATATAAATTATTTGTTTAAAAAGAAAAAAAAATGGCCTAGAAGAACAAAGAAATCTCTGTACAAAGGGTAGTTCAGAATGATATGCCTGCCCATTAGAGAAAATGCCATAAAGTCAGTGTTAATAAGTCAATATGGTGGTGCCATAGTCATTAATAAATAGTTCATTAGACCAGAACATACATGTTTTATGACAACTTAGTATAGAATGAATGTGATATTTTAATTCATTGGTACAATGATGGTTTATATAATAAATGGTGCTGACACAACTGTTTGTTCACATAGAAGAAAAAAAGTCAAATATTTTTGCATTAATAAAATTTTTATGTAATTAAAAAGTTAAATTTAAAAGATGTACCTTATTGGAGAATCCAGAATATATATACATACTTTCTGGGGTTTGTGAATATCTTAATGGTATTGAGTTTAGTGATCAGTTACCATAAATGAAGTCAAAGACAAATAATTGAATTGCAAAAAAATACAACACACGACAGATGACTAATATTTATTCAACAGAAAGATTCTTTCAAACTGAAAAAAAGGGGAAGGTATCCAGTAGAAAAAAAAAATGGCTTTATATCATTGTTTCCCATTGGACCAACGCAAATGGTTACTAGAAGCACAAAAAGATGCAGGAACTTGCTGAGAGTTGAAGTCACAAAAAGTGATCAAACAATAACATATCACTTCATGTTAATTAGATGCCTATGTATTTCACCAATGCAGGTAAGCATAATAATTGTTACAATCTTTTGTGAAACAATATAGCAATAGCTATTAAAATTTTAAATATACTTAACCTTTGACACAGCATTTCTTACTTGAGGTCTATCCCACAAAGTAGACTAATGATATAGAGACCTATGGATACAGATGTTGATTCGTAGAGGTAGAAAGTAACAGCAAATTGACAAAGAGGAAAAATGGTGAAATAAATTATAGCACATTTATACCAAGGAACTATTTTACAGCTATTAAAAATAATGGATTAGAACCATGCTAACTGACAAAACAGAATCTTATAAAGTATTATTGGTTAGAAAATTAAAGTAGGAAATAGTGTGTCTGGAATTGGTGGGTTCTTGGTCTCACTGACTTCAAGAATAAAGCCACGGACCCTCGCGGTGAGTGTTACAGTTCTTAAAGGCGGCGTGTCCACAGTTTGTTCCTTCTGATGTTTGGATGTGTTTAGCCTTCTGGTGGGTTCGTGGTCTCGCTGGTTCAGGAGTGAAGCTGCAGACCTTCGCCGTGAGTGTTACAGCTCTTAAGGCAGCAGGTCTGGAGTTGTTTGTTCCTCCCGGTGGGTTCATGGTCTCGCTGGCTTCAAGAGTGAAGCTGCAGAGCTTCGCGGTGAGTATTACAGCTCATAAAACCAGCGTGGACCCAAACAAGTGAGCAGTAGCAGGATTTATTGCAGAGTGAAACAACAAACCTTCCACAACGCCAAAGGAGAGCGGAGGGGGTTGTCACAACTGGCTGGGGCAGCTTGCTTTTATTCTCTTATCTGGCCCCATCCACATCCTGCTGATTGGTCCATTTTACAGAGAGCCGATTGGTCTGTTTTACTGAGAGCTGATTGGTCCGTTTAGGCAGGGTGCTGATTGGTGCATTTACAATCCCTGAGCTAGACACAGAAGTTCTCCATGTCCCCACTAGATTAGCTAGATACAGAGTGTTCATTGGCGTATTTACAAACCCTGAGCTAGACACAGAGTGCTGATTGGTGCATTTACAAGCCTTGAGCTAGATACAGAGTGCCGATTGGTGTATTTACATCCCTTAGCTAGACATAAAGATTCTCCAAGTTCCCCACCAGACTCAGAAGCTCAGCTGTCTTCACCCAGTGGATCCCGCACCTGGGCGGCAGGTGGAGCTGCCGGCCAGTCCTGGGCGGTGCGCCGGCACTCCTCAGCCCTTGGGCGGTGGATGGGACTGGGCTCCGTGGAGCAGGGGGCGGCGCTCGTTGGGAAAGCTCGGGCCGCGCAGGAGCCCACGGCGGGCTGGGGAGGCTCAGGCACGGCGGGCTGCAGGTCCCGAGCTCTGCCCCGCGGGGAGGCAGCTAAGGCCCGGCGAGAAATCGAGCACAGCAGCTGTCGGCCCATGTGCTAAGCCCCTCACTCCCCGGGTCGGCGGGGCCCGCCGGCCACTCCGAGTGCGAGGCCCGCCGAGCCCACGCCTACCCGGAACTCGCGCTGGCCCGCAAGCGCCGCGCGCAGCCCCGATTCCCGCCCGCGCCTCTCCCTCCACACCTCCCTGCAAGCTGAGGGAGCCGGCTCCGGCCTTGGCCAGCCCAGAAAGGGGCTCCTACAGTGCAGCGGCGGGCTGAAGAGCTCCTCAAGCACGGCCAGAGTGGGCGCTAAGGCCGAGGAGGCCCCGAGAGCGAGCGAGGGCTGTGAGCGCTGCCAGCATGCTGTCACCTCTCAATAGTAAGGTAACAAAATTAAAGTGTAAAATAAGGCTTCATTTAAAAAAGGAAAACTGGTAAAATCCTCATCTATTTGTGTATATACATAGGGACACAGATGTATATTAGTGTATGTATATCGGTACATGATACTTAAACATGAATAAAGCATTCAAGTTTATCTGGCATATATGGTTATACATATTATCTTGAGAAAGCAAGGTGGAGGTGGGACAAATAAAAATAGACCAAGTGAAAAGACTGTACAAAAGGCCTTATATAATCCTCCTTAATATCTATGTATGTATATATAGAGATGAGGTAATTACAGAAGAAACACAAATAGTATAAAGCTGTATTGACTAGCTTATACCTTTTGTGATATGGTACCAGATTGAAAAGAAATAAAATGAAGTTGCAGACTAACAAGTAGAGTAGCACTCTCTGGGTGAAATAAAGTTCCAAATAAGTTGTTAAATGCATGTATTTAAAGGAGAAGGGAATATAAATATATATATATATATATAAATGTTGATTCCAGCAGTGGCAAAGGTGGAGATGGTGGTGGTGAGGAATAGTGGTGGGTGGGAGGGAGGGCATTATATTTGTCTTCTTAAACCTTTGCACTGTCTTGCCTTATTTTTTAAGTGTCAGTGAATCCATTACTGATTGCTATGTAACAAATCACCCCAAAACTAAGCATTGTAAAAGAAGAAGCATTTTGAGAGTTTGTTAGTGGCTCTTATGACCTGGACTGGCTCAGCCTAGTTGGCTCAACTAGGGCCTCATTTGTGTATCTATTAGTAGGCTTCGTGTCACTGAAGTGATGGGGATCAATTGGTCACATGTTACGCATTCTCCAGCAAACTTGCCAGGGTAAGCATCACAGTACAGTAGCCACGGGGCTCCCAAGAGCAGCAAGAAAGCAAGCTCCTATGTGCAAGTACTTTATAAACCTCTGCTTATGAGACCTGGATCAATGTAATATTGTCCAAAGCAGGTCACAAGGTCCAAGAAAGAGTCCTAACAAAATGCATGGGTAGAGAGAAAATAATAAGTTGTAGGTATTTCTGCAACATACCACAACGCAGTACCAAACTAATTTTCATTATTATTTTATTAATTTCTATTTGCTATTTTTGTCAAAGAAAAAAACTCTCAAACTGTGTTTTTCCTCTACTCTCACACCACAAGAATCAACACAGAGGATTTCTGTCACCAAATGTGTAGAGGAATTTTTGCCACACACCAAGCAGTGGACAACAGCTGGGTGTCTTCTTATTCAGTTCAATTTTGACACCAGCTATCAGGAGATAGCATCAGATCCCATGGGTTGAGGCCCCAGTCCCCTAGACTGTCTCTCCTCCAGCAGTCACAAGTCTGGGCCCCCAAAACTTCTGATGCACTGGCTTCAAGTAGGGGTTTCTATGAACCCGTCTTTGTGTTTGTTTAATCTGCTGGAGTGACACACAGAACTCAAGGAAACAGTTATATTTACTGGTTTATTATACAGAATATTGCAGAGTATACAGATGAAGACATGCTGATATGGTTTGGCTCTGTGTCCCCACCCAAAGTTCATCTCAAATTGTAATCCCCACATGTTGAGGGAGGAACTTAGTGTTGCGGCCTGTAGTTCAGCAAGTGGGAGGGAGTGGCATCCAGTGGCTTTGTTTCTTCTCTCTTGTTGTTCACTGAGCAGGAGGGAGAGTTGCCACTCTTTCACTCCTGCTGCACACAGATTGGAGAGCAGGTGCATTACAAGTTTTTTGCTCCCTCGGTTTGGCAAGTTCTGGGTTCTTGTCCCTCAACCAAGAGAAATAAGGTACACAAACACTAGAGAGTAAGTCAGAGTAAAATCTTATTGAGGGACAGAAAGCTCTCAGCAGGGAGAGGGGACCCAAAAGTGGGTTGGCATCTGTGAGGCTGAGTCTGGGGTTTTATGGGCTTAGAATGGGGGAGTGTGTGCTGATTGGTCTGTGGGTGGTCTTGGAAAGGCACCATTTGATTGGTTGAAAGCTATCATTCGGAAGGAACCAATTGAGAGAGAGTGGGTAAGATGGGGATGGAAGTTCTCACTCTGGTCATGGACTCTAGCCAGAACGGGCAGCTTGGTTTGCAGGCTTTAAACTGTCCTTGGCTTGAAAGTTGGGTTTTGCTAGGGCCTCATCTCTGTCTGCCTAGGAATTTGTCTGTCTCCTGTGACTATCACTGGTGTGAGGTGATTGCATCATGGAGACAGCTTCCCCCATGCTGTTCTCATGATAGTGAGGGAATTCTCATGAGATCTGGTTGTATGATAAGTGTCTGACATTTCCCCTGCATGCTCTCTCTCTCTCTCTCCTACCACCTTGTGAAGAAGGTACTTGCTTCTCCTTCACCTTTCACCATGATTGTAAGTTTCCTGAGGCCTCCCTAGCCATGTGGAACTGTGAGTCAATTAAACCCCTTTTATTTATAAATTACCGTCTCATATAGTATCTCTATAGCAGTGTGAAAATGGACTAATACACATGCATAGGGTGAGTTATCAAGGAATGGGCATTGAACTTCCATGCCTTCTCCAGGTGAGCCACCTTCCAGGAACCTCCATATGTTCAGCTATCTGGAAACTCCCCAAACCCAGTCCTCTTGGGTTTTTGTAGAACTCTTCTTTCCCCCATGGTAGGATACACGGCCTTCTCAGGGGAGAGTCTTAAGACTCACAATTAGAAATACATGGAAAACTAGAGTCCTGACTTGGGGCAAGTGAAGGGAAAGCCGGAGAAGAGATTCTGTTACCTGAGGTCTACACCCAAGGCCTAACACACCCAACATTATAAGAAAAGACTGTATTAAGGGATATGAGAGTTATGAGCCAGGAATCGTCAATAAAAACACTACCTGTATATATCATAACTCCATAGGCCACACCCTAGTTTTTGACCTAGGATCCATTACATCAAAAGAATATGCGTAGTCATTAATAGTTCTGTCCATCATATTGTATGAATGTTTCCCAGGGTGAGAGCACTCAGATTTGCAGGTTTCCTTTCACTCTTGTCAGATTCCAGAAGCAGGAGCGGTCTTTTCAGATATGCAGCTTCACTCTTTCAGCTTTCAAACATCTGTAATAATTGAGCTGAGACAATATCATTTCTTGTTCTGAGACTATTTTGAGTTGTTAGTATTGAATTTTCCTCAATTAACAACCCATCTATTCATTTCCTTAAGCTACTGTTCCTCCTTCTCTTCATTAATACCCAAACTTTTTCACCTTTGCAGGGGACATTAGAATTGCCACTATGCTGGTCTAGATTGCAGGCAGCAATACAAGTCTACCAAGTACCCCCTCCTCAGTCCACTCCTATTTGGATAAGGTAAGGTTATATAGGTGCAGAACTAGTGAGCTATTTTTTTTTTTTTTTTTTTGAGACGGAGTCTCGCTCTGTCGCCCAGGCTGGAGTGCAGTGGCGCGATCTCGGCTCCTAGGGAGCTATTTTTACCACCAGGCAACATAGCTGCATTCACTCTTACCACCATTTTGCTTAATAGGGTGGAACACAATCCACCCGCATCAGGGCATTTGGAATTCTGACACAAGTTTTTAAACCACAGTTAGTTTCTTGTTTAGAAGCCATCTCTGCTTTCAGCACCTGTAGTTGCAGCCCTGGTCTTAGGATCACTCTATCAGGTAGGGGAGAAGAAGAAACTTTTTTTTTTTTTTGCATGTGTGGTGATTTGGGGAAGGAAAAGTTATAGTTGTTATACCAGTGTACTCCTCCCTTGGTAAGAATTACATAGTCATACTAGCACCCGCCCCACTCCCTCTTCCCCAGATCAAACAGAAAAACAGAAAAATCTAGAAGGGACACTCCTTTAGACCCATTCATGTTGAGTGTGAGCACACACTTATGAAAATGTGTAAGCCAACTCTTTATACTTTCATCTGCCCTTGTTTTAGACAACCAGTGTTTAAAATTGCCTGTTCTACTTTTCTATCAAATTCTCTCTCTAAGAAGGATATCTCAGCCCATTTTTGGACATTATGGGCAGTACAGTGTGTTCCTTGGTCTGATGAAATGACAGCCAGCCATCCAAGACATCCAAATTCATGCCACTTCTTCTCTATCTTCTCTTCTGTTTTTATTATTTATTATTTTGTTTTGTTTTTTAAATGGCACTCTGAACATTTGCATCTGCCACTGGGTAAGCAAAGTTCACTCCAGAGTCAGTGTCTATTCCTGTCAAGACCCATTTGTAGCCCTCCGTGGCTGCCAGCATCAGTCTCACTTCCCAGCTATGAGGGCCTTCCCATCAGGGAATTGGCCCTATAGCCATCAGCAATCTCTCTCTCTTGCTGAGAAACAAAACAGTTCGTATTGGCATCATGTGCTTGAAAGGGTGAAAGAGGAACACGTGTAAATTCAGCCCATCTCTGCACTGCTGCAGTACCTTCATACCCACTCATGGACCCAGGTGGCCACCTTAAAGGAGCACACAGGGATGTCTGCTTGTCGATTCCAGTGAACCACTGAAACTGGAAGGAAGTTCTTCTGATAGGCATTGACTTGTTCTACTTTAATGCACCCCTCAAGTCTCCATAGGGCTGTGACCCTTATGGGCATCCTTTTAATAGGCTAGGTTTTCATTGGATTCTCACCTTAATGTATGGCAAGGCCCTGGACCACTACCTGTGAGTTAGTAAAAACCCAAACGCAGGGGTTCCTACCACTGTTCAATTCTTCCATTACTGTTAGAAAAACATGCAATCCAGTCCACCGAACTGATCTGTTTTTACCTTTTTTGATCAAAATAGCAGCTTTCCAAACAAGAGAGGGTCCATTCACCTTGGAACTGCCATTTGTAAACTAAGCAGCTCCTTGTTGATCAGTTGAGAGTAGTTCATAGGACACTGTCCAAGTGTTCATAGAATTTATTGCCAGAGTCAATCCCAGGGGTAAAGGGGCTCCTTGCTTGTGAATATCTTCTTGTGTTCTTCAGGTGGCACATATCTGTATAACCATTTCCATTTTGTTGTAAAACACTTCTGAACACTGCCATTCTCATTAGATCAGGAGTGCCCAATCTTTTGGCTTCCCTGGTCCACATTGGAAGAAGAATTGTCTTGAGCCATACATAAAATACACTAATACTAACAATAACTAATGAGCTAAAAAAAAAAAAACTGTAAAAAAATCTCATAATGTTTTAAGAAAGTTTACAAATTTGTGTTGGGCTGCATTCACAGCCATCCTGTGCCAAATGTGGCCCACTGACCACGGGTTGGACAAGCTTGGATTAGACTGTTCCCCTGACATCATCTGAGACAGCATAGGTATTTCAGGTGTCAAAATCATTATATGTTCCCCAGTCATAGGGTAGCTTCAGTTAACATCCCATAATGAAGTAGTAAATGCCCATCAAATGGAAATTCTCTGGTCGAAAGTCCTAGTAGGTGTTGTTGTGAAATGCTCATAGGCCGTTGCCATAAGCCCCAGAAAACACTCCATGAAGAGCTGCCAAATGGAGAATTTGTTCTGATTGGCTTTTACTCTGCACTGTGTGGACTTGGGCAATCTTACTGATTCCAATTTAGCATGTCCAATTAACATTGCTTAAAGAGCAGATTTACATGCCTTCTGTTTTATGGTACAACGTAAAGAAAACATTTCCCAATCAGGTACAATATTCATTTCAAGGATGTAATCGGGAAAAAAAGACACAACCACTTCACATAAAATATATTCAAATATACCAACTTTTAAAGTTCTGTCAACCCTTACATTTTCATGTTGTAGTTCCAGGAACTTCTCTTAACTCTCAGACCATTTTACCCTCCCTTGAGCAAAAGGCTTTGGGTTCCCAGCCAAGGGTTGAGCCAAAGGAGCCTGGCCCCCTTGTCAATCTTTATCTTGATTAATCTGCCCAACTACTACCCTAGGCAATTTCAGATCAGATTTTCATTGATATCTCTGCCTTTTTAACTTTTTAAAGTTCTCCAAACTGGAATAAATACAGCAATCTGGTTTGGGGCCTTTTGGGGACTAGATGGGTTTCCTTTGGTTCACGCAACCCTCAATGCTTGTATTAACACATTTGTTTTGACCAGATGTGATGGCTCTTGCCTGTAATCCCAGCACTTTGGGAGGCCAAGACAGGCAGATTATTTGAGGTCGGGAGACCAGCCTGGCCAACATGGTGAAATCCCATCACTACTAAAAAAAAAAAAAAAATTAGCCAGGAGTGGTGGTGGGCACTGTGATCTCAGCTACTTGGGAGGCTGAGGCAGGAGAATCGCTGGAACCTGGGAGGTGGGGGTTGCAGTGAGTCAAGGTCACTGACTGCACTCCAGCCCGGGTGACAGACCAAGGCTCTGTGAAGAGAAAAAAAAAGACATTTGTTTTAACTTTATGGAATTTCCTCTTTATTCATTCAATGTTTTAATAACCATCTGAAGATTTCCATACTACTTGGAATTTGTCCATGACTCTCCCCTTTCTTTTTCTTCTTGGTTTTACTACTTTTGAAGCAGCTATGTTGTCTGGGTTAAATACTCAGGGTTCGTCTTCTCATGCCAGGAAAATTTAGGACACAGACACACACGAGGAGTTTAGGAGCGGAGGTTTAATAGGGAAGAGAAAGAAAGGAAAACAACTCTCTCTCTAGTGAGAGAGAGGCGACTTCTGAGAGGAAAGGCTGGCAGGTGGCAGACCTGCTGGATTTTATAGTCAGGTTTGTGAAGGTGGTGTCTGATTTACATAGGGCTTACGATTGATTTGATCAGGTATGATGGTTACATGGCACCTGGGAAGGCTGGCCACCCCACCCTAATCTTATTATGCAAATGAAGTTTCCCCTTGCCCTGCGCTACTTGTCTGCTCCTACTGTACGGGTGGCTGACAAAGAGAAGGGAAGATGGAGCCACCATCTTGAACATGATTGGCACAACTGCTGGCATCTATGTCTGCAGTTTGACTTTACAGGCTGCTCTTAGTTAGAAAAGAAAATAATTTGGGTCAGCTTTTCATTAAAAGGAAAACCTTACCGAGGACTTCCATGCCTTCACTATCTGCCTAAGTAATTTCTTCCTAACTTCTTTGTCACTATCAATGTTTTCTTTATTCATCTTATTTCTTAGTAACCATTAAAAAATTTCCACCCTCCTGGGATGAGTCCTTTGACTCTCTCTTTTGCCTTTCTTCTTTCTGTTGTAAGTTAACATAATGTTTTCATGAGCCTGTGTAAGATCCATAAGGCAAAGCTGAGACCGCAAATTTGATAAAGCGTCTCAAAGAACAGTTGAACAGTTGTTCTTTTTTTTTTTTGGAGACGGAGTCTCGCTCTGTCCCCCAGGCTGGAGTGCAGTGGCGCAATCTTGGCTCACTGCAAGCTCCGCCTCCCGGGTTCACACCATTCTCCTGCCTCAGCCTCCCGAGTAGCTGGGACTACAGGTGCCCGCCACCACGTCCCGCTAATTTTTTGTATTTTTAGTAGAGACGGAGTTTCACCGTGTTAGCCAGGATGGTCTGGATCTCCTGACCTCGTGATCCACCCATCTCGGCCTCCCAAAGTGCTGGGATTACACGCATTAGCCACCGCACCCAGCCTAGAACAGTTGTTCTATTAGGCAGGAGTAATGTCATGTGGGGTGCTCATGTAGAAGGGGCCTCTTCAACCACAGCATTTACCATGACTTGAGTAATGGGCTTATTTAGAGGGTGAATATCCCTGTCATCATAAAACTAGTCCCACATGACTAGCATACCCAACTATTTATGCATTGCTTCATATAGTAGCTCCCTCATCTGGGGTGTTCCACTTGGTATTTATAAGTGGAGTTGGAAAGCCTCCATCTCAGGAAAAACAAACCTTACAGTGGCTTTTTTCCAGTCCACCAGCCTGGCTGGTGCCTCAGGAATAAGTTCCTGTGTGTCTGGATCATATATACCCATCTGTGATTATTCAGTAATGAGCTATGTGTCCTGCATCAACCTAAGCATGCTCTTACACTCTGCAGCGTTTAAAATGAAAGATACTGTCCCTAAATTAGTTACTGTCATAATCCATTTTAGTAAAGGTTCCTCAGCAAGCTGACGATGCCAATCTATAAAAGGGAACACTTCCTTTACACTATACCCTCTGATTTCAATAGTTACTTGGTTGTGCCCTTTCCCCACATTGACTGCCTTCTTGGTAACCACAGGTCCTCAGAGATACTTTCTGTTGTCCCTACATAATTTTCTCATTTGTGGGTTACTTTGTGGCTAGTTGCCTGAGCTCAGATAGACTAAAATCTAAGCTTGGTCTAGCATTAAGGTCTGACCCAGCATTCTCTTTTAATTTGATTTTGGCTAGTACGTATAACAATAACCAAGGGATTGAATATTTCACTTTTTCTTATTTGTTTGCATCTCTTTATGCATCCAGTGAACCAACTCCATAGGAATTAGGTCCATTTCTAAATTCCACTGGTAACTTTTACCTTTAGTAAGTAGTACAACATGGTTGTGGCTCCATAGCATGGGTGACCACATGGCCACTCAGGAATCAAAGGTTCCTCGTCTCCACTCTTTTATTCTTTCTCTTCCCAAACCACATATTTCCAGAAGCCAGGGCTTGTCCATCAAATCCTACCTCTGACACCAATTTTGTCAGGGAAAAAACTCTTTCAAACAATGTTTCTCCTCTACTCTAACACCATAACAATCAACACAGATTTCTCTGTGACCAAATATGCAGAGAAATTTTCCCCACGCTCCAAGCAGCAGACACCAGGTGCGTGTCCTCTAGTTCAATTCCAACACTATCTACCTGGAGATAGCATCAGATCCCGCAGGTTGAAGGCTCAGTCCCCAAGACTACCTCTTCCCGACCAGTTGCAAGTCAGAACCTATGAATGGAATTAGTGCCCTTGCAAATCAGGCTCCAGAGAGCTGCCTTGCCCTTTTTTCATGCAAAACCAGTGAGAAGGTGTCATCTATGAGCCAGAAAATGGACCCTCATCAGATACCAAATCTGCCAATGACTTGGTGTTTAACTTCCCAGCCTCAGAATAATAAAAAGTAAATTTCTGTGTTATTTTACAAGCTACCCAGTTTAATGCTGTTTTGTTACAGCAGCCTAAATAGGCTAAGACAGGGCTGCCTGATGTTTTAAAAAATTCTTTTTTGGCCGGGCTCAGTGGCTCACACTTGTAATCCCAAAACTTTAGGAAGCCGAGGTGGGCAGATCGCCTGAGGTCGGGAGTTCGAGACTAGCCTGACCAACATGAAGAAACCCCGTCTCCACTAAAAATACAAAATTTGCCAGGTGTGGTGGTGCATGCCTGTAATCCCAGCTACTTGGGAGGCTGAGGCAGGACAATTGCTTGGACGCAAGAGGCAGAGGTTGCGGTGAGCCGAGATTGCACCATTGCACTCCAGCCTGTGCAATAAGAGCAAAACTCCATCTCAAAAAAGAGAAGAAAAGAAAAAAAAATTATTTTTTATGACGTGCAGTACCTCTTATATTTTATACTCCCTATTTTTCACTGGTGTATAGTTGAGGAATCTACATCTCCTGGTTTATAGGGCCTGGTCATGCTTTATGCTTGACTCCTTGGTTTCCCATCCAATTTAGAAGTTGCTCTGGATTATTTTTTCATTTATAACAAAATATTATCACTAATTGTTGCATTAAAACAAGCAAGAATGGGAACCTCTATTTTGTACTTGTAATTTCTGTCATTATCTCAAGTAACAGCATGTTGGATACATGCACAATTAACAGAAATTTTACTTTAACCAGTGACTACACATGTAGAATGACCAGCAATAATTTATCATTCTTTTTTAGATAATTTGCAGATGTTATATTACAGTGCTCTTCTTTAAGGACTTGAAGAAATGCACTTAGTGCAGTGAGCCGAGATCCTGCCACTGCACTCCAGCCTGGGCGACAGAGCGAGACTCCGTCTCAAAAAAAAAAAAAAAAAAAAAAAAGAAATGCACTTAGGCACTTAGATGTTAGATTGTGGTGGGGAAGGTACCGCTGTTGCCCTGTGGGCCATTTACTATTAATATAATAGCCATCTGCACTGTACCCAACAGAGTGGCCTACAAGATGCTGGAAATTTCTCAGGACCTAGTAGCCAGGATCAATGGGCAATCTGAGAGACTGTAGTTCATAGGTACATGGAATTGTGACAGAGTACAAATGCATCTGACCACACTCACTACAGTAGTTTTTTTAAAAATTCTATTGATTTTAATGTCCTATAACCGTTTTATTTCTTTTTTATAAATGTTTTTATTAAAGAAATGAGCTTTTAGAAAGCAAATGGTTAATTAAAAATTACTACTGAATTTCAGTTACTAAAGAAACTTGGTGATGAGTATCATCTTCAAAAATATTTGTAAGCATTATCATCTGTCATAAAAGAACATAATGGTATCATCGACCATAAAAAGCAGACATGCACATTTTAAAGAAGAATCAGATTTACTTCAAATTAGCAGTTAGTTTCCATAAGATTCATCCTCAAACAATTGTTTAATCCATGAGACTGCAGTAGAAAATGTTTCTATATCCATTTGCAAAGCATGACTTTTCATTGAGATCAAATGATTGTTCCATTTTCTTTCATTTTTTTTTATTTGAAGGATTTTTTTCCTTCAAATATAAAGTGAAGTGATAGCTGTTAACACACTGGTTCCATTACTACTGGAAAAGCTTCACAGCTAGGTGTATAAAGTGAGTTTTGTGTTGGTATTACCAGATGCTATAAATGTAAAATTAGCTAATTCTAATAATGGTTTGATAATGATGATTATTATGATTATGACTTTGATTATGGTGATTAAAATCAAAATACAGCTTTTATAAGTTCATTTTGTTGAGTGAAACATTTGAAATTTTAGGGAATGCTTTGTAAATTCAGATGAAAGTTCAGCATTGAAAATAAAATTAGCTGTTTTTGTAGTGATAATATGAATACAAACTTCATAGAGCACATCATGGTGAAAACTATATTTTTACTAAATTAAGAGGCCTACAGTGAAGAAATATGCTAGAAATTGCTGTTGATGCCCTCATAATTCATTATTTCCAAGAAGTTACAAAAATATTCATTAGAATAGCAGTGCACACTTAGCACTTTGATGCTCATCATAAATCAAATTTAGAAGTATTTGAGCTCTGGAAAAATTATTTTGTATATCAATCTGAATGTTTTAAAAATGATAGTAAACTATTTTTTTTTCAAATGAGGCTTTTAAATTTTGGCTGCATGTTTAAAATATTTTGCACAATATTCAATGGTATGAATGCCAAAAATTTATCAGATTTTTAACTTTCAGAGTATCTAAAATATATTCTGTACTGGAATGCAATGACTTGAAGAAAGCCCTCAATTTTGCAGCAACCAGATTTAGCAAAGTATTAAAAAAAGATATATAAAGCAATAACTGACAAGTTTTGTCTTCTGAAATACTTGTCAGTAAAATTCTCTGAATAGAAGGAAAAAGACAATAGCTATGAAAATATTTGGACTGAAATATTTATACATTTTAACATCAAAAATATAAGAATATACTCCATTTTTAAGAATTTGCCCTTGGCTTAGAGTTATTTCACATCCACAGAGAGAATATGTTCTCAACTGAAATTATAAAACAGAGCATGTGGTCCATAGATGATGTCAGAAACTTTAAATATGTTAACTATAACATGAAACTTTGAAAAAGATTACAAACTTTATTTATGAGAAAAACAATAAGACCATATTGAAGAGTGTATTCTTCAGAGAAAAACAATAGCAGTGACACAGTGAGAGAAATACGTATGTTTAAGAAACTGATTAAAGTACACGAATATGTGCCAAGAATAATTATTATGGTTATTCCAATTTAATGCTCAGCTAATCAAATAGAAAAAATGTTTAAAACATTTTTAAATTTAAATACATGAATGCATGCCATTTTTATTTTTAAAAGTGTTTTATGCTTTCAAAAAGTTTTAAATATATTTATACACAAATACAACAGAACTTGTCTGTCAATAAATATATATTTTAAAATGCTATTTTTTTTAATTAATAAAATTTATTTTTAGAGAAGGTTTGGTTCACAGAAAATTAAGCAGAAAGTACAGATAGTTCCCGTTTACCTCCTGTTTCCATACATGTACAGCCTACCCCACTATCAATATCCTGTACCAGAGTGGTACATTTGTTACAATTGATGAACTTACATCTCACTTTATTATCAACCAAAGTCCATAGTTTACATTAAAGTTTATTCACTATTGGTGTTGTGCATTCCATGGGTTTTGACAAGTGTGTAAGTATATAACATGTATTCACTATTAAGCATATTAAAGAATAGTTTACACAGCCCCAAACCCTCTATGCTCTGCCTATTCATCCCTCCCTTCCCTCATCCCTTGGCAACCACTAATCTTTTTACTGTCTCCATAGTTTTGTTTTTCCAGAATATCATATAGTTAAATAGTATTAAGCCTTTTTAAGATTGGTTTCTTTCACGTGATAATAAACACTTAAGTTTCCTCTGTGCCTTTTCATAGCTTGATAGCTCATCTATTTTTAGTGCTGCATAATATATTATCTGGATATACTATAGTTTATTTATGTGCTCACCTATTAAAGGATGTCTTGTTGCTTCCAAGTTTTGGCAATTATGAATAAAGTAGATATCTGTGTGGACAAAAGTTTTCGACTCCTGTGGGTAAATACTAAGGAATATAATTGCTGATTCATATGTTAAGAGAAGGTTTAGTTTTGTAAAAAACTGTCAAACTATCTTCCAAAGTGGCTGTACTATTTTGCATTTCCACCAGAAATGAATGAGAGTTCCTGTTGCTCCATTTCCTCACCAACATCTGATGTCAATATTTTGGATTTCAACTATTCTAATAGATGTGTAGTGCTTTCTCATTGTTTTTTAATGGGCAGTTCCCTAATGACACACAGTGTTGAACATGTCTTCAGATGCTGAATTACTTTCCATATATTTTCTTTGGTGAGGTGTCTGTTTAGGTCTTTTGCCCATTTTTTAATTGGGGTGTTTATTTTCTCATTGTTGCATTTTAAAATTTATTTGTATATTTTAAATACCAGCCCTTTATCAGATGTGTCTTTTGCAAGTATGTTCTCCTAGTCTGTGGCTCATCTATCTTCTTATTCTCTTGGAATTGTCTTCAGAATCATTGTGAAGCAGAAATGTTTAATTTTAATGAAGTCTTGCTATTAATAATTTCTTTCCTGGATTATGCCTTGGGTGTTGTATTTTTAAAAAGTCAGTGCCATAGCCAAGGTCATCTAGATTTTTTTCTGTTATCTTCTAGGTGTTTTATAGTTTTGTAATTTAGGTCTATGGTCCAATTTAAGTTATTTTTTCTGAAGGATATGAGGAAGTTCTATATCTAAATTTGATTTATTTTGCTTGTGGATATCCAGGTGTTCCAAGACCATTTGCTGAAGATTATTTTTGCTCCATTGCATTGCTTTGCTCCTTTGTCAAGTCAGGGGACTGCATTTATGTGGTTCTATTTGGAGCTTTCAAATTCTATTCCATTAATCTACTGGAATAGTTTTGCCAATACCACACCCTCTTGATTACTGTAGCTATATAGTATGTCTTAAAGTAGGATAGTGTCAATTCACCAACTTTGTTCTTCTCCAGTAGTGAGTTGGATATTCTGTTTTCTGGGTTTTTTGTTTTGCTTTGTTTTTATTTTTCTACTTTTCCATGTATAAATGTTAGAATCAATTTGTCAATATCTAACTTGCTGGAATGGGATTGTATTGAATCTTAGATCATATTGGAAAGACTATCATATTGACAATGTTGTCTTCCTATTCATGAACGTGGGATATCTTTAGTATAGTCCTTTTTCATATTTTGCAGTTTTCCTTATATATACCTTTATATATTTTGCTAGATTTATGCCTAAATATTTATTTCATTTTTAGGAGTACTAATGTAAATTTTTTTGTGTTTTTTAAATGTCAAGTTCCACCTGTTTATTGTTGGTATATAGAAAAGTTATTTTCTTTTGTATATTCACCTTGTATCCTAAAACTGGTATAATTGCTCGTTAGTTCCATTTTTTTAAATATACTTTCAGATTTTCCACACAGATGATTATTTTATCTGTGAACAAAGACAGCTTATTTATTTCTTCCCAATCTGTAGCCCTTCTATTTTATGTTCTTGTCCTACTGCATTAGCTAAGATTTCGAGTACAGTGATCAAAAGCAGTAATAATAAGAGACATTCTTTCCTTTTACCTGATTTTAGTGGGAAAGGTTTTCATTTTTCACCATTAAGCTGCTATTGTTTTTTTCTTTTTTTGAGGCAGGAACTTGTCCATTCTCTAAGAGTAAGAGCAAGAGGGCCAGTGTGGCCTTAACTGAAATACTGATGGGGAGGAGAGTAGGACATAGAGTCTTGGAGTTATGGTAAATATATATATACATATATATATATATACACACACACACACACACACACACACACACATTTATTTATTTACTGTGAGTAAGGCAATAATAGAAATGTCACAATCTGACATATATTCACAGGATCCAACTTTTTAATAGAAAATTGACTGAAGAAAAGCAAACTAGGAGCATACAAACTAGTTATTATTTTAAAGAGAAATGATGGTGGCTTGGGTCATGTTTGAAGACTTGTAGATGGTGAGAAGGGGATGGAATCTGAGCTGTTTCAAAGAAGGTGCCACATATCTCCTCAATCTACACTTCCATGTTTATTAGAGTGTTATTTGCAATACTCAAAAATACAGAATAAACCTAAGTGCTCATCAACAAATGAACAGATGAAGAAAATGTGGTATATATACAAAATGGAATATTATTGTCGTGAAAACAAATGAAATCCTGTCATTTGCAGCAACATGGATGAAACTAAAGGTCATTAAGTATTATAAAATAAGCCAAGCACAGGAAGACAAATATTACATGTTCTTACTCATATGTGGGCTATAAAAACAATCTCATGAAGCTAGAGGGTGGGTTGGTGATTGTCAGGGGCCAGAAAGGGCAGAGGATGTGGGAGAATGAAGGGAAAAAATAATATAAATTCATTAATCACCACTGAATTGTACATTTAAAAATGGTAAACATGGTAAATTTTTATGCATATTTTACCTTAATTTTAAAAATTTAAAAACAAACGAGAAAAGTAAAGACAGTGCCAAGGGATATGCTGATCTCTTTAACGAAGTTTGGAGAGAAAGAGATGAAGCAAGAAAAACTCCAAGGTTTTTATATGAGTAAATAAAAATAATGAAATTAATAACACCTATTCCACAGGGTTATGAAGAACCAATGGGAAAATGTAGGTAAAGAGCTTGATTTATACAGGGTGCCAAAATGTTCAATACTTCTTATCCTTCTTTTCCCTTCTTCCAAAACCCTTGTATATATAATCTTTGTGCTAATTTTTGACTATGTAGGGAAAATCTAAATAATTAATAATTATGCCAATAGTCTTGATGTATTTTTATGCTGTTTGTCAAAAATAATGGAACAACAGGTAGATGGTTTCATGAAGCTGAAGGAAAGAGCTCAAGTTTAACATGAAGTTTTAGCAGATATATGATGAGTTCCTATTTATGTTCTGAATTGTATTAGATGTATAGACATGCTATCTGATTTAATCATAATAAAATCCTTTTGAGGTTCATGTTATCATCACCACTTAATAAGTAAGAAAACTGAAACTTAAAAGAGGTTAAACAGTTTATCCAATGTCACAGAAAATTAGAACTATGATTTAAACAAAGTGTTGCTGTCTTTGCAGAAAGTTAGTCTTCATCCAGTTCCCTCTCTCAGGGCCAGTTTTCAGAAGCATAAATTGATTGTTGTGAGGAAACTCTTTGCTTTACATTTTTCTTCAAGGTAACTTCTTTATCATTTTTATATCATAATCATGCTGAACCAATTATGTGGCTTTCCCCAAATTGTATGCCATCTCTGATATTTTGAATATCCTGTTTCCTCTCCGTGGAATGTCCTCTTCTTATCCACCAGGAAAAATTTAATATCTCTTTAAAATTTCAACTTGACCATAATATTGTTTTGGTAAGATTCTCTGATTCTCCGAGTGAAATTAAGACTGCTTGTATCTGTTGTTCCATTTCATCCTACACAGCAGAAGTACTAGTAATTTCTATATTGCATGGTGATGGAAGACTTATCTTCCTCACAAGGATATGAGCTTTCTGAGGACAGGAATTTGTCTTACTTTGTCTCTGAATTTCCAGGACTGAGTCACTACCAGACACACAGACCCAGAATAAGGACATACTGATGTATAAATGAAAGAACCTCTCCAAATCCATACAAAGTGCATCAAACTACACCAGAAAAAAAGCTATCCTTATGCCCTGAGGCTAGGCAGAAAAAAAATCTTGGGGCCTGACATTGCCTGTATCTGCTAAGTAGTGTCACTCTGAAAAAGTTAAGTCTAGACTTCAAGGTCTTTCTTGAAGGGAACATTGCTCTCTCCCAGGAATTAGGAAATATTAGCACATGTTTTGGTTCATTAACCAATGGACTCTGACCTCCCATCTGTTCCATTTGGAGAATTCCCCTCTATGCCATGGGGTAGTGCCTTGAGAAACCTGGCACTTACCTGCCTTGAGAAGCCACCTCTGTGCTGAGGCCATCCTCTAATGGGCACTATACTTTGCTCTCATATCTCAGAGTTGCATCTAACAGTATATACTTCTGACATATCATAACCCAATAACCAAAGTGACAGGTGTGCAATGGGGAACTACACTGTAAGGATTACTGTGATTGTATGCATGTGTGTGTGTGTTTTGTATGTCACAGATATGTAAAGTACATTACCTTTTCCTCATCTAATTTATGGTGTAATAAAACTTACTGTGTCCCCACTCTGTTAAGAGAGTGTAGAAGCAAAAGGCTCCTCTTACTGGCTCTGAAAAATTTTTATCATGAGCAGAAGTGATGATGAAATTTGAGAGACCATAGTAGAAGAAAAGACACCATGTTCAAGAAGGTGCGAGACTACTGAGAGGGTTTGATGCAAAGCCTTAGCAGGCCCCGTATTTCTCCAGTTGTAATTTATGTCTTCAAGATGTCATTTCATCATGGTTAATGTTTGTCATTCACACAAACACACAGACACGCACACACGCACACACACACACAAAACACCTGCAGGTAAAAGAGGCCTCAGTTTGAGGCCTGAAGGACATGCAAAAGACATAATTATGCCTCTGACTCTGCATTTACCTCCCCATAAAAAATTTGCATGTTGGGAATGGAGAATGGGGTATCTATAGTTTGGGCCTTTGAGAAAAGAAAATTGATATTGAGCAGGTCTGTCCATTGGTTAATGAACCAAGAACTTATTTTGCAGGGGTATATTAAAAAGAAGCTCCTAGCACCTGAACAAAAATAGTCCATGAAGTAAAAAAGAGTTCTTCATTGCTGTAAACACCAATTCCTCTGACAGGCTTAATAAAATTTTTGAATGAATCTGAAAATCACATTATTGTTAATAAAACAAAAATACTTAATGTTTATGAAACAAGGAAACACTTATCAATCACAAAGCACTTCATATTTGTTAAGTATCTACATGTACTTGAACTAATTGAGGTCATTTAATGTTTTACCTTAATCAATCCTCACCATAAGACTACTTGGTAGTGTTTATTCATCATTTTACAGAAAAGAAAACTAAAACTCAGAGAGGTAAAAAAATTATTTTCCCGAAGCCATACAGAGAGCAATGGATAGGCAATTCAGGCTACCTTGATTCTAAATCCGTTACAGTCATTAATAGTTTGTTCTAATCCAGAAATGTCGTCAAGAAATTTCAGTTACCTAATACATTTTCCTTTGATTTGAGAATAATTTTGTCTTTAAAACAATTAATATGTTTATTACATATATTCAAAACATGTAAATATAAAGAGAAAAAATAACCATTATGTCCTCCTTCCAGAGGAAACCAGTTAATGTTCGGGTGATCATTCCGTTAAGCATTTCTCTACAAATATATATAAAAATATGTACAAGATTTTATATAAATGGAATAATACTGAACATACTGTTCTAAAATCTGTTTTTTTTTTTTACACAGCAATGTGTCATGGGCATCCTTCCATGTCAATAAATAGAGATTTGCATCATCATTTTTAATTGGAGCATAATTAGAAATCACAATATTTTAGAGAGGCAAAAAATGTCAGAAACTGTCTACTCTCATCTCCTATCCAGTGTAGAAGTACTGTATTTAACTTCCCTGGCTGATAAGCAGGCAGATTATGCTGAATATTGTCATTCAAAGATGATAGCTCTAATTGTGAGGAAATTAAGTCAGATTTTCCCCTCTGTCTTTTGCCTGCTAAAATATGTTTATATTATTAAACTTAGCTATTGCCCCTGCTTTTTCTTTCTTAATCAATCCTGCCCTGAGCTAATTATCACCAGTTCTATTTTCCTCATAAAGCAAACTTCACAAACCTTTACCAACCTAAATACTCTCCCCCAGGTATGCGCTCATGAGTATATCAACTGAACACAGTTCATTTTTGGTATGAACAGTATAAAATATAGTGGTCTTTTCCAGTTCAGTAATTTGAACATCTTCTTTTACTCATTATAATTGAACAAAGAATGCTTTAGAAAGGTGAAGAAATGGATGGGAGTTATGTAGAACTGGAATCAGTTCTGTGAGTGTTTATGGAATTTTTGTTTAATGAGGCCTTCAGAAAATGAATAAAACTTATCCTTTTTCAATTGTTCAGACATGCAAAGGCAGCAGGGTGAGCCAAAAGACATTTGAATGTTTCTACTATTGGAAAGTCTATAGCCTGACCTCAAGAAACAGACTGAAGACATCATGGAAACCTCAATGGAAGGTTACCAGTTGACCATTCAATATTACTTCCCCAATAGTTCTATTGTTTCATATCTTTAATTGTGGGCCCAAATGTTTCTAGCGTCTTGTCCAATGGCATATAGTAAGTAAGAGAGTAGACTGTGTTTTCTGGAACACTTACACAAAATAGTGCTGCAGCAAGTTAATAAAATGTTGAAAGCTTTCATTGAACACTTCATCAGGTAACTTATGTGGAGAGGGATAGACTAAACCTGAGTGATGGTGCTCCAAAGTCAGGGGCCAAGTTTCCTTCTCAGAACTAATATAAAAACTGCTGTTGAGTTTTGTTGTTATCTTGAAGACAGCTGAGAGTCTGGATTGAGTAATTAAAATGCTAATTGGAAATTCACCATTCATCAGAGGAAATCACAATGAGTCAATTGTCTTTTCTTTCTTTTTTTTTTAAGTGTTTTCTCTGATGATGGCAGATGTTGAGGTTGTGAATTCATTGCTTGCCCTAGATGTAGAGACCTCTTCTATTCAAGCTGGGCTTTTCTCCTGTATTTTTGTTGATTGTCTACTTAAATTAACCTTCCCTAATGAGATGGAGATTTGATGGCTATGTCTGTAATTTACTGACTGTGAAATTAGTTAGTCTGGATAATTCATCCCATGGGTGACAAGGGTAAGATCACAGAGTAAACCACCAAGTGAGAATAAAGAATATAAAGAATGACTCTTCTGCTGTTACATCCACAGATTTTGTATGTGGAGGCTAAGAAGAAAATGCATATGGCAAACACAGCCTCTAGGTGACCCCAATTAATCATCAGTCTACCTTTATGCCCAACACTTCCCATTGGGAGTTTAGCTGGGTCAGACCTGCTACTTAAGAATATAAAACCACCAGATGTCAGTAGTGGTGCACAATGGCTCTAATGAAACTTCCTCCTTGGACAAAGTATAAAATTTCACATACAGAAAGAAATAAACAAGCAGTGAGGCAGTACAATATGTAAATTATTAAATTTTTTATACTTTTTTCTGAATAGAAGTTGACTTACTCTAGAAGAAAACTAAACTCTTTTTTGAACCTTTGTATAAGATATTTGGGGTTGGATTTTTACTGAATTAGCCATGTTTTGTTTCAAGAAATTCTAAATAGACATTCCTTGAGGAATGAGAACAAAAGGACAAAATTCTGTAAGTAAATAAATAAATAAATGCTAACTTTAGTTGTATATTTACTATAGGGCTTCTTAGAATTTATAACGAGTTTATATGTCTTGCACATCTTCAAAATGGGATAAAGGTATACATTGCTTTCAATATTATTTGACCTTATTATTAAAGGATGTAATTTACCAAGAATACTCTTTGGAAATACTAATTGTTTTCTTTGCATTGCAAATAAAGTGTTCTTAGTACAAAATGTTTATGTGATCAACTGACAACCATTGGAATTATTGAACCTGAGAAACAGAAAAAAATAAAAAGAATAAAGAAAAGTAATCATAGTCTAAGGGAGCTGTGAGACACCATCAGGTGAACCAATACAAACATTATAGGAGTACCAGAAGAAGAGAGCAGAAAGGGAAGAAAGAAGAGGTAATAAATATTTTACATATATGGATAGATTATATAATCTGTATTTTAAAACTTTCTAAATTTGATAAGGCACATGAATATACAAATCTAAGAAGCCTAATAAACTTCTAGCAGGAAAAACTCAAAAAGATTCACACTGAGACATGTTGTGCTCAAACTGTCAAAAGCCAAAGACATAACATAGTCTTGAAATCATCAAGAGAAAAATGTCTCACCTCATGTAAGGGTGTCTCAATAAGTTCAATAGCTGCTTTCTCATAAAAAAAAAAGTAGTGGTTTTGAGGCAGTGTGATGATGTATTTAAAGTACTGTAAGAAAAAAAATTATCTGTATCTGACTAAACTAACTTTCAAAACTGAGGGAGAAATTTAAGACATTTCCAGATCAACAAAGGCTAAGAGAGTTTATCTCTACTAGACTTGTTCTATAAGAAATGCTAAAAGAAGTCCTTCAGGTTGAAATGAAAGAACCCTAGAGAGTAACTGAAAACATATAAAAAAAATCTTTAATTATGGTAAATAGATGGACAGATACAAAATACAATATTACAGTATTTTTGGTTTGTAACTCTAATTTTAATTTTCAACATAATTTGAAAGAAAAATACATTAAATTTATAAATCTATGATATTGAGCCCATAATTTGTAAAAATAAATTTATGAATGACATTAGTAATTTAACAGTGGTGGTAAGGGGCTACAGTTGTATAGAACCAGAGTTTTGCATGCTATTGAAGCTAAGTTGATACCAATTCAAATTAGACTGCTATAATTTTAGGATATTAAATATAATCCTTGTGATAACTGCAAAGAAAATGTCTAAAGAATATCTGTACTAGAAATTGAGAAGGAAATAAAAATACTCCAGTGTAAATAAATTAACTAAACAAAAAAGAATACATTAGTGGAGGAAATAAGGGACCAAAAAAAGCTATGAGATACTATGTTTCATACATAAAGTTTAGGTATGAGACCTACAGAAAACAAATACTAAAGTAACAGAAGTAATTACTTCCTTATCAATAGTTAACTTTAAATGTAAATGGATTAAAATCTCAAAGAAAAAGTAGAGATTAGCAGAATAGATTTAAAAGAAAACATACTTCTACTATTTGCTACCTTCAAGAGGTTAGTATTAGATCCAAAGACACACATACATTGACAGTAAAGTATGGAAAAATATTTTATGCCATTAGTAACCAAAAACAGCTGGAGGAATAAAGATTAGGGTCACCCTACAAGGTGAAGAACCATGACCAGCTTAGGCCTATACTAATATCAGCCATATAGACCATAAGATCCAGCAGATTTAAATGTGCTTCAAATGTCAGTGGCAGTATGTATGCTCCTTAGAACTTTTGACAGGTGAAATGCAATGCAGGCCCTCAAGATTTTGGAGCAAATCCCTGTCATCCTGCACAGATAACTACTCACCTTTTGAGAAATAGATCTTGGTCTGTTTCTGACTGGACCCTAGTAGAGACTGAATACTTTAACATGGCCACCAAACTGTTCATCACAAACTGAAGATTATCTAATCCATGAAGTCATAAAGTTGGGCATGCATGGCAGTACTCTGTCATCAAATGGAAGTGGTGTACACATGACCGAGCCCAAGCAGACCCTGAAGACACAAGTAAATTGCATAAACAAGTGGGCCAAATATCCATGGATTCCACTGTTGCTACACTACCTTCTTTCTCCCAGATTGCACCTCTGGTCTATAAGGAGTTCCCTATAGTCAGTTCCAGAGAAAGAGAATAATTGGACCTGATTTAGAGATGGTTCTGCTTGATATGAAAGCACCATCACCTGAAAGTGGACAGCTGCAGCACTGCAGCCCCTTAGTGGGATATTCCTGAAGGATGGTGGTAAAGGGAATTCCTCCCAGTTGGCACAATGTTGAAAAACATGAAGATATTTGTGTCTCATATGAATGTCTACCGAAGAGGAACCTCAGTAGGAAATTTTAATAATCAAGTGGATAACATGATCCATTCTGTGAATCCCGGCCATCCTTCTTCCCAAACACTCCTGTCCTCACCCAACGAGTCCATGAAGAAAGTGATATGGTGGCAAGTCTATGTTGTCTCAGTAACATAGACTTGCACTCACCGAGGCCAGCCTGGCTGTGGTCACCACTGCATGCCCAGCCTTCCAGAAGTGGAGAACAATACTAAGTCCACAATATTACACCATTCCCCAAGGAAATTATCTATGTAGTGGCAGATGGATTACACTGGATTGCTTTCATCGTGGAAGGGGGAAGCATTTCATTCTTACTGGAATAGACACTTTGAATACAGATTTGCCTTATCTGCATGTAATGTTTCTGCCAAAACTGCCATCTGTGGACTTAACAGAGTGCTGCATCCACTATCGTGTTATTCCACACAACATTGCTTCTGAACAAGTGACTGACTTCATAGCAAAAAAAAAGTGTGGCTATGGGTCAACACTTACGGAACTCATACACCTTACCATGTTCCCTACTAGCCTGAAGCAGTTGACTTGATGGAAACGTGGAATGGCGTTTTGAAGACTGTTCTTGCAACATCTTGTAGGGCTGGTGTAAGGTTCTCCAGAAGGCTGGATGTACTCTAAATTGTGTCCAATATATGATGTTGATTCTTCCATATCCAAGATTAATGAGTCCAGGAATCAATGGGTGGAAATGGGAGTGGTACCCCCTCTTTTTTTTTTAGACGGAGTCTTGCTCTGTTGCCAGGCTGGACTGCAGTGGCACAATCTCGGATCACTGCAACCTCTGCCTCCCAGGTTCTAGCAATTCCCCTGCCTCAGCCTCCCGAGTAGCTGGGACTACAGGCATGCACCACCATGCCCGGCTAATTTTTTGTATTTTAGTAGAGACAGGGTTTCACCATGTTGGCCAGGATGGTCTCGATCTCCTGACCTCGTGATCCACCCACCTCAGCCTCCACCACTCATTATTACTGCTAGTGACTCACTAGCAAAATTTTTCCTTCCTGTGCATACACTTTATGCTCTACTGGCCTAGAGATTCAAGCTCCAAGAGGAGGAATGTTTCCATCAGGAGATCTGACAATGATTTTTATTTAACTGTAAATTAAGGCTGCCAACCAGCAACTTTGGAATTCTCATGCTCTTGAATTAACAGGCAAAGAAGGGAATTACTCTGCTTGCCAGTGTATTGATCCTGCCTATCAAGGGATGTTGGATAATGTAGGTAAGGAGAGTATGTCTGGAATACAGGAGATTCATTAGGATGTATCTTAGTAATAACATCCCTGGGATGAAGATCAATGGAAAACTACAACAACCCAATCCAAATTCAGGCAGAACTCCTAAAGCCCCAGTTTCTGGAGGAATGAAGATTTGGGCTTCCCTACAAGGTAAAGAACCATAATCAGTTTAGTTGTTTGCTGAAGGAAAAGAAAATGCAGAGAGGGTAGTAAAAGAGGTAGTTATAAATACCAGGTAGGACCATGTGACCAGTGACAGAAATAAGGTCTGTAAAGGCCCTCCATATTTCTTCCTTATTTTTATAATGCTTTATTTCTTATTTTGTTATGCACATATTCATACCAAAAAAGGAAGAAATATTCATGATAATTGCAGTTCTCCTTTCTGTAGCTGATTTAGTGGTCATATTATATATAATACATATAATATGTGAGTCTGAAACTTAGGATGACCTCCTGGTCATCAAACAAAGTAATGGAAATTCTTTATTTACTCAGCTTAAGAGTATATAGGTTAAACCAATTGTTTTGAAATTTTGGGAACTTACAGGTCCTCATAAGAGTATATAGGTTAAACCCATTGTTTGTTTTGAAATTTTGGGGACTTAGAGGTCCTCAAAGGACCTATAAAGTTGTAGGTAATATTACTGTAAAAAATTTAAGTGCTAGATTGAAATACAGAGACCAAGATTTCTTCAAATTCTGAAACACTAAGATTTTTTAATGTAGAACTTATTCGAATATTAAAAAACGTTCAAGCAAAATTTTATTGGTTCCCCTATAAGGGTCATGTTGTATGCAAGACAAAGACATAAAAATGTAGGCTGTGTATTACTGGGACAAAAATACTTCTATAATATATTCATGAAAATACTGTTGTTGATGATTACAATGATGATGATCAGAAGGATTGAATATTTATCCCACACAGTATGATTAACATTTTGCTTATATAATTTAAATTAACTTTTATTCCAACTCTAAATATATACTTTATTATTATTTTTTTAAGAAATTAACAGAAATATATGGCTTTAGACACTCGTAAGTCATTTGACCAAGATAGAGTAGACAAATAGTGAAGAGGCTTTGAACTTACATATCCTGCCCCTGAATATGCTTTCAAAAATGACATGCTGACCATATTTCAAATATTCATAGGATTTATACAGAAGAGAGTTAACAATGTGAGCAGTCAGAAGCCATTGGGTCAAATTAAATGGAATGGGCATTCTTTCTATTTTTAATTTTAATGGAAAATAATTGCTTATATATGTATAGAATACAAAGTGATGTTTTGATAAATTTGTGTTGTAGAATGATTAAATCAAGCTAATCAACATATCATTACCTCAGATATTTATTTTCTTTTGTGGTATGAACATTTAAAATCTGCTCTCTTAGCAATTTTGAAACATACATTACATTATTATTAACTATAAAGTCACCTTGCTGTGCAATAGATTTCAAAAACTTATTCCTTCTAACTGAAACTTTGTACCCTTTGACCAATACCTCCCCAGTCCCCTTCTTAAAAATGGAATCATATATTTTTAAGCCATAAGTATATGACAATAACATTATAGCAGCATAATAGTTTGAAATAATAGTCTACAATATACTATTGACTTTTACTTCTATTATCCTGATGAATTTTTACAATAATTATAAATAGGAATACATACTTATTCTCACTTCACAGATGGGGAAACTGAGGTTCAAACAGGTAAAGTCACTATCAAGGTTGCTACTTAATTAGTGGAAGAACCAGGGCTTAAATTCATGCTAAGGCCTTTATTTGTACTCTAATGCTTCTCATAAATAGTATTATGAAGGTAAATTTGATGAGAATGTGATAACAGTGTTATTCTAGAGCTTGCTATCACTCTCTTCATCTCTACTGAACTCTCACCTACACAGTGTTTAGGGATGTCATTATAAAGAGAGGATAACAGTGCAGTAGCATTAACTTTAAGGAGTTATTATAATCAATTACATAATTCATCAGTAATGCATGGACATATATTGAGTATACATTAAGCATCTAATAAAAGTTAGCTTTTTTGTTAATATTATTCTGTTTTCAAAGATGAAATCAAAACCATGCATACAGGATTTGAATAGCTACAAAGAAAATGCACTTTAGTATTCTTCAGTTAAGGGTCACAGCAAACAAAACAAAATGTAACATAATGAAAATTGAATTGGATTTGGTGCACACTAGGTGGGACACAGCACATAGAACCATAGTGATTGAATCATAAGATTATAGATTTAAGGAATCATATATTTTTAGAAATCAAAGACTCACAGACTCATAAACCACCAAGTTATGCATTTCTTGAATAGCACTAAGAATTAACTTTTGAAATCACAAGTTCCTGCTGAATGTATCTGGCAAAACACTACCTTGTTTCTGCTTGAATATTTTTTTGATCAGGGATGGCTTTTTCCTTTGGATATCCAATTGCTGCCCTGGATATCTGTGAAAAAGAGAAAAGTAATTGATATGGTTTGGCTTTGTCCCCACCCAAATCTCATCTTGAATTGTAACTCCCACAATTTCCATGTTTCATGGGAGGAACCTGGTAGGAGGTAATTGGATCATGGGGGTGGGTCTTTCCTGTGCTGTTTTCGTGATAGTGAATAAGTCTCATGAGATCTGATGGTTTCATAAAGAGAAGTTCCCCTGCACAAGCTCTCTCTTTGCTTGCTGCCTTCCATGTAAGACGTGACTTGCTCCTTCTTGCCTTCTGCCATGATTGTGAGGCTTCCCCAGCCACGTGGAACTGTAAGTCCAATTAAACCTCTTTCTTTTGTAAATTGCCCAGTCTTGAATATGTCTTTTATCAGTGGCGTGAAAATGGACTAATACAGTCATGCATATATTAAGTCAAAAATATGTCCTCCTGGTCCAGCTCACACTGACCAATCTCAGGACTATAAAATTGAAGACTAATTGATCTTTGAATGATGAAAGAAGGCACCATGGAAAAATGCCTTTTCCTCTTTACCTTGGCTTTTACCCTGTTACTGTGGAATAATGTCTCTGCTTTTCCTCCTTGCCATCTCCTTCCTTTTACCCTCATCTCATCTTTTCTTCTTATTTCTTCCTTAAACACTTGAATCCTGATGAAGAAAAGTTATTGTGACATGCAGGGTATGTTGACACATGCAGTTTTAACTTATGAGACCCTAAGAGAGGTTGGACAATATCAATTCTTCAACAGGGTACAGATGAAAGAGGTGAAGTGATTTGTCCAAAGTCAACTAGTAGGCTACGCATGAAAAACACACAACGTAGTATGTATACAGATTAAAATGGGAAATGTGGAGTCCTTGGGATGTTTTGTTTGCTTTCCACTTTAGTTTCATGTAATAAGACTATATTTAAAAGGACTAGACAGGAGGGGCCCTAAAGGACTCTGTCTACGTTGTGAATTCCATTCCCAGGTGAATGCAAAGATGATTTTTTACTTTGTTTCTGAAAAAGCAGGCATGACAGAGGGACCTTTCTTTTTTTCCTGCTTGTCATTTTGTCCAATCGCCCAGATAGTTTCTATTTTCCACTCTAAATTCAGGGCATGATACTGCCTTGTGCCTTTGGAAGGAGAAAGTTAAAGAATGCAGTGGAGCAGTGAGGCAGAGAGAGACTCTGGAGCCAGCTGGAATGGTCTGTTCACAGGGGACCAGCAGAAAGATGTTGGGCAAGAAAAGAAGTGGGTCTTTTTAAAAGGAGATACTTATTAAATATTCTATCAGCAAGATACCTAAGGAGCTTCACTCTAGGGTGAAATGGAGAACTCACTTATGGAAGTCAATTCAACCTCATTTCTGATCCCAGTGGAGGCAGATGGAGAAGTAGCCGAATAAGATTTATAATGAAAAATCAGGGAGGCAATGGTTGAAATTATGAGAAGCAGATTCTTATCCTGCCTGTTGCACTGAAATATCTGAATGACCTTGGGCAAGTTACTCTCCCTCTCTGAATCTCATTTCTCTCTGCCCATTAAATGACTAGACAATTTCAAATGCCATTGGCAATTTTAACATTCTCTTGATTCTAGATAATAGCATTCCCTGAACCATAATACATGTGAAAGAAAGGCTGAAATGGTAGAATAGGATCTGTTCCTTTTACAGGAAACTTTTGGAAATTATTCCAGATATATTTGGGACATGCCATTCTTCCAATTACCTGAGTGCAGCAATGCATAATGCTGCCTTTTGTCACTGAATGACATTAATCATGTCAGCTCCCTTTTCTACAAGAATGACTGGTTTAATGGGAAACTCTAGCCACTGTCAACATGCCAGGGGGTGTGAAGAAGGAAGGATAGATGAATGGGAGGGTGTTATTAAAAAGGAAATGATGGATGAGGAAACGAGCCTTTGTGTTCCGAGAGTGGAATGGAAGGTGGAGCCTGGCTTGAAGAAGCCTCACCCATTGTCTCTGGAGAATATTTAAAAATGTTCAACAGCAAATTGAAGATCCTCTTTACTACATACCTTCATGCATATCACCCTATGCAATGGAGGCTGTGTTATATAATAGTTAAGAGTGCTGGCTATGCACTTAGTCTGGTTTTGAATCTTGTCTTTACTGTATTCAAGTTGTAGAACTCAGTTTTATCATCTAAATATTGGAGATAATAATAGTGCCTATTTGATAGGATCATTGGAATGATTTAATAAGATAATGCCTCTAAGATGATTAATATAGGGCCTGGAACATACTAAGCCTTTGTAAAATTAGCTGTTATCACCTCCCTTTAATTCTATGTTATTTGCAGGTTTCATTTACATTATTTCACTTAATCCTCACAAAAACCCTCTGAGGTAGCTTAGGAATTACCATACTGCAGATGAAGAAACCACAGTTCAATGATATTTAGAGTCAGATAAGCTCTGAAGTTGGTTCCAGAACAAAAGATTGTCTGTCCTACAGCAAATGAGTGCACATATACTAAGTACCAGTGCTGTGCTAGAAAGCCTGTTAGGTACTTTTGTATACATTCTCAACCCTCACAGGAATCCATCTTGTTTGTATAAAGATAATTGAGGTTTAGGGAAAGGAAGTGATTTATTTAATAATGTTTGGCCAGTTAAAAACAAAAACAAAAACAGGGTTTAAATCAGATCCTAGGACGCTATGCCCAGTGTTCTTTATCTCATAATCTGAGTGGGTCCACTGATAAATAATTAATTCATCACATAGCCTTTGGTGAAAATATGGGCACACTTAAAGGCTACATTAGAAGCTGAGCCCCTTACATGGTTCAAATAATGCATCCAAAATCCATATTCAGTATTTTCAGCAGTGACTCTCAAAAAATCGTGAGGAAGTTGTCAATCAAAACAGAGTCACTGATGCTAAGAAAATAACAAATAGAACCAGGGAAGGCCATGAAGAGAGGGTTATCATGTTTGTATGCCTGATAACATCAACAAAGACCACAAAACCTTGCACAAAGGCCATTGCAACCTTACACAGAGTATCTTCTTCAAGGACATATGCCCAGCAACTGTCTGTCCAATTTTGTATTAGTGTCACCCTTGTTATTGATCTTGGTGGCCAAGAATAATTATTTCAAAACAATTATGTAATCCTTATTTTTTAATTTGAAAATCATACTCTTCCATTACCTACCTGGAAATGCATATAGTTTACTATCACATGTGTATTCCCACTGCAACATGTTATTCTTAAGCACATTTCTTTTAGAGAGCTTCTCTTTGTTTGTTACTTACTTTGGCAATAGTTTTCTCCAAAATTATTTAAAGATCAATAATTGGTCAATTTGCGCATGGGTTATCCTGTCAGACAGGACAGAATGACAACTTATACCATGAGCTTTGAAGACAGGCATAGAGCTATCTATGAGGTCATATTCCATGACATTTACCACTTTTGTGTCTTTATAAACATTACTTTTTAAATTTCAATTTTCTTATCCACAAAGGAAAAACAATACTATCACTCTGGGTCATTATGAGGATTAATTGTGTAATTGGAGCTAACAGTGCTTACTCGTTAAATGATAACATTTAGAAAGGGAAATTTGTTTTACACTGCAGATTTAAACTTAGAAATTCCTATGTATATGCCCTTATGTTCATAGAAATGGCTCATATATATTCATCTATATAAGGTTATGATCAATATTAAAATTAATAAGTAAAACAACTTTATAAATGTGTGCATGCATGTGTATGTGTGTGACTGGCATTTTCCTTCCAATAGCGTACTGACTGGCATTTTCCTTACAATGTGGAGAAATGTCCATGAAAGTTTCACTCTGACTCTTATGAGTTTACAGTAGAAAGACACTGGATGTATTACAAGGCATATGGTAAACAATAAGTTGAAAAACTAGCACTTACTCTACGTACTTTGAAAACACAAAAAGTTAACCTTGGACAGAAATTGTCCCGGGGATATATAACTTTGATGCAGTCTATGAATAAGCTAAAGAACTTTTAGATTTCTCTTAACTTCAGTTATCACTCTCAATTAATTTTTGTTGAGTGTTCACTAAGTTGTGGGAAAATATAAATATAAGCATAACTGCAGAGACCCATTGGTATTGCAGCTCTGTCCAACAGGATTTTCACTGATGATGAATATATTCTTTGTGCTATCTCTTACTGCATCTAGCCTGAAAGATTCAAGAATTTATAAATTTAATTTTAAGTAAGTTAAATTTAAATAGCTTCATGTGGGTAGTGGATATTATATTGAACAATACAGGCAATAAAGAAATGGCATTGTTCTCTGAGTCATGCAACTTAAACTCTAGTTTCAACCCTACCTATGGGGGATGTGTGTGTGTGTGTGCATGCGCACATGTATGTTAGAGATATATAGAAATATATAGTATATACTAATACATAATAAATATATATGCATTGTATACTACACACAATATAATATATAATGTATATTATATATAATTTAATTATTATACATGTTATATAATATAGTACATAATATATTGTATATTATACATATGCTGTTGTATATTATATATAATTGTATATTTTATATATATGTGTGTTTATGTTTTTATATATATACATATATACATACATATATACATATATACACATATATATACACACACATATATATATGTATATATATACTCTTCCTGCAATGTCTACTCTGTCTGTGACTAAATTTTCCTATTAATAGACCAACAGATTTCACTAGGAACAAGATTAAAAACACGTGGCATTGGAGCCATTAATGCTGATTCCTGTGCTCATGGCAGACATCACTAATCAATCACCACACTTTTTTTTTTCACCTAGCCAGGTGTAGCATTAATATTCTTCTCCACAGGATGCTGCAGCAAGCACTTACCAATAGAATACAGTTGGCATGTGAAAAAGAGCTTATATGCATTCTCTGTAATAAATAGCTTTTGCAGTTCCTTCCAACTCCAAATTACTTAACTGAATCCAAAGTGTCTTGCATCTTAAGATGAATAGAATCTTATGTAAGCAGAACATGGTTGTCCTTCTTGAAGTCAAGTTGAAAATAATTAATCATTATGATACAATCATTTAAGAATTTACCTAAATAGTTTTGAACCTATTTGTCTACCATATGGTGGAAAAAACTGTGAAGTTAAAATAGGAACAAATTAATACTAGTTCTAGCTTCTTTAGTTATTGACTTATAGGAGCCATGAAAAGTATTTGAGGCTCAATGTCCCCATTTGTTAAATATGGAGAATTATATCCTCTATTCACTTGCAGTGAATTAATAGCAGCAACATACTTAACAAGGAAAAATTACTATTAATATGCCAGTGGTGAAGTGTGGTCATTTAGTATTTCTAGGTTGCATTTCACTAAAAATCACAGCAAACATTTACTTGTATTAAAATTATGGCTTTTATTTGCAAAAGGCTATAGGATGAGAAGGATTATTTGTAATAGTTGTTTATGCATACACACTCAGCCTAACAAGTTCTTGCTGTTGGAGATTTTACATTAAGATTAAATATGTATGCATGGGATATGAAGTGTAATAAATGAAAGAGAACCAGGAGGTCATCAATTACAGATGGGGTTCCCCAGCAAGCAGACTCTAAGATGCAGATTAGCATGGGTGAGGTTAAATTAGGAAATGCTCTTGGGATAAGCAACTGTGGAAGACAAGAAAAATTGTGAATAGTGCTGCAAAAAACATGTGTGCATATGTCTCTATAGTAGAATGATTTATAATTCTTTAGGTATATACGCAATAATGAGATCGCTGGGTCAAATGGTATTTCTAGTTCTAGATCCCCATGAGGATCTTTTATGACCCTTTCTAGCGTATTTTGTATTCTATTGTTGCTGTAACAAATTGCCTCAAACTTAGTGATGTAAACAGTACAAATTTATTATCTTAGAGTCAGAAGTTCAACACTAGTCTCATAAGGCTAAGATCAAAGTATTGGTAGAACTTGATTCCTTTCTGGAGATTTTAGGGGAGACTCTGTTACCCTGTGTTTTTCAGATTTAAGAGTCTGCCATGTTCCTTAGGTCATGACCTCCTTGTTCCATCTTCAGAGCCAGGAACATTGCACCTCTCTGAAGTTGCTTTTATAGTCATATCTCCCGCTGACCCTGCTTCTGCCTCCCTCTTTCACTTTTAAGGACCCTTGTGATTACACGGGGACTGCCTAGATAATCCAGCACACTCTCTCTATTTAAAGGTCACTTGATTAGTGACTTCAATTCCATCGCCAACCTTCATTCCCCCTTGCCATGTAATCTAACATATGCAAATGCTCTGGGATTAGGACATGAAATATATTTGGGGGATTATTATTCTGCCTACCACAAAAGGTAACCACTATTTTGATTTCTAGCATCATAAATTAGTTTTGTCCTTGAATTTGATAAATGAAATCATATGTGTTGTTCTTTTGTCTGTCTTCTTTCACTCACATATTTTTGGGTCTTATGTTTATTATCAATAAATTGTTATTTTTATTGCTCTGCAGCATTTCATTAAATAAGTATACCATACTTCATCTATTGTGCTGTAAAAGGAGATTGGTTTTGTTTATAGACTGTGTCTATTATGAAGAAATCTGCAAAGATTGTTTACACAGTGTTGTGTGGACACCTGAACTCCTTTCTATCTGGTATATACTGAGGAGTGGAAGTATTCAGCTATAAATTAGGCATTTGCTTTTAGCTTTAGTGGAAACTGACATCTCATTTTCCAAAGCTGGTTTTACGATCTTATAATTCTACCAGCAGTGTAAGAGAGTTCCAGTTACTCCTCATCCTAGCCCACACTTCATGTTGTCTGTCCTTTTCACATTAATCATGATGCCTGTTCAGACGTATCTTTCTGATTGCAAAGAGATATCGCCTTGTGGTTTAATTTGCTTTTCTCTGATAGTCAATGCCGTTAAATGCCTTTTAACATCTATTGGCTGTTCACATATCTTTTTTGTGTGTAGTGTCTATTTGAGTCATTTGTTTATTTTTAAATTGAGTTTTTAGTATGATTTTTTATTTATAGAAGTTTGTTATATAACCTAAATATAAATCCTTCTCAGATATAGGTATTTCAAATAGTTACTTCCAGTCTGTGACTTGTGATTTTACTTTGTTAATACTGTTATTTGACAAACAGAAGTTTTTTTCACTTAAAGTTTTATTTTATTTTATTGTTAGTGCTTTTTGAGTCCTATTTTAGACAACTCCACCTATAGAGCATTTATTTTAACCTATCCTACATTTTCTAGAAGACCCAGTCTTTCACATTTAGGCCCATAATGTATCTCAAACCAATTTTTGTACATGATATGAGGCAGAGGTCAAGGTCTATCTTTTCCCTATAGATGTCTAATTATTCAAATTCTAGTTGTTGAAAAGACCACATTTTTCAAATTAAATGCAGTGGTGCTTTCTTAAGAATAAATCAAATGATTACTAGGTATGGGTAAATAGTTGTTTAATTTATACTTTTCAGATAACATCAAGCATGTTAATCTTTTGCTTGAGTTTGGATACTGATTCGAACCATGGAATGATTAATAATTCCAGTAAGATGTTTACCCAGTGATGGTATATATTCAGACCCAATCATTTCATATTTATGAGCTCATGGAAACATGAAGTTGGGTTCCTTTCTGTCAGTATTTTCTACACATTTCAATAGATTGAGCTTATACTTTCATATTATTATGAGGTAAATTCCCTAGTAATAAAAAAGTGACAAATACTAACAAACATTTACTCAGTGCTATTGTATGTTAAACACATTATATTCATGATTCATGTTTTATCAGGGCTTCTTTCAGCACAGCATGAGTACACAAGAGCAATTAATAGTCATTGTTCCATGCATTAAAGAAATCCTAGAGGCAATATTATTCCCCATTTTATAGATGAATGATAAGTCTCAAGGAGATAAAGTTACTTTCCTAAGTTCATGAAGCATTAAATGTAAGTAAGCCATGCATTTTAGGCATACCATCTTAAAATTTTCATTTTGGAAGAAATCTTTTTTTTTTTTTTTTTTTTTTTTGAGACGGAGTCTCACTCTGTTGCCCAGGCTGGAGTGCAGTGGTGCGATCTCGGCATGCTGCAAACTTGGCCTCCTGGGTTCAAGCAATTCTCCCACCTCAGCCTCCCGAGTAACTGGGATTACAGGCGTGCCCCACCATGTCTGGCTAATTTTGTATTTTTAGTAGAGATGGAGTTTCACCATGTTGGTCAGGCTGGTCTCAAACTCCTGACCTTGTGATCCACCTGCCTTGGCCTCCCAAAGTGCTGGGATTACAGGCATGAGCCACTGCGCCTGGCCAAATTGTTCATTTTTTGAAATGAAAATGTATACACTGGAAAATAAAATTCTGATCTTTGGTTTAAGAAAATTATGAATACTGGCTCCGTAAGTGTTAACTGTGACATTGAGTAAGCTACATATCATCCTTGGGTTTCAGATTTCTTACTGACCTGTAGAAAAAATAATATATATCTCATACGATTATTTTTAAGATCAAATAAGATAGGGCCAACCTCTTACCTTGGAAAGACCACAGCATGCAGTAAATTCTAGGCATATACTAGTATTATTGCTATGTCATCTTTGGGCAGCTCTAACTTTTTTTTTTTACATATATATATACTTTAAGCTCTAACTTTAAAAAATTTTCTGAATTAGAATACGCTTCTCTGCCTGTGGGACATTCAGAATATGGCACTGTCTTTCTCTGAATTATATGAAGCCAGACACACTGTTCCCTCTGAGTCTTTTTGTATCTAGGCTTACCTCCCACTTCTTTCAACCTTATTTCAAATGTTGTGCTTTTAAGATTGTGAATTACTTGGGTCAAATATGTGATTTTTTTTCACATATCCCTAAAAGTGACTAGTGCAAAATAGATAAAAGAACCAAATAAAGAATGTTTGTTGAATGTATGAATGAATGAATGGATTCCTCATATTCTTTTGGTCATTAATATTTATCATCATAGCATTTCTCCACTTAATTTTAAGGCCAGCATGTCTCTCCATTATAACATAATTGAATTTTTCATCATTGTAGATAGATTACACAGATAACATCTACCACTCCAATCCCTTGAACATCTTATAGTTATTGTTATATATATTATTGTTATACATATTTTAAATACGTGTATTATCTTAAATCTTCACAGTATCTCAATTATATTAGATATCATTATTTTCATCTTAAGGAAAAATAAACTGGTATTTAGAAAGGTTAAGTGTTATAAGTGGGATATGAACTCAGGTATATTTAATTTTTTTTATGCCCTGTTTGAGCCTTTCTTGTTGTTGTTGTTTTTATTTCAGTATGTTTTGGGGGAACAGGTGATGTTTGGTTACATGAATATGTTCTTTACTGGTAATTTCTGAGATTTTTGGTGTATCCATCACCAGAGCAGTGTCCACTGTACCCAATGTGTAGTTTTTTATCCCTCACACCCCTCCCACCCTTTCCCTCGAGTCCCCAAAGTTTATTGTATCAGCCTTATGACTTTGCATCCTCATAGCTTAGCTCCCAGTTACGAGTGAGAAAATATGATGTTTGGTTTTCTATTCCTGAGTT